>NC_000001.11:183184587-183809587 GCF_000001405.40 Homo sapiens
TGAGAAAGTTGGAGTTTCTTTTCTATTCCTCAGGTTTTATTGCTGGAGATTTTAGAATAGGTGTCAGCCAGTTTGCAGCAACCTGTCTTGCCCCTACCATTCTTGGGTTCTGTATTCAGACCCCAGCTATTCCTAACACCCAGTTCATACTCCACGTTCTGTACAAAGCCATCCCTAGCTATCCCAGTCAGCCCACACTGGTCTCCATGACATGCATGAACCGAAGTTTTTAGAACCTTTGACACTTATGTCTGCCCTGGATGATTTGTTCATTATCTTATGTTGTTGTCATCCACAGAACAATCTGGAGAATATTCATATATTTAGTCAGCAAATAGCTATTTATTGGGGGCCTTTGTAGGCCTCAATGTTGAGAAGAAGGGTTGGTTGTTTTGGACAGATTGTGTATTTATAAAGCTCTAGCAATTTTTAAATCTCTAGCAGGAACCAAAGCCTTCTTGACAGCCACCTCTCTGAATTATTGTCACTAGCCTCCTTAGGAGAAGAGACAATATAGTTTATACCAAGATTTGCAGTTGTCTAGATATTACTCACTTCAGCTAGCACTGTGCTAGTAGATAACATTCAAAGTTGGTCTCAACAAATATTTTCTCTAGTGCCCATGGAGAGTGGCTGAGAAATACACTCTAAGATGTAAAAGAGTTTGGTATCTAGATCCTCTTTCTTATTCATTTCAAGCCAATATTTATTAAGCACCAACTGCAAGCTAGATACTATTATAGTTAGGAATATAAAGTGGGCCAGGGATGGTGTTTATGCCTATAATCCCAGCACTTTGGGAGGCCAAGGCAGGAGGATTACTTGAGGCCAGGAATTCAAGGTCAGCCTGCCCAACACAGCAAGACCTCGTCTCTACAAAAAATTAAAAAATTAGCTGGGTGTGGTGGCATTTGCCTGTAGCCCTAGCTACTCAAGAGGCTGAGGTGGGAGGATTGCTTGAGCCCAGGGGTTGGAGGCTGCAGTGCGCTATGATGGTGCCATTGAAAACAAAAACAAAAACCAACCAACAAACAAAAAAACAAACAAAAAGAAAACGATACTCAGTCTTTATAGGGAGGTTGGCCAGTCAATAGGTTACTTTATGAGTTGCTAACCCTGGTGAGCAGGAAGTTATGTGGACCAGGAGAGAAACCCTTGGTTCAGCCTGGAGAAAGGAGAGGTTGACCCTAAACTGGAGGGTGGAGAGGACCCTGTTGTGACTCTCCGACTGACTTGTCTTCCTTGATGTCCTTTAAGCCGGAGCTGATTCGGGCTGCTGCCTTATTTCTGAGTTAGCGCTCTTAAGATTGGGCCTCCCAGTTTGAGGAAGGGGCGGGCTGCTGTCTACCTCTGTGAATCTGCCCTGGACCACCCCGGGAGAGAAGGAGGGCTCCGGGGAATCTCGCACATTCCAGGCAAAGGCTCCCGGGCCGCAGCCTCTGTGCCACACCCTTGGCCCGGGCCAGGTGTGCGCCCTCCTCGCTGCGAGGGGGAGCGGGCGGCTGCGGGGAGCGATTTTCCAGCCCGGTTTGTGCTCTGTGTGTTTGTCTGCCTCTGGAGGGCTGGGTCCTCCTTATTCACAGGTGAGTCACACCCTGAAACACAGGCTCTCTTCCTGTCAGGACTGAGTCAGGTAGAAGAGTCGATAAAACCACCTGATCAAGGAAAAGGAAGGCACAGCGGAGCGCAGAGTGAGAACCACCAACCGAGGCGCCGGGCAGCGACCCCTGCAGCGGAGACAGAGACTGAGCGGCCCGGCCCCGCCATGCCTGCGCTCTGGCTGGGCTGCTGCCTCTGCTTCTCGCTCCTCCTGCCCGCAGCCCGGGCCACCTCCAGGAGGGAAGGTGAGTCGGCTTCCACAAGGAAACATCTCAGCCCTGGGCTGAGAATCTGCCTTTCTCTGCAGACCGTGATGGCTGAACGTACCTCCGAGGATTCCCACTTTGTCCAGAAACTTGTTAGAGCTCCCTTCTCCTCCCCTATCTGGGGCTCCTCCAGAGACGGATTTTAAATGAGACTAATATATAAAGCTATCTGCTTTTTAAAAATAGTAAGACAATAAGCTGTGACAAAAGAGGGTCTTCCTTACCTTAAAAATGTTCCTTCTTGATGTCTTTTTTCGACCAAGGGGCCGCTATTTAATCAATAATGTGTTGTTATATACGTTCTTTCCCCAGCGTGTGCTTTTATTAAAAGGTTTTGGTGGCAATGTTTCCCATGACTGTGAACACCACAAAGATTGCAAAGGAACCTCTTCAATAATCCTGTAATTGATGTTTCAAATTTCGGATGGAAAAATGAGCCTTAATAGTATTAGCAATACCCTTAACTTTTGCATCACGTTACTTTTCATAGTATTTTCATGTAATATTCATTCAACAGGCACTTACTGGGCACCTGTGTCATATATCATTTGATCTTATCTAGGGCACCTAGTTGGCTGTCATGTGTTAGACGTTAAGTTCATGTAAACAAAACTTTGTGAGAACCTAGCAACTCTTAACTGTAAGCATGTGTCAGCTATGGCAACATTTTATGGGTGTTTTCCTTGTCACTTAGTTCTATGGATATATGCCTGTATAATTGCCCTGATGTTTTATGTTTATATTGCATCCTGCATCTGATGGCGTTTCAATCATTCTTTCAATAGGTCCAAGACCAAGAGCCATTTCCACACAAGTGCATGCATGAATATGAGATAATGCTCACATGCACATGCAATTGTATAAGCCATTCCCAATATTATTGTGCATTCCGGGTGATGCTGGCCTGAATTGGATTTGAGTGGCATGAATAATGTTTGAGCATGTGTTTGAATGCAATGCTACAGTCCTTTTTGTCTAAAAAAGTCTTGGAATTAACTTCCAACCTATCATCTCTGACTACCATTTTCAAAACCATGTATGATTGCCACCAAAAAAAAAAAAAAGGTGGAGATAAGTATGTGAAATAATGAACATATTAATTTGCCTGACTAGAATACTATTTTACTGTGTATATCGAAACATCATGTTGTATACCTTAAATATATATAGTTTTAAAAAGTGATAAATAAAAGGTTCTGAAAATGGTCATGAAGGGTATGTTCTCTTAGGGCTGGGATAAGAAGTCTCAGCCTAATGGAAGACATCCCCAAAGTAAAAATAGTCTCTGAATATTAGAATTTAAAGGGACTGCTTATGGATCAACTACTTGGAATCTCTTGATTTGAAAAATGAGAAAATGAAAATGTGTTTCTCAAGGCCACACAGGCAGAGATGAAACTGGCTCTTGATCCAGGGGCTCTTAGGCTGGAGCTTTTTGAGCCACATTATAAAAGTAATAAAGGAATAAGATACATCTTTTATACATGATAAGTAATCATTTAAGCAATTTTCTTGTTGGCTATAGTTGAGTACATATATGTGTGTTAGCATTAGGGAACAAAAATAAATATATAGGATGCTATCAATGCTATTTTAATAAAATCAGGCTTAAGAGGACAGAGCTAGGATTCTCACTTCTTAAAGACATACCAGCTTCTGGGCATCCATCTACCCCAAGAAGTCAGAAATACCACTGAGGCTCATTGCCACTTTCCCCTTCCCTGGAGGCAGACTAAGGTTTTATTCTCCCTCCTCAGAGGCCTTCATTTTTGGATTCAATGGGAATGTGAAGTTTGTTGCCAGGGTAGAACACACATGCTTTTTCATTCATGGGATGCTGGGATGTGCTAGAAGTTGGACTGAAAATATGGTATCTGCCATGTCTCAAAGTGACCGTGTCTGAGTGTCCTGTGGGCTGCACATATGAGAACCTAAAGCAGTGATGTTGCTTCCTGGTTGTTTCCTTGCAGTAGAAATTATGGCAATAGATGAAATTGGCAAGACTTCAGGGTTGGGCTCAGCTAAAGCACAGGCTTTAGAGTCAGCCTGACCTGGCTTTACATTTTGGTTCATTCACTTACTAGTTCCTTATTAGTAATACTTGGTGTCTGCTTCTTCATTGTAAAATGGAGGCAATAGTACTTCAACCTTGTAGAGTTTTTGAAAGGATGAACAATTACTGTAAAGTGCCTTAAAATGCCTGGAACCACATTTCTTTAAAAAGTCCAAAGCCAACAGTACAGTGTAGTGAATTCATTTGCCCAGAGATCAGAAAGACCAAGGCTCCCCTTCAGGATAGGATTGCCTGGTGTGAGATAAAGTGGCATGTGGCCCCAGTGGTCTGGATCTTAGTTCATAGCAGGAGGTATGACTGGAGAAGGATTGAGAAAGAGATAAGAAAGATACTAGAAACGTAGCCACCAATATGCTTGTGAAGGGCTTTATGTGCCAGGCTGTTCAGTAGGATGGTGCCCTGTAGGCAAAGAAGAGCTGTGAATGATTTGTAAGCAGGAATTAGTGTGACTGGATTCATGTTTTAGAAAGGTCACTCACTCGAGGGCTTAGAGAATGAAGTGGAGCTAGGGAAGCCAGATAAATGGTGATTACCGTAATTCAAATGAGAGATGATGAAGACTTTCATCATGGTAATGAAAGCAAAGAGGAAACAGATTACAGGGACATTTAGGAGGTGAAATCTAAAGAATGTGGTGATCCAATAAGTCTGTGTGTTAGGGATATGAGTATAGGAAAGTTGAGAGAAATAAGGAAGAGTCCAAGATGGATCCAAGGCTTTAGGTTTGTACATGGTTAGACAGTGATGCCATTAAAGGATGAGGACTATAAAAGAAGGATCAGTCTGGGCACAGTGACTCATGCCTATAATCCCAGCACTTTGGGAGGCTGAGGTGGGTGGATCACTTGAGCCCAGGAGTTCGAGACCAGCCTGGGCAACATGGAGAAACCCCACCTCTAGGAGGCTAAGGCAGGAGGATCACTTGAGCCTGTGAGGGTGAGGCTACAGTGAGCTGAGATTGCACCACTGCACTCCAGCCTGGGTGACAAAGCGAGACCCTCTCTTTTTATTTTAGTTTAGAAGGGAAATTTGAGATATAAATTTGGGGGCCCAGAGGTAGAAAGCAAAGCCTTGACCACAGACGAGATTGCCTAGGATATGGAGGTAAAAGAAACCTCAGCACTTAAAAAAGAGATAGAGGAACGATGGAGCAGAATCAGGAGGAATGAGCACTGAGGATAGAGGAAAATCAAAGAAGAAGAGGGTTTTGTTAGTCAAAGGAAGACTGTCAGCAACATGGCAGTAATAACTGGTGTTCAGATATCCAAATGTGTATATACAAAGAATGAGGACTATCACTGCTGGATTTAGCCGTCAGGTGAGTTTTGAAGCAATTGTTCTTCCAGAACGGCGAATTCAGAATCCATGATTATCATAGATCACTAATTTGGTTTTTCCCATGCCCTGATGCTAGAAAAAAGATGCTGTGGATAGTAGGAAGGATCCTTGGAAATGTTTATGCTCCCTCGTAGATTCTGTTATTTAAATCATTGAAGTGGTATAGCATCATACACAAAAGTGCAGGCTCTGGAGTAAGACTGCCTGGGTTCAAATCCCAGCCCTATCATGTACCATTGTGGCACATTTATATTTTGGGACTTGGGCAAGCTACCTCACCTGTTACTTAGCTCCTACATCTCAGAATAAGGATGATAAATCGATATGACCATTACACAAAAATCACTTTGCACATTGCCTGGTAAGCACTTAATACATGTTAATAGATTACTGTTATTGTTACAACTAACTGCCCTGCCAGTACTGAATTTGGTATATTGCTTTCTGTGTTTTAAGTGGTAACATTTTTGAAGGGCCTCCTTTTTACTCTCCTTTCGTCAGCCCAAGAAGGTGCTGAGGAGCCTTTCTGCTCAAGCAGACATGAGCCCCAAGTTTTACCCAACAAAACAGGAACCCAAAGCAGGTTGCAGTTTCAAGACTGGATCTCGTATCATTCCTTCTCCTTGCCTTTTTCATCCACCAGACCTCATCACACACAGATTCAGCAAATCTATTGCTTCTCAAAACATGCTCAAATATAAGATGACCCTACAAAGATCATCTCTCATTTCCCAATGGGAAGAACTTCCCCCACATTCAAAGAAAGGATTTGGACAACTTGATTATGAGAACATTTAGCAATACAGATGTAGTAGTCAAATGTCTCTTTATGTTTAATTTAGTAAATTAATTACACAGATATATTGAAAGTCACATAATTGATAAAATATTATACTTAGAAGTGTTGATTTGTTCACTCACATTTTATGAAGTAATTATATTCAAATTATATTCAGTTATATTCATCTCACCAGATGACTTGAGATACAGTACTGTTTGAATCTGTTTTTGATGTGGTCACTGGAAAGTACATCATTTTCAAAACATTTAAAAGATAGACAAATTATCCCTTAGTGTATATTGTGATCTTCACAGCATAATCACTCTGAAAGGCTTATATGCAACACCTTTCAGCACTCACAACTATGAAGAAATGCACCATTATGAGAATTGTTTAGACAGCTGGGCCCCTTTCTTACTGATAAGTCTCCAATACATTGATTGAGGTCATTTTAGCTTAATGTATCTTCCCCAAACAATATTTTTACAATAAAGTAATTGAGAAAGTACCCTATAATATGCAAGATTTTGAAAGGACTTAAGTATGATCTTTTTTTTCCTGAGGGATAATTTTGGAAAAATTAAAACCTCTACCTTATATTCAAGCATGTACAGAGATATAGAATTGGGTTGGAGGTGGGCTGGAAATTCCCATATGGGCTTAAATTCTGGGTGTTCTAAACTGGGGGCAGCCACTGGTTCAGCCTCACTGGCCCAAGAAGCTGAGAAAGATTGTTGATTTGTGATTCGTGTTTATGGGAAAGTCAGGGCATAAAGTTAAGGTGTTGAGAGAATCCTGGGAATATCTTTCCCATTTAACCCACTTAAGTTCTTAATGGTTCAAACTTACTGACTTTTTTTTTTTTTTTTTCTGTCCTAGAGAAATTTCTAAGGGCAAGACTTGAATCATCTATTAGAGATCAGTGTAGAGGGCTGGGTGCGGTGGCTCATGCCTTTAATCCCAGCACTTTGGGAGGCCGAGGCGGGCGGATTACCTGAGGTCCAGAGTTCAAGACCAGCTTGGTCAACATGGTGAAACCCTGTCTCTACTAAAACATACAAAAATTACCTGGGCATGGTGGCATGTGCCTATAATCCCAGCTACTCAGGAGGCTGAGGCAGGGGGACTGCTTGAACCCGGGAGGCAGAGATTGCAGTGACCCAAGATCATGCCACTGCACTCCAGCCTGGGCAACAGAATGAGATTCCATATCAAAAAAAAAAGAGAGATCAATGTAGAAATAGGAGCTCCATAGAATCTGGAATACTCTCATTTAGTCAGAAATTAAACCTAGTAGGTGACTGAATCATTACTGGGCTATGTTTTAATATAATCCCCAGATAGGTGATGTAATGTTTGAATCATGTCCAAAGCCAAAGGCTAAGTCTTTTCTGTCTGTGGGTGACTGTATGTCTGCATATGTAATTCCCCAAAAAGCATCTGCTTCTTTATGTCACAACCATGGAAACAGAAGAGAATGGTTCTTCCTCCAGCACTGATCTATGGAAGAACCTGAGTCTTTCCCTTCTGTTGTATCAGGTGAGGGGTGGAGATCAATTGGCCAAACGTATAGGGATCCTGCACTTATTCAGGGCTTATATTTACAGAATTCTAACCGCGTCTTTTTATTTATTGTGGGGATATGTATCTCCGCATTAGAAAAGAATCAAATTGCAGCCAAATCATTTCCCACAACTAACTTAAAACTTGGACAAATCATCCAAATGCTCAGCTGCACTGATGTGGGGCATTTCATACAAAGTATTTTATGTTTCACCATGTTTTTCTCTTATTACAGTATCGTAGAACTAAAATGAGAGTGGGCCTCAGGGGTTCTCTACAAGAGCCTCTCATTTTATGCATGAGAAAAATGACACCCAGTGAGGTAAATTAACTGCCCAATTTCTTACTGTTGGTCATAGCAGAGCTGGGCTCCAGCATGTTTCATCCTTTTATAGGTAGGAAAATTGAGGCACAGAAGAGTGACTGCTTTGACCAAGGCCAGATTTCAGTTACTAGTTTAATGTTCTTTTTCTGAGATAACTCCTTGGCATATTTCTCATTTTTCTTTTTTTGAGATGGAGTCTTGTTCTGTCACCCAGGCTGGAGTGCAGTGGCACGATCTTGGCTCCCTGCAACCTCCCCGCCTCCCAGCTTCAAGCAATTCTCCTGTGTCAGCTTCCCGGGTAGCTGGGACTTTAGGGGTGCACCACCATGCCTGACTAATTTTTTGTATTTTTAGTAGAGACGGGGTTTCACTGTGTTAGCCACGATGGTCTCAGGTCTCCTGACCTCGTGATCTGCCCGCCTCGGCCTCCCAAAGTGCTGGGATTACAGGCATGAGCCACTGTGCCCAGCCTGAATTTTCATTGAAACTAATCTTCAAGCTTGATGGAACCTTTATCTACTGTTGACATACCACCTGTATTTCTAATGAAGACATCTATCTCGTCTTTTCAGAAGTCTCCATTTGTGTATATGATTCAATATATTGGCCTTTCCTTTAAAAATATCAGAGAACAACAGGTTAAAACTAAGCACAGCTCTAGTTTGTGGGGCATTAACAAGAGAACAGATTTCAAATTACCAAGTTTTCTCTTCCTTTTGTTCCACTCTGTTGTCAGGTTATCATGCAGCTTGGAATTGACCAAGTGGCTCAGTTTAGGATCGTTGATAGTACTGTGATAAGACTTTCTCTTTTAGCAATCATTGTTCTTTAATGACTGTTGACATTTTGCATCTGTATATACGTAATCACGTCCAGAGATTATTTCTGTCTCCCTGCTACAGACCCTTGTAAGTTTTGGAGTCTTTCAGAAAGAGGTCTGTTTCATGGCCAGAATGTTGACCATGTAAGCTTTATACATACTTACTGCTGTTTCAAATCATGGCCCATTTTGCTCTTGGTAAAAGGATACTTTTTGGTAGGGGATTCCTAGTGTTTAAAAATCGTTTTTCATCCCAAATAGCCTGGCCTACTTTGGGAAGGCAGTTGATCCAACAGTAATCTGAAGCTGCTGCTCTTGCCCTATCCAGGCAGTTGTACCATGGTAGGAGGGGATCTTCACATTCTGAGATCTGCAGGGAGCAGGGGAGAGGCCACAGTGGACCTGGCATAGGAAGTAGTAGTGGAGAAACAGCATATTTGTTCAACTGAGATGCAAGATACTCCCTGATGTAGTCTTCATGGTCCAGTCTCTTCTCAAAATGTTTGTTACTTCTCTTTATGGATGTGTAAAGGTAGTTTGGCTCATAAGAGCTCATTTAATTCATTCTTCTGACTTTAGGCAATACAGTGTT
The DNA here is from genome assembly GCF_000001405.40 of Homo sapiens. Lineage (NCBI taxonomy): Eukaryota > Metazoa > Chordata > Mammalia > Primates > Hominidae > Homo > Homo sapiens. Next base: position 183,193,946 of record NC_000001.11, read on the forward strand.
TTTGTTTTTGAGATGGAGTCTCCCTCTCTCACCCAGGCTGGAGTGCAGTGGTGCAATCTTGGCTCCTGGGTTCAAGTGCTTCTCCCATCTCAGACTCCTGAGTAGCTGGGATTACAGGCGCATGCCACCAGGCCCAGCTAATTTTTATATTTTTAGTAGAGATGGAGTTTTGCCATGCTGGCCAGCCTGGTCTCGAACTCCTGATGTCACGTGATCTGCCCACCTTGGCCTCCCAAAGTGTTGGAATTACAGATGTGAGCCACCATACCCAGCCAGCAATACAGTTTTAATTCATCTTTTTTCTGAAAAAAAAAAAAAAAAATCTGTAAGTAAGATGCTATAAATGCACGCCATGCATATTTTCCCAACATTGCAAATGCACATGAATTACCATTGTTCTTTTGTGAAGACTAAGAACTATATAATGGTATGTAAGCCCACACACATACCTAAATGCTTGTATTTTTGTGAAGGGATGTAGTGATAGCAAAAAATCTTTGCCTAATCTCCTTGTACAAAAAAAGTATTGTTCACAAAAGCAGTAAGGATTTAAAAAGGAAGATTTATTGTTTTTTTTTAAGGAATCAATGAAACATAAATTTAAATAATTGAAAAATCATGGTTTATACTTCAATTATCTCCAAAAGGCATTTTAGTACAAATTAGAATCTCCTTTTTAACTTCTCTTTATTCAGACACATCATAGAAGGTTTCTTTCCTTTTGGTCCTCTTTGCTTCAGGTATTTACCTCTGGCATCCCTGGAATCTCTGATTCCCTTTATTTCAACTGCTTCTTAGAGGGGCATAGGATACCTTTTTCTAGGCCATGCAAGAAATGTCCAGAGAACACTATGCTCTTTGAATAACAGTTAAATGTCCTTTCTATGCTGGAATGCTTTTCTTTGTAGGTAACTTCACAGAAATGTATAACCCTTTATTTCTGTGGTCAGAAGAGTGTGGAGTTCCATGGAGGTGGTTGCTGTCATATAGAATCTTACCACAATCACTTCCTGAGTCTATGCTGCAGCTGACAGCAGCTGTCTTGCGGTAGAGCCTTTGACAGTGCCAGCTATAACTCTAATGTCCTCAGTTTGCCTTCCCTTTCACCTGTGAGCTTACTCAGACTGAACCCTCAGTTTTACCTTTACCCTCCACTCCTTTGCTAGTCAGACAAAACTTGGTGTCCCCAGTTTCCCTGTTCACTGGGACTTTCTTCCCCCTCCTCATTGTCTGCCTGGGCACTGGTGTCCCAGTGGAGTGTCAGGGGAAGACATCTCCAGGTGTGAACTCCTGATGGAGTCCTCACCAGGCTGAGTCATCTACAGTTCACACGGGTACATTCCCAAGTCTAGGCTGTGATATAATGTACTATGAACTCTCGGTGAAACAGGTGTCTCCTCTGAAGCCATAATCATTCAAAAGGAAATGGCAGTGATCTGAGTTTCACTGACTCTTGATGACTTTGGAGTATTCAGAGTTGAAAAAACTGACCCATACTTTATGATTCAAAATTGCCTGTGAGATTAGAGAACTGAGCTCTGTCATTCCTCTCATCCTAGCACTTCCTGCCTCAGCCTTACTCACATTGCTTGGACATTTAAATGTCAACTGGTGCCGTGCCCTTTATTTAAATGAAACAAATGGATCAGGCAGGATATGGTATCAGTTTTCTGGCTGTGGTGGCTTAAAATGTGGCTATGAAAAATTTGCAAAAGAAGCCTAAATTCAGCTAAAAGCCTTAGTGAGAGAAGTACCATTTCAGTTTTCTTATTCTAATTAGGGAACATATTGTGACATTCTTTAAGAAGATAAAACTAGAAGCAGATATTCACACATTAAACAATGAAGTTCAAGGCCAGTTTAAATGATGAAGGATTCAGATTTTGTTTTAAAATATCTGCTTAAGCCGACAAACATATTAAAACTTGGAAAGAAAAATTCCATGTAGGAGGTTTTAAAACTAGAAAAGTCCTTATAAGCATTTTCATCATCACATGTAAATATAATATAATAAAAACATTCATCTTTTCATCTTGAATGTCTCAGACTTGAAGACATGGATTTTTGCAAAGAGGATCATAGCTTCTGATGCCTTTGATATCAAACTGATAAATGACAGGTAGTATCTTGCTTTAGATTGCATACATAATATGCAATTTGAATATTTGTCATAATTATTTATTTTTGATAAAAATGATTTTTTTTTTTTGAGATGGAGTTTCACTCTTGTTGCCCAGGCTGGAGTGCAATGGCACAATCTCAGCTCACTGCAACCTCTGCCTACCGGGTTCAAGTGATTCTCCTGCCTTAGCCTCCCAAGTAGCTGGTATTATAGGTGTGTGCCACCACGCCCAGCTAATTTTGTATTTTTAGTAGAGACACGGTTTCACCATGTTGGTAAGGCTGGTCTCAAACTCCTGATCTGAAGTGATTCACCGGCCTCAGCCTCCCAAAGTGGTGGGATTACAGGCATGAGCCACTGTGCCTGGCTGATAAAAATTTTTAAAATACATTAGGATAAATTTCTATTTAAAGGACCCTTTCAATAATTGCTTTTGTACTGAGAACAACCTTTGCTAGATTTTTAAAAGTGGGTATATGCAACTGAAACTTTATTCACCATCTTCAGTATAGCCTTTTACATTTGGACTTCCCATTGAAAGACCTCATTATAGGTGACTTCATGGAGGCAACTGTTGCTATCTTTGAACATAAAAGAGTTGTCAGTTTACATGAGAGCAGTCTTTTGACTCAGAAGAAGGGAATGGTATCCAATAAGGTATATTAAGATTTAGTTTTTAGTGTAACTTCTTTGAAAAAATGAAATAGGAGACTAGTTGAGATTGTCAGCCCCAATTTGTGTCTGCCCACCATGATGGTTTTCTTTTATAAAGCAAGAATTTTAAGAAGCAGAGGAAATGAAGACATAAAATGAAGTGTATGTGAATGAATGGAAGAGAGATGAAGATGTCCCAGTGGTGAGCGTTATATGAAATTAGGCTGGAAAAGTAGATAGGGTAAGACCATGATAGTCCTTGTAGGCAATATTGAGGAATTCTGGTGCTTAACTTCAAAGGAAAGGAAAGAAACTACAGAATATTAAGCAGAGAAGCCATGATACAATTTGTATTTTGGAAAGATTTTCTGATTGCTGAGTGGAGGGAAGCAAAAGAAGTTGCAGGGAATTCAGCTAAGAAGTGATGGCAGGCAAGAGATGATTGAGGTTTGGTCTAGATATGGCTATAGTGGAGATGGACTTGATTGGATTTGAGATATTTAGTGGGTTATATCAACAAAATTCAGTGTTAAATAGGCAGGTGAGAAAGATGGAGAACCTGTAAGGATAGCTTCCAGCTTTCCGACTTGAAGGCATGGCAATCATAAGTTTGGTTTTAAACAGGTTTTGTGTAAAGAACTTTTGAGATAACCAATTGGAAATGTAAAGTGAGCTGGGCGCAGTGACTCGTGCCTGTAATCCCAACACTTTGGGACGGTGAGGTGGGCAAATCACTTGAGATCAGGAGTTCGAGACCAACCTGGCAAACAAGGTGAAACCCTGTCTCTACTAAAAATACAAAAAATTAGCCGGGCGTGCTGGCGGGCGCCTATAGTCCCAGCTACTTGGGAGGCTGAGGCAGGAGAATGGCGTGAACCTGGGAGGCGGAGCTTGCTGTGAGCCGAGATCGTGCTACTGCACTCCAGTCTGGGCGACAGAGCGAGACTCCGTCTCAAAAAAAAAAAAAAAGTAAAAGTAATAAGTAAATAAGTAAATAAATAAAGTGGATGGCAGACATGAGGACCTGAAGTTGAGGATGAAGTTTGGGCCAAGGAAGTATCTTCGGATGTCAACAATTACGGTGGTTATTGAAGTCCTTGTCATGGATGAGATTACCCAAGGGAGACTCAGACTGAGACGTTGTGGAGATTAAGGAGCCCTGAGGAGCACCGACATTTAGAGTAGGGGTAAGGAAAGGAGCCAGCAAAGCCTTGAATAGGGAAGGTCAGAAGGCAGACAGACACCTGGCAGTATGACATCATTGTATCCAAGGGAAGAGAGTTGCACAAAGGAAGGAGGGAAAAAGATTTGATGTCTCAGAAAGAGAATGAGGGACACATGCAGGAAAGGAAACACAGGGCACATCCCTTTCCTCTAAATAAGAAAGATAATTGAGCATCATCTTTTTTTTTTTCTTTCTTTTTTTTTTTTTTTTAATTGAGACAGAGTCTCACTCTGTCGCCAGGCTGGAGTGCAGTTTCGTGATCTCGGCTTACTGCAACCTCCACCTCCTGCGTTCAAGTGATTCCCCTGCCTCAGCCACCCCAGTAGCTGGAACTACAGGTGCCTGCCACCACACCCGGCTAATTTTTTTGTGTATTTTAGTAGAGACAGGGTTTCACCATGTTGGCCATGATGGTCTTGACCTCCTGACCTCATGATCTGCCCGCCTTGGCCTCCCAAAGTGCTGGGATTATAGGCGTGAGCCACCGTGCCGGGCTGAGCATTATCTTTAAATGGTTCATAGTTCGACTAATTCACGGGAGATTACAGGTCACATCATATAAACTTGCTGCTGTTTCACTGAATCAGTTTTAGTGCACTAAGCAACCGAAATGGTAGCAACAGCAACAAAGCACTACGTAATAGCAACCAGCACACACTGTCAGGTTTAAACATGATGCTCAAATTCCTAGCTCCTGACACCGTCCCACACAGCCGCCAAGTACACTACCTATCAAGGCTGCCTGAGCACTGCAAACTGATCTCATGCTCTGAGGCCTGCCTCATCGCCTTGCCCTCCTCCCACACAGCCCTAGGCTCGCTGCCCGTTGAGGTGGCAGGCAGAAAGCATTGCAGCTCTGGGGTCATAGACCACAGATGGGTGGGCAGTCCTAGGGTGGAAATAGTTCATCTGGTATGAGCAGCAACCTGAAAGTCCCAGACCCTTAATCTCATTGAAAATCTCATGTTCCTCTCACAATTCTTTCTGTTCCCATCTCACCATGGATTTTTTTGCTTGGAACATTAGTTTTTTTACACTGAATGTCATATATGTAGACAATGGAAACTTTGTGTAATGTATTGGGGAAATTTGAAAGTAGGCTTCTGGACGTCAGGGAGATTTCTGTATGTTCAGGTTCTTGTTGGCTTTTCTTTTTTTTTTTTTTTTTTTTTTTTTGAGACAGAGTCTCGTACTGTCACCTAGGCTGGAGTGCAGTGGCACCATCTTGGCTCACTGCAACCTCCGCCTCCCAGGTTAAAGGATTCTCCTGCCTCAGCCTCCCAAGTAGCTGGGACTACAGGCTTGCACCACCACACCCAGCTAATTTTTGTATTTTTAGTAGAGATGGGGTTTCACTATGTTGGCCAGGATGGTCTTGATCTCTTAATCTCGTGATCCACCCACCTCGGCCTCCCAAAGTGCTGGGATTACAGACTTTTCTTAGAGTCAGACTGCCTATATTCCTTCCTTCCTTTCTCCTTCCTTCCTTCCTTCCTTCTTTCCTTCCTTCCTCCCTCCCTCTCTTTCTTCCTTCCTTCCCTCCCTCATTCCCTCCCTCAATTCCTTTCTCTCTCCTTCTATCCATCATGCTATCCACCATCTTTCCATCCATCCATCCATCCAAGCACTGCATTAGGTACAGTGGGGATATAAGGTGAGAAATGCTGTAGAAGAAGTAAGTCATAGACATAAACAGTGATGACACAGGATAGAACGAGGCAAATGCTGAGAGAGGTGAGGATGAAGTGCTCTGGGCTTTCACGGGAGAGAGAAGCTGCCAGAAGGTATCCGCAAGGAAGTGCACAATCTGATTTATGCACCTAAAAAGAAGACTGGCTGTTACCTGGAAATAGATTTAGGGAGGGTGGAAGCAGGGAGTGCTCCTGATAAAGGAAATAGCAAGCCTAAAAGCCAGAGGTGGGAAAGGGTTAGTGCAGCCTAGATCTGTGCATTGGAGCCCAGTGAACTCTTGATGAGGTAAAGTTGGAAAGGTTGGCAGGGGCCACATCTGCTGAGTTTTGAAAGAAGTTTGGATTTTTAATTTTGTCATTACCGTTAAAGCACTAAAAAGCATGATGATTTCACAGATTATACAAAGACAGCGATTAGATCACCTTAGTGAAAAGCAGAGCATGTTTTTCAGTTTAGAACAATAGAAAGAGGGCCGGGCGCGGTGGCTCAGGCCTGTAATCCCAGCACTTTGGGAGGCCGAGGCAGGCAAATCACCTGAGGTCAGGAGTTCAAGACCAGCCTGGCCAACATAGTGAAACCCTATCTCTAATAAACATACAAAATCAGCCGGGCATGGTGGTGGGTGCCTGTAATCCCAGCTACTCGAGAGGCTGAGGCAGGAGAATCACTTGAACCTGGGAGGCAGAGGTTGCAGCAAGCCAAGATCGCGCCACTGCACTCCAGCCTGGGCGACAGAACGAGACTCTGTTTCAAAAAAAAAAAGAACATTAGAAAGAGGACCTGCTTATAGAAACACAATCATATGTATGCCAAGTGATTGAAATTTCTCGTAATTGTATGCCTCAAAAGGGCACTGTTTCTTATGGGAAATTTAAAATGAGATCCCGATGAACTGCTACTACTGATGATGATTATTTCAAGGCCTTGTCCTGCGTACAACCTGAGGAAATATTTTCTGTTTCCTTTTATTCTCCTAAGGCCACAGCTGGGAAACCGCCTTTGCCCCTTTGCTTCCTGTCCTAACCTGTTGGAGCTGCGTGTTTTAGTGAGGGGTGGGAGTGTTGTGAAGTGAGCCCGAGGGATCCTGCTCGCCTCACTCTATTGTTTAAGGAGGGGCTCCAGCTGCTTTGATCTGCGTCTCTGGGTGAGTGTGGGTGGTAGTGGGCAGTCCAGCCTGTGTCTGGCTGCCTGGCGGTCTTTCCTAAGAAGCACCTTGAGGGTCAGCAACTGTGTGCTATTATAGTTATTATTATAATAAATGCTTCAGTGCCAGAGAAGTAGCATACAGCAGTCAGACGCAATTACCATCCACGCACGCTTTACTAGACTTAAAGAAATCTGTGAAAATCTGACTCAAATGACTCCGTTTCAGATGGGTTTATGTAGGACTTGAGGTAAACTTGCAGAGTCTCATTTCTTTGGCTGTGGAGAGAATGCTGGCTGGCAGAATCAAGGATTTGGAGGGAGCTGGAGTGAGGGGGCAGAAAGAGGAGAGGATGAAACCTTGAAGAAGTGTCCCTGGCTTTGTACCAATGAATAGTCAAAGGAATGATGGATGGGACCTAGAACCAGAGTTCAGTGAAAGATGGAGAGAAACCTGCTTGTTTTGTTTACTGACCTTAGAATGGCTTCAGATCTGTTCAGGGTTTGAGTCTGATTTTTTAAATTTTATTTTCCGATGATGTGCAATATCTTAATGCCAGATCCCGAACCCATACCTGGGTTCCAACACACAAATCCTTGCATGAGCTCTAGAATATACTGAGCTTTTTCCCACCTTGGGCTTTTAGGCTTGCTCTTTCCTTTGTCAGGGGCACTCCCTGCTTCCACCCTCCCTAACTCCATTTCCCCATAACAGCCAGTCTTCTTTTTAGATGCATACATCAGATCATGCACTGATTCCTGTTCAAGTAGGAAAACATGGATAATATGATACATGCTTGACACAGGCAAATATCTTTGGAAAAATAAAACATTAGCAACCCCCTTGGCTGGGTGCGGTGGCTCACGCCTGTAATCCCAACACTTTGGGAGGCTGAGGCAGGTGGATCACTTGAGGTCAGGAGTTCACAGCCTGGCCAACAGGGTGAAACCCTGTCTCTACTAGAAATACTAAAATATTCCATTGTATTTCAGAAGATTATAAAAGCTCTAAGGTGAATTTTGAAGTCTTCATCAGCATATCCATATTAAAAGGAGATGACAGAAGCCAAAATAAAAGAATTATGGGCTGACAGGCAACTGGATTAAAATAAGCATCAGTTTCATTAAAAATGGCTAACTTGAAGATAAATCTTTTGACTCCAGCACTCTAGAGGATCTAAGGTGACCTTGATGGACAGTGGAAGAAATCACAACATGGAACTCCCTGAATAAAAATTTATTGACTTAAAAAAAATACTAAAATTAGCTGGGTATGGTGGTACATGCCTGTAATCCTGGATGCTCGGGAGGCTGAGGCATGAGAATCGCTTGAACCTGGGAGGTGGAGGTTGCAATGAGCTGAGATCACACCACTGCACTTCATCCTGGGTGACAGAATGAGACTGTCTCAAAAAAAGAAAAACAGCAACAACAACAACAACAAAAAAAAAAAAACAAAGAAAACCACACACACAAAAAAATTAGCAAACTCCTTCTTTGAAATGTTACTGGCTCATAAAGTCTGATTGTTCAAGCATGCAGTATAGCCTCCCTATTAGATGTGATGTTTATTAAATTAATAAAATAAATATACATCTCATTGACCAAGGATAAAAGAAGGAAGGGGGAAAGGGGGCTTAAATCAGCAAAACAAAATCTACCGATGAGGTACTTTGGAAATAAAGATGATTTATCAGGAAAGAGTAAAAGAAAATCTGCAATAAAGTGATACAGACAAATAGTTTGATGTATTTGTTATGTAAACAATTCATAAGAAAAACATTGTGCCATAAGAAAAACATAGATAAATGGACAAAGATCATGAAGCAGACAATTATGAAAATAGAACTAAAACAGCAAACTGGCATATGGCACTTTCTACCCTCCTTCCCACCCATCTTACTACTTCCCAACTTCCTATGCCTTTCCACTGCTTTATATATTTCTCCCTAACAAATACCACTATCCTAATATTCTCTCTTGATATTACTTATTTATCTTGTTTATTTTCTTTCCCCCCAAATTGCATGTAAACTCCGTGAGGGCTGGGACATCTGTTGGTTTTGTTTGCTACTGTATGCATCCCATTGCCTAGAACTCAGGGAAGGTCCAAGACAACCATCTATGGGTTTTTTAAAGTTCAACAGAACATTCATTCATTCATTTGTTTGTTAAAAAAAGACTAAATGCCTACCATGGACCAGGCACTGTGTGATATAATAGGGCTTCCTTTTTCCTTTTTCAAAAGCATGAGATGTGTTTTCTACCTGTTAGAACTGCAAAGTTGAGTGCAGAGATTTGCCTGTGGACACAGCTTTGTTTCAAAAATATATATTTTTTTAATTTTGGCCAAAATTTTAAAACCAATAGATTTCATACACAAAGCTGGATTTCTGTCTTCTTTTAAAAGAAGAGTTGATGTTGACTACAACAGGCATCAATTGCATGTGGCTGCAACTGGCAGGGGGTGAAGTGCTGCTTCTTACGCCCTTTGGGCAGAATCCCCACCACTTCCTGTTGCCTTACTCTAAGCCTGGCAGTGCCCTTTGGCAACTGGTAGTTGCCAAACCATGGTAGTAGTTGGGCAGGTATTGGTCACAGAATAAAGACCACATACAAGCTACATTACACCGTTTTATTAAGCCCAGTTGCAGGAATATTCTAGAATTTTAAATAGAAAAGTTGTTTCCTGCCCCCCGCCCCCCCTCACCCCTAGTAGCGAGAGTAAGTAATAAATGGTTTTAGGGAAGTTAGTCTCAATTTGGGAGATGGTTTGAGAGAGACCATTTTTCAAACACATTAATGATGAAAAGCATCATTCCATGCAAAAGGAGCTTGGAACAAGCTCTCCCATCATTTTCTTGGTGGGACCATTTCAAAGACTCAATACTGAGTTAAGTGCAATATAGCTGGGTGTTTAATCTCAGTGCAGCTTGGTAACTTCAAAGTCCTGCAGGCAAGGCTGTAGAGAGTGTCTTCACGGAGTTCTCATGCAATGCAGATACCCAAGGCCAATACATTCCCCAGACATGAGGCCCATACATCCCCTCACTCTAGATGGCATTGCCCTTGGCTTTAAGGGAGACCCATTTGAAAGGAAAGGGGTATGTTTGCAATAGGCTTAGAATCTGTTGGGCAGGCTCTGGAGGGGAGATGCTGGCTAAGGACCTCCATCCCTGGAACCGTAATGCAACTCCATTGAAGGCTGTGCATTTAAAGGACAATGGGGCAGGCATGGTAGCTCATGCCTGTAATTCCAGCACTTTGGGAGGCTGAGGTGGGAGGATTGCTTGAGGCCAGGAGTTTAAGACCAGCCTGGGCAATACCACGAGAACCTGTCTCTACCAAAAAGTAACACATTTAGTTGAGTGTTGTGGCATGCATCTGTGGTCCCAGCTACTCGGGAGGCTGAAGTGAGAAGATGGCTTGAGCCCGGGAGGTTGAGGCTGCAGTGACCCGTGATCACACCACTGCACTCCACTCTGGGTGACAGAGTGAGACTCTGTCTCAAAAATAACACAAAAGAAAATAGGCTGGGTATGGTGGTGCACACCTGTAATTCCCAGCACTTTGAGAAGCCAAGGTAGGCGGATTGCTTGAATCCAGGAGTTTACGACCAGACTGGGCAACATGGTGAAACCCCGTCTCTACAAAAACAAAAAACAAACAAACAGAAAAAAAAAAAAAAACCACTACAAAAATTAGTTGGGCATGGTGGCACACGCCTCTATTCCCAGCTACTTGGGAGGCTGAGGTTGGAGAATCGCTTGAGCCCAGGAGGTTGAGGCTACAGTGAGCTGAGATTGTGACACAGCACTCCAGCCTGGACAACAGAGTGAGATCCTGTCTCAATAAAAATAAAAATTAAAATAAAAGAAGGACACCTATTATTTTCAAAGTAGAGCTTTAGAGGAGGAGACAGAAGAGGGATGTGATAGAAAAAGATTATAACAAGTTTATATATTTTGAAAAGATTGCTCTGAATAAATATATAATGAGCTGCCCTTATGAAGTTAATTTTTACCACCACAAAGCATGTTCTTTTTTTTTTCTTTTTTGAGACAGAATTTTGCTCTTGTCACCCACAGTAGAGTGCAATGGCACAATCTCAGCTCACTGCAACCTCCTCCTCCCAGGTTCAAGTGATTCTCCTGCCTCAGCCTCCCAAGTAGCTGGGATTACAGGCACCTGCCACCACTCCCAGCTAATTTTTGTATTTTTAGTAGAGACGGGGTTTCACTATGTTGGCCAGGCTGGTCTCAAACTCCTGACGTCAGGTGATCCACCCTCCTTGGCCTCCCAAACTGCTGGGATTACAGGCGTGAACCACTGTGCCCAGCCCATGTTCTAAATAAGAAAGGCACAATGAAAAATTTGTAGTTATTTTGAGATTGCTTCCAAAAGGCATCCAGGGCAGGGAGGGCATTGGCTCATTGGGTTAGCCAGATGAAGAACCTCGCAAGGACTGCTGAACAGTGAATTTAGCTCTTGTACGTGCATAGTCATGTACTTGGTACAAATTTCACAGCACATGACAGCTGTGTGGCACATCTGTTGGAGATCCAAAAAATCAGTTTCACAAGCATTGGTTGGGAAAGATTCAGCTTGGCACTAGTTCTGAGAAAAGCCCTGGGACTTTGAATTGTGTGCAAATGTAATATGCTGTAAGTTCACTGAAATGTTAGTCTTTGCCCATGGGATAAAAATATCTAGTCCTGTTACAAGCCAAGCTGTTTAAATCACACTTGCAGTACTGGTCATATGAAGAAGGATACTGGAAATTAGAATTTGTTCCTAGGATGGTAGTCAAGAAGAATCTAGAAATTATGACATAGGAAGTGGTTGAAAGACTTGGAGATGACAGATCTGTAGTCCAACTTGAACAGGAAAAGACTAAGGAGGGAGATGCCATAGCTATCTTCAGATTCACAAAAGCCTGATGACGCAGGGCCCTTTGGATGTAAAACAACACCCAAAGATTATGTCTGTTGGATAAATAAAAGAATAAAAAGAGAGTAGGGGTGTGTGTGTGTGTGTGTCTGTGTGTGCCTGAGTGCTGTATGTATCTGTGTGTGTTGTGTGTGTATGTTTTCAGGCAAGAGCAAAAACACATGATGAAAATTACAGAAAGAGAGGTAGATTTAAAACACCATATAAAAATGTTACTGTTTGTAACAACCAAGCTGAATGACCCTCTATTAGGGATTTATAAAAAGAATGTCTACATGCAATGGTAAACTCAATCTTGAGAAGGAACATAAAATGGAAAGATGAGGGCTTTGGAGTCAGACACATCTGGGAGCAAATTACATCTTTGCCATTTAGCTGTGTGACTTTAGGCAAGATACCTAGCCTCTCTGAGTATTTGTTTTTCCATCTATTAAATGGGGATAATAAAACCCATGTTAAAATGTTGTGAGAATTAACTGAGCTGTCGAATGTAAAGTCCTAGAAACAGTATGCTTTGGATAAGTGTTAGCTGACTTTTCTAGATTAGATGTCATCCAAAGTAGAAAGAGTGAGTTATAGAAATTACTGTAAGGCAGTCACTTAGCAGGTCCATTAGATGTACGTGGTCACCGCTGGGCACGGTGGCTCACGCCTGTAATCCCAGCACTTTGGGAGGCCGAGGCAGGCGGATCACCTGAGGTCAGGAGTTTGAGACCAGCCTAGCCAACACTGGCGAAACCCCATCTCTACCAAAAATATAAAAATTAGCTGGGCATGGTGGTGCGCACCTATAATCCCAGCTACTTGGGAGGCTGAGGCAGGAGAATCACTTGAACCCAGGAGGCAGAGGTTTCAGTGAGCTGAGATCATGCCACTGCACTCCACACTCCAGCCTGGGCGACAGAGCAAGACTTGGTCTCAAAAAAAAAAAAAAAAAGATGTACATTGTCCCCTTGTATTGTCAGTGCCTGACACAGAGCCTGCACAGGGAGCCACTCAGCAGGTGATGGCACATCTGTTGACTTTATTGTCAGCACTATGGTTAAGTCACGCCCTAGAAACATATTCTCAATATGGCAGCATGGCCAACAGAGACAGCCTGTGTAGGGAAGGGAGGTTGGTGTTCGCATCAGGCAGAGGTTCAAATCTCAGTTCTCCACTGGGTGGAGTTACTTCACCTTTCCGAGCTGCATGTTTCTCTTCTGAGGCAGTACGTGTTTCATGGAGTGAGTGATGAAATCGCATATGCAAAGGCATTTGATATTCTTTTCCCAGAGGGATCCTCTTTACAATCCAGGGAGGCAGATAATGCAGTCTGTATGGAAGAAAAAACAAGATTCAGAAAATTGAAGTGATGTGCCCAAGGAAATAGCAGAATTGGTATTTGATTCTTTCCTTTTAACCTGAAGGCCCATCATCTCTCTCTCCGAGACCATGACGGAAACATTTTTTGGTGTCTCAGTGTGCCGGGTACTATGCTGGGTGTTTCCGTGTTTCGCTTCTTTGCTGTTCGGGTCCTTATGGAGATGTTAGTCACTTTGCGAGTCTCTTTGGAACATCTGCAGGATGGGCTTCCTAGATACTTGAGAAAGGTCATTCTTCATGGGACACTTGGCTTTGGGAGGAGACATGTGCCCAGACGGTCACGTCCACTCCTTTGCCTTGACGGGCACCGGTGGGATGGGTGTTGTGTATCTTGAGCAGCGACACCATCGGCTAATAGCTGTGCTGAGTCCGCAGCTGCCCATCCTCAGGTCTCCGTGAGCCCACACACTTGCTCTGTGGGATTGCAGTGTTTTGAAATGAACTCCTTGCAAACATTTAAATCAGAAATATCCGCATAAAAATGTAATTTAACATTTTGGGTTTCTCTCGAGGAACTGGACAGTCTGGCAACCCTGAGCCCATGTTCTCCCAGACAGCAGCCCACCAGCATTGCATAGTGCCTACTTCCTTTAAGTGGAGCAGGCGTCCCCGGGGTCCCTGCACTGCCAATTGCACTCCCATATCTTCCTCCCGCAAGGAGTGTAGGTTACCATATAGTACTCATGCATAATTTCTATCAATAATAACATAAACACCTGCTAGAACAGTTCCTGAGGTGTTTTTTTTTTTTTTTGACGATCTCTTTTGTATGCTTCCTCCCCAGTCTGTGATTGCAATGGGAAGTCCAGGCAGTGTATCTTTGATCGGGAACTTCACAGACAAACTGGTAATGGATTCCGCTGCCTCAACTGCAATGACAACACTGATGGCATTCACTGCGAGAAGTGCAAGAATGGCTTTTACCGGCACAGAGAAAGGGACCGCTGTTTGCCCTGCAATTGTAACTCCAAAGGTAGCTGAAAAGGACGGAAAGAGGGAGAGGGAGATGGAGCAGTGGGGAGACAAGAGGGAAGGAAGGAAGGAGGAAAAGAAGAAGGAAGGGAACAACGGAGGAAAAAGAAAGAAAACAGGGAAAGCAAGCAGGCCAAGAGGGAGATGTTCAACCTCACCAACAACTGGGAACCTACCAGACATTGGTCTTTTTAGCAGTTTCAATCTGAAAGGAAACATGTTTCTCTTAAGTAGGGGTTGGTGGAACCAGTTGGGACCTTGAGGGCATGTTGTCTTGAATTCTAATACAAAGAGTCACATTATTAACTTTTCCAGGCAGGTGACAGTCTTTTGCAAGCAGATGACAAAGGAAGCTTGCACTCTTTCAGGGATAGTTCTTCATATCCATAGCCATCCATTTGACCAACCTCTTGAAAAATAAGGAATTAGAAAGATCTGTTTCTAGTGCTGTGCTAGGTGCTAGCAATATGAAGTTGTACTAATAAAGGAGACAGACAAGTAAACAGGAAAATTGAAGTCTTTCATTAGGTTGCTAAAAAGATAAAACAAAATAACAAATAGGAAACACCTAATGGGGTGGCTGGTTCATAGGAGAGCTAGTTTGTTTTTTTGTTTTGTTTTGTTTTTTTGAGACAGGGTCTCACACTGTTGTCCAGACTGGAGTGCAGTGGTGCCATCTCGGCTCACTGCAACCTCCGCCTCCTAGGTTCAAGCGATTCCCCTGCCTTAGCTTCCTGAGTAGCTGGGATTACAGGCACCCACCACCACGCCCAGCTAATTTTTTGTATTTTTAGTAGAGATGGGGTTTCATTATGTTGGCCAGGCTGGTCTCGAGTGCCTGACCTCGTGATCCACTTGCCTCAGCCTCCCAAAGTGCTAAGACTACAGGTGTGAGCCACCGCGCCTGGCTAGTTGTTTTTTTTTTTTTTTTTAAAGTATCCCACACAGTGCTATATTCATATAACTGTAGGTCTTTGCTGTACACACAGATACATACACTGTGCTGTATTCATTGTGGACAGACAGTAAAGACAAGTTAGTAAATATAAAGGGGGAGAGAGAGGTGGTTCTGTAAATAAGATTTTTTTTTTAAACGGTTCATTTGTCTATTATCTTTCTGGCATTATCTACTTTTCTTTGCTAGAAAGTGTTTAACAGCATCCTGTGATAAATATTGATCCACTTAAAGCATACAGCCTTATTGCATGGCAATGACTTAGTGTAGTAGGTCTGTGGAACCAACTGATAGCTGCAGCTTGAAAGAATCTAAAAATGGGCAGATTCTGGTGCAGCCATGAGTTGCTGGTAGAGTGGTTTGGGAGTCTTATAGAAAACTGGGTGACCCTGTGGTGAGATAGGCCCATATCGCAGCAGTCACCCCCCAAATTCACCTAAGTTGCTGTCACAATGTGGTTTGACTCAGATTAGTTTAGCTTTGTTGTGTGGAATTTGCATCCAGAATCTTTTGGATTTAGCAGTCCTCCCTATGAATCAAAGAACTTCATAAAAAAATTAAAAGACAAATTATTGCATTTTAATGGGCATTTAACCTCTCTGAAGAGCTCCTATTGCCTTAGGTCATGCAGCTTCATTGTGAGTCACCAGAGTTGGGTCATCCCAGTGAAATGATCAGTGAGAATGAAACTAGAAATTTAATTGGCTCAGCTTGAAAGCCTGGCCTGAAGACAAGGTTATTAGTCTCAGGGTAGACCAGGAACCTGCTGCCTAGCACAGAAGGATGGTAAAGAAGGATTTACCATGTCATCTCTTCTGTTTCAGCATGTAGTCTACTGCTTGCCCAGTGGTAAGGGCAAGTGAAACTGGCTCCTTCTTTTTATTTGGGTAATAGATATCCCAGACTCAGTGGGAACAGCTTGGCAGGAAGTGGTGGAGCCCAGTATTGATTTATGTCTTATATGATAGTTAACATGTGCCATGTGCCAACCCTGGGCCAGGCACTTTTCTAGGTGCTTTTAATCCAGTAATTAATTAATCTTCACAAATAACTAAAGAGGGGGCTATGTTTTTTCCCATTTCACAAATGATGTAGCAGAGACTTAGGGAGGGAGGGGAAGAAACTTGTCCAAGGTCATAGAGCTAAGGGGCAGAGTAAGAGTTCAGGACCAGGTTTGTTGACATCAAAGGTAATAATGTAGAGTACAGTGGTGGGTTATGGAGCCAGGCAGCCAGGGTGCAAATCTGGACACAACCACCATCATCATTAGGTCACTCTGGGCAGGTTCCTTAACCTCTTGCTGCTCCAGCATCCCCATCTGTTAAAGAGTGTTCATGATATTCATGTCATGGGATCCTGTGGAGATAAAATGGTGTTTGACAAGCACATGGCGGGCAACTCAGTAAATTGTGAATTGATGTAGTTGTTTTTCTTATTAAGACAGTGGGGAAACTGAGACCTAGAAAAATTAATGAATGGCCTAAAGTCTTCCAGCAACTGATTGCAAGAACTAAAGTTGTAAGCCAGATCTTCTGATCAAGAATAATTCTCTTATTCCCTCCATATGAAAGAAAAAAAAATCAGAATGGCATTTTTCAATGCCCAAAAGCAGACAATTTATGTGTACACAAAAAGCTTGATGGATATTATTTCCTAAGATCTGACTAATGCTTTATAATTTTCCAAAACATTATCATAGATGATGTCCTTCTTAGTCCTCATAACAGTCTGACAACAATGTGTTAACACATCCACTGTTAAAGAGATGAAGAAACTGAACTTTCAGGGTCCAAACTGCAGAGGCTGAAAGACACATTGGTGACAGAGACTGTTCCCACCATGTGCTGTCCCCAGCTGCTCCTCAGCTGCACATGTCACCAAACCACTAGCACAAGTTTAATTCCCTATGTGATTTCTCAGTATCCCAATTAGCCAGAGGATATTTTTCACTTTCAGATAATAACTTGACAGGGAAATCTGTTGTATATTCCATTTCAAATGCAAAATAACATGTCTTACAAAAAAATGCTATCATTACATGTATGTCAAATGAAGCCAATGGCATTAATAAACCCCAGAGTAGTCACCAATTTTGGACTTTATATCGATTTCCCAAAAATGCAGAAATTAGGCTTATTTTTAGATTATGACTTTGTGGGCTCAGCAACAGGGCTGAGTTACCTTCAGCTCTTCCAACCACATATTTAAGCCCTGATAACCTTTTGCAGATACTTTGAAATTCACTGCGTGTGCAAGTTTTTTCCTCCCATGACAGCTAAGTTTTTGAGGTCTATGTGATATTGGACTTACTCTCTTAATTTTATATTTTTTTACATATCTTTGATGCTTACAGTGTATTATTCAGACTATAACATTTGAGTAATTATTTAAAACATGTTTTTAAATGCAAGTGTATATATTTTTAAAAGGGTTCTCAAAAGGATGCAAATTCTCTGTTTATATGTTTTGTTTATTTGTTTTTATTGGGTTTGTTGTTGTTGTTTTGAGACAAGATCTCACTCTGTGGCCAAGGCTGGAGTGCAGCGGCTCCATCATGGCTTACTGCAGCCTCAAACTCCTGGGCTCAAGCAGTCCTCCTGCCTCAGCCTCCTGAGTAGCTCGGACTACTGGTGTGTTCCACCATGCCTGACTAATTTTTTATTTTTTTGTGGAGACAGGGTCTATGTTGCCCAGGCTGGTCTCAAATTCCTGGGCTCAAGAAATCCTCCTGCCTCAGTCTCCCCTAACTGCTGGTATTACAAGCATGAGCCACCATGCTCGGCCCTAAATTTTAAATATTTATCATTTTTTAATACCTTCCTGAGTCTTCAAATGCATGTAGGCTATATCTATATAAAGCATGAATGTGCTTACTGGGACACAAATTTGAAACAGGAAGTTATTCCTTATCTATTCTTTAAAACCAATTGTTCACAATCCCTAAGTACAGTTCATGATGTGGGAATTGGGGCAGGTTGTTTTTTTTTTGAGTGAGACTTTGAAGAACCAGTGCTATTATTTTGGAAGTTTTGGAACATGAAATAAGTCAGTCATATTCAGAGTTAGAGCCTGAATTACTTCTTCCCCCACTTTATTAAAATAATTCATTTCTGAAAAACTACTGCAGGGAGAGTTTTCTGAAGTTGAAAGTGTAATAAATTTGGATGCAGAAAAAATGTGTTTCTGATCCCCAAATCAGCATCCATTCATGTTAAAAACAACCAAATTTCATCATGAGGGACTTCTATTTAACATTACTTATCAGAGCATTATTCAAAAAGGAATTTTCCTTCCTTCTGCTGACCACTCACAGAGCAATGATCATGAAGTCTCTAAACATCAAACCAAATAGCCTCTCTTCATTCTCATCTTATTTAAAAGCTCTCTTGCCTTAGGCTCTGAAAACCTTCCTTCTCTCCTCCTCCCCTCACCCTCCTTAGACCTCTCCTCCCTGCCTTCCATTGCTCATTGTTTGATTAGACCCTGCCCTGAGACTTCTCCCTCTCCAATCATCCTCTCTTAATAGATGGGCTCTATCTCTGTCCTCACCACTTCCCCTCCTCTCTCCATCTACTTCTGGACTGATCTCACATTTACTATGGCTTCCTATTCAGCCTGAGTGTTGAGGGCTCCTAGATCTTCATCTCTAGACTCTGAGCTCCAGATGAACATTTCCACCTTTTATATGCCCCTAGAAACTCAAGTTCATATACCCAAAACTAAACTCATTATCTTCTCTTGATAATTCAACCTGAGGTCTTGGTCCTCCTCCTGTTTTCCCTGGTTTGGTAAATAGCATCACAGTCCAGCCAGGTGTGCACTCTGGGGACCTGAGTGTCATCAATGTGATCCTCTCTCCCTCATCATTCCTAACCCAAGAGTCACCTAAATCTGTTTGTTCTATATCCACAGTGGCTCTCACAATGCTTCCCTCCTTCTCTTCTCACTCAGACCCCTCTAATCCAGGCCATCATGGCATGGGAGGAGACATGCTGATCTTGCCTTCTCCAAGCCATCCTGCAGACTGCTCTAGAGTTCTCTTTCTAAGTGCAGGTCTGAACTTGTCACTGCCTGCCTAAACCTCTGAGAGTTCCTATTATGCAGAAATTGATCTGTTATTCTGCTGTGAACTTTTAATTCACTACTAAATAGCGTGAGCTAATACATATAAAGTGCCTAACTCAACATCTAAGGAGATGCTCAAAAAATGTCATTTATGCTATTATCACTGAAGGCTCCTTCAAGCCTTGCAAAGTTGATATGTAGATGTTCATAGACTCAAACTGTAAATGTGACTCATTTATTTCACATTCCACATGCTGCATAAAGTCTTCATACAGGCACAGAACCGATATCTTTATCGATTTGAATTCTACTAGTAAATTAAAAGTTCACAGAAAGATAATAAATTTAAAAAACAAACATGTAGCGACTGGTCAATGTTCCCTTGGCTTCATAGACTATGGATACTAATCATTACAGATACTTAAGATATAGGCTGGGTGCCCTGGGTCATGCCTATAATCCCAGCACTTTGGGAGGCTGAGGCTGGTGGATCATGAGGTCAGGAGTTCGAGACCAGCCTGGCCAACATGGTGAAATCCCGTCTCTACTAAAATACAAAAAATTAGCCAGGTGTGGTGGCACATGCCTGTAGTCCCAGCTACTCAGGAGACTGAGGTAGGGGAATCGCTTGAACCAGGGAGGCAGAGGTTGCAGTGAGCCAAAAAAAAAAAAAAAAAAAAAGATATACAGATCATGGCCAGGTGCGGTGGCTCATGCCTGTAATCCCAGCACTTTGGGAGGCCAAGGCAGGCAGATCACCTAAGATTGGGAGTTCGAGACCAGCCTGGCCAACATGGAGAAACCCCGTCTCTACTAAAAATACAAAACTAGCTGGGCGTGGTGGCGCATGCCTGTAATCCCAGCTACTTGGGAGGCTGAGGCAGGAGAATCGCTTGAACCCGGAAGGTGGAGGTTGCTGACCTAGGCAACAGGAGCAAAACTTCGTCTCAAAAAAAAAAAAAAATACAGATTATTTTACAATTCCACTGAATTGCAGGGGAATTATAAGGTAGCTGAGGTGTACCTAGCTAGCCTTCCACCTCATCTTTTGGCTTTCTCTCAGCTCCTTCCACAACAGCTCAGCCCTCCTCCTTGGCATATACACATTAGTTGAACAGATTTCTGGGCACCTGCCTTGTGTCAGGCACCATGCTGGGCAGTGGGAATACGGCAGGTGACATAAGGTGAGATCATCCTAAGTCAAGTAGGGCTGAGGACTGGGGAAGGGGTGGGATGGGATTTTAGATGCAGGAGTCAGAGAAGATTTCTCTAGAAAAGTAATATTTAATCAAGACCTGAGTGCTGAGAATGTGCCAACTAGGGGAAGTCTGAGGAAAGAGCATTCCAGACTGAGGGAGCAGCAAGTGCAAATACCTTGAGGGAAGCTGCTTAGCACTTTGCCTGAACCAAGAGAGCTGGGTCGCTGGAACCTAGTGAAGGAGGGTAGGAGATGAGGTAAGAGAGGTAGGGTCTTGCAGATCATGATATGAAGTTGGCATCTTATTCTGCTTAGAGTGGGGGCCACTGGAGGACCTAACTATCGAATTACATTTTTAAAGAATATCCTGGCTTCTCTGTGGAGTGTGGAGAGGCAAGGATGGAGGCAGGGAGGAGAGTGCAAGGCAGGGCCTGGGTGAGAGAAGGTGGAGCTGGAATGGGAGTGAGTGTGGAAAGGCAGGTGGTGAGACCTGGCAGCATCCCACAGTGACACATTTTGTTGCCCTGAGTTTTTCATGAACACTCAATCTGAGAGGACCCATTTACAACTAGGAGCATATCTGTAAAAAGTGGAATCATAAGACAAGTACAGTCCCCTAAGTAAGGCACACAGGGTACATCTCACTTGGGGGCGTACCACAGGGGACACTCTCTAGCACTCCTGGCAGGTGGATAGTTTTGGTTAATAGCCCTTTTTATGCTCTTAAAAATCATACCACATAAGCACTGACCCTTAAAAGATGACTTTGCCTGCCAGGGATAAGGGAGAATGCTGCTCACTTTCAGATACAAACTCTCTTCTAGGAGGCCAATGTGCTCATTCACAAATTTTCCTTGAGATCTTAAAGATTTGATGGACTTCTTTTAAAAAGCAGTGAGCAATATGCTACCTACTGTCACAATCAGAGCAGACAAAGACAAATGCTTTTATGAGTAATTTAATTCCTCTCCCTGAGGAAGACATCCTCAGCTGTCAGCACCATCCCCGGTGACACGCAGGCGATGTGAAGTGACTGTTAAAAGCAGCAGATGGTGCTTCTTACTTCGTGTTTACGGAGCACCCATAGGGTGATAGTTGCTTCCAATGCCGCATACATTAAAATATTTCTTCTTCTTCTTTCCTTTCCCCTACCTTGTGGGTTTCAGGTTCTCTTAGTGCTCGATGTGACAACTCCGGACGGTGCAGCTGTAAACCAGGTGTGACAGGAGCCAGATGCGACCGATGTCTGCCAGGCTTCCACATGCTCACGGATGCGGGGTGCACCCAAGACCAGAGACTGCTGTGAGTATTTGCATCCCACCATGGCTGTCACTAACTCAGTGATGACAATTATATAAACCTTAGCAAACACTTGTATTTACTGAGCCCCTACCCTGTGCCAAACACTGCTTTGAGAGTACATCATTTGGGCTATCTACTTTAATCCTCACAATACCCCTAAGAGGTTGGGATTATCATTATATGCATTTCAAAGATAAAAAACTTAAACCATATGAGGTTAAGTTGCCTGATGTTACCGGTGAGGCTGGACCTAATACTTAAGCTCAGAGTTTTGGGTCCAGAGCCTATGTCCTTTTCTCTGGCAATTGCTTCCCTCTAGATGAACTGGAAGGGAGGCAACAAGTCCTTCAAGTAACCTGGGACCCATTTTGGCCCCAGTGAATTTGGGTGGAACTGTTCTGCATAATCTTGATCCCCTTTAGTTTGGAATATCCTGTATCCCTGCTCGGATATTTTTTGGAAGATGAGCATGCATTAAATGTCACATAACCAATCTGCAGAGATGCAGAGCTGGCAAGTGTTGGGATGGCTTGGCAGGGGCTTGGCAGTGAAGCATTGGGCATTGGCTAGCAAGGCTCCCACAGAGGAGGCGCGTCCCATTGCCCACTTTGCTGGCTCCTTGCTGGGACAGGAGCTGCCCTCCAGCCATACTGCATTGTCCCAGTTGTCAAGGTCCCAAGTTGTCATACTCTCTTGGCATTTGTTCTGGTCCGGCCTTCCCTGACCCTTTCAGATGGTCTTCAGAGATCACCCCTGCCCCACTCCTCCTTTGTAACCCTTTTAAAACATAACCCTCTGTTAGCTCCGCCTCCCCGCCCCAATTCAGAATGAGATAAAACTTATCAAGGTCCTGCAAGGTCCTCCTCCCTCTCCACCCTCAGCCTAGGTGCCTGCTTGGTTTCTCGTCACTTTCCTCCCTGCTCCCTGCACTCCGCAGGGAAGCCACAATAGCTTTCCTTCCCTTCTTCAAAGAGCCAAGTGCATGTGGCCTTGGCACATCCTGGAGAGCTCTGCCTTCCCCGAAGCCGTGCAGCGCCTCCTGCTCCATCCCCACCCCACTATCTCCTCACAGAGGCCTTCCTGCAGCAGTCCCACCCCTCTGTGTTCTCACTCTGCTGTTTCACTCCATATCTTATTTTCTATTCATGTTTGTCCATTTCTCCCACTAAAATGTAAGCCCCCTGTGACTCTGTCTTGTTTGCTTCTGTGTCCCCATGCCTGGAGTGGGAAGAGGCACCTTGAGGATGTCCAGTGCATCTGCAGCTGGCCCTGTGCCTGCTGCCCTTGCGATCCACACACCTGACCTGGCATAGGACTCCTATGGAATGGGGACTGTTCCTATTTCTCTTAGCATCCCCGGTTCTGAGCACCCGGTAGATGCTGAATACGTGTTTGTCAGATGGTCCAGATAAGCAGTAGAGAGGGAGCTAAGAAGGAAGGAGGCCGTGAGAATTCAAAGATAAAGATTGGCAAAGAAATTCCAGCCATAAGCATTGCTAGACTTGGCATGTGACTGGATGAGGAATGTGAGGGAGAAGGAGGGGTCAAGGGTGCTCCAGGTTTGTGCAGGATTTGGGTGGGATCATAGGGCAGGCAGAGGAGGAACGGATCAGTAGAGAAGAGACAATAAACTTGGTTTTTGAGCAATGAGATAAAACACATGATTGCGTGCAAAGTGGGTGACAGAAGCAGGGATGGATGAGATAGGGAGATTGTGCCAGAATTCAGTGAAAGCTCTGATACCTTCATTGAGAAAATCTTGCCACAAACAAACAAACAAACAAACAAACAAACAAAAGTCTATTAAACCCAGCAATCCCAGCAATTCCACTCCTAGGTATACACCCAAGAGAAATGAGAAGGTAGATATCTGCACAAAAACTTGTACACACACATTCACAGCAACATTACTCATAATAGCTGAAAAGTGAAAACAGTAACCAAAAAGAATATATGTATTCTGTCACCAAAAAGAATTTATGTACTGACACATACTATGACATAGATGAACCTCAAAAGCATCATGCTAAGTGAAAGAAGCCAGTCACGAAAGACCACATATGGTATAATTCCATTGATAGGAAATGTCTAGAATAGGCAAGTCTGGAGAGACAGAAAGTAGACTGGTGGCTGCCGAGGGCTGGAGGTGGGACTGGAGGGAAGAGATGTGGCAGGGTGGGGGACACAACTGCTAAAGGGCACAGGATTTCTTTCCGGAATGATCAAAATGTTCTAAAATTAATATTGACGGTGATGGCTGTACAACTCTGAGAATCAGCTAAGAACCATTGGATTGTACATTTTAAATGGGTGAATTGCATGGCATATGAATTATATCTCAATTGAGGAATTACCAACAGAAAGAACTGAATGGAATAAAATAGCAGGTAGATGGAATTAATCATGATAAAAAGCAGACATCATTTAATTAAACAATAGGGAAACAAATGATAATTTTTTTAAAAAATGTAAACTGAGCCAAACAGTGAACCAAAGTAAACTAAACAGTTGAGTGATGAACTTGGTTTACATTCTGGCACAAACCCCTGCTCTCTTTAGGAGTGGCAGACAGTTCTCGGCCCAGCTGCTACCCACCAAGTACACTCTGAGCAGCACTGTGTAGGCAAGTGAGTCCTTAAGTGTGTGAGAGAGGTCCGCACGGGCGAGGATGGCTAGGAGAAGCCTCATCGAAGAAGGACTGCCCAGCTTCGTGATGTTTGCTCATGAGCAGTTGATTTTTATGTGCATAGTTGTGAAGCATTTGGAAGCATGTCCCTAATTTTCTTTTTCTTCTTCCCCAGAGACTCCAAGTGTGACTGTGACCCAGCTGGCATCGCAGGGCCCTGTGACGCGGGCCGCTGTGTCTGCAAGCCAGCTGTCACTGGAGAACGCTGTGATAGGTCTGTGTGAACCGTGGCCCTACAAACAGCAGAGAGAGTCCCTTGCCAACTAGCATGAGAATTAATCCTCCGAGTGTAATTATGGAAAAGGGATACTTGACAAACGTTGATGACCTTCTTCCTGCTCTCTGTCCTCAAAAACTAAGCTTTTACAACAACAACAGCAAAAACACACACACACACTGAGCACCCAAATCTCACTGGACTCCATACTCTGCTCTGGGCACCCTCTCTTTATTTTGACTTTGGGAGAGGCACAGGACCCCAGAGATTCCTCCCACCAGCTGGCTCCAAATCCCAGGTGCTCTGTATGAGGCAGTAATCAATAGTGAGATCCTGGGACACAGGCTGGTTGCAGGAAAGGCCTGGCCTAATTAAACATGCTGCGAAAATTCTTGTAAGAGGGCCTATCACAGCATATGGCCATATATAACCATCGTGTACAGAAGAGGCACTGCCCTGGGGATAGGATGGCAGTTACATGCACACACATGAATGGGCATGGGGCTGGGAGGAGGTAAGAGCCCTTTGGGCCAAGCCACACTGGAGGAGGTGGAGCAGTGAGGCACCATCCCCCCAAGCTGCCGGTGCAGGACGTGCCTTAAGTACAACTGTGCTCTGGCTTTAAACTCTTCCCTCCCAGAGGCTGTTGAGCAGAGGGCTGTGAGGCTGGCGTCAGAAGCAAAGGCTTCCTCCTCATTTCCTTAAAAGTAAGAAAGCAGTTCTTTGGCACCCTGCCAGTCACTTATACCTGCACAGAGGAAATGTCAAATACACTCCTAGCTTGTGTTTTCAGGGGTTTCTGGCTGCTGAGGTGAAGGCAGGGACATAAAGTTTAAGTGTTAAAAAGGAAGTCACTTGTTGAAAGCCTTTTTAATTTCAAAATAAAAGACAGAAATAGAATGCCACATAAAAGAAATGTTATCACCACCAATGGTAAGAAATAGACCTCTGCTAAAACTGCGTCCCAGTGACAATGCCCCCCTCCTCCCTAGAAGTGACCACTATTCTGACTTTTATGGTAATCGCTTTCTTTCTTTGCTTCATAATTTATGACCCCAGTGTGTTCCTAAACACAATCATTTAGTTTTGCCTAATTCCCTTCCTTTCCCTTCTTTTGTCTTCCCTCCCCACTCCTCCCCTCCCATCCTTCCTTGTTTTTTTAAGCTCTTTTAATCAGCAGGTTTCTTCTCCATAGAAACCATAATAATTCTTTTAACTCTTGCTCTTAGAGAAAAAACAAAGCTTGTTTAGTTACAACTGTTCTCTGAAGCACCTGCTCTTCACAGCTACCCTGCTTTTCTGTGATACTGTACTCAGAACATTCCCCCCAACATGTGGTGCAGTGGCTTAGACTACATGATTTGGAGACAGATGTACATGAATTTCAATCTTGCCTCAGCCATGTACCTGCTATATGTCAAGAGTTTCTTAACCTCTTGGCCTTAGTCTCCTCATCTAAGAAAATTGGAAATAGCAATTCCTCATAGGGTTGGAGGGAGGTTAAATGAGAGAACACACACAAGGTGCCTGGCACAACATAAGTGCTAAATAAATAATCATTGAAACTATCGTTATTTCACATTATTTCATGTGGAAGGATGTAGTTAACTTGAGCAGAGGACAAACAAGTCCTCCCCAGCTTCCCCTGCCTTCTTCTCTGTGACTCCAGCATCGAGGATGCCCCTGTTAGTCGTGGTTCTTATAGAAGCCACTGGAGGGATTGAGCTGGGAGCAGAGGTGGAATGCAAGCTTACACCTGGCTTTTGGAGAGTGTCTTAGCCATCCTTTTTCTTTGTCATATCCTCACCTGCCCTTTTCCCCAGTGAGCCAGAGCCCAGGTACAAGAGTCAGAGATGGGGATCAATACCTAAGTGGTCTTGGGGAGGGGGTCAATAGAGCTGAGTGGTGCTGAGGCAGGAGCCTCACCTTTCCTGGTCCCCACCTCCCAGTCTTTGTCACCATTAAACAGTAGCTCCAGGACAGGGCAGCATTGCATAGCCCTGCCCACACCCATTCTGCTCATCTGACCACCACTCAATTTCCTACCAAGGACTGGCCGACTACTCAGATGCCAGACCACCAAGACAAATGTGGCTCTGTTCTACAAAGGAACAGAAAGTGAATGTTTCTTATGCCGTCTAATTTAGGGGGGTCGTGATTGTCCATCTGGTGGTCTGGGGGTGGGGGTGATATGCAAAATCTGGTATTTCCCTCCTCTGAAAATTAATAGGGCCAAATGGAAGAGAAGGTAGAGAGGCTGACTCATTCATCATATTTTTTCTATAGAATAAAAAATAACCTATAATATCCTGATTTCTACAATGCCACTGCAGGTGTCGATCAGGTTACTATAATCTGGATGGGGGGAACCCTGAGGGCTGTACCCAGTGTTTCTGCTATGGGCATTCAGCCAGCTGCCGCAGCTCTGCAGAATACAGTGTCCATAAGATCACCTCTACCTTTCATCAAGGTAAAGCCTTCTATTTTCTAGGTTTTAGTTTTTTAATGTTGTACAGGGCTTTGTGTTTAGAGACAACCACCTCCGCATTCACAGGATGGATTCTCTTTAGAAATTCTCTTATAGTATTGAATGTACATTATTTTGTCAGGGCACTCAGGCATATCCTGATGTCTTGAAAAAGTCATAGGCTGAAAATAGTTCATTCATACTAGTGAATATAACTTAAAAGAATAACTAAAAAAGAGACTAGATTTTTATTTCCCTGAATTTTCCATCCCCATCTATTTCAAAACCACGAAGGAATCATTCATTTGGTTTGGAGAGTGTATGAGTCTTCCTGGAATTCACGTTCACTAATAATGCTGTTTTCACATATAATAAATGAGCTGATTTATGTGAAATTAGTTCCCAAGCTACAGAACACTATAAAAATATTGGAAACTGATATTATTTCAACATTAAGTCTGAGTTTCCCTTTGAAAAGACTGGACCCGGGCCAAGCGTGGTGGCTCACACCTGTAATCCCAGCACTTTGGGAGGCCGAGACAGGTGGATCACGAGGTCAGGAGATCGAGACCATCCTGGCTAACATGGTGAAACCCCGTCCCTACTAAAAATACAAAAAAATTAGCCGGGCGTAGTGGTGGGCACCTGTAGTCCCAGCTACTCGGGAGGCTGAGGCAGGAGAATGGCGTGAACCCGGGAGGCGGAGCTTGCAGTGAGCCGAGATCGCGCCACTGCACTCCAGCCTGGGTGACAGAGCGAGACTCCGTCTTAAAAAAAAAACAAATGAAAAAAAAATGAAAAGACTGGACCCTCTCACTTCATTAAGGTGAGAGCTTTTTATATAAATACAAAAAAATGCAAATTACAGGCAGAAGAAAACCTGCTATCTTATCACGAGTCAGACTCAAAGATGAGAAATCATAGCAGCTGCGGGATGGGAGCAGGTGAAGTTGAGAGCCACATAGAGAGATACATGCAGAATTTTAAGGACCATTTGCAAATGTGGAAATATTGAGAAAACCCCACTTTCTACTCACCACTAGGACTTGTCGGCAAGCAAATCTTTCTTTGTTTAACTTAATAGATGATGAGGGCTTGTCCAATGCAGACTGATTATGTTTGTGTTCCAGATGTTGATGGCTGGAAGGCTGTCCAACGAAATGGGTCTCCTGCAAAGCTCCAATGGTCACAGCGCCATCAAGATGTGTTTAGCTCAGCCCAACGACTAGACCCTGTCTATTTTGTGGCTCCTGGTATGTGAGGAATAATGTCTCCTATAGAGGCCAGCTTATAGGACTAGGAAGTCAAGATAGAGAAATTGAGTTAGAAATTGTGGAAACCATATAACTTTGGGTTCAGGGTAGCAGCATCTCCGGGTAGTGCAACCCCAGAAGAGAGATGGGGGCTAAGCCTGATTTGAGAGTCACTAAGGAATGGCCCAACAGAGCAGAATGTGGTGTCCCAGAGGTCAGACCCTGGTTGAGCTACCTCCTTTAATCAAATGGGAAGTTTCTACGTTTACCACCAAGGCAAGAAACCAAGGACTGTGGCCAAACCTATGGGTCTATTGAGAAGTAGGTGGAAAGCAAAAACAAAGCATTTCTTAAAACTTCAAATACCTGTAAGTTAAAAAAAAAAAAATCAATCAGTGGTACGTGCCTTGGTGGAAAAGCGCTGGCTAGAATTCCGATCCCAGTTCGTTTCCTTAGCTCATATGTGATTCTTGGGCAAGTTGTTCTCTTAACTTCTCTGAACTTCAGTTTTCTCTACTGTTAAATGGGAATACTAATGTCTGCCTCCCAGAATTATTGCCAGCAAATGTGATGATATTTGTGAAGGCATTCTGTCAACTAAAGCATTATGTAACAAGTTGTGCTATGCTGATAGGCCTGGGATTTTTACAAAACAGTCTGTCATAAGGGCCACATCATGAATCACCTAATAGATGGAATTGTCTTATAACAAGGCCCTCTTATCATTTCAGTAACTAACCCTCCTTCATAGCCCAAAGTGTCATAGCCATGTCCAGTACCAGGTCCTGACTCTCCTAGCAAGGAGTTTTGGGGCAGCATGACACAGGACTTCAACAGAAATTGCCGACACCAGTGCAAACTTGCATGTGTTTGCCTCTCCAGTTTCACAACTGATCTCAATCTTTTAAAACTCTGTTTCACAGCCAAATTTCTTGGGAATCAACAGGTGAGCTATGGTCAAAGCCTGTCCTTTGACTACCGTGTGGACAGAGGAGGCAGACACCCATCTGCCCATGATGTGATTCTGGAAGGTGCTGGTCTACGGATCACAGCTCCCTTGATGCCACTTGGCAAGACACTGCCTTGTGGGCTCACCAAGACTTACACATTCAGGTAAAAAGAGAGACCATAAGTAGGTCAATTAGAGCAAACTATGATTGAAGTTCAAGTTTGTTCTTTATTCATTCAATCATCATTCATTTGTTCAACAAGCCTTTCTGAGCACCTTTTACGTACCATGAAGGTTGCTATGTGCTGAGAAAGGACATGATTCCTTCCCTCAAGCAGCTGACAGGCTAATGGGAGAGAAAAATGAATAGATAATTACAGTGCAGTTTGTCAAGGGACAGAAATAGGCAAGGTGGACACAGAAGTTCTGAGCACATAAAGGAGGCATGACTGACCCACACTGGAATGATGAAGGAAAGCTTCCCAGGACCACATGACAAATGTGAAAGGCAGCCCTCTAAGGAAAGAGAAGGGAGGAAAGGTTAACAAGGCAGAGGAAATGCAATGCTTGAAGAAGGTTTGTGCATTTAGAAAATTCCAGGTGGTTGAGCACGAGTGAAGCATGAAGTCGGCGATAGGAGTGCAGTGAGAAGTGAGGTAGGAGAAAGAGGTGGGAGTGACTTTATGGATGGCTTTGTGTGTGTCTACAGGGATTGCACAGTATCCTGCAGAATAGGGATTCTGCATGGTGTTTGCAGAGAGGTTGGGGAAGGGAGCTGTGCCTACTAAGTGCTCAGTAGTGCACTGGAGGCTGGGAAATAAAGATGGAACATGGTCTTTGCCTTCCAAGAGCTCATGGTCTAGTACAATGTATAACATGTCAAAAAGCAAGCATAATACAGTAGGATAATTGCTTTAGGGGTGGTGCATGTTCATGGGGTCTTGGAAAGTGCCCGATTCTGCCTGGAGGAGTCAGGGAAACCTTCAGGAGGAGGCAATGTGTGGTCTAAGAATGGAAAGGTCCACAGGGCTTTTCCAGGGAGAAAAGTCAGAGAAGGGCAACCTTCACATGTGAATATATGTGGGGATGCAGAAAGGCATAATATAGGGGAGAACTGGCAAGCAATATTTATAGCTGGAATACAGCATGCATAAGGAAGATGGGTAGATACATTTGCAAAGGTTGGAAAAGGACCCATCATGTTGGGCCTTGTGTGTCATGTCAAGGAGCTTAGATCTTGTCCATGCTGGAAAGACGATGCAGAGCCATTGAGAGATTGTTAAGTCAAGAAGTGTGATCGTCAGGTGTGAAGGCTAGGTGCAACTACAGGCACCATATAGATGATAGTTTGGGTCGGGTCCTTAACTGGACCATCAGAACACATTCAGAGTGGCTCAACTGAGAGTGGTTAGGTGCCTAACCCAAGGCAGGGGTAATGGCAATAGGGAAAAGAAGACCCACAGAACACAAACAAAGAATTGATCAAATATCCGAGTATACGTGTTCTAATGATACACACACACACACACACACACACACACACACACAGCTCTCCTGCCTGGAATACTCGTTCCCACCTTCCAGGCTTTGTGAACTTACTCTTTGAGATTCAGCTTACATGTTCTTCCTTTGTATTAGCCTTCTCAGAATCCCAGCTAAAGTTACAGTCACTTTGTTTTTCCATGGTACTCTGTGCATGCATCTGTTATAGCATTCATGGCATTGTATTATAACTGTGTCTACCCACCTGACTCCCCTGGCTGGATGTGATCATCTCTCCCTGTTGTCTTTGTGTCCTCCAGCCTGACATAGCTTCTAGCCCAAACCAAGTGCACAGTCAACTTTTATTTAACAAATCAGTGAATGAAACGAAGGTGGGTAGGGTTGTTCCTGGATGAGTAAAAAACAAAACAAAATTTAGAAGAACAGCACAGGGGCTGGTGATATGTTACAGTGAGCCAAAATGATGCCAAATTAAAAAGTATTAAGTGTGGACAATGTAAAAGTGGAAACTGATTTTTGAAAAAAGTAAGTAAAATGTGCTCAGATAACAAATAAATGATTTTTTTTAAAAAAAATGAATAGTAGCTCTTGAGAATCAGAACTTCTGGAACGTGGAGATGTTCCTAATACTAGCTTATGGGTGGCCAAGAATAGAAAGTGGTGTCTGAGAACTTGCGATCATCATGGTTTCAGGTGATGTCACCCCTGGATCTGGACTTCCCACACTGGGATGCCCTCCATCACTTCCTCTGGGGTTTGTCCTCCCCATGGAGTGAGGAAGGTCCAAGTACATGCCTATGAAAAGGTGGCTCTCAGTCCTATGCCCCCTTCTAAGCAGGACTGGGAAGGGGCTTAGCTGTTCCCGTATCCTCAGGCATAATTTATAACAGGTAGGTATGTGGTAAGAATCGGATTTTTAAAGCTTTTGATTTTAAATTATGCAGGTTAAATGAGCATCCAAGCAATAATTGGAGCCCCCAGCTGAGTTACTTTGAGTATCGAAGGTTACTGCGGAATCTCACAGCCCTCCGCATCCGAGCTACATATGGAGAATACAGTAAGTGGCTACGAGAAATTAATTTCTTTCTTCTTAGGTGTTAGTTTAATTTGATTCAGCTCTCTAAGGTGGCGGCAGTCTCCAAACAAGTAGATAAGTTACTTGATGATCCTGACTTAGAATCACTGATTCAATCTGAATTTTTATATTCTAGAAGCTTTTTTAGAAGAAATGTTTCTCTAAAAAGATGTCAGCACCCAGCACCAATGAAGAGTAAATGATGCTGTCTTGCTAAAAGGGCCACTGAATTTTTATTAAAGATGATTAAGTGAGAAAGATAATCTACAATAAATGGACACATTTCCTTAGCTAGGAAATGGCACCTACAACACAGTCTTATTTATTCCTTGAGCAGCTTTTCCTTTTGAGATTATACTCCATGCTAGCCTGTCTGAGTCATCATGTATTCTATTAATTCCTTTTTTTTTTTTTTTTGAATTTCACATGTTGGGTCCTCCTAATCTCAACTGGAATTATTTAACAAGAGTTCCTTAAGCTTTTCTGCACTCACTCACCTAAAAAGGAAGCGTGGCTAGCATGCACCATTTCCATGTCACTGATGCAGTAAATAAAGTCGGAAGCAGAAAGGTGTAACAATGTATTGACTCTTACTGTATGCCAGATAGATTATAATATATGAATTATCTAATTTAATTTTCACAACGGACATAAGAGATAAATACCACCGTTACTTCTTGTCTATAGTTGATGAAACACAGTCATGGAGAGGCTAAGTGACTTGCCCAATTTACACAGCTAGTGAGGGTGGATTCAGAATTTAAGCCCTGGGTTTTCTGACCCCAGAGCCTGTGTGCTCAGTCACAGTGGGAGACTGCCATACCTCTCTACATGGCATGATATATGAACACCACCTGTCTTTGTTAGGGAGTTAAGAAAAATAAAATCCCAAGAGAGATCTGACTTGAGATCTTTAGACTGTACCACTTGCAACTTCTAACCTGTTCTCTCGATTGCAGGTACTGGGTACATTGACAATGTGACCCTGATTTCAGCCCGCCCTGTCTCTGGAGCCCCAGCACCCTGGGTTGAACAGTGTATATGTCCTGTTGGGTACAAGGGGCAATTCTGCCAGGATTGTGCTTCTGGCTACAAGAGAGATTCAGCGAGACTGGGGCCTTTTGGCACCTGTATTCCTTGTAACTGTCAAGGGGGAGGGGCCTGTGATCCAGACACAGGTGAGTGAAATGACACCTGGACCAGGTGGCTGGGGTGTCATGTGGAAGAGAGAGAGCTGTGTAAGAAAGACCATGGCTGAACTCACATCAGAGGTGGGAAAGGATTAAGGAGAGCAGAGCTGGAGTCAGGGAAGATGGACATGGTGCCTTATTACACTCAATCCTCTTCACTGTGGAAATGCCACAAAGTTGTGAGAAAGGTGCCAGGTTACAGGAAATGGTCGTCATGGTTCAGTGCTGGGTAGAAGAGTTGGTGTCGAGTTCCAAGAATTGTGTGGGGAGATCAAAGACAAGTCCGGGTCTAAATGAATGTGCCGACAAATGGTGTCAGGCCACAGAGAACATGGGGAACAGTGTTAAGTTATGGATAGTAAAAGAAGTGAGTGTCTACTTTGCATAGGGGAGTGAGGGTGAGATTCAGGGTCTTGGCCATGTTTAGATTTGGTTCTATGGGAGGGGTGAATGCCAGTGCTCAGGCACTTTGGGGAAGGCTTCAGAAAGGAAGGCTTTGACATTCTACACTCTGACCCATGTTGAAGGAAATGTATTGTCTGACCCTGCTCACTTCTCTGCCCCTCCACTCTTCTCCTACCCCCAGGAGATTGTTATTCAGGGGATGAGAATCCTGACATTGAGTGTGCTGACTGCCCAATTGGTTTCTACAACGATCCGCACGACCCCCGCAGCTGCAAGCCATGTCCCTGTCATAACGGGTTCAGCTGCTCAGTGATGCCGGAGACGGAGGAGGTGGTGTGCAATAACTGCCCTCCCGGGGTCACCGGTAAGGCCATGGGTCTGCTCTGCCACCTGCCTCTTCCTGTCCTGATGCCATGAATGTGTGCAAATAGCTTCCATTCCGAGGAATTCCTAGGAAATTATAATGACTTCGGGTTCACCCAAATGTGCTCACTCTAAAGATAATATCTTAAAGATAAGATATTGCAATGCCCAAGAGGTGAAGTGGATTAAGCAAGAGCAGAGTGCAATTATGGGAGAAAACACCTAAAGCTGTTTTGAGAGGTTTGTCATTAGAAGATGACATTTTCAGACCAAGCACATGGTTTGTTTCTTAATGAACTAAGATAACGAGGGAAAACTTAGTGACTTCTTAAATGTCACATCCTTCTGCTGGTCAATCTGAAAGAAGAATGGATTCTTCAGCAGCAGTTTTGGGGGTATTGCTCAAAACCTTACTACTTCTGTGGAGCTGCCTGCTTTTTCCCAGCCAGCTAGTTAAGCCTCCTAGTGGCGCTACTGTGTTCTGCAACCTGCAGTGGGCATGGAGAGAGAGGGCCAGCCCTGCCTTGCATGCCTGCTCCTGAGGGCTTTGTTCTGGGGTCCCTAGGGAAGCACATTTCTCTGGCTCTTCTAGAGGGTGACTCGCAACTTTAGGCCTCTGCGTCTGGTCTTCCTCCTGATGGATGTCGACCTAGGCTTGGTCATTTGTTCCTTCCCAGGTGCCCGCTGTGAGCTCTGTGCTGATGGCTACTTTGGGGACCCCTTTGGTGAACATGGCCCAGTGAGGCCTTGTCAGCCCTGTCAATGCAACAACAATGTGGACCCCAGTGCCTCTGGGAATTGTGACCGGCTGACAGGCAGGTGTTTGAAGTGTATCCACAACACAGCCGGCATCTACTGCGACCAGTGCAAAGCAGGCTACTTCGGGGACCCATTGGCTCCCAACCCAGCAGACAAGTGTCGAGGTAGGACTCCACCCCAGGCAGGCTGTGTCTGTGCGTGCCTGTGTACGTATGCACTTGCTTGCCATCTAAGCAGGGACAATGGCAGTTCATATCATGATGTTACTTTGATTCTCTGACCAAACTGGCCTGTGAGCACCCTGGGCCTTTCTTCCTCTGTCAAAGGCCTTAAGACAGGTTTACCCTGTAGCCAGGCTCTGGAAGACAGAGCTGGGTTAAAGCTGGGTGGGAGAAGTGAAAAAGGTCAGGTTTACATTCCTACGCGGAAAAGGATGTAACACGGGGCCACATCCTATGCCCAATCCCAAGGCAGGGAGGCAGGGAAGTGGCTGCCAAACCTGTTGTAGGAGAGTAATAAATGACTTGAGAGTAAGCCTAAGCAAACTCAAGTGGGAAGGGGAGTGGGCTGTAAAATAGTTTAAGAGACTCTCTCAGGAAGTCAGCGTAATTGATGTGTAGAAAGGTAACAGTCAACAGTTCTCCTAACAAGACAGCTTCAAAGCAGCAGCTATAGTGGAGCATTCCTGAGGCCTGCTGCAGATCAAAGCATGAATGTGCAGACTGGTCCTCTTGCCCAGCGTTTCTTTCAAATCTTTGCACATGTTATATTTTAGAGGCAAGTTCAGTTCTAGAGGAGCTGGCCTGCCCCACAGACTCACCCCTCAGTCCCAGGCTGACCTTGGTGCCCAGAACTCAGGAGTTTGTTTACCCTAACTTTGTTTATAAAGTCCAGAATGGGGCCGGGAATGGTGGCTCACACCTGCAGTCCCAGCACTTTGGGAAGCTGAGGTGGGTGGATCACCTGAGGTTGTGAGTTCAAGACCAGCCTGGCCAACATGGTGAAACCCCATCTCTACTAAAAATACAAATATTAGCTGGACGTGGTGGTGGGTGCCTGTAATCCCAGCTACTCAGGAGGCCGAGGCACAAGAATCTCTTGAACCCAGGAGGCAGAGGTTGCAGTGAGCCGAGATCATGTCACTGCACTCCAGCCGGGCAACAGCGCAAGACTCCATCTCAAAAAAAAAAAAAAAAAAAGTCCAGAGCCACTCTGGACACCCAGGTTGGAAGACTCTTGGTTCCTCATGAAGACCCAGAGGTTTGCATGGAGCTCACAGCCTCCCACTCACACCAGAGTCTCCACCTTGAAGTGCTTGAGGACCTCTGCAACCTGAGGCTTCTACTTAGTGGTACAAATCCCTTCAGGAATTCTAGGCCAGACCAGCCCAGACCCCAAACTCTGGGTTAGCTGTGATATGCTAGAAAGCACCTTATGAGAGGAAAAGCCCATATGACACCAACAGGACTGAGTTCAAGTCCAGTTTTGTAACATACCTATTATATTATGCTAATTATGCCAATTAATCCCTCTAAGCCTCAGTTTCCTTATATGTGTGATTAATATTTAACTCGAAGTGGTGGATACAAGAAAGCACACTATAAACACTATAATTCTAGTTATATATTCTAACTATATTCTGTCTTTAGTTTTAGCTGTAATTCTAGGTTACTAACAGAAATTTCACTGGCTTTACACCACACATTTCTTCACTCAACCATCCTTTATCAAGCACATACCATGTACCCAGTGTGGACCTAGATACTGAGGCCATAATGGTGAATAAGTCATCCCAACTCTCGAAGAGTCCGTATGATAATAAGGAAGATACACAAATATGTATGCAAATAATGATAACACACTTAGATACGTAATCAGCGTTTTGTGAGCACTGAAGATAGAACAACTCAGAGAATCACTGTAATCATCAGAGAAGTGTCTCACCCACTATCATATCCTTAACTCCTATAACAGAACCTGGCTTAATCAATTTGGTTGAATGAGTAAAGGTATTGCTTTCTTAACTGTATTTCCTACACCAAAGGCCGCAGAACAGAGGAAAGAACATTGGCTCTGCCTGACCTCTCATTGTAGCTTGCCATTTACTTGCCATGTAACCTCAGGCAAATTAGTCAACTTCCCTGAGCTCACATTCCTCATCTGCAAAATAGAGGGGGATGTCTACATCTGGCACGTAATGGGCCCAGAAGAAATGTTATTCACCTTGAAAGCAAAGCCAGAGTGCTTGCAGAATATCTAATAGGCTTTTAGTTTAACAGGGGGAGGAAAATGAGTGCTGCCAGAAAGGCTGTAATCTCCCTGCATCCACACACACCAGGCAAACCTGCCACATGATTCCTAAGACCTATCTGTATTAAGAAGGTGCATGGAGGTATAAAAGGATTCTCTGCTGTTGGAGGCTTGATCTCCTTCCTTGTATCTTTGCTCTACCTCCACTTTCTAGACTAGTTTGATGTGAATGCTCCATTTGTCTTTTGTCTCTAGCTTGCAACTGTAACCCCATGGGCTCAGAGCCTGTAGGATGTCGAAGTGATGGCACCTGTGTTTGCAAGCCAGGATTTGGTGGCCCCAACTGTGAGCATGGAGCATTCAGCTGTCCAGCTTGCTATAATCAAGTGAAGATTCAGGTATGCATTCTTCCCCTTACCACCCCCAACCCCACAGAATCAAATCCTTAAGTGTCCACTGGGTGGTTCTGTCACAGATCTAGGACACTCCTAGTCTCCTGAGGATGGGAGTAGTGATTACTATTTCTGTCTTTAAAAATTGCTGCATTAAAAAAATTCTGTATAATGATAATACTTCAGGTTTATGTCTTTATATATACCATTTTCAAAACCTCTTTTGCAGATACTGTTTCATTTGGTACTCATGATAACTTAGTTGAGTTGAAAGGAAAAGTATTCTGACCTCAGTTTTCACTGGTCAAATAAAGTCTCAAAATACTTGAAATTTTTCAAAGTGATATGGGTAGGTGGAACTGGGAATCCCACCCATGTCCCCTAACTTAGTTCAGGGCTCTTCCCACTATAATATTTCACTTTCCAGCTCGATTTCTTTTCAACAGATGTCTTTGTAAAACAAATGAAGAAAAACATAAACATAAAAGATATCAGGAGTCCAGAAAGTATCAAGGCTTCCCAAAAAGGAATGGCCTCCAGAAATTTCTCATTTGAATTACAGAGAAGAATGAACTTGATGTTCTTGTTAATTATTAACTATTTTTCTTCCTGGAATGAGGATTGGGGAAGACAAAGGCCCAAACAGAACTCCAAATGTAGAGCAAACTCAACTTGTTTTTCAAACTGATCTATTTAACAAGCCTTTTACGCACTTCCTTTGTGTCAGGCACTGTTCTCTTGTCTCTAGCTTGCAACTGCTTTCACTTTACAAATATTAACTGCATTTTGAGCTTTATAGATGTTAACCCAGGTAGTCCAAGTAATAACTTTAGGAGACACTATTCTTATTTTCATTATCCTAATTTTATAGATAAAGAAAGTGACTTGCCCAAGGTCATACAGCTAGTGAGTAGTGAGGCCAGGATTCAAACTCAAGGACTCTCTAGGCTCCAGGGTCTAAAATTTTAACCACCATGACATGCTAAGCATTTCTGGACTTTTAGTATTATCCCCTGGGTACCTGGTATTGGATGATCCCTTGGGTACATGGTCTCCACCCTCGTTCTGATCTTTCCTGTGTGGTTTCAGATGGATCAGTTTATGCAGCAGCTTCAGAGAATGGAGGCCCTGATTTCAAAGGCTCAGGGTGGTGATGGAGTAGTACCTGATACAGAGCTGGAAGGCAGGATGCAGCAGGCTGAGCAGGCCCTTCAGGACATTCTGAGAGATGCCCAGATTTCAGAAGGTGATGAAGGCCAACTTCCCTTCAGACAGAAGAGAATTCATAGTCCTAGAAGGAATGGCTACGTTAGGTCATAGAATCTTCTATGGATATCAGTTCAGCAGTTATCTCCAGCCAGCCCTTGCAGAAGTGGAAGGACTGTCTGTGGCATTCCCCCTGGGATCTGAATGATGGTGATAAAAGAATGGTTGGATGCATTTCTCTATTGGGTTTTTGTCATTTGACCATAAGCCAGTCAACCCTCCGTTATGTTTGCTAACTCTATGCTGACCCAGAAAGTGCTCATGCTCCCTTTCCTTCTTTGCGTTCAGGTGCTAGCAGATCCCTTGGTCTCCAGTTGGCCAAGGTGAGGAGCCAAGAGAACAGCTACCAGAGCCGCCTGGATGACCTCAAGATGACTGTGGAAAGAGTTCGGGCTCTGGGAAGTCAGTACCAGAACCGAGTTCGGGATACTCACAGGCTCATCACTCAGATGCAGCTGAGCCTGGCAGAAAGTGAAGCTTCCTTGGGAAACACTGTAGGTTTTTGCTGGGCTAGAGTATTGAGAATACTGCTGTGTTGGGAGACCTACTTGTAGATCTCACTGACTCAATTTCTGTCTCTCAGTGGCTCACTTTCTGTTTCTGATCTACCTGACAGGTTGTTGGACTTCTTTTCCTTGCAACAGTCACATCTATTTATGTCTTTGGCCTTCTGAAGTTTCCTATTTTACTGCATTATGTTCTTCTCCTAAGTTCATTTATTTCTAACTACATCCTCATCTTGGCCCTGCCTCACCTCCCTTCTGCATATCTCCTAGCTTGTTAGCTCCCAGAGGGCAGGATTTACTTTAGTTCATATTTACTTTCTCAGCCTACAACACAGTGTATAGCTGTGGTAAATTTCTAGTGTATGAATGAATGGATAAATGAATGAATGAATGAAAAAGGAAGGAAGGAAAGAAGGAAGAAAGGATGGAGGAAGGGACAGAGGGAAAGAAGAACAAAGGAAGAGAGTAGGGAAGGAAGGAAGGAAGGAAGACATGGTTTTGAAAATGGGAAAAAAATGCTGCCAGTATGATTTTCTTGATGTAGTTTGTAATGTGGTAGGAGGGAGAGATTTGATTGAGCACTCTTCTATTTCTGAATAAAGAAGGTTATGGTAACAATAATGTAAATGGATGGGTGGGAGATGAATAGAGGAAGTGGAATGATAATCAGATACTATAATGAGGAAGTCACATTAAAAATAATGTGTATTGATTGTTTCCTTTATTACAGAAATGTTTGTTGTAGAAAATAAATAAAAATTCTCTATGATCCCATTACTATCAAATAACCACTGTTAAAATTTGGAATATATTCTACTGGACTTTAAATTCATATAAAAAATGTACATGTATATATTTTTATTTTTATTTTTTTTGGCTTCCAGCAGGAAAAGAATTTTTATTTTACTTTGTTGTTGTTTTGGATTTTTTTATGTATATATATTTTAATGCATCTATATCTATATACAGACTTTTTTGAACTTGGATTTCTTTGCTCTTGTCTATACATACTTTTTTTTTCTTTTTTTTTTTTCGAGATGGAGTTTTGTTTTTGTTGCCCAGGCTGGAGTACAATGGTGCGATCTCGGCTCACTGCAACCTCCACCTCCCAGGTTCAGGCGATTCTCCTGCCTCAGCCTCCCAAGTAGCTGGGATTACAGGCATGCACCACCATGCCTGGCTAATTATTGCATTTTTAGAAGGGACGGGGTTTCACCATGTTGGTCAGGCTGGTCTTGAACTCCTGACCTCAGGTGATTCACCCGCCCTGGCCTCCCAAAGTGCTGGGATTACAGGCATGAGCCACCACACCCGGCCTATACATACTTTTT
The DNA here is from genome assembly GCF_000001405.40 of Homo sapiens. Classification (NCBI taxonomy): domain Eukaryota; kingdom Metazoa; phylum Chordata; class Mammalia; order Primates; family Hominidae; genus Homo; species Homo sapiens. Next base: position 183,234,201 of record NC_000001.11, read on the forward strand.
AAAAATAGAATAATGGTGAATAGAGGCATGGTGTAAGTGTCAGGGTGTGGAACCCTGTGTGGCTAATGACAAGTGGTTCTGACAGGACAGATGCACCTGCTTAAGTTCCATGGCCAAGTGCAAAGCCTTAACCGATTCGCCTTAACCGATTCTCCTTTTCCCACAGAACATTCCTGCCTCAGACCACTACGTGGGGCCAAATGGCTTTAAAAGTCTGGCTCAGGAGGCCACAAGATTAGCAGAAAGGTGAGCAGCATTAGAGGGCACCTCTGCTTCAAGCCGTCTCTGCAAGGCCAGACTTGAATAAGAGTGTAGGGTATTAGGGACCCAAGCATCGTATTTATTCTCTCCAGGCTCCTTTGCAGCCATTCCCTACCTTGAAACCAGTTTTTAACCACTTGGCTTTTATTGTATGTAAGTGGCCACTGGGCAGGGTCATTTGGCAGGAGTTGGGGGTGAGGGTGTTTCTTTCCCACATTTCCCTATGACTCACAGTATGGCTGTGTTGTATGTCAGATGTGATTCCTCGGGCCACGTGAAATGAATCAGCCCTTGGAAGAGAAAGCTCTGCAGCTTTCAGGGACTCCCACACCAAGCCTGGGAACAAGTAGCAACGAGTTGTTTTTTAGCCTGTGGGGGCCAAGACTGCAGAGGGGGAACTTCCTCCTGAAAACCGGCTCTGCAGGGCCCCAATGATAACACGCAGCTCCCTTCATCCTTGGCTCTGACTAGAAATCCTACGGTGTTTAAGAGGTTTGCTGGTAGCGGTCTGCTCAGCAGGGTGGCAGGCTCTGTTAATCCCAAGTGGAATTCAGTCAGCGGAAGAGGGCTGATTTGTATATTTTGTAACATGAGCTGCCTCCTGAGCTCGTTTTTAATTTTGTTTCTTTGGGTTTTTTTTAAAGAAGCACTTTTTAGAACCAGGAGGAACCAAAAGTATCCAGGGAATTTTTATAGACATGCTTTGTCCCCCTAGTGGTGGGCCCAGTTTAGAGCTGAAGCGAAAGTGCGTAAAGGTTGGATCCTGGGTGAAATAAGACCTAGAGGTTTCTTCCTGCAGCAAACAGCTTACAGATGCAGTGTTTTATCACCTGAGACTGCTCCCACCCATCTCCACACTCCACCCCGCTCCGGGACTCCAGTGATTATGCCATAAACGGAAAAGATCACTACAAGGTCTATGACATAAGGCGAATTCTCCAAAACACTTTCTGCTTCTTGACAGCACCTCTAATTCCATGTAATTTGAGTCAGTTCTGTAGGGTTTTTCTAAATCAGACCAGCTCCCGTACTCTTTGCCCTTCGTGTAACTGAACAACCTAAAGGAAGCCCTTTGCGTGAAAACTCTTATTCTTTTGTTTTTAATCCTTTCAGCCACGTTGAGTCAGCCAGTAACATGGAGCAACTGACAAGGGAAACTGAGGACTATTCCAAACAAGCCCTCTCACTGGTGCGCAAGGCCCTGCATGAAGGAGTCGGAAGCGGAAGCGGTAGCCCGGACGGTGCTGTGGTGCAAGGGCTTGTGGAAAAGTACGTTCCTACGGGTCCTCCCGTGGCTCATTATACCTTGGATACTCCCAGGGCAAAATGCTAACCGTACTTGAGGGGCACCATGCTAGTTGTAAAAAACATATTATTAATGATAATAAGAGGGCCGAAATCATGGGAGTTTTACTTTGGGGAAAAGCAGATATTTTTAAGACTGGAAGAAAAAAAGATTGGTTAGTCTAAATAAAATTAATGTTTTGATTGAGATTACAATACTGGGAGGTATGGTCACCCTCTGGTGTTTGAAGGGTGTGAATAAACCCATCTGATGGCATGGGGAGATATAAAAATACAGAAATATATTTCTGTTATCAAGAAGTGGGGAATTTGGGATTGAATTTTTCTGACCCAACCTGTGTAAATTAAAAGGCTTATGTTTAGTGGAGAGGGACAAGTATCTGATAAATAATTTTGTTTGGTTCTTCTGGTTATTCTAACTACATACTTTCAAGACAACAGGGTGAAATTTTGCTTTTGTTAAAAAAAAAGGGGGGGCCAGGTGTGGTGGCTCACTCTTGTAGTCCCAGCTACTTGGGAGGCTGAATTGGGAGGATTGCTTGAGCGTGGGAGGATGAGGCTATAGTGAGCTGTGATCACGCCACTGCACTCCAGCCTGGACAACAGAGTGAAACCCTGTCTCAAAAAAAAAAAAAAAAAAGAATTCTCAAAGTCCTCTTTTTATTACCGCCCCCTCCCCACCCCCAACACCAGATTGGAGAAAACCAAGTCCCTGGCCCAGCAGTTGACAAGGGAGGCCACTCAAGCGGAAATTGAAGCAGATAGGTCTTATCAGCACAGTCTCCGCCTCCTGGATTCAGTGTCTCGGCTTCAGGGAGTCAGTGATCAGTCCTTTCAGGTGAGGGCATCTGGCCTGTGTGCTTGATATACAGGAGGGCCATAAATACTTTCTTTTCTGGGGGTGCCATAATATTGTTCAAACATTCAGCTTTTTCTCCATGTTGACCATTTCTGTTTTAGAGTGGGAAGAGTATTTAGCCTTCTCATTACCCATTTGCTTGTTCTTAAACCACAATCCTAGTCTCTGGAAAGGATTTGACCCATGCTAAACCTATTACTGGATAAAAGTTTTATGTATCTTCCTTAGTTCTGGGGATTGTTGAAACCTGTGGAAAATTTTTATAAAGTTTTTTTGTTTACGCTTGAGTCCAACCTATAGTATATCTCTATGTATAGCCACTCTGAGATGACTTCTTCTCAAAAGTTTTGCATTGTTTCTGCCATCAGTTCCTTTAACAATTCCAAACTTATTCGATTAAGAAGATTTTGTTTACTACCTATAGAAAAAAAAATTCACAATCCCCATGGATATATGTTCCCATGAATATATAAACTAACATGTAAACATTTAAAAAATGAAAAAGAACAGAGACAAAGCCTGTTTGACATTGAGGGGACCTGCTGCCTTACTTTCATTGGGCATACTGACTCATTTTTGTTAGGTTTTGGGCCTGGATGGCTAGTGACTATTTTCTTGGCTTCTTAAGGCTGTTGCTATTTTCAAACAATGGTGCCAGGTCCTAACAAGGCTGGTGTGGTAACTGGTAAGCAGAAGTCAGACTCCCTGGTTTCTTTGGGCTCATAGGTGGAAGAAGCAAAGAGGATCAAACAAAAAGCGGATTCACTCTCAAGCCTGGTAACCAGGCATATGGATGAGTTCAAGCGTACACAGAAGAATCTGGGAAACTGGAAAGAAGAAGCACAGCAGCTCTTACAGAATGGAAAAAGTGGGAGAGAGGTATTCTTTTGTTAATTCATTCACTCAATAAAGATGTATTGAATGCCCACCATATGAATAAATATGGCAAGAAGAATAATCAAAAGCTCTCTGACCAGGCACGGTGACTTATCCCTGTAATCCCCGCACTTTTGGAGGCCAAGCCAGGAGGATCGCTTGAACTCAGGAGTTTGAGACCAGCGTAGGCAACGTAGTGAGGCCCCCATCTCTACAAAAAATAAAAAATAAAAAAATAGCTGTGCATGATGACACGTGCCTATAGTCCTAGCTACTTGAGAGGCTGAGGCGAGAGGATCACTTGAGCTCATGAGTTCGAGGCTGCAGTGAGCCATGATTACACCACTGTACTCCAGCCTGGGTGACAGAGCAAGACCCTGTTTCTGGAAAAATCAACAATGAAGGCACTGCTTATGGAAGAAGTAACAGTTGCAGAGATCTTGGTGTGATTAGCTCAGTTCCACCCAGTCGGTCAGCCCTCAAACCTAGGAATAGGACCTAGGCCTCTTGGGTCTAATTTTGGTCTAGCTCAGTCTACTACTTGGCTTCAGGAAATATCTAGAGTTTAAAATTATGATTTATAAAACCGTTCCTGTCCCTGATGGTGGACTAGAGTTTCTCTATATGGAATGTGTTGTGGACTTATAAAGTTTGCTCTGTCCCAGATTGTAGAGGGGTTTGCTACAGCACCCCTAGACTCTGCAGTGAATCACAATGATCTGCTGTCATGAAGAGAAATGTGTCAGAGTGATTTTGCCAGCAGGAATGTACTTCCTCTAATCTTGTTCTATCTGCCTTTTTACAGAAATCAGATCAGCTGCTTTCCCGTGCCAATCTTGCTAAAAGCAGAGCACAAGAAGCACTGAGTATGGGCAATGCCACTTTTTATGAAGTTGAGAGCATCCTTAAAAACCTCAGAGGTTAGTACTTCATGGTTCAGGTCACTTGAGTATTTTAAGTGTATAGTCATGACCAATTTCCTTTGAATTCTCATATGTCTCTCTAAGTGGCAGGTATATTGGGATATTAATAGATCCTTAGTAAATATCTTTCTAAAGAAAATCTTAATGCATTAATATTTAATGTAGTAGTAATAATAGAGCTAGATGTCAGAAGCCTTGAGTTCTGATCTCTGCTGGGCCACCTAACCAGGCCAGACTAGCTGTGTGACCATAGGCAAGTCATGTAACCTTTCCAGAACCTAGTATCTTCCTCTTTAAAGAGACGAGGTTAAACTATGTGTTCTCTAAGTTCTCTCACAGATGCAACATACCACTACTGTACAGACATTTTTCCTTTTCCTGTGTAGTCTGGTTGGTTCCAGTATGGAACTGATATGTTTCTTTGTGGTGATAACAGAGCAACCTTTGTCACTGCATCTAGATCCCAGGAGATTTAGATTTGTGCCTCGCAGAGATTTCATTAAAATTTCAGGCTTCTTCACTAAAGCACAAAAGAGAAACATTCCCAAAATTTTGGAATTTTCTTCATGGAAAGTACTTCTCTACCCATTCAAACCTAACCCCAATTCTTATCATTGGAGCTTAGGGCTTAAAACTCTGGCTTGATGCTTTGGACTTCAAAGATTCTACCTGCTTCTGATGCACTCTTCAGTTTCAATACTCTTGCAGTGCTGTGGAACTCAGGGCAGGCTGATTGTCGGTTTCTCTAAGCAACGGAGTAATTATAACCCCTCCAATGCATCTTTTAAGAAAGTTAATTCCAGCCGTAACTTCCCACACCGTCATCCCCAGTCAGTAATAACACTCTTTCAGGAATTTTTCTTTACAACATCAGCCCCTTTCACTCATTTGTAAATTTGCTTTCATCTTCACGGCAGTTTTTTCTTTTCTTCATTTCAGAGTTTGACCTGCAGGTGGACAACAGAAAAGCAGAAGCTGAAGAAGCCATGAAGAGACTCTCCTACATCAGCCAGAAGGTTTCAGATGCCAGTGACAAGACCCAGCAAGCAGAAAGAGCCCTGGGGAGCGCTGCTGCTGATGCACAGAGGGCAAAGAATGGGGCCGGGGAGGCCCTGGAAATCTCCAGTGAGATTGAACAGGTAAAGAGAAATCGACATGTGTGTTGGTGCCAGTAGCACCAAACACAAGGGTGGTGTGGAGGGAAAAAGAACATTGAGCTTATTTTAACCTCTGAGGCTCAGAGCCCTGTTGTGGCCCATGGGAGCCCCAGATTAAAAGACTATGGTAGCAAAGACGCATGACAGAGAATGATGTGTTTTTTTGTCCTCCGGGTTTTCCCAAATGGTTCCTAACTCTGTTCAACATTTGGTGAGCATTGAACTGAGAGAGAAGCACTGTCTGGCCGCTGACCTTCCTAGTCATACCCCCAGATTAGCTTGTTTGAGGCAGAGCTTGGCAAAGTACCCCTGTCCCTAAGTCTGATTCTCTCATTATTCATCTAATTTACTCCATCAGGGCCCGGCTGCCGCTGTATTTTTTCTATGGTTGTCTTTGGGATGTTTTTGTGCCTCACCCCTATCTCTCCTTCCGTCCCTGGCTCCTTTTCTTCTCTCAGGAGATTGGGAGTCTGAACTTGGAAGCCAATGTGACAGCAGATGGAGCCTTGGCCATGGAAAAGGGACTGGCCTCTCTGAAGAGTGAGATGAGGGAAGTGGAAGGAGAGCTGGAAAGGAAGGAGCTGGAGTTTGACACGAATATGGATGCAGTACAGATGGTGAGTTCCTGTTGCTTTCCACGGGAGATCCCTTTCAACTTGCCAAAATGGAAAATACCTTTTCAAGGCTGGTTTGTGCTTATTTGTCCTCAGGTGATTACAGAAGCCCAGAAGGTTGATACCAGAGCCAAGAACGCTGGGGTTACAATCCAAGACACACTCAACACATTAGACGGCCTCCTGCATCTGATGGGTATGTGAACCCACAACCCACAACCTTCCAGCTCCATGCTCCAGGGCTTTGCTCCAGAACACTCACTATACCTAGCCCCAGCAAAGGGGAGTCTCAGCTTTCCTTAAGGATATCAGTAAATGTGCTTTGTTTCCAGGCCCAGATAACTTTCGGCAGGTTCCCTTACATTTACTGGACCCTGTTTTACCGTTGCTAAGATGGGTCACTGAACACCTATTGCACTTGGGGGTAAAGGTCTGTGGGCCAAAGAACAGGTGTATATAAGCAACTTCACAGAACACGAGACAGCTTGGGAATCCTGCTAAAGAGTCTGGCCTGGACCCTGAGAAGCCAGTGGACAGTTTTAAGCAGAGGAATAACATCACCACTGTATATTTCAGAAAGATCACTAGGGCAGCCGAGTGGAGGAAAGCTTGAAGAGGGGGTTAGAGAGAAGGCAGGTTGAGACTACTTAAGATATTGTTGAAATAATTGAAGAGAGAAATGACAGGAGCCTGCTCTAAGGCAGTAGAATGGTGGCTGGGAAGATGTGAAGGAAGATTTTCCCAGTCTGTGAAGTCAAGAATCACTTGCCGGCCGGGTGTGGTGGCTCACGCCTGTAATTCTAGCACTTTGGGAGACTGAAGCGGGTGGATCACCCGAGGTCAGGAGTTGAAGACCAGCCTGGCCAACATGGTGAAACCCTGTCTCTACTAAAAGTACAAAAATTAGCTGGATGTGGTGGTGGGCGCCTGTAATTCCAGCTACTCAGGAGTCTGAGGCAGGAGAATCGCTTGAACCCAGGAGGCGGAGGTTACAGTGAGCCAAGATTGCACCACTGCTCTCCAGCCTGGGGAACAGAGCAAGACTGTCTCAAAAAAAAAAAAAAAAGGAAAAATAAAAAAGAATCACTTGCCGATTTTACATTTGTTCCTCCCCAAACCAAAGTTATACCTTGATGTAACCAGTGGGAGGAACTTGAGCTGCTTGGGTAAATAACCCAGAAGAAATGTGATGAGAGTAGGCCTGTGAGATAATTTTAGGAAGATCTGATGGCACAGCGTGGAAGAAAATCAGGTTTCCCTACAGAATCGCTCCCAAAAGAAAACTTATTTTGGTTAAATTTCTGGATTTAGGTAGAGCTGATATCAAACCCTCATTTGGTCTGTTTTATCAAGCTTGGACTGCAGCAGATGTGGAACTAGAGATTCGTCACAGATTCCAGTAACATTTAGGAAAATGTTTGGCTCTGCTATTCCAGTTCAGTAGAACAACTTCGAAACTGGATTTTTCTGTAGGGTGTCATCATCACCCTGAGATGCCAATGTCATCTGTGTTGTTATAGTCTTGGGTCTGCTTTGTGATCCAATGAGCCCAAAAGAGTAAAATGCCCTCAAAGGATTGAGAAAAAAAAAAGGAAAAAACAAAACAAAGGAAAACAAAACCTTCCCAATTGAGACTTTAGCAGCGTTGTTTAGTGTTCTAAAAAAAAAAGAAAGGCAATGAAACTAATGAGACCTGTAAAGAGAATATGAGAGAGTAGGGAGAGCAGGGTAGATGGAAGCTATTAAACATTTACTATGTGTCAGATGTTTTCATGGTGTAATATCATTTGTCTTGTAAAAGTCCTCTGTGGTGGGTTTTATCATTTTTATTATTTTATTTCATGAAGGACTGAACTGAGGCTCAGAGGTTAATAATGCCCCACAGGTCATGTAGTAAATTGTAGAGGCAGGATCCAAACTGATATCTTTTTGCCTCCAATGCTCGTGTTCTTTTCTAGTAACTCATGCCACCTTCCCATAGACAAGGTTATTTTGTTCCCAAGCTTACTTAACTTCCTCTGCATGTCGTAAAATCCTAAATTCCTAAATTCTCCCTGACCCCAAGTGAAAGATCCATTTGGATCAACATTTTTGTTACAGTGTTGTTTCTACTCTGTGTGCTCTCTTAAGTCCTGGAGCAATATGAGATTAATTGTTCTAGGTATAATAAACTCATGCAGTCAAATACTATCACTTCAGCTCACATATGTGAGGCAACTTGACCTTGAGTTCGAATTGACCAAGGCCACTCAAACCTATTTGAACTAAATGGGTCTGGCCAGGTACCCTTCATACTGACATTAGTTTTAGATAGTCTAAGGGTAACACATGCTTGAACAAACGTGATTTTATTTTAAATTGGAAATAAAATAACATCTAGTCAGATGACTGCTGTTTCAGGCTGGAATGATGTCTGACATCAATTTCTAGCAGCTGGAATCCATTCCCCAAGTGGCAAAGCGTACCTTGGCCTCTATAACCCTGAAGCTCAGCCAGTTTCTTAAGGTCTTCTAATAGAAAACAGCAAGATATTTCTTAAGGGTGGTTCAGAAAGCATAATTTGGAGTTGATTCTAATCCTAGCAGTGACCTATGTTAGGCAAATGCCTTGGATAGTGCTCAGTCCCCTATGACCTTCAGTCCTCTTTTTTTTTTTTTTCATAGCATAAACTATTGACCTTAACACGAAAGGAAAACTCCAGACATCACGTTGCTGAACTAGATAGCTCAGAGTCTTGAACAGTGTTGTTCATAGCCCAGTAAATAGGCTAGCCCTCTCAGAACTCTTTCTAGGTGATTTCTAATTTAAAATAAGCTTTAAAATTCATGGTATACTATTTGCTCTAGGCAAGTGGAAATGGGAATTAGTTATGGGTATAGAAGGGCACGGGTGTTCAAGGAGATCTAACTACAGCTTTTCTATGTTAACTTGTGTCTCATTCCTTGAAATAGACCAGCCTCTCAGTGTAGATGAAGAGGGGCTGGTCTTACTGGAGCAGAAGCTTTCCCGAGCCAAGACCCAGATCAACAGCCAACTGCGGCCCATGATGTCAGAGCTGGAAGAGAGGGCACGTCAGCAGAGGGGCCACCTCCATTTGCTGGAGACAAGCATAGATGGGATTCTGGCTGATGTGAAGAACTTGGAGAACATTAGGGACAACCTGCCCCCAGGCTGCTACAATACCCAGGCTCTTGAGCAACAGTGAAGCTGCCATAAATATTTCTCAACTGAGGTTCTTGGGATACAGATCTCAGGGCTCGGGAGCCATGTCATGTGAGTGGGTGGGATGGGGACATTTGAACATGTTTAATGGGTATGCTCAGGTCAACTGACCTGACCCCATTCCTGATCCCATGGCCAGGTGGTTGTCTTATTGCACCATACTCCTTGCTTCCTGATGCTGGGCAATGAGGCAGATAGCACTGGGTGTGAGAATGATCAAGGATCTGGACCCCAAAGAATAGACTGGATGGAAAGACAAACTGCACAGGCAGATGTTTGCCTCATAATAGTCGTAAGTGGAGTCCTGGAATTTGGACAAGTGCTGTTGGGATATAGTCAACTTATTCTTTGAGTAATGTGACTAAAGGAAAAAACTTTGACTTTGCCCAGGCATGAAATTCTTCCTAATGTCAGAACAGAGTGCAACCCAGTCACACTGTGGCCAGTAAAATACTATTGCCTCATATTGTCCTCTGCAAGCTTCTTGCTGATCAGAGTTCCTCCTACTTACAACCCAGGGTGTGAACATGTTCTCCATTTTCAAGCTGGAAGAAGTGAGCAGTGTTGGAGTGAGGACCTGTAAGGCAGGCCCATTCAGAGCTATGGTGCTTGCTGGTGCCTGCCACCTTCAAGTTCTGGACCTGGGCATGACATCCTTTCTTTTAATGATGCCATGGCAACTTAGAGATTGCATTTTTATTAAAGCATTTCCTACCAGCAAAGCAAATGTTGGGAAAGTATTTACTTTTTCGGTTTCAAAGTGATAGAAAAGTGTGGCTTGGGCATTGAAAGAGGTAAAATTCTCTAGATTTATTAGTCCTAATTCAATCCTACTTTTCGAACACCAAAAATGATGCGCATCAATGTATTTTATCTTATTTTCTCAATCTCCTCTCTCTTTCCTCCACCCATAATAAGAGAATGTTCCTACTCACACTTCAGCTGGGTCACATCCATCCCTCCATTCATCCTTCCATCCATCTTTCCATCCATTACCTCCATCCATCCTTCCAACATATATTTATTGAGTACCTACTGTGTGCCAGGGGCTGGTGGGACAGTGGTGACATAGTCTCTGCCCTCATAGAGTTGATTGTCTAGTGAGGAAGACAAGCATTTTTAAAAAATAAATTTAAACTTACAAACTTTGTTTGTCACAAGTGGTGTTTATTGCAATAACCGCTTGGTTTGCAACCTCTTTGCTCAACAGAACATATGTTGCAAGACCCTCCCATGGGGGCACTTGAGTTTTGGCAAGGCTGACAGAGCTCTGGGTTGTGCACATTTCTTTGCATTCCAGCTGTCACTCTGTGCCTTTCTACAACTGATTGCAACAGACTGTTGAGTTATGATAACACCAGTGGGAATTGCTGGAGGAACCAGAGGCACTTCCACCTTGGCTGGGAAGACTATGGTGCTGCCTTGCTTCTGTATTTCCTTGGATTTTCCTGAAAGTGTTTTTAAATAAAGAACAATTGTTAGATGCCTGGGGTCAGTTTCTGATTTACTAAACTCTAAGCCTATGATGGTACCAAAGTAATGGAAATGAAAATGCCACAGAAATGGCAATAGGTCCTAGAGTTAGCATCTTCAGTTCCCACTTCTGAGCATCTTACTTCGCCCATTCCAACCATACAGGATTGATGATGCTGTCAATGAGATTTTTATGAGGTTTAACTGATGCTGTCTTCTAAGCATAAAGCTTTATTTCTAGAAAAACTCTAGCTGGGTGGGGGGGATATAGTTAATATTCTTATCTTTTTCATCAGCTATAAAATGAAGGTAAAATTAATAGTTTGTGGTGCATATGTCATGCTTTTTAAGAAGTTAAAATGTACTAAATTAAGATCTTGAATTGGTCATCTACGCAAGCGGCTGAGGAAACAATTCTGCTTCTGTCCATTGACCCCCAGATTCTGATAGGTCTGGTCACTTTGCTTTACCTTCTGTGAAAATGAATTTGTAATCCTGTCTTGGCATACCCAATTACACATTCTACAGATCTCTTGCTATAATTAACGACCAGTGCCCAGACTCCACAGTCATTTCAGAGGCCCTGCCATTTACATGTGACTTCTAAGGTTGCCTGGGGGATGGAGGGTTGTGGCCATTCCAGCTGGTTGTCACCAGCTGATGGAAAGAGAAAAGAACATGGAGGAAGGATACACAGGAAAGCCAGGCTTGGGAGGGCCTCACGTGCCATGGTCCAAAACCCAGCAAAACAATCACATCTGCCATGCAAAGGGGTCTGGAAGATGTAGTCCTTTGTTAGGATGCCACTTCACAGTGACAATTCTACATTATGAAAGGAGAAAATGCATTGTCGGTGATTGGCTGTCTCTTCCAAGTGTAAGATTAGACAGTACATGTTCTAGGAAACTTGGTGAGGGATCCCATTAGTTAATAACCACGGTATGTGTAATCATATAAGGATTCTTCAATGGAATAGATTGTTTTAAAAGTCGTAAGAGGCTGGGCGCGGTGGCTCATGCCGGTAATCCCAGCACTTTGGAAGGCCGAAATGGGCGGATCACGAGGTCAAGAGATTGAGACCATCCTTACTAACATGGTGAAACCCCGTCTCTACTAAAAATACAAAAAAATTAGCCGGGCGTGATGGCGGGCGCTTGTAATCCCAGCTACTTGAGAGGCTGAGGCAGGAGAATGGCGTGAACCTGGGAGGTGGAGCTTGCAGTGAGCCAAGCTCATGCCACTGCTCTCCAGCCAGGGTGACAGAGCAAGACTCCGTCTCAAAAAAAAAAAAAAAAAAGGTCGTAAGACTGTCTTCCCTGACAAATGGGAGATGATACCTGAGGAGAGATGGGGAGTAGAAAAATGACTTATGGTACTTCCCTTGATGTACAAATAATTCTCTCATTTCTAAGGACCTGAAAAGTTATCCCTTAGAAGAGAGAAGGGGATGTGGCTTCCCCAGGATCTAGCCTCATGTTGTCAGTCCTTAACCTGACGCTGCCAAGATAAGGAAGCTTTCCTTCTGATTTTTCGTCAGTATTAGTAGTTCATAGTGAAAGCTTTCTTGCACTTCTCCTCTGAGAGTTTATGGTTAATTATGCTGTTGGTAAGCTATTACAAATGTCATCATCTACTTTAACTGTTAGGGACCTCTGTTTGGAGAAAGGGGTGGAAATGAAACTGCCCATAGACTATAACTTCTTAGCAGATGTATTTCTGGTCTTCTCCAAGGATGTGGTTTCTTTTCAGTACTCTCCAGTACTTCTCTCAGCCTCTTGGGAGGCTGGAGAAAAGGATAAGAAGATGCTTAGTAATATTCAATGTTTTGAACAAGTCTCAAGGACCAGGAATGTGTTTATTGTGCCTTCTTTTAATGTTTTGCATGGTAATGGGAATGTTATGGATTCTTGCTGTGGTTCAATTTTCCCACCTGGAGAACATAGATTAGAATTTTTCTCTCCCTTCTTCATACTATTGGCTACATGGAACTTTCTAAGAAATCCAAAGATCCAAAGCTTACATATAGGTCATAAGGGAAGAAATGTGTATGTGCACATATGTTAATTCATATTTAGTATATATATTTTATAAGTTAGCAAACTAAACCAGTGTTTATATTTCACTTTAAATGAGCTCTTGGCTGAATGTGGTGGCTCACGCCTGTAATCCCAGCACTTTGGGAGGCCAAGGCAGGCAGATCACCTGAGGTCTGGAGTTTGAGACCAGCCAACTCCAACATGGCGAAACCCTGTCTCTACTAAAAATACAAAAATTAACTGCGCATGGTGGCAGGCGCCTGTAATCCCAGTTACTCTAGAGCCTGAGGCAGGAGAATCACTTGAACCCCGGAGGCTGATGTTGCAGTGAACCGAGATCGCGCCATTGCACTCCAGTGTGGGCGACAAGAGCGAAACTCTGTCTCGAAACAAAACAAAACAAAAACAAAACTCAAAGCAAAGAAATGAGATTTCATCATTATGTACTCTCAGGACAAGGAAAAAAAGGCAGTGTTTAGCTTTGTGAACAAAATAGCAAATGTAAACACGAGTGATCAATTTACAAGCATATCAAGCATCATTATGATGTGCCACAAAACCCACACGGATGTACACAAAGCTGCCACATCTCAATTTTAAGCCAAAAAAAAAAAAAAAGATAAAAGAAAAAAATACGAAGAACCCCAAGAACCAAATGATTCATTTAAAAAAATAAATCTGATAAACAAACAGCTAATCCTTCAATGAGCCAGCCTAATAGGGAATTACTGTTTCACCTTCTGAATCATATCTGATAATTAGCTAATGGCAATCACCATTCACACCTAACCCAATATAGGGTGTGTGATATGACTGAAGGTGAAATAAGAACTGATAATCACAGCAGGATTGAACAGTTAACAAATTGTTCACTTTTGCTTGTTTACATTGCCAAAGCAAATTGCGAGTTTAACAAGTTCTGTTTTAGTTAAGATCTTTCAAGCTAAAAAGTTGTTCAAGTTTTTCATTTTCACAAATATAATTTTATTTCATAAAATACTAATTTCATTGAGGAGCCAAAGTTAACCAACACTGGACTATGCAAATTAGTCAAGATGTAAGATTTAATGTTTCAAAACTAAGAAAACGGAGGCACAATTTACAAATTTGCTAATTATTCTTCCCTTTATCATCCTTGGATGTGGCTGTACATACTTTTATATAACACATGTGGCATCAGCTGAACCAGGCAGGAAACTGCTTGTTCTAAGTACATTTTTACAACTGTTGTCTCCTGTCAAGTAAAATTATGAAGAAAAAGTGATTAATGCTGCAATTCACAGAGAAAGTTCTTGACCAAGACACAAGACTCTTGTAGCATTGTCTTATTTATTAACATAATTGAAACATTTTGCATAAAACTCTTGCCCATGACTATTCTAGCAACAAAATTGTACTCAAAATATTTCACTGTGAAATGGTATTGCAACTTGAATATCATTTTTTATTAATGAATTGATTTCCATAAAGCAAATCTTACTCTTAAAATGGCAGATTATGTGATCAAAAAGCGATTCAAAAAAGCTTCCCCCTCCTCATGCCAACCCTCAAGACCATGTGGATCCAGCTGAATCCTCAGCCCTGGGACTAGACTAAGGTTGAGGGAAAGAGCCGTTAACTCATTCCTAACCAGAACAGGCTAATAGGACACTCCAAACTCACACTACAAAGAGACCACATGAACAGTCGAGTGTGCTGGGCAGCTATAAGATGGTGCAGACTGGATGAATTTGGCAGAGCATATTCATCACCATTACTACAATGCTATTCCTAAGGTGTCCTAATTGTATGAGCTACAAAATCGGTCCCTGTTTCCATTCTTCCCATCTCACCTGTTGGCCCTCCTGCAGTAGGTAGCCTTGGGAGAGATCCTGAGCTTTTCATATTCTACCGTTTTATTTTTGCATTACTGTTTGGATGAGTAAAATGTAATAACATGCTTCTCTCTCTTAGTCCCCTAAAAGAGTGTGTGTGTGTGTGTGTGTGTGTGTGTGTGTGTGTGTGTGTCAGTTTGAGGAGAGTAGAATTGGGCTGGTAAGTACAAGTTTTTTCTCCCTGTAATTCTCTGCCTTTTGCTGTAGTTCAGTTATTATTGAGTCTCACTTTCTACTTAATTTGAACAGCAAGTTCTTTAATTCTTTCTGAGAAGCTGGAGCTTGAAACTAGAGAACATTGTTGAAAGGCTGGCCAAGCTGAGACAGGAAGAACGGCGTCTCTAGAAGCTCTAGCTTTGGGTTTCAGGCACTTCAGTAAGAGACTTTCCCCCTTGTTCCTATGTACATTCAAGGAAAATGAAAGCAAGAAGGCTCTAGAGGCTGCCTGGGGTTGGGGGTGTGTGACTGAGGTACCCACTAGCAGCACAGCCCTCCCAGAGGACCATTCCTTAAGGACAGAGTTATTGACAAAAAGGGTTTTCCTTCTGCCTGTTCTTACATCAGCCACTTTCAGAAAAATGGGAGAGACATTTTTTGCTGGTGAACAGGAAACAAAGCTCCAGACCCCTCTGGACATGATTGTTCCAGTCCATGCCTTTCTCACAACCTCTGAGCCATGCCAGTCTTGGATTGGGCTTTGCAGGAAGGAACAGGACCCCAGAGACAAAGTCGGGGGGTAGAGGTTATCCTGTTGGCACCTGGGGCACCACTTCAGACTCTGAATCATCTTTCTGGTATTGACTGTGGCTGGGTCATGGTCACAATGTCCTGTCCTGGATTTAGTTGTGCTGTGACCTTCCCCTAGCAAATGAAGAGTAGGGCGTGTGTGTGTGTGTGTGTGTGTGTGTGTGTGTGTGTGTGTGTGTGTGTGTTTGGGGGGTAGGGGGTGCGGCGATGGGAATGGATGATTCTATCCAAAAGAAGATTCACTTTCTTTTTATATTAAATAGGAAACCTGTTTTTAGTACAGTGCCTGTAATCCACAAAGATAAGATCTGCCCCACTTCATTCCTAGAAATCTACTTCTATGGCACCTGTTCTTTGTCTTAATTCATCTCACTTTCCCTCCCCACTCCCACATGCTTTCGGACTGCATGCTGAGAGTGCAGAACCAGCCTCATTCCTTCTCATGGGCTGTAGACCAAATGGGGCTTGACCAGAGCAGAGTGACAGAGTGGACCAAGAAACAAAAGAAATCGAGCCTTCCTCAGGTCTGCTCACGTGGGTCCCATAAATTCCATCCATAACTCCAAGTCCTTAAACAAGCCATGTTTCCCCAGGAAATTCAGGCACCTGTTTTCCTTTGTTTCATTTCCTGGCTTATGACTGTTCTGCCTGGACAAGGCTGTTCCATCTTTCGCTCTCCAGCAATAGCATCATCCTGAGCACTCTGTGGGTCTTCCTTCACCTTCCACAAAGCAACTCTTTCTTGGATTGATGGAGTCCGCTTCTGGGATTTCTTCCAAGCTGCTGAGATCTCTTTATTTCTAAAGGAAACCTAACAGTGGCCTTCCTTACTATCACACCCTCCCCTGGGACTGGCATTACCATCCTATGTGTGGAGAGCACCTGGGACAGATATAATTTAAAAGAAAGATGCCAGGGTAAGGCTTGGGAAGTGTAGAAATCATATGGGCACCTGGTCAGCAACATGAGGAAATGGAGGGTGTGGTGTGACGGCCTAGGGGTCAGGGAAACAATATGTTCTTGTCAGGCCCTACACCTGCTGGCTGACCTGGACCAGCCATTTAATCCCATGGGCCTCTGCTCCCTCAACTTTTAAAGGAAAGTGTTGGATCAACTGAACTCTAAAGTTTTTTTCAGTTTATTATTTCATGATCCCTAGTCAAACACTGATACCCCAAAATAGGATTTTCCTTCCTTCCTCTGAAGATTATTTCAAAAAATCCAAGAGGAATAACAGACTTTCTGGATGCTGCTCTACCATGTTCTTCTGTTAAATCAAGTTCCTTTTCCCGCAATTGAAGGATGTTGCAGATGTGAAACGTGTGGTAAAGAACATTGTCTTTGCTTTCAGGTCCCACCTGGCCCTTTCTGGCCGTAGCTGGTACTAGATTTTGATAAAAGTATCCTAATACTCAGGGACTATTTCTCAAAGACCAGAATCCCAAGAGCCAGAGACTGGATGAGAGACACAAAGCACAAGACAGCAATTTCCTTATGGCTCTCCAAGCAGGACACGCATGAGACCCTAGTAACCAGAAGCAAAGCTGGCAAAACTGTCTGCAGGAACAGAGAGGAAGGTAGAAAATTAGAGAAAAAAGGAGTGAAGCAACTTAGTGGCTCCTGACCCCTCCCAGATCTCCCTTCTGGGAACCCACTCCCCTATTAGGGAGATTTTCTCAGACAGTTCCTGCAGCTCCCAGGCTCTGCAGGGGCTAGAACCAACCACAGAAACAAGACCAAGGCACTGCTTCTCAAGAAGAAACTGACCTCATGCACTGTCTGAGTTACCTCAGCTAGAGAGGGTGAAAATCATCAGTTATCATCAGGGCAACAAATTGCTTTCTCCTAGTTCATCCTGGACTTACAATATGAAAGAGACATTTCCCAGCCCAACAGACAATACATAATTCCAATTAGCAAAGACCTCCAGGGTTGAGTGGACTCCTAGTGTTTTTTTGTTTTGTTTTGTTTTTTTATGACACGACTGCACGATGTGGATCTGGTCCTGCCTATGTGGTTGTTCTCAGGTACAGGAATGTGTCTAAGCATGGCCTCCAAAGGTCCCTTGGAAACCCCTGGCTGGTAGGGAACCCGCACTGTGCCATCAGCTACAGTCCACAAAGGTAAATGAACAGATGCCACCAGGAAATGAGGATGGACTGGCTCTGTGTGATCATAAGCTCAGAGCATCAGGGAAATGGTCATTTGAAACTAAGAAAACAGATTCAAATTATTCTGAGAAAACCGACTATTCACAGACTCGTGTCCCAGGTTTCAGAACCCGAAAATCTCACTCCTGATCAAAGGTTGCTGCTGCTGCTGCTGCTGCTGCTACTGCTATATGTGTGTGTGTATGTGCGTGCGCGGGTGCACACGCATGTGTGCGTGTGTGTGTGTGTGCGTGTGTGTGGTGCTGAAGAAGTGGAGGTTGCTTGGCCTTCTCTACTGGGTGTGGCCCTGATGAACTCACTGAGTGCTGAGGCTGGCTACAATGTCCTATCAGAGGGGAAGTAATACCACAGGAGCACATCAAGACTACAAACATAAAGAACCATGGACACTGATTTCATCCAAGTTCTACAGGGAGTGAACAAAGAAAAATAAATAAACAAAAGAAAGAAAAGAAAAATAGCCCTTTGTAGTAAAGGGCATGCTGGGAAGGCAAGAGCCAGAGCCGCCTCCCCAGAGCATGCTGGGAGGAGGGGCACCAGAGCCGCCTCTCTAGAGCATGCTGGGAGGATGGGCACCAGAGCCGCCTCCCCAGAGCGTGCTGGGAGGATGGGCACCAGAGCCGCCTCTCTAGAGCATGCTGGGAGACGGACACCAGTACATCTCCAAGGACTGCACTTCCCCCGACTCCCACCCCATTCCCTCACCCACCCCCAACCCGGAGACTAGAGGAAAGTCTGTCCAAAGATGACTGTGGAATAGGGAATGCCATGGTTCTCTGCAGGTCCCCCACACTATGGGGGGTTAAGTCAGCAAGTAGGGAAAACAGTCAAGACGAGGAGATGGAGAAACAGAGAGGCAGGAGAGAAACAGGGGGCTGACAAAGATGGAGGGGCCATTGTGTTGCCGGAGGACGAGGGGCTGCTAGCCGGAGGCATTGATGTACAGCTGGCTTTTGAGGATGTAGTCGATGACCGGCTGGGACAGGTAATCCACAACATGGCCGTCCCCATGCTGCAGGGCCAGCCTGCACAAGAAGAGATGACAATCAGATGGACATCCACACCCAAAGCAAGTCAGGAGGACTGGCATGCCCCTGTCTCCCCAGCACCCCATTTGTAGCCTTTTCTCAGGTTGAGTAAATAGTTCTGTATTAGGAAAGGCCCTCTTGCCTCCACAACTCCTTCCCCACCTTGGTGACATCATTCATCGTGGTTCTGCCACTTCCTAGGTGAGAGGCCTTGGGAAAGTTATTTAAGCCCCTCTGTTCTTCAGTTTTTTTCCTGTAAAATGAGGGTAATATCTGGGCCCCTCTCATTTAGTTATTCAAAGGATTAAATGAGTCATTATGCAAAGCACTTAGAAGAGTGCCAGACACACAGTGGGCATCTAATGTATTCACTATTCTTTTTTCTCAAATAAATTGTATTGTGTATATTTAAGTCATACAATCTGATGTTGTAAGATACACATATATTATCATCATATAATATAGTATATCTATGTTATATTACATATTTATTATATATTTTATAATTTATATATTATACTATATTATATTATTTATATAATAGTGTTAATATTATATTATATTATATTATTTATATAAGTGTTAATATTATATTATTTATATAATATAGTTTAATGGTTACTGTAGTGGACCAAATTAATATTCATATATCCATCATCTCACTCAGATATGTATTTGTTCTTCTTGTGGCGAGAATAGCTATAATCTACTAATTTAGCAAAAACCCTAAATATAATACACTATTATTAGCTGTCATCCTCATGTCACACATTAGATCTTTCAACTTGTTTGTCCTACATATTTGCTACTTTGTATCCTTTGACCTGTATCTCACCACTTTCTGCCCTCCACACTTGACCCTGGTAATCATGTTTTATTCTCTATCTGTATGTTTAAGATTCCATATATATTCCTACATATTTGCTGCTTTGTATCCTTTGATCTATATCTCCCCACTTTCAGCCCTCCACACTTGACCCTGGTAATCATTGTTTTATTCTCTATCTGTGTATTTAAGATTCCACATATAAGTGAAATCATGCAATATTTTTATTTCTGTGTCTGGCTTATGTCACTTGGCAGAATGTCTTCCAGGTCTAGCCAAGTTGTGGCAAGTGGTAGGATCTCCTTTTTTAAGTCGAATAATGTTCCACTTCCGTGTGTGTGTGTGTGTGTGTGTGTGTGTGTGTGTGTGTGTATGTGTGTGTGTAAGAACACATTTTCTTTATCTATTCATCCATTGATGGACGTCTAGGTTGTTTCCACATCTTGGCTACTGTGAATAATGCTACAATGAACTTGGAAATGCAGATACCTTTACAAGGTGGTGATTTCATTTTCTTTGGGTATATACCCAGAAGAGGGATTGCTGGGTCATATGACAGTTCCGTTTTTAATCTCTTTAGGAACCTCTATTCTGTTTTCTATAACGGTTGTACCAATCTACATTCCCACCAACAGTGTACAAGGGTTCCCTTTCTCCACACCCTCATCGACATTTGTTATCTCTTATCTTTTTGATAATAGCTATTCTAATAGGTGTGAGGTAGAATCTCATAATGCCTTTAATTTTTATTTCCCTGGTGATTAGTAATGTTGCGCATCTTTTTATGCACCTGTTAGCAATTTTTATGTCATCTCTGGAGAGATGTCTACTCAAATCTTCTGGTGTTTTGTTTGTTTGTTTGTTTGTTTGTTTGCTTTTTGAGAGAGACAGGGTCTCACTCTGTTGCCCAGGCTGGAGTGCAGTAGTGAGTCATGGCTCACTGGAGCCTCAAACTCCTGGGCTCAAGCAATCCTCCTGCCTCAGCCTCTCAAGCAGCTAAGACTTCAGGCACATGCTACCATGCCTGGCTAATTTTTTTTTGGTGGGAAGGGGTAAGGATAGAGACAGGGTCTCACTATGTCTGGAACTCCTGGCCTCAGGCAATCTTTCCACCTCAGCCTCCCAGCGTGCTGGGATTATAGGTATGAGCCATCACACTGTGCCCCTTTGCCCAGTTTTTAGTTGAGTAATATGTTTTCTTGCTATTTTGAGTTGTGTAAGTTCTTTATAAATCTTGGATATTAATCCCTATCTGATATATGATTTGAAAATATTTTTTCTCAATCCCTAGGTTGCCTTTTCATTTTGTTGGTTGTTTCCTTTGCTGTACAGAAGCTTTTTAGTTTGAAGTCCCATTTATTTATTTATTTGCTTTTGTAGCCTGTGCTTTCAGTGTGGCATCCAAGACATAATTGCCAAGACCAATGTCAAGGAGATTTTCCTTTATGTTTTCTTCTGTTTTTGTTTACTGTTTCAGATCTTACACTTAGGTTCTTTATCCATTTTGAGCTGATTTTTGTGACTGGTGTGAGATAAGGTCCAATTTCATTCTTTTGCCTGTAGAAATCCAGTTTTTCCAGCACCATCTATTGAAGAGACTGTCCTCTCTTTATTGTGCTTTTTTGGTACCTTTGTCAAAAATCAGTTGACCATATATGTTTGAATTTATTTCTGGGCTCACTATTCGGTTCCACTGCTCTATGTGTCTGCTTTTATGCCAGTACCATACTGTTTTGATTACTACAGCTTTGTAATATAATTTTAAATGAAGAAGTGTGATGCCTCCAACTTTTTTTTTCTCATAATTGCTTTGGCTATTCAGGGTCTTTTGCAGTTCTGAGCACATTTTAGGGTTGATTTTTCTATTTCTGTGAAGTATGAATGCTGCCATTGGGATTTTGATAGGTATTTCATTAAATCTTTATATTTCTTTAGGTAGCATGGACATTTTAGCAATATTAACTTTTCTGATCCATGAGCATGAAATACTTTTCATTTATTTGTGTTGTCTTCAATTTCTTTTGTCCATGTTTTATATATACTCCAGTGTACAGATTTTTCACTTCCTTTGTTAAATTTATTCCTAAGGGTTTTTTTTTTTTTTTTTTTCAGACAGAGTCTCACTCTGTCACCCAGGCAGGCATGCAATGGTGTGATCTTGACTCACTGCAACCTCAGCCTCCTGGGTTCAAGTGATTCTCCTACCTCGGCCTCCCGAGTAGCTCGGATTACAGGCACAAGCCACAATGCCCAGCTAATTTTTGTATTTCTGTTAGAGACAGGGTTTCACCATATTGGCCAGACTGGTCTCTAACTCCTAACCTCAAGTGATCCACCTGCCTCCGCCTCCCAAAGTGCTGGGATTATAGGTGTGAGCCACCGTGCCTGGCTGTCTAACTGCTATTGATAGTACTTTCAGTACTTTGCTGAATGGAAGTGGGAATAGTGGGCATTCTTGCTTTATATCAGGTCTTAGAGGAAAAGCTTTCATTTTCTCCCCATTGATTATAATGTTAGCTGTGGGTTTTTTAAAAAAAATAAAATAAATTGCCTTGCCGGGAGTGGTGGCTCACGCGTGTAATCCCAGCACTTTGGGAGGCTGAGGCAGGCAGATCACGAGGTCAGGCGTTCGAGCCCAGTCTGGCCAACATAGCGAAACCCTGTCTCTACCAAAAATACACAAAAAATTAGCTGGGCATGGTAGTGTGTGCCTGTAATCCCAGCTACTTAGGAGGCTGAGGCAGGAGAATCACGTGAACCCAGGAGGCGGAGGTTGCAGTGAGCAGAGATTGTGCCACTGCACTCCAGCCTGGGTGACAGAACCAGACTCCATCTCAAAAAAAATAATAAAAAAATTAAAAAATTTAAAAAATGGCCTTCGTTATGTTGAGAAACTTTCCTTCTATATTTAAACTGTTAAGAATCTTTATCAAGAAAGGATGTTGAACTTTGTCCAATGCTTTATCTGCATCAATTGATATGGTCATGTGGTTTTATCTTTCAGTCTATTTATGTGATGTATCACACTGACTGATTTGCATATGTTAAACCAGCCTTGTGTGCCAGGGATAAATCCTACTTGATCATCATGTATAAGCTTCATGTTGTGTTGTTGAATTCAATTTGCTAATGTTTTATTGAGGACTTTTACATCAATGCTCATCAGAAATATTGGCCTACAGTTTTCTTTTCTTGTGGTGTCTTTTTTTTTCTGTTGCCCAGGCTGGAGTGCAGCAGCGCATGATCTCAGTTCACTGCAACCTCTGCCTTCTGGGTTCAAGTGATTCTTCTGCCTCAGCCTCCCAAGTAGCTGGGATTACAGTCACGTGCCACCATGCCTGGATAATTTTTGTATTTTTAGTAGAGATGGGGTTTAACCATATTAGCCAGACTCATCTTGAACTCCTGACCTCAAGTGATCGATCTGCCTTGGCCTCCCAAAGTGCTAGGATTACAGGCATGAGCCACTGTGCCTGGCCTCTTTGGTGTCTTTATCTGGCTTAGGTATCAAAGGCGATGCTGGCCTCGTAGAATGTGCTAGGAGGTATTCCTTCCAGCTGTATTTCTTTGAAGAGTTTAAAATGTATAGGCCAGGCGTAGTGGTTCATGCCTGTAATACCAGCACTTTGGGAGGCCGAGGTGGGTGGATCACAAGCTCAGGAGTTCAAGACCAGCCTGGCCAACATAGTAAAACCCTGTCTCTACCAAAAATACAAAAATTAGCTGGGTGTGGTGGCAGGCACCTGTAATCCCAGCTACTTGGGAGGCTGAGGCAGGAGAATCACTTGAACCCGGGACGCGGAGGTTGCAGTGAGCCAAGATCACGCTATTGCACTCCAGCCTGGGCGACAGAGTGAGACTCTGTCTAAAAAAAGAAGTATTGGTATTAATTATTCTTTGAAAATTTGGTAGAATTCAGCTCTGAAGTCATCTGGTCCTGGGCTTTTCTTTGTTGGGAAGTTTTTAATTACTACTTCAATCTATTTGTTATTGGTCTGTTCAGGCTATTCCTGATTCAATCTTGCCAGATTATCTTTTTAAAGGAATTTATCCCTGCCCTCTAGGTTACCAAATTTGTTTGCATATAATTGTTCATAATAATTCCTTATGATCCATCTTATTTCTGAGACATCTGTTATAATGTCTACACTTTCATTTCTGATTTTATATATTTGAGTCTTTTTTTCAGTCTAGATAAAGGTTTGTCAATTTTGTTTTTTTTTTTCAAAAAACCAACTCTTCATTTTATTAATTTTTTCTATGGTTTTTCTATTCTCTATTTAGTTTTGCTCTAATCTTTATTATTTCCTTCCTTTGGGTTTAGTTTGTTCTTCTTTTTCTAGTTCCTTAAGGCATAATGCTAGGCAATTTATTTGGGGTCTTTCTTCTGTTTTAATGGGAGCAATTATTGTTAGAAGCTTTCCTCTTAGAACTATCCTTAGTTTATCCTTTTGGGTTCCTCTGCATGCTGGCCTCAAGAGTATGAATTCTCTTCCAGGGATTTTTGGGATTCACTGCATCTTTTCCTTCCTACAGGAGCCCATGGAGGAGAGGCACCAACAGGTATAAAGGACTCCAGTGACACATTTTGGCTTCTGCACAGTTTTTTTCCAGCCTTGGTCTGCCTACTTCCTGTTCTCTCCTAACACAATAGTCTAGGTGTCAGACCCAAACGAACTATTTGTAAAAATTCATATACGCCTCCACATACGTAGATTCTAAAAGGCATCTGAGCCCTGCCTGTGAGATCTCACTGGAGACCAGCTCACTGCCTTTCAATGCATGCACTGCCCTTGAAACCACCTTTGCAAAATTATGACTGAGGCAGTGAAAGAGATCTAACTTAACCGACTCCATCTTGCTTCTAACCTCCAAGCTGTCCTTGTTCCTGGTGTAGGCTGAACTAACTTCAGGAGAAACTTAGTTTATAGTTTATAGTTTGGGAGAAACTTAGTTTATAGTTTAAAAAAGAGGACAACAGCCCTTTCCCAAAGCAGACCTCCTTCTTGCCTAGGGACTAGATTGACTTTGTAGGACTAACATTAGCCACAAGGTTAGAAATTACGGTTTAGGAGTCATGCAGCTGAAGGCTACAAGATCTGACCCTCCCTAAACTGCTCCTAAGATCAGTGTTTGCAATATTTTGTAGACCCTGCACTTGATGGACCAGCTGGCACCACCCAGATCAATAAACTGGCTTATTTGAATTTGCGGCCCCCCACCCAGGAACTGACTCAGTGCAAGAAGACAGCTTCGACTCCCTGTGATTTCATCTCTGACCAATCCGCACTCCTGGCTCACTGGCTTCCCCAACCCATGAAGTTTTCCTTAAAAACTCTGCTCCCGAAATGCTCAGGGAGACTGATTTGATAACAATAAAACTCTGGTCTCCCGCACAGCCGGCTCTGCGTGAATTACTCTTTCTCTATTGCAATTCCCCTGTCTTGATGAATCTGCTCTGTCTAGGCAGCGAGCAAGGTGAACCCCTTGGGTGGTTACACCCTGACCTTGCAAGCTAGGTCCCTAAGTGCCTCCTCACATAGTTTTTGAAAAAGTGTGTATACCTGTGGCTCTGAAGCAGATTCCTAAGCCCACCCCCCATATATTCTGACTCAGTGGGACTGGGCAGGACACAGGAATTTGTACTGTTGTGTAACTCTGCATGGCGACTCTAATGTGCAGCCATGTTTGGAACCACATGCTGCCCCTCTCCGCTTATTGCCCATTGCTTCTGCCCTCACCTCACAGTGGATGTTACCCTTGTGAGTGTCTCTGTAATTGCCTTCCAGGGAAGAAGGCAATTACTTTTTAAAGTCCTGGTCTCATTTGATTTCTCTGAAAGATGTGACACAGATGGCAATGCTCTCCATCTTTGTCCCCTCTCTCACCTTGGCTTCTGGGCCACCACTGCCGGTGGTCCAGTGGTTTCTAACTGCCTTTTAACTTTCTATTAAATGCTAAAATGTTTGCAATGTTCCCCATAGTCTTCTCTTCTTGACTCTTTCTGTGAGCTTGTCCACACCTATAATTTTTTTGTGTGTGTGTGTGATGGGGTCTCACTCTGTCACCCAGGCTGAAGTGCAGTGGCGCGATCTCGGCTCACTGCAAGCTCTGCCTCCCGGGTTCAAGCAATTCTCCTGCCTCAGTCTCCCGAGTAGCTGGGACTACAGGCGGCTGCCACCACGCCCGGCTGATTTTTTGTATTTTTAGTGGAGACGGGGTTTCACCGTGTTAGCCAGGATGGTCTCGATCTCCTGACCTCGTGATCCACCTGCCTCGGACTCCCAAAGTGCTGGGATTACAGGTGTGAGCCACTGCGCCCGGCCTGTCCACACCTAGAATTTTAACTGACACTTACGTGTTCGTGGCTTTCAGTTTTACACTTCTAAGCCTCTATATTCCGTGTATTTCACCATTCCACTCAACATTTCCACTTTGGGTTTGTGGTAGAAACTGGTAACTGGCCCCTAATACCCATTCTTTCCTTCTTTGGGTTAGTAATAGAGCATCCTGAGTTTTATCTGGGCATGTGGCTGCCTAGCTACAAAGTCTATTTCCCAGCCGTCCTCCACCCTTGAGCCAGTGTGATGCAAAGGGAAGTGGTATGCGCAACTCTGGGTCACCTTAAAGACAAAGCTTCTTGCCATGGGCTTCACTTTGCCTTTTTCCACTGGCTGAGAAGAGCCACTGTTGCAGCAGCTGTGCACCCAGAGATGGAAGCTTCATATGGATGAGGCCATAGATTCCATCTTTGACTTCAGTAAGAGGGAACTAAACATCTAACATTTAAAATTCTGAATATTGGAATTTTTTTTGTTTTGGCAGCTTAGCCTGTACCCTTGTCAAATATTATTCCATAAGTACCTCCAACTAGAGTCCACAACTGAAAACACCCTGTTCTCCCCTTTAAAGCATCTAAGACTAGCTAATGGACTGTCCTCCCTTTTAAAAGTAAATGGCTGGGGCCGGGCACAGTGGCTCACACCTGTATTCTCAGCACTTTGGGAGGCCGAGGTGGGCAGATCACTTGAGGTCAGGAGTTCGAGACCAGCCTGGCCAAAATGGTGAAATCCCCATCTCTACTAAAAATACAAAAATTAGCTGGGCATAGTAGCATGTGCCTATAATCCCAGCTACTCGGGAGGCAGAGGTAGGAGAATTGCTTGAACCCAGGAGGCGGGGGTTGCAGTGAGCTGAGATTGCGCCATTGAACTCCAGCCTGGGCAACAAGAGTGAGACGCTGTCTCAAAAAAAAAAAAAAAAAAAAAAATGTAAAATGGCTGTGAACAAATGAGGTCCAAACAGGAAGCTAAACACCAGGGCAGCAGATGTCTGCCTGAATCTTAGGGTCATCTTTGATGGAGGAAATTTATGTGGAGACTTATAAGACAGTTTGACTAAAGTCTCTCTGGCCATTTGTCAAACATACCTGCTCTTGGTTGAGCTGACAACAGACATGGGATGGTTGATGTCATCCTTCACCACCATGATGTTGTTCTGAGGACAGAGCAGACAGAGTCAGTTGCCAGTCCCTCCCACTAAACTCCTTTTGCTCTCTCACTCCTCCAGCTGCCAGGACTCTCAGAGAAGGGCCATAACACAGATGCACTAGCAGGATGGAGGACTCACTTTGTATTTGCGGAGTATTGAGGAGTGATTCATGATTCGGTCTGTGTCGGCTGCATCCCGGGGCACCACCACAATCCCAAAGTCACCAACAATCACCTCCATCTAAAGAAACAGAGAGAGGGCCCTTTGGTGAAACCCTGATCCCAAACTCCTACCAAGCAACTACTTAGCATGGCAGAATCCGCTTCCATTCTTCCACATGGAGCCCCAAGCTTTAGTCCCAAACCGGCCTTCTTCTCAGCCCCATCAGCCAGCTCCTTCAAGGAACAACACTTAACAGTGTTAATAGAATAAGTGAAAGCATTGACTGGTCACAGAAGTCGCTTAATAAATACCCTAGACTTAAGGAATCAGTGAACTCTTATATGTCTGGGCAAGATCTCTCCAATTCCTGAGGCTCCCGTTAAGTTCACAATGCTGCAGAATCACATGAATGACATTGCGTCCTTACCTGGTAAACACCCTCTGGAGTGAAACAGATCCCTCTGTTCAGCAAGCACATTTGAGCCCTCAGATGGACGTCATGAGAGGGACTAAATGCTCTTCTGGCTCACCCTCATAAAAACTTCTGTGGGACTCAAGGGGTAGCTAAAAGCTAGAACTAGAAGTTCTTGGAATGCATCACTGGGCACCCAGGCTGTGATAGGGAGATGATGATGATGATTAGGGTCACTTCAGAGATCAGCCTTTGATAGAAGCTCAGTGCCATGTGAGAAATGAAATTTTTTTTTTTTCTTTTTTTGAGGCATGGTCTCAGTCTGTCACCCAGGCTGGAGTGCAGTGGCAAGATCATGGCTCACTGTAGCCTCAACCTCCTGGTCTCAAGCAATCTTCCCACCTCAGCCTCCCAAATAGCTGATACCACAGGTACATACTACCATACCTGGCTAACTTTTTTAATTATTTTTTTGAAGAGATGGACTCTTGCTATGTTGCCCAGGCTGGTCTCAAACTCTGGGACCCAAGTGATCATCCCACCTCAGCCTCCCAAAGTGTTGAAATTACAGGTGTGAGCCATTGTACCTAGCCAAAACCTTCTTTTCGTTTAAAAGAAATAACATTTTTATTTTCTGACTGTAGATGTAATGCAAGCTTAGAGAATCCAGAAAAAAAAAAAAAAGAAATCAATCACAATCATACAATCCAGATAGTGACTGTGAATGGTCTAATGTATATCTGTAGTTTTTTCTCTCTGCAAATAGGTGTATATATCCACAATTGGATTAAATTATAAAATTAGTCATTTTACCTACCTTTTTTCATTAGCATTATATTTTGAGCATTTTCTTACATTGTTAAAAATTATTTGAAAACATAACCTTTAATAATCTGTATATTTTACACTATGTGTACAGTTACTTCTGATTTTTTGCAATTATACATAACACTTTAATGAAGATCTTTATACAAAAATCTTTTATCACATCTCTGATTATTTTCTTAGGATAAGAAATGATATAATTGGATAAAAGGATATAAACTGTACATAATTCAAGCTTTTGAGACATATCACCAAGTTGCTTTCTGGAAATTTGTGCCAACTTTTATTTTTAAAGAGCCTGAAAGTTACGGCATTTAATACTCCTGGGTCTACCCTGGGCATATTACTGTTTAGATCTTGCCAATTACGGATCCCAGATGGGGGAAGAGGGGAGGAGGTAGGTGGCTTCTAAGCAGCACAGTTCACTGAGCAAGACCTGCTTTGAGGGCAAGGAACCCAGGTTTTTTCCCATAATTCTCTAAACAAGTGGCACAAAAACAAATATACTGGGGCACGGTGGCCCCTTCTCTCCAGAGGATTTCTATACCAGCAGAATTCCATTTCTAAGCCTGATTTACTGGTTTTGTGTGTGTGTTTGTGTGTGCACATTCTGAATATTTCTGTCCACCTTTACCCTGCTTCTCCTACTGCTTACAACTGGACCTAAACTTGCAGCTGGAGCTCTGATGTCGCTGAAATAAAAAGTTGGCTGAAGGTGTCTTAGGAGGAATGTCGTAGAGAGAAGTTAAAAAGCTAGGTGTAGAATATTAGAGCCCCCATTGGATCATGTAATCTGGAAGATACAGAGCATTGCACAACACACTGCATCTATTGGTGGTGTTCAGATCAGGTAAACTGACACCAAATCTCTTGTCTTATAAACCAGAAATGGTAAGGAGAGTCAGGGCAGGGAGTTAGAGCCAGCTCCTTCTGCCATGGCATTTAGGATACTGCACTAGGACTCACTACTTAGATACTGGTTCTCAAACTTGGCTGCACATTAGAATCACCTGAGGGGCTTTAAACATTTCCAAAGCCCCGCTCACACCTAAGATCAATTAAACCAGAATCTCGGGCCAGGCGCAGTGGCTCACACCTGTAATCCCAGCACTTTGGGAGGCCAAGGCGGGTGGATCACGAGGTCAGGAGATCGAGACCACGGTGAAACCCTGTCTCTACTAAAAATACAAAAAAAATTAGCCGGGCGTGGTGGCAGGTGCCTGTAGTCCCAGCTACTTGGGAGGCTGAGGCCGGAGAATGGTGTGAACCTGAGGGGCGGAGCTTGCAGTGAGCTGAGATCGCGCCACTGCACTCCAGCCTGGGTGACAGAGCGAGACTCTGTCTCAAAAACAAAAACAAACAAACAAAACCCCAGAATTTTGTTTGAGGGGCTGGGACTCAGGCAGCAGTATTTCTTTAAATTCCCCAGATAATATCAATATGCAACAAAGTTGGCGAACCAGTGGTCTAAGTACTGAATTAAAGCTCCGGGGAAATTGGCAGAGAAAGAGATAGAAAAGAGAAGGGAGGAGAAGAGCAGAGGAAAGGAGAGAAAAGAAAGGAGGACAGGAGAGAAGAAAGAATCTATCCAAGCTGGTATCCATGGGGATTCCTAAGCTGCGTGGTTATGTAGATGTTTCAAGATAACCTAGTATAGATTGCATAATGTAGGATCTGCCTTCAAATTGATTCTGTAAACTTGATGAATGTTTCATATATGATGTT
Organism: Homo sapiens; assembly: GCF_000001405.40. Taxonomy (NCBI): domain Eukaryota; kingdom Metazoa; phylum Chordata; class Mammalia; order Primates; family Hominidae; genus Homo; species Homo sapiens. The sequence continues at coordinate 183,264,188 of NC_000001.11, forward strand.
TGTAATAATGGGTCTATATAAAGTGAGCATTCTAATTTAAACCATGAAAATAATGGCTCAGAATAGCAGTCCTCATGGGGGAATCGCCCTGTGGGTGACATCAGTGCAGCTGCTGCTCTCCACTCAGTACCTAATGATCTGAGCACCCAATGAATAACTGTGCCAGGCTGTTCAGTGGGCGGCAAGCAGATGGAGGCCTTACTGCTTAAGATGTTTTCCTTTTCCAAAAACAGTGACAGACTTGTCCCTGGGAATCACAGATGGGTCGAGGGAGACAGGATCTATGAGACAAGATCTACAGCTTTAGGGCATCATGGCAGGGGTTCAGGCCAGAGACTGCAGATACTCTCTGCTCCTTTGGCCAGACACTGTTTTTGTAGCACCTGTTTGGAGAATTATGGGAGAAAATCTGGGTCCCTTGCCCCCAAAGCACGCCTTGCTCAATGAACTGCGCTGCTTAGAAACAATGTTCATGGTGGACGGTATTTGCGTGTGTGCATGTGTGTGTGGGTTCGGGAAGGGAAGGTACTAGGTGCTAGAGTTGGTGAGATGTGCCCTCAGTCCAACGAGTACCCATCTCCCTCCAAGAGCTTAGCTGTCCTTCCCACCTCAAGCCCCCATTGCCAGCCTTCACCAGGCCTCAGGACACTACCCTCTCCTGGTTGCCCTACCTCTCTGGCTGCTGGCTACTCCTTTCTGGGCCCCCGTGCTAATTCCTCCTTTTCTATCTGACCTTGAGCCACTGGATTCCCCCAAGCCTCAGTCCCTGGACGTTTTTTCTTTTCTATTCACACTCACACCCTTCATGATTTCATTCAATTTTGAAGTTTTAAAAGCACACTAAAGGCTTCCAAATTAATGTTTCCAGCATTAACTTCTCTCCTAACTGGAGGCTCATGTATCAGCTGCCTTCTCAATATGCCCACTTGGATAGGGCATCTCAAACTTAATATGTCCATGAGCTCCTGGACCTGCTAACATAAACAAATAGTTAAACCATCCACTCCCCTCAAAGAAATGGTTTTCCTATAACCTTTTCCATAAATAGAAATTCTCTTCTTCTTCTTCTTCTTTTTTTTTTTTTTTTTTTTTTTTTTTTGAGACAGAGTCTCACTGTTGCCCAGGCTGGAGTGCAGTGGCGCAATCTTGGCTCACTGCAACCTCCACCTCCTGGGTTCAAGTGATTCTCCTGCCTCAGTCTCCTAAGTAGCTGGGATTACAGGCATGCGCCACCATGCCCAGCTAATTTGTGTATTTTTAGTAGATACAGGGTTTCACCATGTTGGTTAGGCTGGTCTCAAACTCCTGACCTCATGATCCACCTCCCTCGGCCTCCCAAAGTGCTGGGATTACAGGTGTGAGCCACCATGCCCGGCAGAAATTCTCTTCTTATAATTGCTCAGACACAAAGCTTTGGTATTTTCCTTGATTCCTCTCTTTCTCTTATATCCCACATTCAGTCTATAAGTTAGTCCAATGGACTCTACCATCAAAACAAATCCAAGAATATGCTCATTTCTCATCATGTCTGTCCTTTCTATACTGGTCCAAGCCTCTTCTGTTAGGCTGAATAATGAACCCGAAAGATATCCAGGTTCTAATCTCTGGAACCTGTGAATATGGCAAAAGAGACTCTGCAGATATGATTAAACTAAGGATCTTGAGATTATCCTGGGTTATCTGGGCAGGCCCTAAATGCAGTAACAAGTACCCTTACAAGAGGCAGAGGGAGATTGGACCCAGAAGAGAGAAGATAATGGGAAGATGGAGTAGAAAGAGATTTGAAGATGCTCCACTGTGGAGCTTGAAGTTGGAGGAAGGGACCATTAACCAATGAATGCGACAAATGCAGCTCTAGAAGCTGGAAAAGTCAAGGAAACCAATTTTCCCCTAGATTCTCTGGAGTTGTTGGCCTTGCCAACAACTTGGTTTGGGCCCAATAAAACCTATTTCAGACTTCTGACTTCTGGGACTGTAAGAGAATACATATGTGTTATCCTAAGCCACCAAGTTTGCAGAACTAGGAAACTAGTTCACCTCTGTCATCTCTCATTTGGATTGCTCTGGTCTCCCTGTTATTTGCTTGCCTTTTTTAGTCTATTCCCAATAGCCAGACTGATTATGTTAAAATATAAGCCAAATTATGTTGCTCCTTGGCTCAAAATCTTTCACTTAAATGTCACCTTCTTGGTGAGATCCTGTCTGGCCACCCTAATTAAACCTGCATCCCTTGTGCGCTCCCACCCCTTAAGCCTAAATTCTCACCAGAGTTGCACTTTCACCCTTTTGGTTCTCTAAGCAGCACTAAGGTGGTTGGCAAGAATAGTCGCTTTACAAAAGGTGGCAAAAAGGGAGCCAAGAAGTGAGTGCTTGATTCGTTTTATAAGACTGGTATGATGTAAAAACACCAGCTATATGTTCCATATAAGAAATAACGGAAAAACACCAGTCCCAAGGATGCAAGAAACCAAAATTGCATGGGGTTGTGATAGCCTTAAGGGTTGTGCATTTGAAGTGAGTCTTGCTAATCTGCAGAAGGCTGAAGTTGCATTTAGAAAATTCAAGCTAATTACTGAAGATCTCCAGGGCAAAAACTGCCTGACTCACTTCCATGGCCTGGATCTTACCCATGACAAAATGCGTTCTATTGTCAAAAAAAATGGCAGACCATGATTGAAGCTCAGGCTGATGTGAAGACTACCAATGGCTATTTGCTTCATCTATTCTGCGTTGGTTTTACTAAAAAGAGGCAACAATCGGATATGGAAGACCTCTTAGGCTCAGCACCAACAGGTCTGCCAAATCTAGGAGAAGATGATGGTAATCATGACGGGGTAGGGGGCAGAGGAGTTGTTGTAGACAAATGATTTGAAAGAAGTGGTCAATAAATTGATCCCAGACAGCATTGGAAAACAGAAAAGGCTTGCCAATCTGTCCTGTCCGCGATGTTTTCACTAACATCGTGGGATAGGGATGGGGAGAGGATGTGGTGAAGGTAGTGGCTCTGGAAAAACCACTGGGGGAGAGACAGGGGCTAAAGTTGAACAAGCTGGTGGATAAAAGCCACTGGACCAAGACTCTGTAAAAATTCAGACTTTTAAGGGTGACAAATAAAAAGTATTATTTGTGAAAAATAAAAGAAAATAAACAACAACAACAAACATATTCCCCAGACCTCACCTGAGAAATTTTGATATAGCATGTGTCGAGGGGCTGCAGCCTCTCTCTTAACAAAGCTCCCTAATCCTTCTGATGTGCACCCACCTTTGGGAATTGTTGCTTTAAATCACATGGACAATTACCTAAGCTGCTAATATTCTGGCTTGTTTAGGGTGGGGTCAAAATGAGATACTTGTGGGACAGGTACCTCAGCACCTCTGAGAAGTCCAGCAAGAATAAGGACATTCCCCCTGTGCCCTGGGGAGTGGGGGGGTGTAAGGGCAGACATCTGACCCCAGGAAGCATAGGGCACTCAGATCCCCTTCCTATGCCGCCTGCAGGAGTGTGCCCAGGCCTCTGGAACTGAACTATTTTTCTGCTCGAGGGGACCAGCACCTCCTGTCTTCATGAAGAGCTCTCTATGGGTCTTGCCCTTGGGGGTGGAGAGGTGGGGTGGGCGAGTGGCCAATGCGGTAGAACTGTCCTGATTGGTAAATCTCATTCGTGATGGTGGCCAATGTGACCCCACACCATGGGCAGGATCAGGACACAATCTTCTCCCCCTGCAGCATACAGTGGCCCTCAGTTTAGCACTGGCATATGTCGAGCCTCAGAGGTGGGGGTCTGTGACATTTATCCTGCTTCTACTTCCTGCTCACAGGCACAGCTTTGATCATATCTTTTCATCTTCTGGTCAAAGGCTCCCCAGGGGAGGTAGGGATAGGGATGGGGAGAGGATGTGGGAGGGGGTAGACTCTGCTTCCCCAAATGTGGGGAATCTGAGGGAAGGATATGAGACATGTTGAGGCAGGAAGCAACTTGGCCTTGGAAGAGAAAACACTCATGATCCAGGCAGCAGAGCTCTTGGAAGGAACGTAGAGTTTGCATCATCCCTCCAAGAGGCTGAATTTCAGCCTCTTGCCCTGCCTTGCTGGATTTAAAGGGATGCTTTGAGTGGGTGGATGACTTGTGGTCTTAGCCAGGCACTTTCCTAGACACTAGGCATGCAGGGTTGAGCAAGGCAGATATGGATTCATCTCTTGGACAGATCACTCTCTAGTGTGAGACATTAAACAAATGATTATTTTCAATTGTATCTACTGCTGTGAAGATATGAGTAGGTTACTACCGGGTGGCTAATATCTTACAGTGACTAATATATTATGGGTAACTGGCAAAAGTTTGGGTCATATCCCATGGGGGAGGCAAACTGTCTTATGAGCTGAACTCCTCCAACCAAGTTGTTCTCAAGCACCCTTTCACTCAACAAACTTTTATTGAGCATGTATATGGTGAACTGGGCACTGTTCTGGTATTGGCAAATAAGACAGGCAAGTTTCCTGTACTCAAAGGGCTTACCTTCAAGTAAGGAGAGATCATAAACAAATAAATATATAAATAAGAAAACATCATGGCAAGGTGTGATGTCTCACACCTGTAATCCCAGCACTTTAAGAGGCCAAGGTGGGAGGATCACTTGAGGCCAGGAGTTCCAGACCAGCCTGGGCAACATGGTGGTAAGACCTCATCTCTACAAAAACAAATTTTATTTTAAATTAGCTGAGTGTGTTGGCACGTGCCTGAGTCCCAGCTACTTGTGAGGATGAGGCAAGAGGATCGCTTGACCCCAGGATGATTGCTTGAGTCTAGAAGTTCAAGGCTGCAGTGAGCTATGATCACGCCACTGCACGCTAGCCTGGGTGATAGAGTGTGACCCTGTCTCTGAAAAATAAATAAATAAAAAGAAAACATCAAATAGAGTTAAGTACAATATTGATTATAAAACAAAATGACCTTTATGTTGAAACCTACGTGATACGAAGGGATGGGCACAGGGATATCTAGGAGAAGAGGATTCCCAATGAGGCCACAGCTAGTACAAAGACCCTGAGGTGGGGAAAACTGTTTAAATAAACTAGGCGGGACTAGGACACACTGCGGTTGGAAAAGTAGACAAGTACCAGGTCATCATGAAGACAGGGTTTCATTCCAATTGCAAAGAAATGCCATTAGAGTATTTTAAACACAGGACTTGAAACTTCCATCGGCAACAGGATCCAATGTATGTGGATTTGCCCTGGCAGGCTTAACTGGCAAGATCCTCTGCAGGGCCATCCTGAGATCAGCGTTCTGAAGCCTGAGTTTCCCTCCCAAACAGTGTTCTCTTCTCAGGTACAGTACATCAGCGACTGCAGCCCATTTGTGTTTCTTCTCTGGATAAGGATAGTCAGGGATGCACATGGGCCCATTGGGAAGGAGGGGAAGAAACATTGATTAAGGTGCCTGCTATGTGCCATGCACAGTACTAGGAGCTTATCGCATTTAATCCTTATGACAACTGTCTTCTGAGATATGTGCCTCAGTTCTTATTTCATAGGTGGGGAAACCAAGACTCAGTGAGATTTAATAACCTGTCCAAGTTGCACAGCTAACGAGTGAATGTGAATGGAATCCACCGTGGTCTGCCTTAAAGACTCTTTCCTCCACATCACACCTCTTCTAGATCCACTTTTAAGACTCATATTGTAGTGACTTGAAACTTTTTTTTTTTATTTGAGACAGAGTCTCGCTCTGTAGCCCAGGCTGGAGTGCAGTGGCGCCATCTCAGCTCACTGCAAGCTCCGCCTCCCGGGTTCACGCCATTCTCCTGCCTCAGCCTCCCAAGTAGCTGGGACTACAGGCACCCGCAACCACGCCCGGCTAATTTTTTTGTATTTTTAGTAGAGACGGGGTTTCACTGTGTTAGCCAGGATAGTCTCGATCTCCTGACCTCGTGATCCACCCATCTCGGCCTCCCAAAGTTCTGGGATTACAGTAGTGAGCCACTGCACCTGGCCTTGAAACTTTTTTGGTTAAAGAAGTATTTCTAGTTGAAAATACATTCTACCTTATTTTTTCCCCCAGCTTACCATAGCTACTTGGGAGGCTGGGGTACTCTGTATCACCCTTAGAGTATTATAATTTTAGTATACTTCTGGATGAGTTTAAAAAGATGCAAAGAGAGAACTTGTGACAAAAGCCATGCAGTATATGAGCAGCTTCTGAAACATGCTCCCTCCATTTCAGTAAAGGATCCTCCACCCTTGCTGTAGCCCCTGCCACTCTCTGGAGGAAAGGCTGGGAGGAAACCAGTAAGGTCAGAGTCCAGCAGGTGGAAATGCATTTCCAGGATGGCCCTCTTAATGAAAAAAAAAAAAAGAGAGAGAACCATTCTTAAGAGGGGCTTCCCAGATGAAATCATCCCCACTCCCACTGCCAACTTAACTGGGGGTGTGGGAAGGCAGGGGATTCCAGACTCAAGTCAACAGCCTGGAAACCAAACCAACAGTGCCTTTCACATGAGAACAGCCAGAATCCCCCATTGGCAGGAGCTGAGCCTCCTTCCCCTGAGACTGTAATTTGGTATCGTTTGGTATCAGTCGTATCAGTGTGGGGGCCTAATCCCTGGGGTGCAAGAGTCCATCAGGCTTCCTGGCTGGAGCTGGACTGTCTGATAAAAACCATCTGAGCCTGAATAGCCAAAGTTTGTCTTTGTTCCATTTATCCTGGGGCCCTGGGATTTCTTCTGGAGTGGCTAATGCCCGAGGCTCTTCCTCTGTTTATTTTCTTTGGTTGTTTTCCCATAGCTGATGGATGTAGGAAGCAGTTAGCCCACGGCTGGTTGGCTGGAAAAATGTAGGATACAGCCAATTAGAACCAGCCTGTGGAATGCTGGGCTTTGAGGAGCGCAAAAAGAAAAAAAGATAAAACAATTCCCTCAGTGGCCATCTCTGGTGGCTGATGTTCCATCCCCAAGTTTTTACTCTTTTGGGTTAAATATTGACTCTTGCTCATTTGAAATGCAAATACTCTTGAGAGCAGCTAATACATGTAATCATTAAACTTAATGATTTTGCTGCTTGCTCAAAAGTTAATACCTTCCCAAATAAATACCAGGATCCACCTATTTCAACCAACCAGAACCATCTCCCCAAAGGTCTTGTTCCCCCCACCGAATCTTTTATATCCTCTTCCCTCCTTAAAAAGCTCTTCTCTTTCCACCTACTTAACCCAGTCCTGCTCACAATTCAAAGCCCAGCTCAAGGGCCACCCCCTCCCACAGAAAGCAAAGTGCACGGTCAGGTACTTTGTCTACTTTGTTTTCTCACATGGCTGGGTGCTCAATAAATATTTTAAAATAAGTGAATAACGGCCAACATTTATGGAATGTTTACTAGGTTCAGGAACTCTTCTAAACTTTTCACATGTTATAGTTAATATAGTATAAAGAAATATTATAATGAAAAGTAAGATACTTTTAGACTGCAAGTGCCTCAAGGATAAATACATGCTACGTTTATCCTGGGCACTTAATAAGCATTTGTTGAAAGATTGATTGAAGAAAGGAATGCTTGAATCAGAATTATTTTTTTCTTTTTTTTTTGAGATGGTGTTTCACTCTTGTCACCCAGGTTGGAGTGCAGTGGCGCTCTCTCGGCTCCCTGCAACCTGCACCTCCCGGGTTCAAGCAATTCTCCTGCCTCAGCCTCCTGAGTAGCTGGGATTACAGGAGCCTGCCACCACGCCTAGGTAATTTTTGTATTTGTAGTAGAGATGGGGTTTCACCATGTTGGCCAGGCTGGTTTTGAACTCCTGACCTTAGGTGATCCACCTGCCTCAGCTTCCCAAAATGCTGGGATTGCAAGCATGAGCCACCACACCTGGCCTTGAATCAGAATTAATTTGCCTGCTGGGCACAGTGATGGACAAAGCAGCTGGCAGCATCGGATCCCTACACAACGGGTTTTGTTTTGGGGAGAGGAGTGAGTGCAAATGCCTTCTGCTTCACAAATCTGCCCATGGTTGACCCTGTAGCCTCTGGCCTTGGCTTCCCACAGTCCCTGATCCATGCCTGGATGCCTGCATTGATGCTGGTGTCAGGATGCAGCAAAGCAAAGGAGCAGGTCTCCTGGGAGAGACTAGTTCTCCAATAAAGAACTCGGGAATGCAGTGGGGTGGCAGGAGCTGGGTTCTGATCTCCGAGGCTGGTCCAGAAGTCTGGATCTTGATTTCCCATACAGCCACTCTGTTCTATTACACTTGAGAGAAACTCGATGACTATGTATGGAATTTTTTCTCCATGGAATGTAAGGGGAAGGGTGTGTCACTGGTCAGAGAGGGTCAGAATTTGCTGTGGGCTAATGGATCTTTGTGCCTAATGGGAAATGCCACAAGGGATGTGTTTGGGGTGGGGATGGGGTCATCCCATTAGTCATATAATTAGATTTCTGGATGGAGAGCTTTGGTTCAAGAATCCAAAGTGAAAGAAAGAGCAAAACTGACTCAGTAGAGAGTGTGTGTTGGTGCTGGAGGAGGCCTTGTCAGTCCTGCTGTCCAACAGACGGTCTCAGCCGGTTCCAGCCTGGCTGGAGGCCGGGCTGCTCCACAGCCCCTTCAGGCTTTCTCCCCAGACCCATTTGAACCAGTGGCATCCCTCCTGCCTTGTTTCTGAAGATATTTGGAGAAGATATGAGAGGCTGGAGTGCGGGGCCGGGGCCTAGGACATTTCCTAGAAAAAGCTTTGATCTCCCTCCTGCCCTTCTGTCCCCAGTCATGGGCAGTGTTAAATCAAGTTTAGCCTAAAGCTGCCTCCCTGCATATTTTAAGTTCGGCCTAAAGATTTCTCTGTGTACATGGTGAACTATAACAAGTGGAGGTGTAAACAGGCTTTAGCTTACATTTGTGCCAATTACCAAGTTTTGGCCAATCAATGTAGCCAGCTGTTCGAACTGTGTTCAAATAAGACTGTTTCTGTACTTCACTTCCATTTTCTGTACATCACCTTCCTTTTTCTGTCCATAAAACTTCTACCACATGGCTGCGCTGGAGTCTGAGAGCCTACTCTGGCATGGGATGCCGCCTGATTCGTGAATTGTTCATTGCTCAATTAAACTCTTTTAAATGTAATTCAGCTGAAGTTATTCTTTTAACAGCAGATTTCAGGGTTTTGGCCTCATGGTCTCCAAGCAAAGTCTGTGGTCAACAAGTATCACTCGGGGCACCCGATAATAAAGAGAAATGTGCTCTGAGAAAGGGATGAATGAATGGGCAAACGAATGAAACCTGAAACAGAAGCAGGTCTCACATATCTCGCTTCCAGGAGTCTCATGGTTAGGAACTGAAATTCCTAAAATGGGCGTTTCCAGGCAAACCCCAGATGGTAGAACTTGCTAGTACAATAAGCAGGGCTCATTCTGTATCCACTCCTGAAAGATGTTCCTTTTCCAGACCTTGAGATCCAACCTTCCCCAAATAAGAGCAGTGGACTAATTCACTGAGGTGCTAAGTAATTTTGTGCTGCCTACACCCTCCTCTGCCAGCTCTATTTTTCTTTCTTTCTCTTTCTTTCTTTCTTTTTCTCTCTTTTTTCCCTCCCTTCCTTCCTTCCTCTTTCTTTCTTTCTTCCTCTCTCTCTTTCTCTCTTTCTTTCCTTTCTTTTCCCTCCCTCCCTCCCTCCCTTCCTTCCTTCCTTCCTTCCTTCCTTCCTTCCTTCCTTCCTTCCTTCCTTCCTTCCCTTCCTCCCTCCCTCCCTTCTTTCTTGCTTTTTTGCTTTTTGGAGTCTTGTCACTCAGGCTAGAGTGCAGTGGCACAATCTTGGCTCACTGCAACCTCTATCTCCTGGGTTCATGCAATTCCCCTGCCTCAGCCACCGGAGTAGCTGGGATTACAGGCATGCACCACCACGCCTGGGTGATTTTTGTACTTTTAGTAGAGATGGGGTTTTACCATGTTGGCCAGGCTTGTCTCAAACTCCTGACCTCAAGTGATCCACCCACTTCAGACTCCCAAAGCACTGGGATTACAGGTGTGAGCCACTGCGCCTGGCTGGCCAGCTCTATTTCTAGCAGACAGCCAGATCTTTTACAGGAGGAATTTGCAGGACAAAACCAGAATGCTCTGAAGTCAATAACTTTATTTATTTATTTGTTATTTATTTATTTATTTAGACAGAATCTTGCTCTGTCACCCAGGCTGGAGTGCAATGGCACGATCTCTGCTCACTGCAATCTCTGCCTCCCGGGTTCAAGCGATTCTCCTGTCTTAGCCTCCCAAGTAGCTGGGATTACAGGTGCCCGCCACCATGCCCGGCTAATTTTTTGTATTTTTAGTAGAGATGGGGTTTCACCATGTTGCCCAGGGTGGTCTCGAACTCTTGACCTCAGGTGATCCACCTGCCTCAGCCTCCCAAAGTGCTGGGATTACAGGCGTGAGTCACCACGCCTGGCCTGAAGTCAATGCCTTTAAACTCATTGAAGAAATTTTGAACCTAGTGCAGTGGCTCAGGTTTGTAATCCTAGCACTTTGGGAGGCGGAGGTGGGAGGATCATTTGGGCTCAGGAGTTCGAGACCAGCCTGGGCAACATAGTGAGACCTTGTCTCTAAAAAAAAAAAAAAGAAAAAAAAGACATTTCATTAGATGTCCTGAAGCGGGGAGAGAAAATAGGGAAGATGACTTGGGGATAGAAAGAACAAAGAACAGGTTCTGCTGCCCTCCCACCAACTTTCCCTACAATAGGAAGATGCTAGAGGTCTGTGGAGCCCACTCCTCCTCTCTCCTGGGCAGCACACTAGGGGCAAAACCTCAGAGGAGAACGGGCCTGGTGATCACAATGGGGCCCAGCACGAGGCCTCCAGACTCAGCCAGGAGTTCCTGCCCCAGGTGGGTGTGGAGCAGGGCACCTTTGACTTCAAGGGACCACAAAGGCTTGGACAGGGAAGATGTCTGTGGTGACCATGGTGAACTGAGATTGAAGTCCTGTCCTCATGTTCGGGGTGTGCAAGAGCCTTTCAGGTCTGCTAATTAATAATGGCTGAGACTAAAATTACCCTGTGGGATAGGGATTTGGAGTGGAATGTTAATTTGATTTAAATACATTAACATGATATTTCCGGCACACCTCTGTCATAGACTGAGATTCACACTCATTATGTGAGGAAACAGCTTCTTGAAATTTTTCCCTGTCTCAGACTCAATGATTCTAAGGACCTCGCAGATCAGCTGTGGGTTGAGGCAGGGGACTGAGCAGTTGGCTGGCAGGGTGGGGAAGCAGGTCTGCTCCAGGCTCTAGAAAGCCCTCTGAAGCAAGCTTGGGAGTCTGCTTCACCCAAATCCTTCTGCTGCCTCTGCAGGGGACTGGATTTCTCACCACCCTGGGCAAACTAGATGTGGGGTCCCTGCTGGCCTGGGACGTGGTACTCTCTGAGCATAGCTAGGATGGGTGTCCTGGGACTCCAGGATGGCTAACCCAGGACTGAGGGAGATCCCAGGATATGAGCATTTCCGTATTTTATTTATTTTATTTTTTAGACAGAGTCTTGCTCTGTCACCCAGGCTGGAGTGCAATGGCGTGATCTCAGCTCACTGCAATCTCTGCCTCCCAGGTTCAAGCAATTCTCCTGCCTCAGCCTCCCAAGTAGCTGGGACTACAGGAGCCCGCCACCACGCCCAGCTAATTTTTTGTATTTTTAGTAGAGACAGGGTTTCACCGTGTTAGCCAGGATGGTCTTGATCTCCTGACCTCGTGATCCATCTGCCTCGGCCTCCCAAAGTGCTGGGATTACAGGTGTAATACGCACCCAGCCTAGTATTTCAGTTTTAAAACCGGGTAAGTCTTGCAGAAACGGGGACTAGTTGGTCACCTGATCTTGCTATTGGTTCATTATCTCACCCGTCCCTGGCTTCCAGGGGATGTTCCAAAGTCATCCATCTCAGATGGGGATTGGAAATGGGATAGGAGAATCCCTCCCCTTTTTCCACAACCACCCAGATGGGACAGAAATTCTATGATCTCCCTGGGGAATCCAGAAAGGGAAGAGGGTTGGGGCTGGGACTTGCCAAGTAGTCAAGTGGGAACATATTTGACCCAGTGAGTTCACTCCACCTCTGCTGTCACATCCCTGGTAAATCAACAGCTACTAGTTTCTCAGATTTTCTGTCTTAACCAACCAACCCTGGTCTCAGCACCAGGGACCAATCAGAAAAGGAGAGACCTGGGGCTCTTCTCCCTGGTCCTATAATGTTGGTATCTGACAACACCAAGACCAGCCATTTTGGAGAGAAGTTAGAGGACCGGTGATCTAAGTCAGCAATCTAACTGGGAGGAGAAGAGAGGGATTGGCCTGCAGCAAGGCCCCAAATTGTGTAAGTTTCACGCTCCAGGAAGCCTGGGTCTGCCCTTGAGAGGAGGCTCCTCACCCATCACACTTAGTAAATAGCCCCCAGGGATTCCTCCTCCACAGCACTCCAGGCTGTGCCACAGCTGCTGACCTCGTCCCTCTAAATTCCTCCAGGACGGCCCAGGCCTCCGCAATAAAATGGGGCCTCCGGCAATTGCCCAGATTTGCCTGGATTCTTGAAAGAGCTTTGATGAGCTCTTGTACAGAACTTTGCCCGCATTACTTTTGACTTTCATAGCTCCTTGTGAATTAGCCAGGAAAGCAAAAGCTAATTAAGCCACTTAATTAAGAACTGAAAGGAGGTTTAAAATTTCACCTCTAGGAAATGGTTCCAGGGTGGAGAGGACTGTATATTTCACACAGTATACCTTACTTCCCGGAAACTTTCCCTCCCATCTTGGTTATCCTACAGCATGTTAGCATTTATGCCCTTCACCTTACATAGCTTTGTGTGTATCTGTGTGTGTATTTAGGTAAATTCACTTATTATCTTTGCTGAGCGTGACTGTATGTCAGGTGCTGGGGCTAGGCACTTTCAAAACAATACCATTTAAGCCTTCCAAACCCATGGGACGTAGGTACTATTATTAGGCTCATTTCAGGGATGGAAAAAACTGAAGCTTAGAATATATTTTGTTGGAAGAGAATAGTGCCTCACGCCTGTAATCCCAGCACTTTGGGAGGCTGAGGCAGGCAGATCACCTGAGGTCAGGGGTTCGAGACCAGCCTGGTCAACATGGCAAAATTCTGTCTCTACTAAAAATACAAAAATTAGCTGGGCGTGGTGGCAGGTGCCTGTAATTCCAGGTGCCTGGGAGGCTGAGGCAGAAGAATCGCTTGAACCTGGGAGGCAGAGGTTGCAGTGACTCTTGAACCTGGAAGGCAGAGGTTGCAGTGAGCCGAGATCACACCACTGCACTCCAGCCTGGGTGACAGAGTGACTCCGTCTCAAAAAAAAAAAAAAAAAAAAAAAAGGAATATATATTTTGTCATGAGCTGTGTTGGAGTAGAACTTGAATCTTGAGCCTGACCCTGTCCTGCCCCTGTCCTGCCTCTGTCCTGCCTCGATCTCTGTCCAGAGACACATAAATGTACACGAACATATTTCATATGTGTATGTCATGCCACCTATTACTTGGGGGCAAAGATTGTATAGTACAACGTTTCTTTAAAATCTCAGAATCCTGTAGATAACATTCTATAGATTTTACAGATTAAAAACAAACAAACAAACAAAAAAACTGAGGCAGGTCCAGAGTCACACAGCAAGTTAATCAAAAAGCACTACATCTAGAATTGCTGCCTTGGGAATTCAATGTGCATAGAGCTATGGGGTTGGGAGCTAGCATTAGCTCAGGCTACCAGATGAATGAATTAATGAAGGAATAAGAACGAACGTATGTGTGAAGAGTGAGTAATTTAAGGGTGAGCTGGTTTGAGATCATCACAGTCAGATCTGGCAACAAAAGGTGTCATTGAGCTCCTAAGTGGTGTAAGTTTAACCTCCTGGTTCCCTCAATGCCAAGTCAATTGCCAAGGATCCTGCTGACCTCTTGCCATGAACTTCTCCCCTCTGGACCAATTTTCTCTTTTTGAGGGGATTCCAGGATGGTATTTACCACCTCTTCAAAAGGAATCAAAGGAAAACAAAACACACAATAATCTTAAAAGGGCAAAGATTTTTTTTTCTCCCTTCCTTCTCCCCATCGGCAACACATGCATACCCCAGCACTATTTGGTGCTAGATACTGTATGACTCAGCTTGCTTTTTTCCCAGGGGCTTTACTGGAGCAAGCTTGAGGAGGAGTAAGTGTAAAAATGCAGTAGGAGATAAAGCTTGGGGGTAGGTGAGAATTTTCTACCATAGTGATGTGAACGGACTGCCCTCTTAGAAGCTCAGAAGAAGTGAAGACAGGAGGCCAAAATCAAATGCACACTTCCCATCCCTCCCAGTCCCAGCTGGGTGCCAGGCAATAACCTTGCTACTCACATCTGCCTCGTTCCAGAGCCCTGGGATGCAGAAGGACTCCAGCAGGTCACTACCACACAGCAGCAGGATCCGTAGCTCTGAGGAAGGGGAGCAAAGTTTGCAAAGGGAGTAAGTGGTGGCCCGGGAAGCATTTGACCCTCAGCCTTCTTCCCCTGGTGAATACATAACTCTCCCACCTTTGGGGATGTGGGGCCCAGTTATCCCAGGTGCCTCTGCCCCTGAGTGTGTGCAGAGCAGAAACCCCTGCTCACCTCTTCCTCGGGCTCATTTCCAGACCACCCTCATCCCCTGTGGGAGGAATTACTCATGCAAGGAGAGTAGAGCATAGCGGGTGATCGACTGCCCTGGCTTTCCCAGGACATAGATCTTTCAGGGCTAAGCCAGGATGGTTCATTATTGTAACTGTGGCTGAGCCAGCTACGCATCTTGTCTAAGGTCTGAGGTACTCTCTCTTGCTCCCTGTCAAGCTCAAACGCCAACAGAGTTTGGATTCTCTGCTACTGTGCATTGTCTGGAGTTTGTCTCCCTGACATGGGAGGGGGTGTGAGGGGACAGTGAGTGTACCTTGAGGTAGCTGAGTGTATAAAATGTGTCACATGGCCACTGTCCCCAGCAAAGGGCTTGAGAAGCAAGGCTGAGGCCCCTCCCAGTGCCCATACTTTTCCTGGCACCCAGGCGCACTTCCTGCTTGTCAGTTGTTTTTCTTCCCTCATTAAGCTCACTCTGAATTATCCCAGTGAGGCCCATTGTTGTTTAAAACAGGCAGCAAACTGACTCACTTATTAAAACTGAGCAGTGGGGAACAACATTCTGAGAATACCGTGAGGAGAGTCCTCACCCAGGATGTGGCTCAGGGTGGAGCACAGCGTGGCTCCCAGGCGTTCCAGGCCCTCTCATCAAGAGGCCGAGGCTGTTGGGCATCTTGTCTGAAACAGTGAGGCAGGTCTGCACTGAGGGCACCACCAGCCTTCCAGAGACAGCTGCCAGCACAGGCCCTGGGGCCCTGAGGCCCAGGCGAGAGACAGAGAAGCTGCGGGCAGCCCTGCCTGCCTTAGACCCTGTGGCTAGTTCTGGGACCTGACGAAGGCTTTCAGGTGGTAAGCTGTCCCCTGCTGTGGAATGAGTCTCTAGGTGGGACTCCTGAAGCAGGGGGGAGGCTACTGGGCCAATGGTGGGCAATGCCAGCATCTCATGGTCCCAGGGTCAGGGCAGCCTTCCCACGTAAGGGAGCCCCACTGAGGACTGGATTGTAACTATGAAATATTCCTGCATCCTGTCTTCTCTCCTCTCTAACATACCTTAGTCTAATGATCTGTTTGTGTGCAGGGATTTTCCTTTATCTTTACAGCCCCAGGGTCTGGCAGAGTCACTGGCATACAGTAGGTGCTCAGGCATGTTGAATGGGTAAGGCAACAGATGAGCTGACAACAGAGATCCTGCAGGCTGCCTTCCGGGCAATCTGGGAGGGCTGTGGTGACTATCGTGGCCTCTGCTCTTGCAGCATGGGGTCACTGGGGAGAATGTTTGCCTGAGTCAGTGGCGCCTCTGCGTTGCGCCATAGGATTTCTGGCCCAACTCCCCAACTGTGGAGAGGAACCACACTTGGTATTGCTGACAGGAGCCAGACTAGGCTTATTTCTCGGATTCTGTTGTTCCTCAGGCCCACTTGGAGCCACCCAGGGTTCTAGGTCAGTTCTCTGTTGAAAGGGCACGTCTCTGTAATTCTGACTGCCTATAAGTTCAGTTAGATCAAGCTTGTCCAACCCAAGGCACATAGGCCACATGTGGCCCAGGGTGGCTTTGAATGCAGTCTAACATAAATTCGTAAACTTCCTTTTTTTTTTCTTTTTTTGGAGATAGAATCTCCCTCTGTCACCCAAGCTGGAGTGCAGTGACACGATCTTGGCTCACTGCAACCTCCGCCTTTCAGGTTCAAGCAATTCTCTTGCCTCAGCCTCCCAAGTAGCTGGGATTACAGGTGCCTGCCACCACACCTGGCTAATTTTTGTATTTTTAGTAGAGAGGGGGTTTCACCATGTTGGCCAGGCAGTTCTCAAACTCCTGACCTCAAGTGATCTGCCCACCGTGGCCTCCCAAAGTGCTGGAATTACAGGCATGAGCCACTACACTCGGCATGTAAACTTTCTTAAAACATTATGAGATTTTTTTTTGGCGACTTTTTTTCTTTTTTTTTGCTCATCAGCTATTGTTAGTGTTAGTGTATTTTTTTTTTTTTTTTTTTTTTTTTTGAGATGGAGTTTCGCTCTTGTTGCCCAGGCTGGAGTGCAATGGCGTGATCTCCGGCTCACCGCAACCTCCGCCTCCTGGGTTCAAGCAATTCTCCTGCCTCAGCCTCCTGAGCAGCTGGGATTACAGACATGTGCCACCACACCCGGCTAATTTTGTATTTTTAGTAGAGATGGGGTTTCTCCATGTTGGTCAGGGTGGTCTTGAACTCCCAACCTCAGGTGACCCGCCAGCCTCGGCCTCCCAAAGTGCTGGGATTATAGGCTTGAGTCACCGCGCCCAGCCTAGTGTTAGTGTATTTTATGTGTGGTCCAAGATAATTCTTCCTCTTCCAATGTTGCCCAGGGAAGCCAAAAGATTGGACAGCCCTGAATTAGATGGTCATGTCAACAGGGAATGTGCTGGCCCTCAGCTTTCTCTCATCACTGGTTCTCAACTGAGGGCAATTTTGCAATTGCCAGGGGACATTGGGCAATGTCTGGACATTTTTGGATGTCAGGACTGGAGGGAGAGGGTGGCATGCTACTGGCATCTAGTGGGTGGAGGCTAGGAGTGCTGCTAAACATCCTACAATGCACAGGGAAGCCCCCCTCCCCAACACATCTGTTCCCAAATGTCAATTAGTGCCAAGGTTAAAAATCCCTGCTTACAGCCATGAAAATAAATCTCTTTCCTATTCCCAAGCCAGGGACACACTATCCCAACCAAATATAATATGGGACTTTTATGTTTTAAGCCAAAGCACAAAGAGTTCAAGAGTACGGTCTCTGCCACCCTTTCTTGCAGGACCAGTGCAAACATTTAAGTCAGACAAGCGGCCCCAGCAGGGCTTGAGATCCCACATATGGCCACTGGAGGGCAGCAGTGACTTCTCCCAGTTTGTCCTATGAGGCTAAGGCAAGTTTCCAGCCCAACAGCCTGTGGTCTAGGGCAGCCCTGGAGGAGCAGTCAGCTGTTAGGAGCATGTAAATAGGGTCAACAGACGCTAATGGAGCTAGGAGAAAATGGCTTTTCCTCCTCATTTAGTGTGGAAGGAAATATTAAAAAAGGGGACACGTGAGCCCCAGCGCCTCACACAGCGCAGGAGTCGGGAGGCAGCGAGCTCCCTTCCAGCTCCTCTGGGCTAGCCTCCTTCCCCAGGTCACGCTGATCCAGGGCCACGAGCCAGAATGCACACTCTCTGTCCACACTCCCCTCCCAGGAATCCGGGCTATGTGAAGCCCGGGCCCTGCAGCCCATCCCAGTTTCCACTGCATGCAGCCACCACCTGGACCATGCCAGGACCTGAGCCCAATCTGACAGCTGTGGCTGCTGAGCTGTCCTTTCTCGGAACCTAAGTGTTCTCCATTCTCTACCCCACACTGTCCTTTCTCCATCACATGCAGGTAGACCCTCCCTCTCAGCGAGCACAGGGGATGTGGAAGGGGACAGGCAGAGCCTCAGGGAAGCCAGAGGTGAGAGGTCACTCCCCAGCAGCATTTTTGGTCCCTGGCGGCTGGCTCACCATAACTCCAGAACTGCTATGGAGCAAGAAGAGTAAGCAGAGGCCCCTGCCCCTCCCGAGGTAGCCGTGAGCTAATGGAAGTGAACACAGCAGTACGCTGTGCAATACTGATCACCACTGTCCTCTCCTGGAGGGGACTCCTTGAGTCAGGATGAGGAGTGCCTGATCCACCTGCCCCAGGCGCTAGGAAGGCAAGCAAGGCCATGGCTCAAGCTTGCCACAATACATCTCTGGACTAAGGAAAGAGAAATACACTGGAATACAATGAGAAGTCCTAAGGCTGAGCTCTGCTGGCCAAGGAGACTGCGTGGGAAGGCAGCAGGTGGTGACCAGGCTGGAACTGCAGGGAAGTGGAGTGCAGGAGCTTTCAGCCCAGCCCAGGCACCTTCCCTCCCATCCTTGCCTGTTGGGTGTTCTGGGTCTGGAGAACCTAGAGCCAAATGCTCCTGCCTGTTTTGGGGAGCAACCAGGAAGGCGGGTGCTCCTTCCTGTGGCCTTCAGAGAGTGACTTGCTGGTCAATAAAGGATATTAAAATTAGTAAAATAATCAAGAAGTGAGGAGTTTTGAGTATTCATTCCTTTTGTTTTTAATTAAATTTAATTTTAAGTTAATATAACTTAATTTTTAGTAATGGCTCTATTTAAAACTGGTTCACAAAATTCCTGAAAACTTTACAAATGGTTGTAGGAAACCACCTGAGCCAATTCAGGGACACCACTGCACCTCAGATGAGAGGATGAGACCCAGAGAAGCCCCTTGAAATGACATCACATCTGCCGGGTCTGTGTGAACCAAGTGCTCAGGACAAACCCTGCCTCTCAGGATTGCAGTGGGAGCCCTGACTTCCAGTCCTTGGACAGAAAAGTACCAGGAAGGGATGCTTGGAGGATCTTTTCAGCTGGAAGTTGAAGATTGAGGGTGTGGACACCAGGCTGCCTTGCCCTAGAGCTCCAGGCATTCCTGATGTCACTGACCCTTCTTGTCCCCTGGTACCTGTGCCAGCTCCAGCTCTATTCTGGTGTCTCCCTGCCCTTTCCCCAGCTTCAGACACCTGCGTCTCCCACCATTCTGAAACCCTGGGAAGATTTCAGTGTTCCTATCTGCTTCTCAATTTGCTTGTAGGGGTCATCAACTTCTTCCCACCCTGACAGCTGTGTAACCGCCCTCCACCGGCTCGGGCCTGCCCTGGCCTGCTCTGGTATTGGGTTGGGCAGGCAGCCCTCACACAGACAGTGAAGTGCCTTAGCCTCTGCCCAAGGCTGCAAGGGAGGTGTGGAGGTGGCTTTCAGTCCCCTCTCTGTTTCTTCATCTACAAGCACTGAATGAGGAAGGCCGGGGTGCTCTTCTGCCTCATTTGTGTGCAGTGTCTGTGCCCAAAAGAAGGGTCTTTCCAGCTGGTGCCAAAGCTCAACTTTCATGTTTTTTAGAGGAGGGAGTGGAGGCTCTGAAGGAAAAATCACCAAATGATCCAGTCCTATCTCTTGGGAGTTGGCTGGAGTCCAGTTAAGAGATGTTAAAGGGAGCTAACTACGAATGCAATCTTAGCCTGGGAACGATCCCTCTTCCGAGAGGAGACCCTGCTGCAAAACAGTCCCTGGGTTTTCAAGCCTCTCTGCTCCCCATGTTGCCTGTCGTGAAGGCAGGGAGCTCCAAATGTCCCCATTTTCCGCACTTTCGCAGTCCCACTCACCAATCTCTTCATACCGCATCACCGTGCCCAGATTGGCATTCTCATCTAAGGAGGAAAGAAGGAAGGTAGGGCATTAGGGAACAGGCTTCCTGGTACCCAACACACAGTCTGCCTGAGGGCCTCAGCAGGAATTATTGGGATGGGGTGGGGTGGGTGCAAGTAGGGGTGTGGTGTGCCACCTGAGGAGGGTGAATGGAGAGCAGTCAGGCATAAAACGGACAGGAAGCTTTCCTCCCGCTCCAGGAGCAGCACTTCACATTGCTGGGACTTTCAGAATGAGACAGCCTGGCTGGGGAGCCAATGCCGAACACACACACGCTCATGCTGAGCGCCTTCTGTTTCTGTGTTTGAGGGAGGCTGGCCACAAGAGCAACATCCTTACAACCTAGGGAGATGGCTTTCTGGGCCACAAGAGGTGGCTGGCTCTCCTTAGGGATTACCTGGTTTAAAGAACAAGCACACTGTGGGTGCAGAACTTTTTCACATGGTGGAATGTAGCAAGTGCCTGCAGGAAGATGTGAAAGACTGAGTCTTCGATGTGCCCTTGTGTGTGCAACGCCTGTGTGGGGGGATACGTTGTGCACAAGTACGCACACACACACAATCACGGGAATTTGCGGTGGGGGGAATGTGCTTGAGGATCTTTGCTGAAGGAATGAAGGGAGGAGAGAAAGAAAAGAGACAGGACTGGGAATCAAGTTCCTTGGTTCCTCACCTACAAAGGTGAAACGCTCCACCGGCGGGCGGACACAGCAGATCCGGCTGAGGCTTTCTCCCACCTTCCCCAAGATCTTGGCTATGGGAGAGAGCAAGACAGACAGGGACAGAGTGGGAGAGAACAACTCACAACTGGCACTCATGTCGGCCCGGCATTGGGGCCGCTGTAAACATCAGGGTGCATGGACGGGGCAGGAGTGGGGAGCAGGAGGTAGCAGGAGGGTAGAGAGAAAGAACAGAAATATGACAGCACAAATTCCTTCTTCTCACTCACAGTCTGAGGCACACGCATTGTGAGCCCTAGACTGGAAGCCATTTTCTGGTTATGTTTATTTCATTGTTGAAAACTTGGAAAATATAGAAGAGGGAAAATATAAAGAGGAAAACTTAATGCACCCATAATCCCACCCCAAGAGATAACTCCTGCCAACCTGTTGGCATGTCATTTATTTTCTTTCATGTTTTAAATGTGTATTATGCAGGTATGTCTACATAAAGTGGATCAGATTTTCCATTTAAAGGGCATATAGGCTGCTGGCTTCTTTCATTTTCTATATCATGAACATTTCTTCCCCAGGTTTGTCCCAAGCCTATCCTTAGCTGCTCCTCCCACTGGGCAGCTACACCCACATCCAAGGAGATTCAGCAAAGTACATGCTTGGAACCATTTCTGCTGGGCTAAGGCGCTCCTTCCCATGCAGATGGTCTTCAGAATCATCAGACATCCTATTTGGCTGAGAGGGATCTGGTTTTCAATTATCCCTCTGGGCTCCAATCCAGAAAAATTTTCTGAGCCCCCCACATGTAGCTGTATGCAAACTGTGAAATTCTGACTCTTCTTTGTGAATTACCCTGTTTATAATAGACCAATAATATAATAGCTTATGGTCTCCAGGCTTGAAAAGTAATATCAGAATCTGTCTCTTGGAGTTGGCTTGAAGAAAATTTTAGAGCATGGACCTGGGAGCCTGACAGTACTGAATATGAATTCTAGCTCTTCTACTTTTGAGCTGTGTGACAAATCAGCAAATCACTTTTCTTCTCTGAATCTGTATTCTATTTGAAATGAGAACATAATGTCTATATCACAGTATTACTGCATTAAATAAGAACGCAGGTAAAGCACGAGCATCATTTGGGCACATAGTCCTAGGTTTGGGGTATGTGTTGGTGCTCTCTGTCACTGGATTGATGGCTAAGAGTGTGGGGATTCTGGGTGCGGACCGCCTGGGTGTGACTCATGGCCCTGCTTCTTGCTCACTGTGTGACCTTTGGCAAGATCCTCAACCTCCCTAGAAGAGGCAGAGAAAAATGCTCCATTTTGTATATTCAATTCCCAGTTAACACAATTATTTCTCAAAATTTATGTATTTTTTTGAGACAGGGTCTCACTCTGTCTCCCAGGCTGGAGTACAGTGGCACAGTCCCCCAGTCCCTGCAACCTCCTCCTCCTGGGCTCAAGAGATCCTCCCACCTCAGCCTTCTGAGTAGCTGGGACTACAGGTGTGTGCCACCATGCCCAGTTAATTTTTGTTATTGTTATTATTATTATTATTATTTGGTACAGGTGGGGTTTCGTCATGTTGCCCAGGCTACTCTCAAACTCCTGGGCTCAAGCCATCCACCCACCTCAGCCTCCCAAAGTGCTGGGATTACAGGCGTGAGCCACCAGGCCCGGCCCTACGTTTATATTTAAATGCAGGAGAAGAGTGCACACCACCACCTGCCTCTCTCTGATTGTGACTGGTTTGCTCTTATGCTCAGTATTCAGGGTCCTCAAAGTATTGTCTCTGGACTAGCAGCATCAGCAGCACCTTATTAAAAATACAAGTCCTCTTTCCCCTCTCAGACCTACTGAATCAAGTTCTGGGTGGATCCCAGTAGTCATTAATTTAACAAGCCCTCCACATGATTCTGAGGTCTGAGAATCACACATCAGTGTTCCCCTACCTGCAGTGGGCTTGGTGGCCACGTTGCTGTTCTGGTAAATGGGCTGGGGGGTCTCGTTTTGTGGCTGTCCGATCACAGGTGTCATGGAAGGTGTGTTGACATTGGAGAGGATGCAGCCAGTCACCCTCTAGGGAGAGAGAGAAGAGTGTTATTAGTCATGTGACTTTGAGAATCGTTTCAAAGTTATCTCCAAGTGGTCATCTGCTTGTCCATCATGGAGAGGCCACCCAGAGCTGAGGAAGAGCCCTGGGGATGGGTTCTAGACCCAGCTGCATCATGTGGTCACTAGGCTGGCAGGAGCAGCTCAGTGGGAGAAGCATGAGATGTGGTGTTATAATGGGTCCTGGGTCCAAATTTGGGCTCTGCCTCCTTCTAGCTATGTGACCTTGGACAGTTATTTCATCGCTCCTGAACCTCAAATCAGGAGTCTAACCATATATCTGTCTTTTTCAGTTGTGGTCGGGTCACACAAGCGAGCATATGCAAAGTGCCTATGGGGTGCCTGACCCATGGCAGGAGCTCTGTCAGCAGCAGGCGATGCTGGAACCTTCTGTGTAACATGAATATCTGCCCTCCCCAAATGCTTCATGGGGCTCAAATGAGATCATGTCTGCAAAAGGGCTCTGTAAGCTTGGGAAAGGTCATACAAACACAAGGCACGATCACCACCTGCGGCCTCTTTGGGCCAGAGCTGTCAGTAACACAGCCAAGCAAGAGGGAGAGTGGTGCCAGGCAGCACAGGATGTGTTTGTGCTGCGGGAAGCAGGGTGGGTGGGTTCTGAGCACTCTCTCGCCTGCTCAGTGTGAATACACATGACAGAGCCAAGTGGAAATTCTGTGTGTATTATCTATTGTCCTGAGTTATCTGCCAGGCTACTCCTCACCAGTGCTGCAGAAAACACAGAGCTGATAAGGCAGCATTCCTCACAGCTGACCCAGAAGCAATCCCACTGGGCCAAGGTGATGGGGAGAGTAGCTGTTGGGCAACAGAGAAACAAAGGACAAATTCCCAATCTGTTTAGGTTCACAGGGGCCACTGCTTATTCAAGGTTTCTTCGTTTCCAAAAGCCAGCTGCCTGGGTACCCACCACCCACTCCTGCACGCTACCCTTTCTGGATTTGGGTTCTGCTGCCAGGGGACCCCCAGGCCCAAGGCTGGGGTGATCTTCTGGGCACCTCTTCCACAGGCCATCTTGTGGGCAGAGCAGTGTATGAGTCCTTCTGAGCCCTAGAAGGGCAGCATTTGTCTTGTGGGGTAACCTGTCACCTTTGTAAGACTCCTGATAGGAGGAGGTCACATCTGACCACATCTGGGAGCCAGCTGGGGTGGGTACCACGGGATCTTTTCACCTCTTGGTGGGATTCTTCACCCAGCTGTGGCTGGTGGGGTGGGAGGGATGGTCTGCCTCCATTTATTACTTCACCACCAGAAAAGAAAACCCTGCATTTCTATTTCCTGATTGGCCTGGTAGCTGAGGAGCTTCTTCCTCTTGCTGCACTGTGGGTCGCATTTGACTTGTTCTATCTCTGAGAAGTAGAAAATGGCTGGCTGCATTCCCCGATCCTGCCCTCGTCAGCCCCCATGGGCTCCTGCATTCTCAGAGGCCTTGATATTGGAGAGTTGTCCCAAGTCACCTGTTAAGTCATGCATCTATCTCTGCGGCAGGTCTACTCTCCATGCAGGGAACACCTGCCTCATGCTTGCTAGGTGTTTGAAGGCTGAGAGTTCTTAGGAAGCAGCTCCAAGCTCTTGCTCCAAGACAGGGGGGCCGGCAGTGACCTACATTCTTTGCCAGCTTCTGCCCATCGCTGCAACAGCTGGGGTTCCTGGCAGAGCTTCTCTGGCCCAGACTTATACCCTGGGCATAAGTAACACAGGGAGAGTTCAGGAAGCCCGGGCATTTAGACATCAAATGATAGCCAGGCTTTCTGGCCAGTATGGCCAGCACTGAGGAATGCCTGCAGGGTCCCCTTTCCTCTCTTCTGTCATGGAGCCTGAGGCTTCTGTGTGACCAGAAAGAGCACAGGACTGCAGGAACTCCCCAGGTGACATGTAGTGTGAGAAATAAACTTGTGTGAAGTCACTGAGCTTTTAGGGATGTTTGTCACCACAGCACGTCTTTGCCTATCCTGACTGATACAGTCTTACACAGTGTCTTTTATTACTGCTATTGTGGAGACCAGCACAGAGGAGCAAGTCAGTGTGGCCCCAAGTCAGCCTCCTTTGAAGGGGACCAGAAGGGTCAGGATATGTGAGAAGGGTTCTGAAAGCTGAAGGGAAGGGAAATCAGTTTTCTTCAATTCCGTGGGGAAGAAAACAACAGATGGAGAACAGCCAGCTGGTCCTCTCTACCTCACTTGCCCTTAGCTCCCCAGGACGGAGCAATGAAGCGCCACATCTGTTAAAATAAAGCCTGGCTTTGCAGCTGGTGGAGTGTGGGGTGGTCAGGGGCTGCTCCCCAGGAAGAACGTGGTGACAGGCCCTCTGGCAGCAAGGACACAGATGGGACATGGGCTCTCCCTGTAGGAGGGCAGTGCCAGGTGGACTGCTATCTGGGGCTGCGGAGGGCTCTGCTGCAGAGTCCGTGGAGGCGAGCAGAATTGACTGTTTGCTGTCTTGGTTGGTCAGGCTTCTCGCCATCGGTGGCATTGCTTTTCATCCTGTCACTGTGGAGTGGATGGGTTGGCACTGATCTGGGAAGGGTGCTTTCTGCACACTCTGGCCAGTGCTGCTGGCTGGTATGGAGCCCATTCTAACCTGGCAACCAGCCCTGAAGTCTCTGCAGCCCGGCCACAGGCCCCAGGCCCCAATGGGGAATACAGAAGCTCTCGCCTATCTGTGTTCACCAAACACTCACTGTGTGTGCTCAGATATGTGGACTCCTCTCTGTGATCCCTTTTACCCACTAATAAAACAGGCATCAGACACCATCTGCCTGTGGGGCTCTTGTGAGGAGGAATGGGTGGGAATGGGGTGCAATGACTGGCAGGTGTGAAGTGCCCCAGCCACAGCAGCCTGTCCTGGAGTAAGGGGGCCAGTGGGGCCCCCACAGGCTGCTTGTACCTCCCCTAAGTGCTTCTCTCTTCTCCTGCCTTTCATTGTCCAGTTTCCTCCTCCCTCACTTTCTGAAGTCCTATCACTGTGGTCTCCTTAATCCCACCTTGAACTTGCTCCCAGCTAATAAAAGCTGCCCACCATACCCAGCAGCAACACCCCAAATGGGAGGTCAAGACAGAGGGTGGAAGACAGGGAACAGACCCTGGTGCTACTCGGGGTTCCTCATTCATTGTTCTTCATGCTGTTCACAGGCTGGTCTCTCTCACAACCGGCAGAGAAATAAGAGGCTGAAAGCAGGTCGATAGGCCAGCAGCACCCTCTCCTCTCCCTGCCTGGTTTCTGTGGGTCCAGCCCCTTCCGCCCTTGCACTCTGGTGGTTCACGCATCCCCAGGCTTGGCCCAGCTCACCTTCATGAGGTCCCGGTGGTGTTCCAACACGCTGCAGGTCGTCTGCCAGGTGTCCTGGTAGCACTCCCAAGGGTCCACCCTAACATCATCGGAAAGAAGTTTCCCTTGGTTTCTGTTCTCATATTCTTTCCTTATTGTTACCTTCCAAAAATCATAGCTCAGGAAGCATGGCAGATCTGGCCATACCATGCGCTTAGATCTTGAATCAGATAAAACCTGGGTGTGAAACACTCTTCTGAGCTTCAGTTTCCTCCTCTGTAAAATGAGAGGAGCATGGCATAGGCTTATGAGAAGAGATGCTGGTGCCAGTCTGCCTGGGTTTAATTCCAGCCTCAGCTCTTTGCAACTGTGTGGCTTTGGGAAAGTTATGTGATCTCCCAGTGCCTCACCTTCCCCATCTGTAAAATGGGAATAACAATAGTAACGAGCTTACAGTTTTGTTAGAAAGGCTCGGTAAGTTTTATGTGTACAATGCTCAGTACAGCATCTTGCTCTTATTGTTACCTGCAAAATAAACCCTCCTTTGGACCCTTGAGGATTGTGACAAGGATTAGCTGAGCCAGGCCTTTGTCAAGTGGTGGCCCAGGTTATCCTTGCCAGGCTGCAAACCCTCGAGAATCAGTCTTCCCTGCCTCCCTCTGCAGTGAGGTGCCTTGTGGGCGTGGAGGTGAGACATGACAGTCAGATGAGAGGGCGCAGACACAACAATGGCCAGCCCCTCCGGGATACTGCTTGTGACGTAAGCAGGGATCCAGCCCCAGACTGAGGCAGCACTGGGGCTTAATTGCCAACTTAATGATTTTTTTTTAGACAGAGTCTTGGTCTGTCACCCAGGCTGGAGTGCAGTGGCAAGACCTCGGCTCACTGCAACCTCCATCTCCTGGGTTCAAGTGATTCTCCTGCCTCAGCCTCCTGAGTAGCTGAGACTACAGGCACATGCCACCATGCCCAGTTAATTTTTGTATTTTTAGCAGAGATGGGGTTTCACCACATTGTCCAGGCTGGTCTCAAACTCCTGACCTCAGGTGATCCGCCCACTTCGGCCTCCCAAAGTGCTGGGATTACAAGCATGAGCCCCCGTGCCCTGCCTTGTCTAACATTTTCTTAGCAGTCATGCATCCCCTTAACACCACCACCCTACCCCACCACCCCACCACATACACATGCCTAAAGTGCCCAGAGATGAGATCCCACTAGCTGAAAACCCTTAGAGAGTCAGCTTGCCATTTGCCGGGACCCTGGCTCCCCCTAGATCCCTAGCCAGGCCCTGTGCCCTGGGAGCGCACCTGTGCCGGAAACAAACACTTCACCTGGCTAAATGGGATCCCAGTGTCAGGCGCCCCACCCCAGCCAACCCCATCTCTAGAGGCAGCTCTTAGACTCCCTAGTGATCTCAATTCTCAGGATTCTGATTTTCCAACTTAGAGCAGCCCAGGGAAGGTGGTAGGCACTCAGTAGATAGTTGTGGAATGCATGAGGGAATTATTCCAGAATCTTCTAAGCACATCCAAGCAGTAACAGTCTCCTGCCCAGTGATTTCCTCACTGGACCCTTATTCAAGGTCCCCAGCATCCCCAGAAGATCAGGACTTACAATGTTAAGAGGCCTCATTTCTAATCCTTTCTTGCCTACGGGTGTATCAATGTATCATTGCTCAAGCCCTTTCATTTCTCTGGGCCTGTTTCTCACCTGAGAAAAAGCAGCTGTCTCTCTACCTAAGCTTTATCTTTAGGGGGATAAGAAAGTCTATAAAGGGCATGTGCTTCTCACACAAATCACTGCGCACAAATAGCAAGGATCACTGCTGAATTATTACTGTGGCTTCCCTTCACTGCTCTCATTCCCGCCCACCCCGCTCTTCCTGGGCAAACTCTCTGCATTCCTCATTCTGAGGTCAGCATCCCGTCACTTCGCCCCTTTCATGGAAACCTCTAGGTGCTGCTTATTTTTCCATAGTGGGGGAAATTACAGCACAAATGGCATGCCATTATTTTTTTAAAACATCATCTTATCATGCAAATTATAACGGTAAGAACTTTGGGGAACATCATTAGCATAATTAGTGGAAGCTTGCTTTAATTACACTGCAAGCTCAGCGGAGGTGGGTGGAGGTGCCTTCCTAGCAGCACGTCTGGCCAGAAAGGCAGTGAGCAGGAAAGCCACCCAGTGGGTGTGATTTGGTGTGGCTGCCCTTAGGGGCAGGCCCGCACCTGTCTCCTGGGGCCAGTGTGGGGCCCTTAGGGAGCCTGAGTTCAGGAATGGGAAATTGTCAAGGTGAGGGAACATTCCCTGAAAGGTAGTGAGGGTTCGCGGAAGTTAGTGGGAATGAAAGTGAGAGGCATTTCTGATTTTCTGGTCATGCTTCACCCAAAACCCAGTGATATTTCTGGAAGCTCCAAGAATCATGCCAGGATTCAGAGATGTCAAAGCAGATGAAACATTCAAGCACATTCTTTACATTCATGGGCCTCACAGTTTGGTTCAAAAATAAAGTTATAGGTATCCCTGGAGGTCTACTTATTGCCTCCACAAGGCTAATATCTTGCCCCTGCCTCCCCATCCTTTCAGGATCCAAATTACTGCTGGAACTCTTCTTTTTTCCCCACCCCACTCCCAGTAAGTCTCCGGGCCACTGCCTCTGGCATCTTCAGGCCAGTCCTACCTGATCCAATCAGAATTCTGGACGGCCAGCTGACACATGATGAGACGGTGCCGGCTTGACACGAGGCCCTGGGAAGCAACAGAGCAATCATTGGGAGACTCCCTCCGTTCCCCACAACATCCTTGGGATACCAGCCCAAGCCCACCCATTGTTAAAGTGCAGCCATTTTTCAGTGGTGAGAGGGAATGAAGAATGTGACCCCTTTACTTGTCCGTTTGCCACACAGGCAGGCCTGGAATGGTGGTGGGAAAGGAAACAAATAAAGGGTGTGTGGTATATACCACCCCAACAAGGTCGATAGATGAGCCTCCATTTGCGAAGCAGCCCCTGTGTGCCCTGCAGAGATGAGACTTAACTCAGCAAATGTGGCCTTGTCTTATGGCTCAGTCTGGCTGGTTAGGTGAGTTTCCCCAGAGCCCACCAAGGTGCATCTGTGGGAGAAAGGGGGAATGATGGGTGGAGCTCCTAGATTTGCCGGGACACGTGGCAGGGAGGGATGAGCAGGGATATGAATTTTAAATCAGATTATAAAAGGCATAGGCCGTTTTCTCCTAAAATCCTGAGAAGACTTGCCCAGTGCAGCTCAACCCATAACCAGCTGCCAATCTGGCATCCACCATACCAAGCCACACCCAGTGGGTGTTTCTGCTCCTCTTTCAGTGAGTCCTGACCAGCCCGTAAGTGGCTCTACGGTCATGGACAGCTGGTCTTTCCAGCTACTGCTTCAACGCCCATCCACTCAGGTCCGACTGTGGTCCTGAGATGGGAAGCAGGATAGACGCATGGACCTGGGCATTTTGTGTTTCCAGGAATCTTAGCAGAGACAGAGCGGGGGCAGTTTTTCTGCCAGGAACTATCAGGCCAGGGATGGGGGGACGGGGATTGAAGAGGAGAGGGGCACAGGAAGGAACCCACCTGTTTTCCATAGGAGTCGTGGACAGGGGAGACAATCCCGCCAATCACAATAAACCTTCCAGTTTTGTGCAGATAATCCCTGGCTCTTTCTAATTAAGAGAAGAAACCCACACATTATAAAGAGGAAAGGCATGGATTAAAGGTGATAATTGAAATCAATACGCTCAGCTCTGTAATGCTGGGGTTTATTTCCCATCTCTCTTGCCATTTAAATAGAAAATGTCAACTTTCAAAGCAAATGTTGGTGATTCAAAAGGTTACAGAACCAGATTTCAGCCCCCAAAGCAAAAGGATTTAGAACTCAAGGAGATTCATCCTGTTTTAAAAGTCCTCTGTGGGAGGAGCCAGTGTAGCTCAGAAGGATTTAAAACAAGCGCCTCATTAGCAGCCATTAGAGCTACAGATTGGAATTTACCCCTATTGTCACTTGCAGGAGTTATAATGTGGAGGAGTAGTATTTAAAAAATAAATAAATAAAAGCCTCCTTATAATATGAAAGATGTGCTGATTGCCTCATCTAATTATTCAGAAGAGAAAAACCACCAAAACAAATTTAAAGGGCCTTGTAGATAATTACAAAGAATTAGCAATCAACCCAGAAGACCACCATCTTAGACTTGGTTGAGACGAAAAATTTGGCCAGATAAAAGCCTTTTATCCTTTGGAAGGTATGCAATATTGCTTTTTCAAATCTATCAGACAAACCCAATTTTATTTTCGCAATAAATTTCGGCAAACAAGGAAGGGACTGAAAAGTCTGGTTCTATCTTACTTCCAAAACAATTCCTTTTAAGAATGTCAACAGGGGCCGGGTGTGGTGGCTCACACCTGTAATCCCAGTACTTTGGGAGGCCGAGGCAGGTGGATCACAAGGTCAGGAGTTCAAGACCAGCCTGGCCAACATGGTGAAACCCTTTTCTACTAAAAATACAAAACTTAGCCAGACGCGGTGGCAGGCGCCTGTAATCCTAGTTACTCGGGAGACTGAGGCAGGAGAATCGCTTGAACCCGGGCAGCAGAGATTGCAGTGAGCTGAGATCGTGCCACTGCACTCCAGCCTGGGTGACAGAGGGAGACTCCATCTAAAAACAAAACAAAACAAAACAAAAATTGTCAACAGGGCCTGAGCTTATTCCACTGAGGAAAAATCTAGCATGGAGTTTATAGTGAAGGAATTTTTAAGTAGAAGGCGGCCTGGGCAGCAAAGCTGGCTGTGTAGTTTACAAGCAAGTTTTCAGAATTACTTTGCTGGATTTCTTAACACTTGAAAAAAGATCTCACCATATTTGCTTCTTTTTCTTTCTTTCTTTGTTTTTTGAGACAAAGTCTCACGCTGTCACTTAGGCTGCAGTGCAGTGGTGCGATCTTGGCTCACTGCCACCTCTACCTCCTGGGTTCAAGCAATTCTCATGCCTCAGCCTCCCAAGTAGCTGAGATTACAGGCATGAGCCACCATGGTTGGCTAATTTTTGTATTTTTAGTAGAGACGGGTTCCACGTGTCGGCCAGGCTGGCCTCAAACTCCCGGCCTCAAGTGATCTGCCTGCCTTGGCCTCCCAAAATGCAAGGGTTACAGGCATGAGCCACGGCACTTGGCTGCTTCTTTTTCTTTCAATGTGAAATTTCTTAGATTAAAAAAAAAATGAATAGACTATTTGTAACACCGTTTTAGATTTACAGAATAATTGAGCAGATTGTACATAGACTTCCATATATTCAGACCCCTCCCACCTTTTTACCTCCCTTCATGCAGTTTCCCCCATTATATTAATAATTTTGCACTAGTGTGGCACACTTGTTATACTTGACAAATCATTATTAACACATTATTAACTATAGTCAATAGTTTACATTAAGATTTACTCTGTGTTGTAGAGTTCTGTGGGTTTTGACAATTGTATCCTTCATTATAGTATCATACCCAGTATTTTCATCCCCTAAAAATTCAGTGTTCCACCCATTCATGCCTCCTCTTTTCCCAAACCCCTGGCAACCACGGTTCTGTTTACTTTTTCTATAGATTTGACGTTTCCAAAATGCCATATGGTTGGAATCATACAGTATGTACCCTCTTTGGACTTGCTGTTTTCACTAAGCAGTATGCATTTAAAGTTCCTCCATGTCTTTTCATGGCTCGATAGCTCATTTCTTTCTTTTTCTTTGAGAGGAAGTCTCGCTCTTGTCCCCTAAGCTGGAGTGCAGTGGCGCCATCTCAGCTCACTGCAACCTCCGCCTCCCGGGCTTAAGCGATTCTCCTGCCTCAGCCTCCCAAGTAGTTGGGATTACAGGCGCCTACCACCATGCCCAGCTAATTTTTTGTATTTTTAGTAGAGATGGGGTTTCACTATGTTAGCCAAACTGGTCTCAAACTCCTGACCTCAGGAGATCCGCCTGCCACGGCCTCCCAAAGTGCTGGGATTACAGGCGTGAGCCACCGCGCCCGGCCGGCAGCTCATTTCTTTTAATCACTAAATGATAGTCTATTGTCTGGAAGTACTTCAGTTTATCCATTCATCTACCAAAGAACATCTTTGCTGCTTCCAGTTTTTAGTGATTATAAATAAAGCTGATATGACATTCATGTGCAGGTTTTTGTGAAGACGTAAATTAGGGAATCTACACAAGGAGCCATATGAATCATATGGTAAGATTATGTTTAGCTTTTTAAGAGGCTGTCAAATTGTCTTCCAAAGTGGTTGTGCCATTTTATATTCCTACCAGGAATGAATGAGACTTTCTGTTGCTCCAAATTCTTACCAGCATTTGGCATTATTTGGATTTTAATAAGTGTGTCACTCTGATAAGTGTGTCACATTTGCTTTTTTTTTTGATGGAGTCTAGCTCTGTTGCCCAGGCTGGAGTACAGTGGCATCATCTTGGCTCACTGCAACCTCCGCCTCCTGGGTTCAAGTGATTCTTGTGCCTCAGCCTCATAGGTAGCTGGGATTACAGACGTGCACCACCATACCCAGCTAATTTTTTTATTTTTTAGTAGAGATGGGGTTTCACCATGTTAGCCAGGCTGGTCTTGAACTCCTGACCTCAGGTGATCTGACCACCTCAGCCTCCCAAAGTGCTGGGATTACAGGCATGAGCCACCGCACCCAGCCCCATATTTGCTTTTTAAAAGAGTTGTAGTACTTCACTTGTTTTCAGATCTTATTCTGAGGCCAAATTAAAGGCCTTGCAACAATCTATTCTGATATTTGAAGAAATTGCACAGCCTCTCCCTGTTTCTCTTGGACCTTCACACTCCGCTCCTCTTCGGGGTCATTTCTATCTGGCCCTTGGCAGTCACAGACCCTCTGCTGCAATAAGCCAGAACTTCTTTACTCTCCCTGTCCTCCAAATAGTGCCTTCTAACTCTTCACTTCCCAAGCACTTCATTCAAACCCAGCTCTACCCTACCCCACATCTAGCATGCCTTCCCTGCCCAACAGCCTCCTGCTCTGGACTTATTTCCCGGCCACCTCACTAATCTCACTGTGTATCCAGTGCAGTCCAAGGGACCTGGAAACTGTTTCTGTAAAATGCCTTCTTTGCAAAGTTGTTGTGAGGATCAAATCAAATTACGAAAGTAAAAGTGCATAGCGCTAAGTGGTTTTACTGGAGAATTCCACATAAAGAACTAAAACCAAGTCTACATAAACTCTTCTAGAAAGTAGAAAAGGAAGGAACCCTTTTTTTTTTTTTTTTGAGACGGAGTTTCGCTCTTGTTGCCCAGGCTGGAGTGCAACGGCGTGATCTCGGCTCAGCGCAACCTCTGCCTCCCGGGTTCAAGCGATTCTCCTGCCTCCGCCTCCCGAGTAGCTGGAATTACAGGGATGTGCCACCATCCCCGGCTAATTTTGTATTTTTAGTAGAGACGAGGTTTCTCCATGTGGTCAGGCTGATCTTGAACTCCCGACCTCAGGTGATCTGCCCACCTCGGCCTCCTAAAATGCTGGGATTACAGGCGTGAGCCACCATGCCCGGCCTAGGAAAGAACACTTTTCAATTTATTTTATAAAGCCAGTATTACCCTGATATCAAAACCAGGCAAAGACAGTACAAAGAAGAAACTACAGGCCAATATCCTTTATGATTGAATACTCAAAAATCCTTAACAAATGTTAGCAAATAGAATCCAGCTATATATAGAAAGAATTATACACTGTGACTAAGTGGTGTATATTCCAGGGATACAAGGCTGTTTTTTCAGTATTTGAAAAATCATTCAATGTAATCCACCAGCAAGCTAAAGAAAAATCTCATGATCCTATCAATTGATGCAGAAAAAGCGTTTGACAAAATTCAACATTCATTCATGACAAAAACTCTCAGTATAATAGGAATAGAAAGAAACGTCCTCGACTTGACAAAGAGCATCTGCAAAAACCTGCAACTAACATCATACTTAGTGGTGAAAGATTGAATGCTTTCTCCCTAAAATGAAGAACAAGGAAGGAAGTGTGCTCTCATTGCTGTTATTCAACCAGAAGTTCTAGTGCACACCATAAGGCAAGAAAAGGAAATAAAAGGCATACAGATAAAAAAAGGAAAATAAAAAAACCTGTCTCTATTTGTAGATGACTTGATGATCTACCTAGAAATCCCAATAAATTTACAAGGAAACTCCAGCAACTAATAAGTGAGCTCAACAAGGTCATAAGTTACAAGATCAACATAAGAAAATTAATTGTATTTCCATATGCTAGCAACAAACAAAATCAAAATAAAAATACAAAGCAAATGTTAATCAATTCAATGAAATACTTAGGTATAAATATAATAAAACATATACAGGGCTTGTATGTTAAAAACTACAAGATGCTGATGAAAGAAATCAAAGAAGATCTAAATAAATGTAGAGACCTATGCATTTTAAATCTTAACTGAGAGTCCTTTTCAAGGATGCCTTCAACCCTTTATTCCCATATGCACTGTATCTATGTTGCCTCTGTGAACACAGGAACATATATTTGAATTCAGCGCCACAACAAGTAGCAGAAGATGCTGACAATCCTGAATTTATTTGGGTGATCATGCTTCTATTGAGTTGGATGGCATAGTCTAGTGGTTAGGAACAACAACAACAACAACAAGAGACATACTATGTTATGGATTGGAAGATGCAACACAGTCAAGATGCTAATTCTCCCCAAAATGATATGAAATTTAATGTATTTCTTGTCAAAATCACAACAAGATTTGTTAAAGTGTTAATATCAACAGAATTCTAAAATGTGTATGGAAAGTTATAGGAGCTAGAATAGTTCATAGCAGCTTTATTTGTAATAATCAAATACGGGAAACAACCCAAATGTCCTACGATAGGTAAATGGTTAACTAAACTGTGGTACACCCATACCATGGAGTACTACTCAGCAATAAAAAGGAACAAATTGGCTGGGCACCGTGGCTCATGCCTGTAATCCCAGCACTTTGGGAGGCAGAGGTGGGTGGATCACTTGAGGTCAGGAGTTCGAGACCAGCCTGGCCAACCTGGTGAAACCCCGTCTATACTAAAAATACAAAAATTAGCTGGGCATGGTGGGTGGCACACACTTGTAATCCCAGCTACTTGGGAGGCTGAGGTGGGAGGATTGCTTGAACCTGGGAGGTGGAGGTTGCAGTGAGCCAAGATGGCGCCACTGCACTCCAGCCTGGGTGACACAGCGAGACTCTGTCTCAAAAAAAAATAAAAAAATAAAAAAAGGAACAAATTATTGATATGTGCAAGAATTTGGATGGATCTTTAGTTCATTATTCTGAGTGAAGAAAAGGCAATCTCAAAAGTTTGCTTATTGTATGATTTTATTTATATAACATGGTCAAAAAGTTGTTTAAAAGCCTGGACATTTCGGCTCATGCTTATAATTCCAACATTTTGGGAGGCTGAGGCAGGAGGCTCGCTTGACCTAGGAGTTCATGACCAACATGGGCAACATAGTGAGACCTCTGTCTCTTAAAAAAAAAAAAAAGGTGTTAAAGGTGTTAAGAAGATTAATGCTTTCCAGGGGTTAGGGATGGTGGGTCAGGGAAAGGGGTGGGTATGACTGTAAAGCTGTAGCTTGTGGGAGATCTTTGTGGTAATGGGCTAGTTCTATAGCTTACTTGTGTTGGTTCTGTAAATCTACCCTTTTGATAAGATAACATATAAACTATACATACACCTTTTACCAATGTCAATGTTCTCATTTCGATATTCTACTATAGTTATAGAAAATAGAACTGTTATGGTCTGTATGTCTGTCTCTCCAAAATTCATATGCTGAAATCTAATCTCCAACATGTTGCTATTAAGAGATGGGGCCTTTGGGAGGTGACTAGGTCATGAGGATGGAACCCTCGTGGATGGAATTACAGCCCCTATAAAGAGGCCTGGGGAGCCCATTTGCCCTTCCTCCTTGTGAGGACACATAGAAGGCACCATTTAGGCTGGGCACAGTGGCTCATGACTGTAATCCCAACACTTTGGGAGGCCGAGGTGGGCGTATCATGAGGTCAGGAGTTCGAGACCAGCCCGGCCAATATGGTGAAACCCCGTCTGTACTAAAAATACAAAAATTAGCCAGGCGTGGTGGCACGTGCCTGTAGTCCCAGCTACTTGGGAGGCTGAGGCAAAAGAATCACTTGAACCCAGGAGACAGAGGTTGCAGTGAGCCGAGATTGCACCACTGTACTCCAGCCTGGGTGACAGAGCCAGACTCTGAGACTCCATCTAAAAAAAAGAAAAAAAAAAAAAGGCACCATGGCACCATTTATCAGGAACAGGCCTTCACCAGACACCACATCTGCCTGAGCCTTTATCTTGTACTTCCCAGCCCCCAGAACTGTGAGCAATAAATTTATGTTATTTATAAACTACCCAGTCTAAGGTATTTTGTTACAGCAGCCCAAATGGACTAAGTCAGTAACCACTAGGGGAAACTGGGTGAAGAGTACATGGTATCTCTCTGTATTAATCTTGCAACTTCCTGCAAATCTATAGTTATCTCAGAAAAAAAGTTTTTGAAATGTTCATGATAAATTATAGAACACTGCAATTTTAAGGTGGTGGTGTGCAAACCCAGGCAGTGGCAAGCAAGCTGGAGGAGTTAGATGCTTCTGAAACTTTATTTCTGTTCATACCTTTCCAGCTTTGCTGCTGTCTAGATTAGAAGATTTTGGTTTGTTACATTGTGGGTTGTGTTGTCTAAAGCTGTGCTTCTTAAACTTTGATGTGCATATGAATCCTCTGGGGGTCTTTTTAGAATATAGATTCTGATTCTATGGGTCTGGGATGGAACCTGAGATCAGAGTCAAGATTGGCATGAGATAAGTGGGGCAGGATTGTTTAAGTGCTGAGTCAGATCTCGCCTTTATTTAAAATGTTGATATTTTGTTTATCAAGGATTTTTTGCAGTGATTTTGATATTTTAAAATATTGTTTATTTTGATTACTGAGTTTGGGGGCACCTCCTTACATTTTGCACTAGAGGAGGCCATCTCTCACCCTAGTCCCAGGCTTTGCCTGAGATTCAGCATTTCTGGCAAGCTCCCAAATGAGACCAAGGCTGCAGGTCTGCAGATTATATTTTAAACAGCAAGCGACTAAAGACAGGTGGAGCAGCCCCTGCCATGTTAGAATACCCACAAAAGAGGCTCTCCTCCCTTCCCCACTCCACCACCATCTCCAACTTGCATGACAAGGGCATTTCTGCACATTAGTAGAAAGCCAGCCCATTGGCAAAGCTGTAGCTATGGCCCTGGAATTTAATTTCATGCCAGGCTTCCCAAAATGAGGTCTATTTTTGTCCATCAGTTCTGCCCCAAAGAAGGAGCCAAATTACTCTAACATTAGACATGCAAGTCAGACCCGCTCTGCATTTGGTCACCATCTTTGCTCCTGTGCTCATGGAGGAGGACTCCATGACCGTTGCCACATCCTGTCCTCAGGACCCTGAGGGTCCACTGTGTCTCATGGCTCATTCCAGGCCACTTGGAACCAGGTAAATCTCCCTTCCTTATAGCCTGTGCTGGATGCTTGGATGTCCAGCCAAGGACAGACACAATATGAGTGATTTACCCATTAATAAAAATTCATGAGACACACATATCCTCCTGGCTACTCAGTGAACCTGGCTGACATGTGTAATCTACTCCTTCCTTCTAGGGAGTTAATGGAAGAGTGTTTCTTCCACCGTGGTCACAGCATCAACACTAACTCCATTTTTCCTTTTCAGCTGCAATTAGAAATGACCCCTTCTGAATTGTAGTCACAGCTGGAGCTGCCTGTATTTTCCCTGTTTGTAAATTTCCCAAAGATTGTCTGGATTTGTAAACATTCTAAATTTTAGGAAGACCAAGTGCTGGATGATAAAGGAAGAAATCAAGCTTTGAGTGCCTCTTAGAATTCCTGCTTAGGAGTTAAGAAAAAAACTTTAAGGAATCATCCCTGTGGCCTACTAAACTGAGCCTTGAGTGTTCCCTAACAAACATTTAATAAGTGCTTATTATGTTGAAGGCTCTGTCCCAGTCGCTATAAGGGACATAGAGAAGTAAAAGACACAATTCACATCTCCAAGGAGCCCAGGTTTTTGATGCGGGCCACAGCATATACTTTGCTGAAATAATAAGATACCAAAATGAACAGCAGAGACATTAAGTGCTATAGGACTTCAGGGAGGGAGTCATCCCACTGGGACGGGGTGGCCTAGGAAGTCTTCCTAGAACAGATTAGACCTAAGCTAGAATCCAACAGCAGAGAAGAGGAAGGTGTTATTAACTTTGTCTTTTTATTTTCTGTATTTTGATGTTTGACATCTGGGGACTTGCTGACCCTTGAAGGGAGGAATTATCCCTCTAGCCAATTCCTAGAGATAGCGAATAACTGGCCCTTGAGCACACTTTTCAAATGCAAACCAACCAATCCAGACCAACCATGCCCCTAACTACCTTCACTATTGCGCTCTCACACTCAGGGCCACTGTTCCCCTGCCCTAATCTCCCCAGGGCTAGGTACCGAACAACTAGGGATATCCCCTATGCCCCAGAGGCTGCTGAATTTATTTAAACTAGGCAAAGGAGAGCCTGCCTCACCTGTCATTCCCAGAACCACAATCACATCTTTTGCCCCTGTTTCTCCACTCCCTCTGCCTTCTGGCTGACCCTGGAGCCTCTGCCCTTGTTTTCCCCACTCCCTCTGCCTTCTGACTGACCCTGGAGCCTCCTTGCTGGCCCCCTATGACTCAGTGTGCCCCGTCCTCTTGGGACCTGTGAGTATAACAACTTTCTTTTCAACAGCAGCCATCTCCTGATCTGTTGGCCTTGTCATACCTAAAAAATAGTAAAACCTCAATTTTAAAACAGAAGGAAGATACTCATTCCAGGGGGACAAAGCGAGGTGAGCAGATGAACTGAGTCAGGAACAAAGTCTCTAAGCCCTACTGAAGCCTCCTTTTCTTGGCTTTATTTGTTTGAAAAGCAATGATATCATTTTCATCCACTGTCACCAAGGGAGTCTCACCCTCCCCCACACAGCCTGGAGCAACTTTGCAAAACTGAGGGGAAGAGGCTAGCTGAGAAGAAGGCAGGGAAGAATTAGGCCAAATTAGGAGGGTTTTGAGTGCCAAACCAAGTAATTAACTTACTGACCATTTGCTGGTGATCTGCTCTGTGTTAGGCGCAGTGTTAGGCACTTGGGTCTGTATTTTCTCATGTTAAATTTCACAGCAACTGTGTAAGTTGTTAGGTGATATAATCACTATTTTCCAAATAAGGAAGCCAAGGTTCAGAGTCATTAAGCAGTTTTGCCCGAGATCACAGAGACAGGAAGTGGCTTTTGGAATTTGAAGTGGGATTTGAACACAGAATTTTTGACTCTAAGGTGAGTGCTTATTCGATTTGGTCCTTTAGTCCCAGATCCTTTCGTTCCAGTCTGGATAGTTTTGGGAAGCAGGGAGCTGGGTGATCACATTCTTCAGGGAGCGTGAAACAGACAATCCTACCAGGCCCTCCCTCTTCAAGTTGTCCAGCCTAAGCCTTAAGACAGTTTTCCAGTGAGATAGTTCTACTTGAGTCTGAAGTAAGTCTGAAAGCACAGTACGGTCCATGAAGTTTGATCCATATGTGGGACCACAGGAGCCTACCATGCCATCCCTTGGAACTGTTAGCTGAGTGGGCTGAGGCTCCCAATAAATACAGGCTAGTTATGGATTTCCTCTCCACAGGGAGCAATTTTCCTTGCTCTTCCTCCAGCCAGTCAGCCATGCCTAGGCCAGCCATCTACTAACACTTGTCCTCAGACCCCTGGGCGGAGAATGTGGGTACACCAGCACAATGCCCTCTCTCTGCCCTCATACCCTTTATTCCAATGCACTATGGAGTCAGCATCTTCCCAGGCCTGTGTCTGTGACTCATGATGGCAGCTGGATTTCCCAATTTACCAATACTTATGTGACTTGTGTCTTGTGTATTTAAGGTTTGAGGCTGGGTGGAAGTTTTCTAGGAAGACAAAGGAACAGGAAGTAGTGGAAGACATTTTTGGAAAAGCGTGCAGCACGTACAAAGGCATGAAGATATGATATTTTGCAGGTAATGAAGAAAAGAGCAATATGCCAGAAAGAAAGATGTAAGTAGAAGAAGGTAAGGCTGGAAAGAAAGTGGGGTAGATAGCATGATAGGAACAGGGTTTTCTTAGAAGAAACAATCGATTGCAGAAGGCACATGATGGCAGCTGGATTTCCCAAGGGGATGATAGGTTACCCACATTTGGTATATTCTTCTACCCAGACTCAGTGGCCAGTGACTGGCCAGCAGAAGGTGCGGGCTGGGCTTACATGCATATAGGGATCAGGCTGATGTCCCTAAACAGGCATGCACAGAGCAGCCCTGCAAACCTTGAGAAGCTCCGCTGGAGACAGAATCCTGTTTTCTTGACCATCTGCACCTCCCTCCAGCTGCCCCGCCCTCATGCCATGTGCCTCAGGCTGTCTGAACTCACCTGAGAGAGTAACAAACACTTCCCAGAGCCCCTGGCAGGCCTGAATTTCCTCTAGTTCCTGGATTTCCATCTATTTGTCTGGTTTTTGCAGCCACTACTTGCAGCCCTGTGCTGGCCATCAGAGAGTAACACAAAGTGGTGCAGCTGCTCCCTCATTGTTGCTGATCTTGTTTGCTCCACTACCTCCAGCTTGGGAGAATTTGAATCCCTTTGTCCTTACAGCCAGGAAATGATTTATGACCCTCCCTTCCATAACTGTCACTTCTGCCAGACCATGCTGAGAGAACCTCTCATATGCTCCCGCTTGTAGGAGCCACTCCGGAAGTGTGGCCTCTGTTCAAATCCTTTCCACTGGAAAAACTACCCCATTCCCATCCCGCATCCTTTCCAAATCAGGCTCCAGGCTTCTTGGAATTCGCCCATTGTTGAAAAAGCCTTTTTTTTTTTTTTGGTATTTATTTCTTCAGAAATGGAAAGCTAAATATATATGTAAAAATATGACACAAACTAAATATATATGTAAAAATATGACACGAAACCAAGGTTTCCCCTTCAGCGAAACTCAAAAACACATGAGAGAATTCTTTCAGAAACCCACAGACTGTGGTACTAAATATAGCTGGGCAGGGGGTGGAGTGGGGCAGGGGATAGAGTGGAAGGTGGGGAGGAAGCAATGAAGACAGGAGGAGGACATGTGATGGAGGAGCCCACCTTGGCTCCTCATTAGGGTATCAAGTCTGTGTCATTTGCATGGAATCAGGCTCTATTTTTAACTACACGTCTATTTTATTCTACACTTTTATTAACCTTTCTGAGTACAAGTTTACCATACACGCTTCTTAACATAGGGATAATTCGAGCTTGAAATAGACTTTATCCAGGAGATAGCTGTTTTTCCTGGGTAAAACAGGTGACAGAATATTCAGCATAGATTCCTTTTTGCGAAGGTGTGGCAGTGCTGAGGCTGCAGTGCGGGGATTTTTTGAAAGGTCAGTAGTTGCTTTTTCCCTAAAGAATGATATTGGAAAAACAGTTTCCTTTACAGCCTTTTTTTTTTTTTTTTTTTTAAAGAAAGAGTTTCTC
This sequence comes from Homo sapiens, assembly GCF_000001405.40. Lineage (NCBI taxonomy): Eukaryota > Metazoa > Chordata > Mammalia > Primates > Hominidae > Homo > Homo sapiens. Next base: position 183,305,753 of record NC_000001.11, read on the forward strand.
TCTTGTTGCCCAGGCTGGAGTGCAGTGGCATGAACTCAGCTCACTGCAACCTCCACCTTCCAGGTTCAAGTGATTCTCCCGCCTTAGCCTTCCAAGTAGCTGGGATTACAGGCTTGCGCCACCATACCCGGCCAATTTTTTGTATTTTTAGTAGAGATGGGGTTTCACCATGTTGGCCAGGCTGTTCTCAAACTCCTGACCTCAGGTGGTCCACCTGCTTCGGCCTCCCAAAGTGCTGGGATTATAGGTGTGAGCCACCGCGCCCGGCCCTTTACAGCTTTCTTATTTGTGTTTATCTTCCCTCTCTACTTCCTCTAGTAAGAATATCTTCATGGAACAGAGTTCCCTTCTAGGGAACCAGCTGTCCAGGTTTGCAGGGGACTTTCTTGGTTTTAGCACTAAAAATCCCATGTCCTGGGAGACCTTAGTCCCCGACAAACTGTGTTGGTTGGTGCTGCAGGCTGAATAATGGCTTTCCAAAAATGTTCACAATCTAATTCCTGGCACCTGTGAATATGTTATCTTAACATGGTAAAAGGAATCCAGATAGCCCCTGGAAGCTAGAAAAGGCAAAAGAATGGATTTTTCCAGAAAGAATGTTTTCTTCCAGAAAACATTCTTTGATTTTCAAACTTCTATAAGATCATAAATTTGTATTGTTTTAAGCTAATACGTTTCCAGTAATTTATTACAGCAGCAATAGGAAGTGAATACAGTTGGTTACCCAGCCCCTCCCTCAACCAGGATGCCCAATGAACCACTGAACCACTCATGCACTGAACCAAAGAAGCTCAATTACTGCATTGAGTGGAGAAACAAAATCAGCTCATTGAAAACGTACCATGTGTGAGAATTTCAGGGACACAGAAAGACACAGTTTTAAATTAATTCCACTGTTATTTTGGACTTTTCTCTAAGAAACCTGAAAGTAAAGAAATGCACAATAACCTACACGTGCCCCAAAATAAAGCCTTTGTAATTCCTTAGGTTAAAATACTAACCTCCCCCTAGAGGCAACAGAGCATGTTTACAGGTTCAGATTTAAATCCTGCCCCAGGTGTCACCAGCTGGGTGACCTTGGGTACCCAGCTAGTTACTCAATTGCGCTGGCTGCCAACTCTCATCCCTAGGCTGGAGGTAATAATATTAATCTGGCTCACAGTGTTGTTAGATAAACAGTATAAGGAGTTTAGCACAGCACCGGCACTCAGGGACATTGGCCATATTTCTATTTCATGAGGAAGTGCAACCACTCCTTGGGGAGGAAAGTAGAGGGGGACAAAGAAAACTCAAAAACTCTTTGAAAAAAAAAATGTGCAGCTTGCCAATGTGGGAGTTATTAAATCTGAGAAGATTTTCTTTTGACCAGCAAAGATTGTCCCTGGCCCCAGTGAGATGTTTTTCTTGGTCTCGCTGCCCCTTTTGTCCTGCTTCCCTTAGAGAGAGCAGATGTTCCCTCTCCGGCTTAGAAAGTCATCTCTAGAGAGTGAGGGTCTGACTACAACCAGACCCTGGTATCTTCTCTCCTCTTTAAGTGAAACCAAACAAAGGGTTCTTTTTTTTTTTTTTTTGAGATGGAGTTTGGTTCTTGTTGCTCAGGCTGGAGTGCAATGGTGTGATCTCGGCTCACTGCAACCTCTGCCTCCTGGGTTCAAGTGATTCTCTTGCCTCAGCCTCCCTAGTAGCTGGAATGTATATTTTTTTTTTTAGACAGAGTTTTGCTTCTGTTGCCCAGGCTGGAGTGCAATGTCATGATCTTGGCTCACTGCAACCTCTGTCTCCTGGGTTCAAGTGATTCTCCTGCCTCAGCTTACCAAGTAGCTGGAATTACAGGCTCCCACCACCACACCTGGCTAATTTTTGTATTTTTAATAGAGACAGGGTTTCACCACATTGGCTAGGCTGGTCTTGAACTCCTGACCTCAGGTGATCTGCCCACCTCGGCCTCCCAAAGTGCTGAGATTACAGGCGTGAGTCATGCATTCAGCCTAAGTAAGTTTTGTATTTTTAGTGGAGTCGGGGTTTCAACATTTTGGCCAGTCTGGTCTCGAACTTCTGACTTCAGGTGATCTGCACGCCTCGTCCTCCCAGAGTGCTGGGATTACAAGCATGAGCTGCCGCACCTGGCCCAAACGAAGTATTCTGAGTAATGTAAGAGAAGCCAAGGTTGGGGAGGGCGCGTGCTGCATTTGGGCAGATTTCGACGGACTTTAGTGCTTCAGCTGAGGTGTGTTTGGATGATGGATGGGGGAGAGCTGCATGCAGGAACGTCAGGCTGGCCTACAGTTCTCCAGGTTATTGATTGAGCTCTGCTGGCATTGGGACAGAGGAAGTTTCTGCTGCGATGGATGACCCTCCTTGGAAAAGTTTCATTTGTCTTATGAGTCTCAGAGCTCATAGAGGATTTTGCTGCTTTTCCCTCAACTGACCCAGAGGTATGATCCCAGGGGACACCAACATGAAGCAATCTTAAAATGGCCTTTAGGATTCTGATGTGAAATAAGATACCACTGTGTATCACTTAAAGCAAATGTTTTTAAAATGACACTGATTAGTGCCCGTGAGGATGGGGAAGTGTACATTCTAACACGTGGTCCACGAGAGCATAAATTGATAAAGCCTTTTAGGAGGGCAATATGGCAGTCAGCATCTATCAAAATGATAGATGGGCATGACCTTGACCTGGCACTTCCACCTCCAGGAATCCATACTACAGAAAAAACTTGCACATGTGCACAGAGATGTATTCAAAAAGATAGTTCACTTCCGCATTATTCGTAAGAGTAAAAAATCAAGACTAAAAAAGGAAGCTGTTAAATGTTGGTACGTCCATTTGAAGGAATATTATACAGCCATTTAAAAGAATGAAGTAGATTTATCTAATCTGACATGGGAAGATCTCCAAGACACATCAGTAGGTGGGAAAAAAAATCAAATCACAGAACAATACCAAATAAAACTGTGAGTCTAAAGTAACTTCAGATAGTGATAATAAGAGTGGTGAAGAAAATAACAGGGAAAGAAGGTAGAGATTGGGTGCTGTGGGTTGCTAGGGAGATAAGCAAATGGCAAGCCATCAGCCATACGACAGTGAGGAGGAAAGTGCTGCAGAGAGAGGGAGGAGCTTTGTAGCCCCTGAGGTGGGAGAGCTGGTGGCATGGCTGCAGCGCTGGGAAAACAGGCTGACGTCAGAGGCTTGAAGGATCAGGTAGAAAAGGCCTGGAAAGCCCTGGGAACAAGTTTGAGATTTTATTCAAAGCCTTTGGAGGGTGTTTGTTTATTTTGAGACAGGGTCTCACTCTGTGCCCTGGCTGGAGTGCAGTGGTGCGATCACAGCTCACTGTAGCCTCAAACTCCTGGGCTCAGCCTCCCGAGTAGCAGGGACTATAGGTGCATGCCACCACACCAGGCCAATTTTTAAATTTTTTGTAGAGATAAGGTCTCAGTATATTGCCCAGGCTGGTCTCAAACTCCTGGCCTCAAATGATCTTCCCACCTTGGCCTCTCAAAGTGCTGGAATTATAGGCATGAGCCACTGTGCCCGGCCTTTGGAGGGTCTTAAGCAGCAGAGTGATCTGAGTTACATTTCAGAGATTGGCTGTTGGGCGGAAAATAAATTTAGTGGAGCAAGAGCGGAGCCAGTGAGATCAATTAGGAGCCGATTCCAGGAGTCTGAAATAAAACAGGCACAAATCCACTCATCTCTAGGCCTCATGTCACTCACTCTGAATTAGATACGATACTTGGCACGTTAATGTGTTTGATAACTATGATATTAGTTTTAAAAGTAAAAAGGCCTACAGTAAGTGGAGAGTAATATTATACTAGAATTGAATTTTGTTACAGCTCATTCATTACACAGATTGTTTTGTTATGATTGTATTCAACCTGGTCTAATCCCATCCTAAGAATATAGCAGTTTATTCAACAACCTGGTTTTATCTCATTGGTTTATGAAATGGATGGCAGCACTGTCCCCCCAAGCCCAAGAGTAGAAAGGAGACCCCAGGAATTACGAAAACCTGTACAAAATTCATAAGCAAGGATAAGGTCCCACAGCCTCATGCTCTTAAGTGGGTTATTCAAGTGCTTCTGCATACTTCTCTCGCTCATTTTGGTTTCGTTCATTTTTTAGCTAAAGGTGCAGTGCCCCCTGGAAGATCAGACTTTCTCTTTCTCACCCTAATTTAAGGCATTGCAAATATTTTATCCTGGGTGAACCTTTTCAGTACTTTCCTGAAAATATAGGGTGGACACCTGAAGAATCATGGAAATTCGCTTTGAGCAGTCCATAGCTTTGTTCTTGGAATGTAAAAGATGAATTTGGTGACCTTTACAGAGAGAGCAGTTTTAGTTAAAGAAGAAGGAGAAAGACTGCCTGGAATAGGTAAATCTGGAGAGTCAACCTGGGTGGGTCTCAGACGGACTCTCCCAAACATTCTTAAAATACTGAATTTCTAATTGTTCAAAGAACTTGGCCTGGTGATCTGAATCTTAGTATCTCTAGGCCAGCTTCCTGTACTGCCCTGATCCTGGGACCGCTTTCAAAAGCTCCTTGCATGAACAGCAAATGCAGAGTACAACATCATTCTAATGCTTTAGAACTAGCACCAGAGTAATATAGCAAACCCTGTCTTCCAGAATGCCTCTGATATAAAATCATAATTATTCCTCTTTCCTTCATGAGCCTGAGTTTGAGTCAAATGCATCCAGCCTGCTCTGGTCCCTCTCATGTCTCCAGTGATTTCCCAGGAAAACCAGGAAGACCCCTATTCCTAAAAAGGTTCTAGATCAATCATTTTCAACCAGGGTTGATCACCCCCCAGGGCACATTTGGCAATGTCTAGAGACATTTTTGGTTGTCACAATTGTAAGAAGAAAGTGCTACTGTCATTTAGTTGGCAGAAGCCAGGGGTTTTGCTTAACATCCTATAATGCACAGGACAGCCCCACAACAAAGAATCATCTGGTCCAGTTTGTCAACCGTGCCAGGGTTGAAAATCCTGTTCTACACATAAACAAGGCCTCTGTTTTAAAGGGAAACTAGAAACTCATAATGCCAACACAGGTGGAAGAATTATGGCCCCAAGGGAAGGAAAAAAAAAAAAAGCAGGGGCATTGGAATTTCACAGTCTGTTTTTCCACCCCTTTTAGCACAAGAGACTGTTATTGGAAAAAGTGACCAAGTCAAATAGCATATGACAAATCTCCCACATGACAAAGGGATTTCCCAGCTACCCACGCGGTCGTAAGAGATTAGTCCTAAGGTTCCCGCTCACCCTGTGAGGCTGCTTATGGAGATTTGCCCCTGCTTGAGTGAGGTGCCCTGGTCTAGAACCAGCTCCTGCCCAACTGTCTTCTTCCTTCACTATCCACTCCCTTCCCTTTGTTTTGACAAACCAAATTCCAGTCTAGGGTGTCAGGTACTGAAGCTTCAAAATTCACCCTGACCTGACAGAATTAATGGTTTCTGTGCCCAGTCATTAAGAGCACAGGATTTTGGAACAAGCAGAGTGAGCGATTTGGGGAATTCTTGGCCAAAGATCAAGAAAGCCTCTTTCTCCTTACAGGCCCTAATTAATTAACTGGTTCTTTATGAAAAACTGTGAGGGAATAATTCAGAAAAGAAGCAGTAAAAGGATTTTTCAGCAGTCTTTCATTTTCTAGATTCAAAACAGTATTAGGTAATAATTAGGTAAAGCTAATTGCACTGGTGTCTTGGCACTGGGAAGGTTATTTTCTCCTGAAAGTGAAAATGGTGGGGATGGACAAAGAGGCCTGTCCCCAGTCAAGCTCCCTGACAGGACCTGCCTACCACTTCTCAGGGGTCTGCTTTACAACCTGAATGATTAATGGCCACCATGAAATCTAGTTACTGATTTACTTTTCTCACACAGGATCCAAGAAGTGGGCTTCTCAGAACAGAGTTAAGAAAAGAGTTGTGCAGTTCACATCACACGTCCAGTCCCTACACACACACACACACACACACACACACACACACACACACACACGCCCTGGTGTTCTGCCCAGTGTAAACCATGTGACATGGCTTGGCTGTGTCCCCACTCAAATCTCATTTTGAATTCCCACATGTTGTGGGAGGGACTCGGTGGGAGGTAATTGAATCATGGGGGCAGGTCTTTCCCATGCTGTTCTCGTGATAGCAAGTAAGTCTCACCAGATCTGATGGTATTATAAGGGGGAGTTTCCCTGCACAAGCGCTCTTTTTGCCTGCTGCCCTCCATGTAAGATGCAACTTGCTCCTCTTTGCCTTCCAACCACAATTGTGAGGCCTCCCCAGCCACATGGAACTGTGAGTCCATTAAACCTCTTTCTTTTGCAAATTGCCCAGTCTCAGTTATGTCTTTACCGGCAGTGTGAAAACGGACTAATACACCATGACAGATTTAGAAATTTATAAGCATACTATGAAATAGAAGATAATAATTTTTTTGGTAGGCACATTAGTCACAGGTTTGGAATTTCTTTTTATTTTAAATAATTTAAGGCTTTTTTTTTTTTTTGAAATGAGGTCTCACTATGTTTCCCAGGCTGGTCCCAAATTCCTGGGCTCAAGCAATCCTCCTGCCTCAGCCTCCCAAGTAGGTGGGATTACAGTAGGCATGAGTCACCACACCTGGCAATTTCAGATTTTCCAACAAGCTGCAGGAATAGTACAAAGAACCCTCATATACCAATCTCCCAGATTCCCCATTTGTTAATATCTTACCACATTTGCTTTATTTGTTTTGCTCTCTGTATATTTATTTTATTACTTTTAAAACTATTTAATAGTAATTGCCTTACAGTTCCTAAAAAAAAAAAAGACATATTGGTGACAGTTTGTCAAGCTCATCTTTTTTCAGTTGAAGAAAGTATGAATGTTTGGCAAATGGCCTAGAAGTCTGGGCCTGCTAAATAGGATTTTCCAAGTATCCCTCAGGATATCTGGGTTCAAATCCTGACTCTACTTCTTTCCAGCAGTAAGATTTTGGATACCTTCCTAAGTCTCAATTTCTTCATCTGTAGGGTGGGATAATGACAGTATCCCTCTCAGGGGTTGCTGTGAGGATCAAATGAACTAAGTCCCTAAATAAGTCCATGCATGGACAGGTTCAACTGCATATGCCACCATGTTCAATAACAACATTGCTTCATTATTAGCTACTATTATCTCCTTTTCCTTTCTCATTTTCTTGTAATTATTCAAGGTTATTATTCTCAAGTATTTCCCCAACTGTGTCTTTTCCAATGAAGCCCAATTCCAGCTTTCACTCGTGGAGCTGTCATGGAACACTCAGTCTCTCTAATTTCTCTCTCCCACTGCCAGCCCCCAGCCCCCATCCCCTCCTCCCCCAACACGCACGCATCTATTCAATTTAACCGGAACAAATTCAGAAGCTTACAAGCATACTATAGGATACCAAAGAACAAAGAACCATTTCTTGTAAGGTTGTTAAAATACTTGTGATTTAAAGCAGGACAAACCTGAAGAATCCAGCATGCCTGAGATCACACATCTCTGAACAATAGGCTGTGATTTGAGTAATTACCCCTGAAGAGAGGGAGGTACCTGACTTCTGGGTATTTGGTCAACCAGCTGGACTTTCTTTCCTTAGGCATGGATAACTGGGTATTTGGTTAGCAAGGAAAAAAGAAAATTAATGTTTAATATAAACATAATATTCTTGGCACTTCCATTAGATGTTTAGAGATTTTCACTTTCAAGCATTTCTTTTTTTGAGATGGAGTCTCGCTCTTTTGCCCAGGCTGGAGTGCAGTGGTGCAATCTTGGCTCACTGCAACCTCCGCCTCCTGGGTTCAGGTGATTCTCATGCCTCTGCCTCAGTCCCTCTGGTAGCTGGGATTACAGGCGCATGCCACCATGCCTGGCTAATTTTTGTATTTTTAGTAGAGATGGGGTTTCACCATGTTGGCCAGGCTGGTCTCGAACTCTTGGCCTCAAGTGATCTGCCTGCCTTGGCCTCCCAATGTGCAGGGATTACAGGTGTGAGCCGCTGCGCCCAGCCAATGGGAAATATACCTTTTAAAATCCAACAACAACAGCACATATTAATCAATTACTAATTAGTACCAATGGGCAACCCTGCAGAGGAAGGCTGGAAGAAAGGTCTTGAAGCAGAAATCTCTGCTTCCAAGGGCCTCAGCTGCAGCTGGGATTTGTCTCTAGGGCCCTGATAGGTGTGTGGCCACTGAGAACAGGGTGGCTTTTGCTGAGCAACAGCTTTGAGCCACATGTTTATGAGACAGGCTCTGCCAACAGCAATTCCATATGAACAACAGAAGCAGTCTTCAGTGTCTGCCGTGTGGAACCTTGTGCCCATTTCTAGAGGTGCCTATTCACTCTCTTACATGCCTTCAAACTTTGTGCAACTATTTGCCTGTAGGATAAGATCCAAACTCCCAAACAGAGCAAATATAATGGGTTCTTTAAATCTGAGCCCTACAGCTCTCTCCTGAACCTGCTGCATGCCCTTTTCCCCCAGCAACATATGCCTTCACTCATGTGTTCCTTCTGTCTCAAATGCTCTTCCCTACCTTGGTAACCCCTGCCAACCCTTCAAAATCCAACTTGCCATGCCACCTTCCCTGACTTTCAGAGCTGGAATGATCTGTCCTTCCACAAGTCCATACATGCCACTGTAATAAGTTTGATCCCATTTTCTTGGGAGCAGCTCCAGGTCAGTCCTGTGCTTTATTCTTCTTTGCATCCCCAGCATCTTGTCCAGTGTCTGGCACCCAACTGATGCTCAGTTACTGTTTGTTGGGTTAAACTGGAAGGCATAACCAGGTCAGGGGCAGAGCAGCCTTGGCTATGGCATTTCTCTGTTTCTAGCTCCTCCTTATCAACTAGACATTTGACAATACTCAACAAGCACTCATGGTGTGCACAGCCTTTTGCTGAACTACAGTGTATGCATATGTAAAAGTGCAGACACCTTAAAGATAATAATTCACTGGACATGGTGGCTCATACGTATAATCTCAGCTACTCAAGAAGCTGAGGCAGGAGCCTTCCTTGAGCCCAGGAGTTTGAAATTACAGTAAGCTATGATGGCACCACTGCACTCAGGCCTGGGCAACAAAGTGAGACTCCATCTTTAAAGACAAACCAACCAACAAACAAACAACAAGCAAACAAGCAAACAAACCTAAGAATTCCCAGCCTAAAGGTAAATTGCTCTCATACAAGTGTAGTAACTTATGGGGGAAAAAGTCGTACACTTTGTATATGCTAGTTTTGCGAAAGTACGTTTCTAACATCAGCTCATGCAGATTTCAAAAATCAAAAGTTTAACACCCCATCTTAATATTAAACCAATCAGATTTTTTCTCTTGTCATTCTGATCATTGGTCTATCTCAACAAAAATATGGGGAAAAAATAGAGGCAAATATTCACTTGGCCATCCGTCATGCTGTGATGGCTGTCGATAGCTGATTCTGAAATCACTCGGGGCAGACACACAGATAGGAATAAAATACTTTCACACATATTTTTAAAGGGTCAATTGATATCTCAGTTGTTTTAACAAAATAAAGAATAGCACTAAGTTCACCACTGACAAAGTATTTCCACATTGGTGAACACTCAAAAATGTATCACGCATGTCGGTAACATGTGCAATAACAAGTCTTGAATTCCTTCACAAGGTACAATACACAGAGGTCAAGTTGTGTGTGTGCGCTTGTGTGTGTGTGTGTGTGTAATTCAATCCAAATTAAAGACATCATATCCAAACTACTTTTAAAATATGAGTAGCTTTGGGAGGCCGAGGCGGGTGGATCAGGAAGTCAGGGGTTCAAGACCAGCCTGGCCAAGATGGTAAAACCCCGTCTCTACTAAAAATACAAAAATTAGCCGGGCATGGTCGTGGGCACCTATAATCCCAGCTACACAGGAGGCTGAGGCAGAGAATTGCTCGAACCTGGGAGGCCGAGGTTGCAGTGAGCCGAGGTCATGCCACTGCACTCCAGCCTGGGCAACAAAGCAGACTCCGTGTAAAAAAAAAAAAAAAAAGCAAAGAATGCCTAATGTAGATGACAGGTTGATGGGTGCAGCAAACCACCATGGCACGTGTATATCTATGTAATAAACCTGCACTTTCTGCACATGTACCACAGAACTTAAAGTAAAAAAATAAAAAAATAAAATGAGTAGCCCATGAACTAAAAAACCAACAAATTTAGAATAACAAAAGTCTTTAATTTTTGATTCTTAGAGCTTTTTCTCCTTAATTACTAAAAATCAAACACCCACCTTGGGAGAGGAGTCAGCCAGGACCTCTGTTCTTGGGCTGTTTCTGTCCATCCCTGACATCCTCTGCACATCAGGATGTTTGAGGCAGCGAGGCATGCTCTCCTTGGGAATGGAGGTGACATCACAGGCCCAGAGTCCCCACTGACCCTGAGTGCTCCAGTTCCCAGGGACTTCCTCCCTGGAATCTGGAATTCATTTTGGCACAGGTCATGGAGAGCCATGCGAACAATGAAGAGGGAAAGGGTGGCAGGGCTCAGTGTCTGTGTCACCCAGGGTCTGTTGCCCCCAACTCCTCCCTGACATAAATGGCTGCTCTGTGGGGTGGGGAGCTAAGAGGAGAGGGCTGGCCCCTCTGTCTCCTGCAGGCCCTCCAGCTTGAAAAGAGAGCAAAATCCATGCCCCCTCACCTCCCCATACACATTCTTTCTGACCCATTTTCTTTCATGTCTGTGGAGATCAGATGCTGAGTCAAACGGCAGCCCTGGATTTCTTCCTGGGCTGCTGCAGTACCAGCTGCAGAGCCAGGGCTCGCCAGCCCCCCACCAGGCACCTCGGTCCCCTGAGCTGTCCAGGCACGGGGGCCTGAGGGACTGGGCACTTTACTTCCCTCTGGAGGGCAGGCACTGTGTCTCATCCAGCTTGCTGCCTTCCTCAGCTCCTCCCCCACAGCCCTTACCAGGGCTCCTTCTATATTGTTGATACTCAGCAAACATTGATTCATTGGGTAAGTGAACGTAAGCAGAGCTTGCCATAGGGAATATTATTCACTAGGTAAAATGTGTTGGAAATAACCCTTTATCTGATTCCCCTTCTTTCCACTTATAGAAATTGAGGTGTTTTCCTCCGGTCCTGCATTTTGGGACTCTAAGTCAGCATCCTTGGCATGCCTGTGTTCCAGATCTCCATCCCCCATGCCCTCAGCTAGTTGTTACCTAGTAGTCAGACACTACTAATCACTAGACCTGTGCACATTTGATAAATGTTACCTGATCCACATACATTTTAATAAGAGCCCCCAATGTCTCTCCCCAGAAGAATGTCTCTAAAATGGGAATTCCAGTAACCTGTGTCAAAGTGGAGTAGACTCTTCTAAATGGGAACCGTCGGGTCATACCTCAAAAGTGGCAGCCTCAGAGTGGGGTGGGCCTGGCTGGTCAGCCGTTTTATCCCAGAAAGTAGGCTCAGTTTCATCCCCCCGTATTTCAGCCCACATCCTCCAGCATACCCTGAGCCTGACTGATGGATTTTTTCTTTTTCCTTTTTTGAGACAGGGTCTGTCACCCAGGCTGAAGTACAGTGGCTACCTCCTGGCTCAAGTGATCCTGCTGGGCTCAAGCGATCCTCTTGCCTCAGCCTCTCAAGTAGCTGGCATTCAGCCACCATGTTCAGCTAATTTAAAATATTTTTTGTGTGTGTGGAGATGAGGTCTCACCACCATGTTGCCCAGGCTGGTCTGGAACTGCTGGGCTCCAGCTATCCTCCTGCCTGAACCTCCCAAAGTGCTGGGATTATAGGCATGAGCCACCATGCCTGGCCTTGACCCATGGATTTCTATGTACTCTCTTACCCACTCCCTCATCACCTACAATCAAGTCACCTCTTGCCAGTCTTTGGAAGCCGAGAAGACTTTTAGAGTTGACTCTGTTTTCCTCTCATTTTACTGGCCAAGAAGTGAAGGCCCAGAGACTGCCTAAGATAACCCCAAGGGCTGGAAGTGGATTCATGAACCCCCACCCAAGTCTATTAACCCCAGGGCTTTTGACACTAGCAGAGGGAAAGGCTTCTACCCAGATTAATGACAGGGGCTATTCAAAGATTCTTGACCAGTGTCCAAAAGAAAAAAATATTTAAATTAGCATCCACTATGGGCTGGATTCTATGCTGAGCACTAGAGTCACAGGTGGTGCACCCACTGTGAGACACAAATACACAAACAGACAAACACAATACAGTGTTAAAGGAGCTGTAATAGCCAAAACGTCTGAGTGTCTATTATGTTCTGGGCACTGTTCTATAGCCTTCACAAACAGTTATTCTAAGGGCAGAGGTAAGCTCATGGCCCTATGGAAGCTCTGAGTTCCACTGACACAGTGGGAAATTGGGCTTCGACTCCCAGACATCCGGCCTAGGCTAGCGAAGTCTCTGCCTCACCTCCCCAGCAGGCCCTGGGACCCCAGTGACATGGCCTGAGCCCTGGATCCTAAGACCTCCTCTCACTTTTGTGTCACTGGGACTTCTGTGCCCCAGCCTGAAGTCCTCTTGCCTGTCTGCAGGCTACAGTCTGTTAGAGAAAAAGTCCAGGCCAGATGAGGAAATGGGGCTCTGTCTTTGGGATGGGAGGAGAGGGACTGCGGAGGTGATGGCCCACAGGTGGGGAGGAATGACTTGAGTTCTGTGCTCGGAAGTCAGGGCAGCTCTGCAAGATTTTTTCCTGGCCAGTTTTGGATTTCCAAAACCAGAGAGAGATTCATTGTGTTTGCCTTGAGAAAGGAAATCCCCCAAACAGGACGATGGGGGAGGAATTTCTGAGGGCAGAGAGTTTCTAGAACTGAGAAGGGAGGGTTTAGGGAGGCCAGGACAGAATCATTGCACAACCCTGCTCTCCCTGGGAAAAACCCTCAGTCCTTCCTGCCTTGAGCCAGAGGCCACGGGCTCCATCTGCTGAGAGCTTGTAGAGACACACATCAAACAAGTCCCAAACTGCTGACCTCTACTTCTACCTTTGCTGAACTCCCTAAAATCCGATACAGGAGCAGAGGTTTGGGGCCTGGGAGCCTGGGGCAGGAAAGAGCCAAGGGCAAAGAAGTACAAGCCAGCTATGGATTTTTAACATCATTATTTTGTTGTTATTATTTATTGAATCATCACATCAGCTCTATTGGAGGTGGTATCATTAAGCACAATTTATAGATGAGAAGTTAAGGACTTGCTTATAAGGGCAGAAATGGGAATCATATAGGGACTCAGAGCCCCTGCATTCTCCTCATTGCAATGCTACTGTCTTGTGGGGACACAGGCGTGTGCATGCCCCATACCCCCACATACACACTACCTACCACTGTGCTGCAGCAGAAGCTATGCTGAAGTAGAAGTCAAGATTGCTGAGCCCAGTCCTGACTCCACTGGAAACTGGCTGGGGGCTCAGTTGACTCACCCCAAAAAATCTGCTCCGGTTACTTCCATTCTGCCAACATCGAGCACCTACTGTGTACCCGTGCTGAGTGCCAGGAATACAAGAATTTAGAAAATGAAAGTCCTGCCCTGGAGGCATTTACACACCAGTCAGACTTATAAACACCAGAGAATGACTTATAAAAAGATCACTTCAGCACAGTGCCTACATTTCCAAGCAGTTGTAAAGTTTAAGTGAGATGATATATGCCACTGTTTAGAAAACCCAAGAACTGCCCCAATGTTCTCGAGGTTGAGCCAGCTCTCTCAGAGGCAGCAGGAGAGTCACAAGCAGGCTGGGACACTCTTGGTCATCCTTCCCTTCTCAGCAGCGCCTCTGGCCAAGGCCAGGCCTGCCTTCAGCTTCCACTTGCCATGGTGACAGTGCCATCCTTGGTTTCTTCCCTCCTTCCTTTCTTCCTTCTTTCCTTCTTCTCCTCTGCCTCTCTCTCTCTCTTCCCCTCTCTCTTTCTCTCTTCCTTTATTTTTTGGTTTCCACTATTCTATGTGTCCTCAGCAGGGAAACCGGCAGGATATTCCTCCTCCATCTGACAAGAGTCAGAAATTGGGGAACTTCCATAGCTGTGGGGTTGAGAGTGGGATGCAACTTAAGATGACCCTGGGAGGGAGTTTTCCATGATCTGCCGTGTCTTTGAGCATCTGCAGTTCCCATCCTCTCATTCCCGTTTTTCTGGACTTATCTCATTATGGTAGGAAAGTCATTTATTCACCACTATTAACAGCCTCTCCCCTTCTCTGCCCATGGCGGGGAATTCTGGGATAGCTGCTGTCTCTCTGGCTGAACTAGGGTAAAGGGAAAGGAGCGAACTGAGTGAAACCAGACAAGGTGAATTGATTTCCTCTAAAAATTAACTCTGAGTTCCTGATGAAGGAGAAATAAATAGATCCTGAGGATGAGATGAGAGGAGAAACAAGATGAGAATCTTCTGGGCTTAGAGAGAATTGTTAGGAATGAGGAGAGAGGTGATAGTATTTCAGAGGTAGTATATGTGAAATATACAGAGAAAGATAAAGTTTTTGAAGTGCTGCTCTAGTTTGAGTTGAACATCCTTTTGGTATTCTTTGAGAGATTTTGGCAGAGATTAAAATTTCTGGCCAGGCACGGTGGCTCACGCCTGTAATCCCAGCACTTTGGGAGGCCAAGGTGGGCAGATCGCCCTGAGGTCAGGAGTTCAAGACCAGCCTGGCCAACGTGGTGAAACCCCTGTCTCTACTAAAAATACAAAAAATGAGCCAGGTGTGGTGGCGGGTGCCTGTAATGCCAGCTACTCGGGAGGCTGAGGCAGGAGAATCGCTTAAACCCAGGAGGCAGAGGTTGTAGTGAGCCAAGATCAACTGCACTCCAGCCTGGGCGACAGAGCGAGACTCCATCTCAAGAATAAATAAAATTTCTTTGTGAATTACTTTTTGGATACCTGACAGTTGTTTCTCTGAGTACATCATGATGTTAGGACTGGGTCACGAGACAGCTATGTTTTACCTGGGTTACACCAACATTCACAGAAGTTGATCTAAAGTCATCTGTCCTAACCTCTTCATTTTACAGATAAAGAAACTAGGAGCCAAGCAGGTCACAGTTCTTTGTTTCTTTCCTTACCAAACAGTGGAACTGCCTCTGTCCTGCTGTTGCCAAAAGGGAAGTAGGGGAGATTGGTGAACAGAAGAGAAGAAAGAGAGAGAAGTCATCCCTTTTTATTTCTTTCACTGGCAAATTTGATTTCTCAGCCACTTTGGCAAGCAATTCTAGTCCTTTCTGTGTCTTTTTAAAGTTATGTGGCTTGGGGTAGATGGCCTCATATCTGAACCTTAGGTTTCTCCTCTATAAAATTGGTTTAATAAGAACAATACTGCAAGATTTAGGGGCAGTTGCAATTCGATTACAGAAGTGTAATTCCACCTACATGTGTGTGCTGAAGTGAAAAAGCCCATTCCTTCGTCCCACCAGACGGAATCCTTTAATTTCAACTCAATTTCATAAACGTCTTTCCCCACATACAAAAAGGATAAATTCCTCCCTTCTATTTTCCTTTACTCTTTCCTTTATTATGTTCATGAAGCCCAAACCATATACATAATAAAGGGCTAAGAGAGAAAGAAAAGCAGGACCAGAGGAAGCCTCAGAGGCTAGGGTAGGAAAGGAGTTTATTTAGATGAAAGAGAAAGAGGTTTGAGAATGGTAGTGCCAGAGCAGCTTTAGTCTGTAAGGTATTTGAATGGAAACAGAAATATTTGGCCAGGCGCGGTGGCTCACACCTGTAATCCCAGCACTTTGGGAGGCCGAGGCAGGTGGATCTACTTGAGGTCAGGAGTTCAAGACCAGCCTGGCCAACATAGTGAAACCCCATCTCTACTAAAAATACAAAAATTAGCTGGGTATGGTGGCATGTACCTGTAATCCCAGCTGCTCCAGAGGTTGAGGTAGGAGAATAGCTTGAACCTGGGAGGTAGAGATTGCAAGATTGTGCCACTGCACTTCAGCCTGGGCAACAGAGTGAGACTCCATCTCAAAAAAAAGAAAAAAAAAAGGAAGAAAAAGAAACAAATATGTTACTTAATGTTACTTGGACTAGATTTTTGGTTTTTGTTTTGTTTTGTTTTGTTTTTGTTTTGAGACAGGGTCTCGATTTGTCACCCAGGCTGGAGTGCAGTGGTGCGATCACAGCTCACTGCAGCCTCGACCTCCTGGGCTCAAGCGAACCTCCCACCTCAGCTTCCTGAATAACTGGAGCCACAGGCATGTTCCACCACATTTGGCTAATTTAAAATTTTTTTTTTTTTGTAGAGACAGGGTCTCACTTTGCTACTCAGGCTGGTTTGGAACACCTGGGCTCAAGTGATCCTCCAGCCTTGGCTTCCCAAAATGCTAGGATTATAGACATGAGCCACCGCACCCAGCCTGGGCTAGATATTTGGATGCCTTTAATAACCCTCACATTAAACACCGAATTCCTTTTAAATTATAAGTAAAGACTGAACAGACTTTCCTGAACGTGACACCCCTCTGAGTCTGAATTACATGGGTTTCTGGATTCACAAGGGTTGCAAATGTGAGAGATCATGTCATTTGACTGTGATTTCCTTTAAGGGAGAATACGTTCAGGTGTGTATGGTCCCAGGCTGTCAGACCTGGGTATGGGGGCCTCATGCTCTACTTCTTCATTACCTTGTACTGCACCTGCAGCCTTGAGGCTCAAAGGACAATTGAAACTTTAGGGCTAGGTACCTTCTTCTCATCTAGAACGATCCTCCTCCACCTGACCCATCCAGCTGGGCAGATTATTCCCCACTCCTACTCCTGCTCCTCCAAAGCTGGGCCTGTCCCAATTGCTATCCCCAGCTGAGAGCTCCCACAGATTACCAGACCAACAGTCTACAGACTGAGCAGCGGCAGCTCTCAGGGGATCAGTGATCCACTACCTGGGTCCCAATGGCCCCTCAATAAGCGATCTGGAGCCTAACCTCTTCCCCATACCCAAATCATAGGATGAAATTTTCAGGACCACACAGCAAAGCCTAAGGCCCTCCCAAACACTTGAGACTATTTAAGGTGCAGTCCCATGATTTAAAATACCATCTGTCTGCTGACATCTCCCAAATTTATACTACCTTGCAGACCTCTCCTCCAAGCCCTAATCTCAGAAATCTAATTATCTGCTTGACATCTCTACCTTGGCTGGCTCTCACAAACATCTCAATACACATAAAACTAGACTTTTTTTCTTTAGATGGAGTCTTGCTCTGTCATCCAGGCTGGAGTGCAGTGGCGCGATTTCGGCTCGCTGCAACCTCCGCCTCCCAGGTTCAAATGATTCTCCTGCCTCAGTCTCCTGAATAGCTGGGACTACAGGCATGAGCCACCATGCCAGGCTTATTTTTGTATTCTTAATGGAGAAGGGGTTTCGCCATGTTGGCCAGGCTGGTCTCGAACTCCTGACCTCAGGTGATCCACCCGCCTCAGTCTCCCAAAGTGCTGGGATTACAGGCGTGAGCCACCGCACCTGGCCACAAAACTAGATTCTTCATATTCATCCCTAAATCTGCACCACCACTTCCTCCCTCCCTGCAATGGTGACACCACCTAGAACCCAGCTGCTGAAGCCAGAAGCCAGGGAGTTATCCTTGCTTCCTCTTTCACCCTTCACCCTCATATCCCATTCATTGGCAGCCTCTGAAGTTGCTAGCTTTTTCATCTCCACTGCCACCACCATACTTCAAGTGACCCTATGTCTTGTTTGGGCAACCAAAGGGTAGAGCTTACAGAATGGATTGGAAAGTGAGCACATGTAAACACATGTGGAGCCTTCTGCCCTACCCTCATTACCATTGCATGGGATCAAAACAAAAAGATTTGGAAATCTGAGAATGCAAAGAAGTGGGCCCCACTACCCTCTGCAACTCTGGAAGGAGACAGAGATTCCAGCACCAGCAAGAGATGCTCCATTAGTATGGGTGAGCTGATTTAGGCAGGATGTGGATCTGAGATACTATCTTCCTTACAACCTTCCCCCCAGCTTGTCATCCTTGCTTCCTATGGCATAGGGAACACATCTGACAAAGGTAGTTGTAAAACCTCTCCCCCCACAGGAGACAGGAAAGAATATCTTAGGATTTGGCCTCTCTCCTACGAGATTTGGCCTAAGAGGCTAAGAGAGAGAAAGGCAGGAGAAGAAGCCTCAGAGGCTGGGGTGGAAGAGGAGTTTATTTAGGCAAATGAGGGAGTGAGGTTTAAGAATGAGCCAAAGTCAGGTAACAGCTGAAACTTGAGAGCTTCAGGGCCTGCTGGGGGATCACCATAAAGTGGGCAAGGGGACCCAGTGGTGAGTCAGGGTGGATGACTCAAACTGGAGACCTGAGAGGTGGCATAACTGAGATGAAGGCAGATATAGGAAGGGGAGATTCCTCAGTTCCACTAGAGAACAGATACCAAGGTGCATGAATGCAGCAGAAGATCAACATTGGTCAGATGCCCCTCCTGCAATGCCAGGAAGACACACAAGCCCCTTGGAATTTTGAGCACATCCGGACAGAAGGAAAAGGAAGGGAAGAATTCTGAAACTGCTGAGAGAGTATTCAAAAGAGACCGTGAGAACTGACGATGCTTCTTGCATTGACAAGGCGGAATGAGCTAAGCTGAATTTCATCATAGGAAAATAAATAAAATTAAATGTTTGCACACTGAACTGTTTGAAGTGGGAAATTTCCCACTTGTGACAAGTAAATCCTACCATACTATTTCCTTTACTTAAAATAAACTCCGAACTGCTTATCTTGACCCAGAAGGCCCTGCATGGTTTGGCCTCTACCATTTTCACCATCCTCAGTTCAAGCCTCTCTGCCAGAACCAACAGCGCAAACCACTCTGGCTTTCTTTGAGTTCCTCTGACACTCTGAGCCCTTTCTTGCTTTCACACTTGCTCTCCATCTCCCTTCCTCCTTTGTGATCCATCAAAAGGATGCCACCTCCTCTGGGAAGTCTTCTCAGATCACTTTCCAAGTGGTTTCCCTGTGCCGCCCTTTATCTCAGCACCTTACTGCCATCCTCTTAGCACTTCACACTGTACTTCTTCCCTCATCTTTGCTTGCTACCTGTCTCTTCCATTAGACTTAAACTCCCCGGGGGCAGGGACTTAGCCTTTCCTTCATCACCATTACATGCCTAGCTCCTGGCACTGTGTGTAGTAGGTGCTTGATCAATGTTTGTTGAATGAATGGATCTCTGGACTCCAAGGCCCTACCCAGCAGAATATCTAACACAGGGTGGATGTGGGTTCATGACAGTGACCAAGCACTCCCTTACAAAGCAGACCCCGAGGAACCAGAAGTCACACCAAATTGTGTCTCTGGGTAGAGAGTATGTGACTGGGGGCCCTGGCCCAGGGTTTCCCATTTTGCCAATATCCATCCTGATCTGCTGAAGTGGGAAGGAGGAAGTGAATTTAGCCCAGCCCCTGGATTCTCCAAGTCAAAAAGCTGAGGCCCAGTGAGATGATCAGAGTTAGTGGTAGGAGGGGACTCAGAATTTCAGCTTCCCAACTCCAACTCAGCAATCTTCCTTGCACATTTCACTCTCAATTCAATTTCTTCCTCTGCATAGAAAAGGAATTTTATTCCCTCTCCTTTAATTGAATGCAAACATGGCCAACTTGTTTAAGAACTAAAATTCATAAATACTCTGGAGAAATACATACATTTATCTGCATGAAAAGATGGAAAAATGAGAAGTGTCGTATTCTTTAAGTGACTCAGGACTATCTTTATGGTTTTCTTTAAGCTACTTTAATGTTGTAATGGCTTGACTGAGGAAAGCACTCCAGAAACCTCTAGAGAAAATGGCTCAGTAGACCCAACGTTTTACACCTGGGCTGGAGTGACTTTAAATAAAACTCCCTTTCACCTCATTTCATTTCCTCAGTGGAACATTTCACATGTAGCAAACAGATAAGTCTGTTTTTCCTGTTTTGTTTCTTAAATGTAATTTCAGAGTGCTTTCAGTATTGAAAGAGCCATAACCTTTTCTCCCCTCACACTCAAACAATAGTGAAATCATGTGTAATAAGGGTCAAACCTATTGCCCAGTACATAGTACAATTCGTTGCACATAGTAGGTGCTCAAAAAAGAAGTAAATATTTATGAAGCACCTATTCTATCCCGGGTACCCAGCCTAGGTGCTGATGTTTAGAGGTGGACCAAACAGACATGGTCCCTGCCATGTCCCTGCCACGAGTTTACAACCTGGGGAGGGAGACAAACAGCACACAAGTATTTAAGGATACACACAAACACACATATACATGTGAATCAAGAAAGGTGGTGTGAGAGTAATGAACAGAATGCAGTCATCAGGCACACACAAGACAGGGGAGCAGGCCAGGCACGGTGGCTCATGCCTGTACTTCCAACACTTTGGGAGGCCGAGCTGGGTGGATCACCTGAAGTCAGGAGTTCAAGACCAGCCTGGCCAACATGGAGAAACCCTGCCTGTACTAAAAATACAAAAATTAGCTGGGTATGGTGGTGCACACTTGTAATCCCAGCTACTTGGGAGGCTGAGGTGGGAGAATTGCTTGAACCCGGGAGGTGGAGGTTGTAGTGGGCTGAGATCACACCACTGCACTCCAGCCTGGGCAACAGAGTGAGACTCCATCTCAAAAAAAAAAAAAAAAAAAAAAAAAAGACAGGGGAAGAGAACTATTTAGATATGGTTGCAAGGGAAAATATGTTGTGAGGAAGAAATAATTTCATTTTGAGGCATGAATGAAGAGGAGGATCCAGGGGCAGACTTAGAAGCTTAGCTTTCCATATGGAGACAGCAGCATGTGCAAAGGCTCCAGGACAGGGAAAATTTGATGTGTTCTAGAACTTGAAGAATCTATATCACTAGAGTGGTCAATAGGCACCATATCATGTTGGGTGTGCTCTAAGGGAAAAAGAAGTCATTGGGGGATTTAAGAAAGAGAGTGACATGATCTTACTCATGAAAAGCACCCTGGGCTGTGAGGAGAATGGATTGAGAAGCTCGCAGAACAAGATTGCAATGGACAAGGTGAGACTCCATTAGAAAGATGGAAAGAAGAGGATGGATTTAAAATA
The DNA here is from genome assembly GCF_000001405.40 of Homo sapiens. NCBI lineage: Eukaryota > Metazoa > Chordata > Mammalia > Primates > Hominidae > Homo > Homo sapiens. The sequence continues at coordinate 183,326,819 of NC_000001.11, forward strand.
TACATTGGAGGAAGAATCACCAGGTGGGCTGAAACTTTGACTCTGAGGGTTAAAGAAGGGACTAGATAACCAGGTGGATGGAAGAGGACTGGGAGAGGACCAAGAAAAATTAATGAATAGGATTAATCTCCAGTCACACAACAGAGAGGGAAAGAGTGGACATAGCTATCCCCATTACCCTTTCTCAGCAGTATTCATAATTATATTTTATGTATGTATGTATGTATGTATGTATGTATGTATTTATTTTTGAGACAGAGCTCACTCTGTCACCCAGGCTGGAGTGAGGTGGTGCAATCTCGGCTCACTGCAACCTCCGCCTCCCAGGCTCAAGCAATTCTCCTGCCTCAGCCTCCCAAGTAACTGGGATTACAGGCATGTGCCACCATACTTGGCTAATTTTTGTATTTTTAGTAGAGACAGCTGGTCTCTACTAAATGTTGGCCAGGCTGGTCTCGAACTCCTGACCTCAAGTGATCCGCCTGCCTCGGCCTTCCAAAGTGCTGGGATTACAGGCATGAGCCACTGTGCCTGGCCCTAATTATACATTTTTTAAATAACAAAGTGGAGACAGACATTTAAGATAACTTCTCTCAGTTCACACAGCGAATTATGAAGATGTGTTGGCTCAAGCATCACCAATCCAGTACGCCAAAAGGGCCATATTTGCAGGCATTCCTTCTTGCTACCTCGACAGCTCATGTATACCAGTGCTTCTTACTGTTTGCCAGCAACTCTTCTCAAATTCAGACATCTGTACACTGCACAGACATCAGTATGTCCCAGAATCGTTTCCAACGGAGTGGTGGGTAGGGGTGAGTGGTTGAAGAAGAGCAGGGATGTTTATTCGCCAGCACTGAGTTCTCTGTACTCACAAACTAGGCAATTTCTCAGTGCCACAAGGACATTTCTGAGTCACTTGGACAGATCTCTTGGGAGTGATGCCTGGAGAATTAGAAATAAAAATAGTCTTCTTAGCTGCTGTTTTTTGTGTGTGTATGTGTGTTTTTCCCCTTTTGCCCTGGGAAGCTACTGCTTTCCCTCCCTGTCCTCGCTGGCCCTGTCTACTCCCTGGCTCCCCTGGGTTTCAGAGGAGCTGGCACTGAACACTGCTCTTTCTCACTTGACATCCTCTCTCCAACTTAGCAAGCAGGTCTTCTGCCAAATCTCCAGGTCGGTGGCTCATCAACGTCAGCTGCCCCCACAGCTTCTAGGGCAGGCGGAGAGGTTGTTCCCTCCAGGACTTGGGCCAGAGAGGGGAGAATAGGGGTCATGGGAGGGAACCATCACCTGGTCTCGGACCACACAGTATTGCAGCTGGACTCCAGCCACTCAAACACACTGAGTTGGCAGGTCCCTGAAAACTGAAAAGGGAGAGGGATCAGATGCCGCAGGCCAGGACCCTGGCTTCCTGGCTCCCTGGCTTCCTCCCCACCCATCTGCTCTACCCCCTCTCACCTCCAGAAGCCTTGGAGGGGCTATGATTGTTTTGGACAGTCTGAAGCTGAGATCAGCAAAATACGGACCCTCAGAGAGCATTTTGAAAAGAGCCTCTCTGGTGCTACATGTTAATAAGCCCTTCTAGGAGAATGCTCTTCTAGAATTTGCCATTTCTGCCTCCCTACCATTCCTCCTTGGGCAATGCCCTTGGGCAATGAAACCTCTGCTCTCTAGTCCTTTCTGAGGGAGATGGTGATCAGGACAAAGCCCTAGCCAGCCCCATGAGTCAGCATGGTCACTGCTGATCTGACCATCAGGCTTGGTGTCAGGAGCTAGCAATCCTCCTGGCTCTAGTTAGGTGACTTGTCTCTAGGAGCCCTGCCTACTGTCCTCCCAACCTCAACACCTAGTGCCATGGGAATGATGTTCTGCACCAACAAACCTTTGCCTCCTGTGAGGAAGATCTTGTGGAATGTCTGCCGCAATCTACAGAGTCTCCTAGCCTGACCTGTGGACTCACAGTAATAGTTGGTAGCCACCTTGTAAAATGTGACCCTACTTCCCATTCCAACATCAGTTGATTGGACTATAAAAGCCAATAGAAATCCTTCCCCCGGTATTTGGATTGCAGGAGAGAGAGACAGAGAAACATGGAGACAGAGAGATTTGGTCCTTCTGTGGGGCTGTGGTTGTCTGTTTTTGTGCTGTGCAGAGGTAGCAGAGGTAGCAGAGGTAGAGGAGCAGAGGTAGCAAGTCGGTAGAAATAGCAAACAATGTATCAGCTACAGAGAAAGAGGCAAAGATGAGAGACAGACATACTGCAAGGGTTCCCTACAGCTTTCCAAATCAGGGTTCCTAGCCTCCCTGAAGCCCATTTCTGCCTATGGGGGTTCATGATTTCTATCCCCCTACCAGCATAAACTAGAGTAACAATCATGTTGTTGTATTCCTTTAATTCAAACAAATATCCATTTTAATTGTGTGTGTGTGTATGTGTGTGTGAAGAAACACTAAATTGAAGATAAATATTATAAAATTTATTGCAGTTTCAGAAATGCTCAGCATGAAAGTCATATATCTTAGCATTGAGGAAATAGGATATTTTAAATTCCCTGATCTGGACTCTTAATTAGGTAAAATGGTCCATTTTAACCCATTAAAGTGTACATTCCTCCAAGTCATTCAGGAGAGGTTGGAAACTATCTGTTAAAACCTGTGTGGGAGGAGACCTACTTGGATAATCTTCGGCTGGATAAGAATAGCTTTTAGCAATTTCTTACTGAGCCTGCCATGGGGATGACCCTGCTAAGATCATTATTCAAGCCCTCACTGTTCCCCTCATGGAGGGCTGCAGCCAGAGCCACACTGAGCTGTCCTCCTTCCCAACAGATACTGCCCACCCATCACCTTTTTGCTGAACATATTCACTTTCCTTCCTGCTCCTACCTTTTCTTGATAACCCCCAAGGTGAGATCCAGGAGCCTGCAGAGATGGTTGGTTCCAAGCTTGACTGAGTGCTCTATGGGGGCATTGCAAGCATCCGGTGTTAGAGAGGTATAGAAGTCATCTAATCTACTCCCTCCTCTGAAAGCCATGGAATTGGGGCTCAGAAAACTTAAATGCATTGCATAGGGTCACCCAGCCAGATAGCGGCACAACCCAAACTAGAATTCATGTTTACTGACTTCCAGTTCTGTGCTCCACTCACTCTATCACAACTCCTCTTCCCCGCAAAACCGGGAGGCTGGATATCGAACGGGGAGACAAGGGGAGCCACCATGAGATGCAGCAAAACAGTGACTGAGCATATGGATCTGGAGCCAGAGTGTCCAGGTTCAAATCCCAGCTCTACCACTCCCCAGCTGCATGGACTCAGGCCAGCTACTTAGCGGCTTTATGCCTCAGTTGCCTCATCTGTAAAATGGAGATAAAAACAGTATCCATCACATAGGATTGTTATAAACATTATTTGAGTCAATGTGAGTACAGCATTTTGAACAGTGCCTGGCACACAGTACACTCTATTTGTGCATTTGGTAAATAAAATCAAGCAGTCTCTGAAGACCCAGGATTTGGTGAGACATCTAGAATTAGAGCTATCCTGAGACGTCAATTGAGCAGAGGCCCTCAACACCAGGCTCTGGGACTGTGTTACAAAAGCAGCCAGGCAGAGAGCAGAACAAAGGAGGGTGGGACAGGTGCTGGCTTTCAGCTTGGACTGCTTCACCATGGTCCCTACCTACACTCCCTCCCCAGGGAGCCTCCCTGTTCTTCCTCAACCATGCCTTCACTAGGTGAGAACATTGTTGGTGGCACTGGCGCCACAGCTGACTGGCCAGTTATCTCCCCATCCCAAAGCAAAACTTGGTGGGCTATGCACGCCTCAGAAAGTCTGGGTCAACCCGCTACAAATGTTAAGCACAGTGCTGGGGCACCCCTGAATTAATGAGGCATTTCTTAATGACCTAAAAATATATATTTCTTTTGTCAACCTGCATCTTTAATGGTTAATTCAAGCAGAATCAGCGAGGTGAATTCTATTCCAATTGGCAGCTCCTCCCCACTTTAATGTCCTTTCAGATATCTAGAGTAAAATGTGCAGAAAATAGTTTTCACCTCCTTCAGGGCTCAGAGCTCCCAGTCCCTGTGTAAATGATCCTAATGTTTCCTTCAGATCTCCATTCAACCTCTCAGACATGTTGAAGGAGCCTCCTCTGTTTCTTTTCTTTCCTTTCATTTCTTTTTTTCTCTCTCTCTCCCCTCCCTTTTTCCCACCCTTCCTTCCTTCCTTCCTCCTACTTTCTGGGGTTTATTCAAGATCCAGGCTGATTTTCAGCCTGCTACTCAGCTGGGAGCCCCTGCAAATGAAACCCCTCACTGCTCTCCCAGCAAAAGCACAGAGGCATGTGAAATCATGAGGGGCAGGTGGGGGTGGCCGTGGCGCACTGAGCACTGGAACTGGAAAGAGGGCAGACATCAATCAAGCTGCTGTCATAAAACATGCATGAAAAGCAGGGGTGGGGTCTGGGGGAGGGTTGCCAAAGCCTGTTTTTCAGCTCACAGCTGGGGACTTGAGGAGGAGACTGGCTGACGGGAGGCGAGGCGAGGCGTGAAGGAGAGAGGAGAAGGGAGCTGGAGGGTGCGGCACTGCATAGACAAGATGAAAGGCAGGTATCTAGAAGCTGAGTGCCAGAGGGAAGCAGAGGCAGATTTGGTCTCCAACAAGGGGCAGCCAAGGGAATCAGGAGCCTGGAATGTAAACACCTTTTCTTCCTACATGAAAAGCCACCAGTCTTTCTTTTTCCAACTCCCTGCCTTTCTGGGGGCTCCCTGCTCTCTCCTGTTGGGCCAGTGACCTGACATTCCAGCAGCTGCAGCCTCAGGCGTGAGCCTTCCAGACAGCCTGGCGCCTGCACGCTGCTGCTGCTGGTAATGCAGGACCTTCCCTCCCCAGGGGAACACAGCCCACCCCCACCACCCAGGCTACCCCATAGCCAGCCGCACGCCCCACGGTGCATAGTTTTTTATTTTCATTTATTTATTTTTTGAGACGGAGTCTCACTCTGTCACCCAGGCTGGAGTACAGTGGTGCAATCTGGGCTCACTACAACCTCTGCCTTCCCAGTTCAAGCGATTCTCCTGCCTCAGCCTCATAGCTGGGATTCTAGGTGCTCGCCACCACGCCCGGCTAATTTTTGTATTTTTGCAGAGACAGGGTTTCACCATGTTGGCCAGGCTGGCCTCGAACTCCTGACCTCACGTGATCCACACGCCTCAGCCTCCCAAAGTGCTGGGATTACAGGCATGAACCACCATGCCTGGCCTCCATGTTGCACACTTTTGTAGCCCTCCATATCAAACCTGTGTCCTCAGATGCAAGCTCTGCCAAAGCACTATGCATACCTCCCAGCCAGGAGGGCCAGCTTTCTGTTAGAGAACTGTTTATTTTTAACATAAACACAAAGCCAGTGGGCCTTTTCTAGAATTTTCTAGACTCAGCAGGGCCCAGAGTCTTAAAGTTAAGCCTGCTCCTTTGTGTGTTCTCTGATCTCACCAATGTGAGATTTTTTAATAGACAACTTTGTCTTACCTAACTGTCTTTTGGGGAAATGATAACCCTGGATGCGCCTCAGAATTAAATTATAAGAGGCAGAATGTGATATTAATCATTGTGAATACTCAGGTTAAAAAGCACTAAATGCTGAATAAATTAGAGTACTCAGTCACATAGACTGGAACCAAAGAGAGGGGGATAATGAGGGCAAACAGAATGGAGAAAAGGCTTAAAATGAGGTTTGAGATTTATAGGAACACATGGGTTGAAAGTGAGATGCAATCAGACAGTCACCAGCCAACCCTGCACATGGGGGCAGTGGAGGAGATTCCAAAAAGCCAAAAAGACGCTTGCCTGCCTTTCAGTCTGACTGGCAACATGCTAGCCAAGCCCAGGAGGGCCACCCCAATTCACTTTTAAACTACTCTGGACCAGAGGAAGTGGCACAGCTTCCTTGGATCTAGCAATTTCTCTAGGGATTCAGACTTACCAGGGGAAATTCTCAGCCTCGCCCAGGTCGGGGTGCACTGCCCTCTCACCCTCCCCTGCTGGTTTCTGGGCCTTCAAAAACTCTGCACATTTATCCTCATTTTGTTTGCAGTAGCAGCCATCAGCCTATTGGGAACCCCAGGGTGACAGCTCTCAGAGATGATGATCTTAGGATGGCCTTATGGCTGGACCAGGCCATGACTTTAGTGTTACCAGGTAATGACATCCACTCTGACACAAAGCTGGGATGAAGCTGACTCCCATTGGAAAACCCCATAGAGAAGGACTCCAAACAGCTTCACAAATCTCTTTTAGGGGAAGGAACAAAACCCAGGTGGAAGCCAATGCCCAGAGAACTCTCCAGGGGATACCTGGAGCTGGTAAAAGTGTGGTCACTCCAGCACTCAGAGGCATTTACTGAACATCTTCAGAGAGGTCCTTGGGCCAAAAGAAAACTCAGGCTGGAGTGGGATGAGAGGGTCATCTCTACTATGGTAGGCAGAATAACTGCCCCCATGAAGATATCCACATCCTAATCCCCAGAATCTGAGAGTATGTTATCTTACATGGCAGAAGGGACTTTACAGATGTGATTCAGTTAAGGATCTTCAAATGGGAAGATAATCCTGATTATTTAACTTAAGGATCCTTATAAGAGGGAGGCTGGATTGTCAGAGTCAGAGAAGGAGATGTGAGGAAAGAAGCAGAGGTCAGAGTAATGTGGGGCCATGAGCCAAGGAGCGCAAGCAGTCTCTGAAAGGTGGAAATGGGCAGGAAACAGATTCTCCCCTAGAGCCTCTAAAAGCAATGCAGCCCACCTAATTTGTTTTGGACTTCTGGCTTCCAGAACTGTAAGATAATACATTTGTATTGTTTTAAGCCACTAAATTTCTGGTAATTTGTAACAGCAATAATAGGAAACGAATACACTTTCTAAGCAGCTTGACTTGCACATAACTCAAGTCATTGCTGGATAAACCTGAAACATGGTGCTCCTTTTGGCTTTCTTCACAGATAATCTGCTGCTGGTGCTTCCCCCTCCTGACTTATAAATGCTGCCATTAGCTCTGTCATTTCCAGCTGTGTTCTTGTTCTCTTCAACTATCTCCGGGATCCACCAATGCTGTCTAATTGTCCCCAGTAAGTAAGAAAACTGAAAGGAGAAAATGATCTCATTGTTCCCAGTTAAGTAAGAAAGCCGAAAGGAGAAAGTGATAAAGACAAGTGCAGAGGCTTTGGGAAATGTGCACGATGCCTCTTCCTCACCGTCTCATTTTTTTTGAGACGGTGTCTTGCTCTGTCACTTAGGCTGGAATGCAGTGGCACGATCTCGGCTCACTGAAACCACCGTCTCTTTCGGGCTCAAGCAATTCTCCTGCCTCACTCTTCCGAGTAGCTGGGATTACAGGAGCACAACACCATGCCCGACTAACTGCTGTATTTTTAGTAGACACAGGGTTTCACCATATTGGCCAGGCTGGTCTCAGACTCCTGACCTCAGGAGATCCATCCGCCTCAGCCTTCCAAAGCGCTGGGATTACAGGCGTGAGCCACCATACCCGGCCCTGTTGAATTTCAATAGACTCCTTGCTTTCTATGACAGCCTCCTCAGACTGAAAGCCCAGATTCAACTAAGTTTATTTCAACACACTCAAGAGTCTGTGTCGCCACAGGGCCGGTGGAAGCAGGTGAGTTAGGTACAAGGCCACCCATTCTTTTTTTTTTTCTTTTGAGACAGAATCTTGCTCTGTCTCCCAGGCTGGAGTACAGTGGCATCATCTCAGTGCAACCTCCGCCTCCCAGGTTCAAGCGATTCTCCTGCCTCAGCCTCCTGAGTAGTTGGGATTACAGGCACCCACCACCAAGCCCAGCTAATTTTTGTATTTTTAGTGGAGATGGGGTTTCACCATGTTGGCCAGGCTGGTCTCGAACTCCTGACCTCAAGTGATCCGCCCATCTCAGCCTCCCAAAGTGCTGGGATTACAGGCATGAGCCACCGCACCTGGCCCAAGGCCACCCATTCTTCAGGTCGTGACCCAAACTGCCAGGACAGCTAAGCCCTGGGGTTGGGAGACTCCACGGTGCCCTAGTAAGGAAGCTCTGGGCTGACTTCCTGTCTGTTCTGGGTCAGGAAAAAGTTACATGATATTGTCCTAAGTGGAGAGAGTTAAGGAACTGGAGCACAACTTGGAATTAGATTAACATAAAAATCTGATTCAGCCAGGTCTCTCAGCTCCTCACTACATCAATTAATAACAATTGTCAAGTATAACCTACCAGGTACCTTACAGGTATCTCCTCATTTAATCCACTGAACTGTTGCATTATTCCCGTTTTACTGGGCTTCTGTGAAAAGTCACCGAACAATCACAACCAAAATAACAATTCCCCAAACAACTAGTTTCCTTCTTCTTGTTAGATCCCGTCTCTGTTAACAGCAACACCATCTACTCAGATGTCCAAATTAAAAAGTTCTGGTAGAAACAACATGGTCTCTTTCTACTCTATACCTCTGCACAAATCCGGCCCTATGTCTTGAAAAATCTATACCTCCAGCTGTGGATGCAAATAGGAAGGAAATAGCCCTTCACTCATTAGTGTAAAATGTGAATGAACCACCAACATGGCCACCACCTGAGTCTCCTCTGCACCCCTCTGTGGCAAGGTGATGTGAGGAAGCTCTTTTTCTGATTATGGATGCTTTTGCAACAGCCAAGCTTGAAGATGTTTCTGCTGTAGTCATCTTCAGTTCCAGCTTGGCTATGTTTCCTTGGGATAGACATGGGAGAAATGTCTATATAATGCCTTCCTAAAGCTTGGGAAAAATAGAACTTCCCTGGTGTCCCAGGATGGGGTTAGTTGATCATGCCTTTGTGCTGCCACATTGCGCATACTCCTTTTTGCAGTTATCCCTGTGTACTTCATTCATTTTATTTCATTATTTTTACTATATGTTTTGCCAACTAGATTATAGGGTCTCAGAAGTCAGGATCATGTCTAATATATCTTCTGATCCCAAGTCTAACCAGTGCTTGACACATTACAGGCACCCATCAATGTTTGTTGGATAAATAATCTGTGAATACAATAGGCTGGCCTATCTTTGGGCACAGGATGATCTCAGGAGATACGGAGGTTTACAAGGAGAGTAGGAGGGAGAGACCTTCACAACAAGGGTATCTGAACTCTGTGAAACTCATTTCTGTGAGAAACTAAAAGAGTCTGAAATTCTTCCCTAAATGTGTGTGATTTCTTCTCATACCAACTTTATTCCCTGGCAACAGGCTGTAATGTTTTCCTAAATCAGCCCAGTGAACTTAGGCTTGTTGGGTTTTAACCAACAGTAGCACTGTAGTGTTACTAGAGTAGTGCCACAATCAAATCTAAGCCTAATAGACTAGGATGAAAGTCATTTAATAACAAAAAGACAAACAAGGCAATTAAAAGAAAATGTATGAAAACTTGAACGGACATTTCACAAAAGAAGATATATATAAGTGGCCAATAACCACATGACAAAGTACTCAGTGTCATTAGAAATCAAATAAATGCAAAAGAAAATTACAATGAGATACCACCTCATACCAGTTTGAAAAACCAATATGTGTTAAAACCTTTTTATTTTGAAAATAATTGTAGCTTCACAGGAAGTTGCAAAGAGAGTATAGAGAGAATACTCTTCACCCAATTTCCCCCACTGGTTATATATCATATCACTTCATATGGATTTGAAAACCTACAATTAAAAAGACTGACATTACCAAATATTGTTGGTGATAGGGAGGAACTGGAATTCTCATACGTTGCTGGTAGGATTGTCAAATGGCAACCACTTTGGAAAACCATGCAGTAGTTCTTTACAAAGTTAAACAAACACCAGATGATTCAGCAATTCTATTCCTAAATACTTACCTAAAAGAAATGAAAACCTGTGACCACAAAAATACTTACACAAGAATGTTTCTAGCAGTTGTGTTTACAATAGCTACAAACCAGAAACAACCCAAATGTTCATCAATAGGAAATTGGAGAAATAAACTGTGGTAGATTCAAACAATGGAATACTTCATAGCAACACAAAAGGATACAATCTACTACTTGCAAGAACACAGATAAGTCTGTTGGGAGTAGAAAGCCAAATACAAAACAATGTATACTGTTTAATTTCATTAAACTAAAGGTCAAGAATGCAAAACTAATCTATAGTGACAAAAATCAGAATAGCTGCCTACAGGGAATAAGGACTGCCTGGAAGGGAGCAGGGGAAATCTTTCTGGGGTGATTAGAATGGTCTGTATCTTGATTGGAGAGTTGGTTACACAGGTGTATTTGTCAAAATTCAGTGACTTGAACATTTAAGATCTGTGCTTGCCACTCTATGTAAATATTTTCCTTAATTTTTAAAAATGAAAATAATGGGAAAAAAGATTTCTACAATAAGAGAGAAAGAATGACATAGTGAAGGGATAAAAATATGAAAAAAATTAGGAAGAGAGAAAATCCTGCTGTTTACTACCTGTCAGTAGTAGTATATTTTTAAAATCATGACTATGTTTTACTTTGATGAAAATACAACAACAAATTTATCTCTTTAAACTTCAAAATCCTCACATCACTATTTGATATATTATTTAGTGTTATCATTATCACACAGGTTCTATAAAGAAAAAACCCAAGACATAAAGAGGTTGAGTCATTTACTAAGAAATAAGACCTTGAATCTAGGTTTGCCTACTACCAATAATCTTAACCACCTCCTCTCCACAGCAAAAAAAAAAAAAAAAAAAATACCATACATTTGAGAAGCATCTGTAATTGAGAGTTGCCATCAGTTTGTGGGCTTTTATAATTATTCCTTCAAGAGTAATGCACCAAGGATTCAGCCGAAGCTTCTCTCTGCTGGCAACAATCGTTTCCTGCTCCATTTTTAAATGTTTAATCACTTAGATACCTTTTGCCATCAATACTTTCCATCCATTTGCACTTTTATTGCCATTTTCCAAGGGTCTAAATGCCTCGTAGATGATTCTAGATGTCACAAACCTGGCTTCTTTGTAGAGAGAGGCCTGTGCTGTGCTTAGATGTTTAATGCAAAAGTAGTGGAAATGCTGGGATGTGCATACACTTGTCAGACTGTTTCTTTATTTGCTAGTGAAATCTAAGGAATAAACTGGTTGTTCTCTTATTATTGATTTCAAATAGATCCCCTCTCTAAAGAAAGGTTATGCCATGAACTATAACAATGGAAATGTTGCCAGGCACACTGACCTGCATCTGTAGTCCTAGCTACAGGAGGATCACTGGAGCCCAGACCAGCCCAGGCAACATAGTGAGACCCCCATCTCTTTAAAAAAAAAAAAAAAAAAAGCAAATGCTACAGGATACAGATAGAAAAGTGGGAATAGATCTGACAGATCATTAACCGTGAGGCAGATATCATAACTCTGAGTTCTTCAGATGAATCAGGGTGCATCTGAAAACTGCAAGACACTAGATTCTACTTGAAAGCTAGAAAGAAATTCTGAGATCATTTATTCCAAATACCCTCACTTTGCACATGAAAAAATTAGGTGTGGGGTTGAGGAGAAATGACAACAGTGTAGAAATAGCATAGGAGTTTCTATTTAAAAACCTTAGCTTTATGTTCTGGTTTTCACTTACTAGAGGTACAATCTTGAAGTGCTTAACCTCATGTTCTTTTCTGTAAGATGGAAATAAGAACCTGTTCTGATGACTCACACGGTCTTATGATAATCAAATGAAATAAGGTTTGAGAAACTGTTTTGTCGACTTTACATTAATGCGTATTATTACTGTTGCCCAAGTTGGTAAATGGAAAAGCTAAAACTGGAACTCAGGTCTCCTGAGTGCACTCTATCAGTTTGAAAAACTACTCCTAGGCTACTCAGCTGACCTCAGAGGGCAATTTATTATTAAACCCGGGACATAGGAAGTAGCACTGGCTTCAGGAGGCTACAGAGGAGGAGCAGGATCTGACCACTACAATGAGACAGTGCTGGCTTGGGGAAGAGAAAGAAGCAACTAGAAACTGTCCTGTGTCAGGTAATGTGGCCAGGCAACTTTTGGAGACTCTCCCACTCTGTCTCGGGCTATGAGTTGGCATGAAACAGGGTGGGAAGGGCAGGACTGAAAGGGCATCAGAGCCAAGTGCCTCTATTTAGTAAGGCTGATTTCACAGGGTCCTGCCAGGCGACCCTGCCCAAGGGCTCCCTTAGGGACAAACATCCCATCATGGGTAGGCACAACAGCTCCAGTTCCTGAGATCACAGTTTTGTTTTATTTTTATTTTTTTTGAGATGGAGTCTCGCTCTGTCGCCCAGGCTGGAGTGCAGTGGTACGATCTCGGCTCACTGCAAGCTCTGCCTCCCGGGTTCATGTCATTCTTCTGCCTCAGCCTCCCAAGTAGCTGGGACTACAGGTGCCTGCCACCACGCCTGGCTAATTTTTTGTATTTTTAGTAGAGACGGGGTTTCACTGTGTTAGCCAGGATGGTCTCAATCTCCTGACCTCATGATCTGCGCGCCTCAGCCTCCCAAAGTGCTGGGATTACAGGCAAGAGCCATGGCGCCTGGCTGAGATCACATTTTTAAGTCCTCAGGGATGGGTACCCAGAGTCAGTGCCTGGATACCACTGCTTGAGTCCTTTGCAGCATTATTGTAGAGAGTTTCAACAGCATCGGAAGCCCAGTCCAGAGGAGCAGTACTGGGTTCAAATCCCAGAGCTGAAGGTCCTTGGACAAGAGATTTACCTTGTCTGAGCTCCAGTGTCCTCGTTTAAAGTTGGCATAAAGGGTTATTGTGACAAAGATGATCACAAGGGTCAATATTAATTGAACACTTACAATGTGCTAGGCACTGTTCTCAGCATTGACGTGGCTTATCTCATTTAGTTGTTACACAATGCATTTTTGATAACTGCCCTGCCACCCAGGGAGGTACCATCTGTACTCCAAAATGAAGCTCCTTTTGAGAGAGCCTTTTTATCTCTGCCTTCTGAGTGGCCCAATGAGAGGTCCTGAAGGAGCTATGTCTGCCTCAGGTGGGTGTTGGAAGCATTCATGAATGCCTGGAACCACAGGCATGTACTGAGCAGCCAGGCCATTGCTATCACTAACAATCAAGATCCTGAAAACAAGAACACATAAAAGGGGAATGTCGGTTGCCGTAGGCCCTTGGCAGATCAGCAGAGTCACTTAGGCCAATCACAATGATTACAAGGAGCAGAGAGCCTGGTCCAGTCACCTTCTTTAAGGTCAATTGCCAATCAGCCTTGCAAGGGCCTCAGGCTAGAGAATCAGACTTTCTGGCTCTCCCCTTCTGGGGTGCTGCCTCCCTGCTGGGGGCTAAAGCTCTGAAGAGCAGACATCTGTACTGGCAAGCACAGCCTCTCTCAACTGGCTTCCAGGGAAGACATCCTCAAATAGATACAGCTGGTTAGTACCCAGGTGGCAAAGTGGCTGATAGCCATTTGGATCCTGGCACTGTTTCCCTGGGTTAGCTTTTTTTTTTTTTTTTTTTGAGATGGATTGTTGCTCTGCCACCCAGGCTAGAGTGCAGTGGCGCAATCTTGGCTCACTGCAATCTACACCTCCTGGGTTCAAGCAATTCTCCTGCCTCAGCCTCCCTAAGTAGCTGGGATTACAGACATGTGCCACCACACCTGGCTAATTTTTGTATTTTTAGTGGAGACAGGGTTTCACCATGTTGGCCAGGCTGGTTTTGAACTCCTGACCTCGGGTGATCCGCCTGCCTCAGCCTCCCAAAGTGCTGGGATTACAGGCATGAGCCACCGTGCCTGGCCTCTGGGTTAGCTTCTTCCGATGGACAGCAGACTGGGAAGCTTTGCAAAAACTTGCTTGATTTAGATGTAAGCATATCTGCCTGGGTGCTGAGAGGTACTTGTCCTCCCAGGCCTACCAAGCTGGGCTGACGAAACATAATCCAAAGATGACCTGCTGGATTGCTGGTTTAATTACAGCATCCCCAGGTGCCCTGATGGCAGGAGAGCAAAAGGATTGTGACCTAAAAGCCCCACCTAACAACCTGGATTTATACGAAGGGTGGGGTAGTGATTATTAGACTAATATGCTTTACATGTGGGAAGGCTGTAGCTCACAAAGGCTCCACATGCATTATTTCATTAGATCCTGATGATGAGCTGTGAGAGGAGGCAACACCCGTCCTTGGTTTACTGAAGAGGAAACTGAAGTTCTGACAGCCTGGGCGACTTGCCCAAGGTCATGCAGTGGATGGGCGGCTGGGCTAGAACTTGAACCCAGGTCGGCTAAGCCCACCTAAGAGTAATAGCCAGGTTGGCTAAGATTCCTTGGCACTTTCATCTGCGGCAGTTTGCTCAGGTTGGTAGATTGAGCGCTGCGAGTCAAGAAGGCATCTGTGTGGCTCACTGTGAGACTCTGGGACCATCAGGTCTTTATTATGCACCTACCCATTAGTTGCTCCCATTCTGAAATGGCAACCACAATGCTATAAACAATATAAGTGAGGCATTTTGGGACAACTGGCCACACATAATAGACACCCAATAAATGTTGGTTGTTGTTAAATATGAGAAAGGCCAAGCATGGTGACTCACGTCTGTAATCCCAGTGCTATGGGAGGCCAAGGCAGGTGGATCGCTTGAGCTCAGGAGTTTGAGACCAGCCTGGGAAACATAGCAAAACCCTGTCTCTACAAAAAATGCAAAAAAAAAAAAAAAAAAAAAATTAGCCAGGCATGGTGGCAGGCACCTGTAGTTCCAGCTACCCGGGAAGCTGAGGTGGGAGGATTGCTTGAGCCTGGGAGGAGATTGCAGTGAGCCATGATCATGCTACTGCACCCAGCCTGGTCAATAGAGAAAAAAAAAAAGAGAGAGAGAGAGAGGAAAAGACAAACAAACAAACACCAAAAAAAAAAAAAAAAAAAAAACCTGTTTCCTTCACTCCAGGTTACTTTCTGATCATGTGTTTATGATTACTTTAATTTCCATCAAAGAATGCTCAGAGGAAAAAAGTCCTTTCAGGAGCACACAGGAAAGTATATCAAAGTAGTTATACTACCTGATGGAATCTGTGCTCCATTCTTTCCGATGATTTGCCCTCAAAGACATTTACCTAAGGTGGAATCCCACCTATGAATTGAGGGGGAAGTTTCCTCCCAGACCAATTACATCCATGTGGTTGTCTTTATCTTCCTTCCTCACCTTTTTTTTTTTTTTTTTTTACCAACCCTTTGGCATTGGGGAACCCCTGCCCACTGCCCCTGCTGAGGCCCAAACATGCAAAGCAGTGTCTCTGAGTGAGAAACCTTCCACACTGCAAAAAAGTCTCCATAGTGCTGGCTGCTACCTTCTCAGGCTTGCACTTTAGATCTCCTAAAGAGAACTACAGGCCAGGCAAAGTGGCTCATGCCTGTAATCCCAGCACTTTTGGGAGGCTGAGATGGGAGGATTGCTTGAGACCAGGGATTCAAGACCAGCCTAGGCAACATAGCAAAACCCTTGTCTCAAAACAAAATTTTTCCAAAAAATAACAAATTAATAAACAATAAAGAGAGCTACCTAAAGCCTCTCTGAAAGACTGGAGGATGCTTAGACCCATAGTGAGACTATCACAGTTCACATCCTTCTTTTATGTGTTAACTCCACAAAAGGGGTAGAGATTAAGACTTTTCTAAGAAGGAACTAGATGATTCCTCTTCCCTGTTAGGTTCTCCAGGATTTTGTCCTCCACTCTCCACTTACTCTGCACACACTTCCTCTTCTCCATATATGACTTCAACTGCCACCTCTATGTTGGCAATCCCAATCTTCATCCCCAGACAGTTCTCTCTCTTGGTCTTCAGAACTGCAATTCAAATGGTCTCTTGACATAGCCTGTTGGATACTCTAAAGTCATCTCAAACTCATTTTTAATTTAATTTAATTTTTTTTTGAGACAGGGTCTTGCTCTGTCATCCAGGCTGGAGTGCAGTGGGGCAATCACAGCTCACTGCAGTCTTGACCTCCTGGGCTCAAGTGATTTCCCCACCTCAGCCTCCCAAGTAGCTGAGACTACAGACATGTTCCATCATGACTGGCTAATTATTATTATTATTATTATTATTATTATTTTTGTAGAGATGGGGTCTTGCTTTGTTACCCAGGCTGGCCTCAAACAATCCTCCCACCTCAACCTCCCAAAGTGCTGGGATTACAAGTGTAAGCCATTACACCATCCAGCCTCAAACTCATTTTAACCAAAGTGCAATGCAAGATGTTTTGTCTTCATGTCTGCACCTCATTCTCCTTCCCATGTCAGCAGATGTCACCCCTGGGCCTTTGAGGCCAACCATCTTGGACTCTTCCTCTCTTACCCCCACATCCAAGCAATCACCAAGCCGTGTACTGGTGATTCTTCTTTCTGAATTTCTCAAATAGATATCCCTCTTCTCCTTCCCCACTACTACTCACATTCATACACTCTAGTTCATTAATTCTCCTTCATTTGGTGATTCACTCATTCAACAAATATCTATTGAACAACCACAATGTTCTCCTCATGCAGGCCTTAGTTTATCTGTCATATGCTCAGAGTGACTTTTCCTGACCATCCCATCTCCAGTTGCTTCTCTATCCCAGTCATTACATTATACTACTTGATTAAATTTTTCCACAACTTTTAAGTTCTATGTTTGTTTTCTTGTTTACTGTAAGTCTGTCTCACTAGAATGCAATTTCTATGCTATCAAAAATGTTGTCTTTTTCAGTATTTGGAACACCAAGAGCTTCATAGATGCTCTGTAAAAATTACTTGAATGAATGGAGATTATACTTTGAGATAAGGCACTAGCACTTGCTACCTCTCTCTCCTAGATTTTTGAAAAAGTCTCTTTATTTGTCTACTGGCCCCCTCCAATCTATCCTTCAAATTTTTTAAAAAAGTGATTTATTTTCCCTAATTCACAAGTCTGATCTTGTCACTACTCCTTTTAAATATTCCAGTGACTCCACAACTTACGGTACAAAAGCTGAGCTCCTTGGCATTGAATAAAAGGCCCTTCAGGATGGGGCCTCACCTCCCTATCCAGCCTCTTATCCTGCTGGCCCCTAACTCCACCCCCAGCCAACATCCCTACTTTCTTTAAACTGAGTCGCACTGGGCTATTTGTAATTCTCCAAATGAGTCACAAAATGTCCTCTCTCAGGGTCTTTGCCCATAATATTCTCTGTCTAAAATGCCTCTCCCTCATTGCTTACCTAGCAATTTCTACTCATCCCTCAAGCCTTGGGTTAAATGCTGAGAAGCTTTCCTAAATCCTGAGGCAGGTAAACATCATTTTCATCATCATTATACTCATCATTATCATTAGTTACCATCTATTGACAAATTATTATGTGTTAGCACTGTGCTGAATGCGATTAATTCTCACAACCGCACAATGAAGCAAGCATAATCATCTGCATTATAGATGAGGAAACCGAGGTTCGCAGGGGTGAAGTAGCCTGTCCCAGGAGGTACAGTATAACAGGGATTCGATTCCAGGGCTGACCCATTCCAAAGAGGCTGCCTTCAACCACCACGTGGCACTGCTTCCCGCTGTTCTACCGGCCTTTGTATATACCCCATGATAGCACATGCCTGATATCCATATAATTGTTTGATGGCACATCTGTCTCCTCACAACACTGTCAGGTGTTTGAGAGCACAAATTTGCCTTTTCATCTTTATATTCTCAACACTCTACTTAGAGCTGGCACTTAGTAGGTGCTTTATAAATAATAAATGAGTGGATTAATGCAGGCCTTCTCAGCCTCGGCACTACTGACATTTTGGAACAGATAATTCTTTGTTGTGGGGGCCGTCCTGGGCATTGTAAGATGTTTAGTAGCATAAACATAAATAAAGTCTGGAAACACTTCCAGAGAAGGCAGAACAGAATATTTAGAGGCCCCACGAAGTACGAGGCATTTAAAACCATACCTCATTTAAACGCTATTTTACAAATGTGAGACCAGAAGCTGAGAAAGGTAGAGCATCTTTTCCACTACCACATAGTTAGTGATGATGTAGCTTAGATTGAGCACAAACCAGTCTCCCCGGCAGGGCTTCCTCCCCATCCGGGGGCCAATTCCCCAGCTGCTCTGTGTCTGTCCTTCACTAGTTCAGAGCCACAGCGGGGAGAAGGATTGTAAAAAGTTGTCATCTCCAATCCCAACTGCTCTTCCAAGGACCCCATCTCCTCATTCCACCTGTTGTAAATCTCCCTCTGGACATCATATTGTAAACTAAAATGACACCGCTAATATACAATCTTCTCTTCTCCTCCCCCACCCCACCTTGTCTCCCCCTAGCTGACTTGCTTCTACTAACATCACCTACTTCTTCAAGTTATTAAGCCTTGAAGTCATCTTTGACTCTTTTCATCCACTACCTTCTCCCCCACTGTGGTTGAATATTTGACCCCTCCAAAATTATGTTGAAATTCAATCCCCATGGTAAATTATATATGTATATTTTACCTCAGTAAAAATAAGAAATTATTACCCAAAAAAAGGAAACTTAATCCCTAATGTGGCAGTATTGAGAGGTGAAGCCTTTAAGAGGTGCTTAGGTCATGAGGGCTCTGCTCTCATGAATGGATTAATCCATTCCTGGATTAGGGGATTAGTGAATTGGTGAATTAATGGGTTATGATGGGAGTAGAACTGGTGGCTTTATAAGAAGGGGAAGAGAGACCTGAGAGACCTCATTGGCCCTCCCACCATGTAATACCCTGTGCTATCTTGGGACTCTTCACAGAGGCCCCCCAGCAGGAAGGCCCTTGTCAGATGCGGCCCCTCGACCTGGGACTTCTCAGCTTTCATAACTACAAGAAATAATATCCTTTTCTTTTTTTTTTTTTTTTGAGACGGAGTCTCACACTGTTGCCCAGGCTGGAGCGCAGTGGCGCGATCTCGGCTCACTGCAAGCTCCGCCTCCCGGGTTCACGCCATTCTCCTGCCTCAGCCTCCCGAGTAGCTGGGACTACAGGCACCCGCCACCATGCCCGGCTAATTTTTTGTATTTTTAGTAGAGACAGGGTCTCACCGTGTTCGCCAGGATGGTCTCGATCTCCTGACCTCGTGATCTGCCTGCCTCGGCCTCCCAAAGTGCTGGGATTACAGTCGTGAGCCATTGAGCCAGGCTAACATCCTTTTCTTTATAAATTACCCAGTTTCAGGTACTGTGTTATAAGCAGCAGGAAATGAACGAATATATCCCCCCACATCTAATAATTTGTCACCCCTCACATCTGTCCCCTGATTCCCAGCTCCAATTCTACTGCTGCTGGGTTCTCCTCGCCTTTCAGCTGGACTGTTTATTAGTAGTCCATCTCTGTGATGGCCTCCAGGGTTCTTTCTCTCAGTTCCATCATTCCCACTGCTACCAGACTGAGCACCCCTGATCTCACCTTCAGGGTCAACACAAATCAGTCCAAACTCCGAATTTACCTTTACTTGCCTTTCCTCCACCCTTCCAGCCTCTTGCTCTTCGATTTCCCAGCCATAACCAACATGTTGTCATCCCCAGTGACCCACAACCTCCGTATCTCTGCTCTTACTGCCCTCTGCCTTGTTAATTAACATTTATAAATGGCCACTGGTTGGGACTGAGCTTCTGCACGAGGCACAACAGACCATACCAAAATGGAGCCCCTCGTGCTGAAGTTCCACATCACCAAGACAAAACTAAGCTGTTGATCTGACCTTCCAAGAAATCAGGAGACAGAGATAATTGCCGAGTCCCCAAACAGGGCGGTTTTAGCAGGCATGATAAGGAAGTCTCCTCTGCTTTAACCTTTACAGGGAAGTAACTTTGAAACGACCAACCTTCTTTTTGTTTTCTGTTTCTGCTGTCCTCAGCCCTTTTTTGTCTGTGAAACCAATTTCCTCTGCTCAGCTCATCGGAACACTCATTCTGTTTCACAGAACGAGGTGTTGCCTGATTCTAGAATCACAAATAAATGCCAATTGAGATCTTTAAATTAAATTTGTGTAATTTTGACTTTTGACAGCCTGAACAGCCCTACACCCCATTTTTACCCCATTATAGTCATTTCTCACCCCTTTTCTTTCTATGACAAAGCAAAAAAAAGAGCAAACACATAGAAACCCACCCTACTCTTCAAGACCCACTCAGATTCCACCTCCTCCATGAAGCCTTCCTTGACCTTCTGGGTGGGAACTCACTTTTCCTCCCTATAAACAGCTATTGCATTTCCTTTGTATCTTCTCTGACACTTAGTCACTTTCTTCTGTGAGTATTCCATCACTACTATAGAGAACAAACTCCTGGCTCATAATCTGTGAAAGGGGATAATGATAGTACCTCCCAGCTGGGCACTGCGGTTCACGCCTGTAATCCCAGCATTTTGGAGGCCGAGGCTAGAGGATTGCTTGAGGCCAGGAGTTTGAGACCAGCCTGGGCAATATAGTGAGATGCCATCTCTACAAAAAAAATAGAAACATTAGCTGGGCATGGTGGTGCATGCCTGTAGTCCCAGCTACTCAAGAGGGTGAGAGAGGAGAATCACTTGAGCCCAGGAGGTCGTGGCTGCAGTAAGTCATGATCGTACCACCGCACTCCAGTCTGGGTGACAGAGCAAGACCCTATCTCTCTAAAAATGATGATGATAATAATAATAATAGTACCTCCCTCATGGGACTGTTGAGAGGATTAAGTTAGATTAAGTACATTATTATATGGAAAAAGCTTGGGAAAGTGCCGGACACACAGTAAGCACTCTAAAAGTGTTTGCTGTTATTAGTACAATACTACCCTTGTGTTTTTAAAGCCCTCAGCACTGGACATAGGAATTATTTAAAAACACCTCTGAGTCTATAAGTGACTGCAGGAGCACTGTTTTTTTGAAATGCAGTAACAGCTGTGCAGCATATAGCAGGGGCTCCCATTCAGTCCCAGATCTTTGAATGGAAACTGTTTTTTCTTGAGTGCTACCACTCTCCTGGTGTTAGATGGCCCCTAGTCATCACACTTTTAGACCAGTTGACTTCAGCCCTTTTTATTCATGCCAACACTCTGAGTGAGCACATGTCCTCCTTAGAAACTCAGTTCCCTTCAATGACTACTTGCGCTGGGAGGGTTGAACAAATGGGGACATGTCCACTAAAAGGTAACCCCAAGGAGATTCCTGATATACCTCCCCCATTCCCATACCACTCCCCCAACCCCTCCCATTCATTTAGAAAGATCTGTCTTTGACTGCCTTCCTTTAAAAGACAGGACCTATATATAAAATGCCCTGCTCTTTTATTTTCTCAACATGGGTGATACGTTGAGATATGTGATACTCTCCTTTTCAATTTGACATGAATTTTAGTTAAAACAGTCAACCCAGCAAAGGCATCTTTTAGAGGTTTTTTTTTTCTGGTCCCTTGAATAAGCAACATGGCTTGTTTGCTCTTAAGCTGTGCGTGCGTGCACGTGTCCACAAGCATGAGTATGTAAGTGCACACACAGACCATACTGGGAATAGAAGTAATTTATTCTGGGAATGCTGAGTGAGTTGCTATTAAATCATTTCTATCTCCCTCACCATCAAAACCCATCCATTGAGCTCCCCTGTATATAAGGAACTGCACCAAGCAAAATCTAATCCAATATTAGATTCACCAAAATATTTATGTTCTTTGTTCCTAAGACCCTTTTCTCAGTCAAAAAATCAGAGAAGGAGATTGGGGGTGTGGGGGAATGATGGAGAAAATGTAAACATTTTTGCATAATACATCAGACCAGCCTTGCAGCCCAGTGTTTGGAGATTTGCTGGAACAAAAGTTCTTTCCTGATACTTGCACAATAAGGGGCATTTCAAGTAGGATCCCTTTGCTTTAATGAAACAAAAACAAAAACTTCTTTCCTTCACTCCATCCTGCCACACATTCCAGATGGAAGGAAGGTATTCTGCTTTCGGAGATCTTGTGTTTTGGCGAGATCTGAGTTCCCTATTTCAGTCTTGATGCTTTCATTAGCCAGTGAACATAACTTCCCTGAAATGACATCCCCACCAGAAGATCAGAATACAAATCCTTGGAAGTCAAGGTAGTGTCTCCTCACATTGCTTAGGAGAGATATGGCACCAGGTTAAGTCTTTGTCAGGAGAAAAGGACACCAAAGTGAACACAGCATGGACTCGGTGCACCAGGTTGACCCAGGCATGTCCACTGCAGAGTGTTACCTGCAAAACTCTGGCCCAGGTGGCTTCTGATCCCAAAGCACCCAGCTCACCTGCTCTCTGATCTACACTGTCCTAGGCACTGGTTTCTGGTATTCAGAAATAGCCCTGGTGAAACCTGTCATATGGATTATGTTTCTCCCAAAGGACAGAGCTCTGCTGGTTTGAGATCCTGAATCATCAATTTAATAACACCATTCTGCATGATGGAATGGAAAGCAGGCTTGGAAATATTTGTTGCCAAGTTTAGCTGCCTCCGCTCTTTCAGGCAGCCTGGGAAGAGCTGTCCACATTCACAGCCAACATCTCAAAGCCTTTGCCTGCTCACAAAAGGACCAGTCATCCTTAAATGGTCATAGACAGAAGAGGCAGGACAACTCACAGGCAGCTCGATGCTGAAGGCAAAGGAAGAGGGAGAAATGAAAAGACTTTAAAAGCGTTCTCTTTCCAGCCCCCGCTGAGAATTTTAAATGCCTTTGCCTCTGGCATATTTGAAGTCTGCATTTTACAGTCTGTTTAACTTACCCAGCAAGCCTTTGGGGCAGGCAAGAGCTGCGTCTTTGCATGTTTGTGTCTAGTGCTGAGTGTGCTGTTGGCACTCAGAGCAGCAGAAAATAATATGGCTAAAATCCACGGCAGCAGTGGGTGGCCTGGGCCCAGAAGGTAAAAGCCAAAGGAGAGATTTCCTATCTGCGTGGTGTAAGGAGGGCAGGAGATTTCCAGAGCTCTGAACCAATGCTGGGGAAGGAAGGGAACATCAAATATTGATTTTCTCCTGGAAATGGATCTTGGCCTTGCAGACTGGGAGTCTGGGAGGGGGAAGTAGGAAGCCCACCCCTCTGAGAAGGAAAGCTCAGGAGCCATCCCGATGTTGACTTTGCTAGAAGATGCATCTCTCAGGCCGAAATCAGGATTCCCTTGCTTGGACTGGCAGAATATAGTCTGAGGCTCCAGAGTTAGGCTCTGTCCTGGACTTGCTGTGTAACCTTGCCCTACCAGGCCACTATCCCACACATTCATACATTGAAACCCTGCTGTGCACCAGACATTGTGCAAACACTGAGCATATGAAGATATACAAGATACACACAATCCCTGCCCTCATGGAGCTCATCTTCCAAGGGGATCACTGTAGAGGGTGGTAAGTGCTGTGAATAAATGAATGGGGAGAGGTGATGGTGAAGGTCTTCTTTTTTCCTTCCTCCACACACCAAGTAAGAGCCATGAGCCAGGGTGTGCAGGAGAACAAGGGAGTCTCTGTTCCCAATCACCAGCTGAGATGGGGAACTGTCCTGGTCAACCCCTGTTAATTTGGGAGGAAAATTTGAGAGAAATCCATTCAAAGATACCCTGCAGCTGATAAAGGGAGAAGGAAAAAGGGGGAAAGAAAACAGAAAGAAAGAAGGGGCCCTCCTTCAGAAAGTGAAAAATCTTATTACCATAATTTTACCATTCAAAGACTGTAAGTTATCTTCAGTAAGGAATATGCATGTCTGACTTTCAAAGGCCAATGCTTCTCTATCAAAATTCACTTCTGTTATTAGGCTTGATCACAGTTCAGCTCCTGGAATACTTGAGTGAACAATTTTACATCTAAATGAGACTCTTGGGAGTGGAATAGAAGGAATTCTTTATGAACATCATTAAAGGAAGCTGTTACAGAAATAAAAGGAGAAATAATAATTTCCATTTGTTGTATGTCTACCATGCACAACACATTAAACATAATTTCACTTAATCTTCACAAACAGCCCTTCTGAGTAGGCATTGTTTTCTCTCTTTTATAGTTAGGTGAAGTAAGGCTCAAAGAAATTAAGTACCTTACCTAAGATCACAAAGTTATTGAGATAGCTGGGATTTGCTCCACGAGCTAGTTCACTGAGTTCAACATGTATTTGAAGGAAAATTTTCCCAGTTCCAGAACTGTGTCAGCAAAATGGCAATAAAATGTCGCCATGGAATCTTGTGCTAGGGATTGCGAGGTCCCAGAGAACTGTGTCCCATCACCGTTATTAGCCAATCTATCGTCATTCAGCATCTCTATCCTCTTCTTCAGTGCCTCATACTCCAGGTCTTATTCTTTGCTCAGCCACTTATATCTTTATCTGTTACTGATTTCATGTAAAATGATTTGCATTATAATAGGAGTTTTCTGGAGATAATACTATAATCAAAAAAGAGGCCCAAAGGCATGATAGGATTTTCAGATACTCTGACGAAGTGCATGGATTCCTGGCAGCAGGCTGTTCCCTTGATGCTAGACCCAACCTTCCCCTTACAATTCTTCATATGGGCCACAGGGCTCAGCTTTTTCCATCAAAGTGGCAGACACCCAGAGCCCTGGATGAACAGGAGTAGTGTAGTTCTAGGTGACTGAGTGAGCTCCAGGGGTGCTGAGGACACAAACTGCCAAGTCTGTGAACCTCTGAACCCTCCTCGCCTGCAGAACTTTGGAAAGGGGCTGACTACCCATTCCTGGTCTATTTACTCTTCTTTAGCATCCCCCACAGTGCCTAGAAAACCTCAACCACAGGTCAGGTACTGAACACACAGTTGGACATTGATAATATCTTCTGATTGGTTTATTCCTTTCAGCTTAGGGTCTTTGTTGAAAGGACTGAACCTCTAGAAAAGTGGTGATTTCCACACTGTTGGCAGCATTCAAGCCAAGGCAGGCTGGAGATATGGCATTGGGAATTCTTGTTCTAAAGTGTTGGACTGGGTGAGCTGCTGGTCCTTCCACAATCCTGGAGGAGGCTCTAATAGGGTCCCTATAAGAATATAGAAACCAGGTACCCTTGGAAAGGGAGACTTGAATGATCAACTCATCCTAAGAGAATGTCAATAAATCAGGAGACAAGGTGACCAGGGTGTGATTTGTGAGGACATAACTGTAAATGACCTGAGCATCAAGACAGTTGAAACCCAATGACATGCAATGTGCTACCAACAAGGACACAGTCTGAGTGGATCCCATGTAAGCCCAAGGGAACAGACATATCAATACTTATTTTCCCAGGGCTCTCCTGGGAAGAGAATGTCTAGTTCAGGGCACCTGAGCATTCTGGTATAACCCAAAAAAGTGTCCGTTGTTGGGCAGGGAGAGCTCATCAGGGGTTTCTCTTCAAGATAAAAAAAGGCTTCAAAATCGTTCACCTCCCTGTGCTCTGAAGCGCTGATCACTAAGCAAGCTTCTGATTACCAATTTAATATCCTGAACACCTTGACATTGGATAAGAGATGTGTGAGAGGCCGGGTGCAGTGGCTCACACCCATAATCCCAGCACTTAGGGAGGCTAAGGTGGGTGGATCACCTGAAGTCAGGAGTTCGAGACCAGCCTGGCCAACATGGTGAAACCCATCTCTACTAAAAATACAAAAATCAGCCAGGTGTAGTGGCATGCGCCTGCAATCCCAACTACTCGGGAGGCTTAGGCAGGAGAATCGCTTGAACTCGGGCATCGGAGGTTGCAGTGAGCCAAGATCACACCACTATACTCTAGCCTGGATGATGGAGTCACAGTCTGTCTCAAAAAAAAAAAAAAAAAAAAAAAAGAGATTTGTGAGTGAGAATTCTGGTCACTGAAATAGAATATCCACCATTATAAAATGCAAATATGGACATTTGTGTTTATATGTCAGTTTATTGCAAGCCTGGTTATTGTAAGTCCGTCTATGAGACTGGCATCTGTAAAACTAATAGCTGGTCCCGGGAACATGGTGATCACATCAAGGCCCTGCACTGTGGAAAAGGCCTCACCTGGTTGAAGCCTTGAAGTCTCAGGCAGCCCCATGCTCACCCCTCTCTGACTGAAGTACTTTGCAGCTCTGAGATTCTGTGATTCAAGAATTCTCTGACTGCTGCTGAGATGAAGTGCTAAGGGGCCTGCATGGCCTGGGCATACAACTGACCAAATGGGCAAGGGAATATGAAGAGGGGGTCAGAAAGGAGGCTCTAGCCATCTTTTTCTGAATACATTCTCTTTTTTTTTTGAGATGGAGTCTCACTCTGTCACCCAGGCTGGAGTGCAGTGGCATGATCTTGGCTCACTGCAACCTCTGCCCTCCGAGTTCAAGTGATTCTCCTGCCTTAGCCTCCCAAGTAGCTGGGATTACAGGTGCCTGCCATCGTGCCCGGCTAGTTTTTTGTATTTTTAGTAGAGACAGGGTTTCACCATCTTGGCCAGGCTGGTCTTGAACTCCTGACCTCAAGATCCACCCGCCTCGGCCTCCCAAAGTGCTGGGATTACAGGAGTGAGCCACTGTGCCCAGCCCTGAATACAACCTCTTAAAAAGACAGAGACTAGGGCAAAGGTTCTCAGAGATCTTTCCGAAACAGTCAGTAGGATCTTTTCCATTCATCCTTCTCCTTTTGATATTTTCTCAAATCAGAAAAGTTGGAAGGTTTTGAAATGCCCTAAAAGAGCTTTAAGCTAGTAGAAAATCTCACTCCATTGGAGACTTAAAGTCAATCATTCTCTGAGGATCATGCAGCAGACCAGGGGAAAGACACATTGTGAGGTGGTGTTTCTGGGGCCTCTATCCTGAGACCACATCACCATGTGGAAAACCATCTGAAACTCTGCCAAATGCCCAGGACCCAAATCATCACAAATATCTCCAATCTCAGACATGAAATTGAAGAAATACAACAGGTTTTCAAAGTAGCAGTTGACTCACCCACGTATTGCTGGATTGCTGGTCTCAAAAAAGAGGTGGCATTACCATTGCCATGGGAACCTCCACTTTGACTTACTGGTATTCAGACCTCCAGCTGGGAACATCCTGTTCCTGTCCCTGATTGTGGCTCATGACCTACTTCTACTTGCTTGAGTGAGAGGCCCCAGTGAGATACCTGGGAGTCAGGAAGCTCCAACCCCCTACTCTGGAATTGGCTCCATTCCCTCTCTAGCAGAGGGCAAGGCATATCACTCCATGGTTCAGTGTTGCCACAGTTCACTAAGGATGGCAATGACAATCTTTCTCTGATGAATGTTTTATGAGTTTAGTAGATAAAATTTGAAAGGGATGCAGAGCCTGTGTGTCTGGACAATCCTTTTTCCCCACCATGTTTGTCACATAGGGAGCCCAAGCCCACAGGTCTTGTTCCGCATGGCCAGAGCCTTGCCCTTATCTTCAGATAGTCAATTGCTGCAGCAAATAGCTTACCTAGCCCAAGTGACAAGTGGATATAGTCTGGCTTGAAAACAAAGAGATGAGAGGCGAAAGAGATGAGAGAGGAGGAAGGACAATGAGTAAGGTTAGATAAAAACTGTCAGTGGATATGGACACAAAATTTTCATCACTTTCTCAGGAATCATCGTATCTGTCCTGCTGTTATAATTTAATCTTACTTGCCTGTGACCATCTTTAATGTCTTTTTTTTTTTTTTTTTTTTTTTGAGATACTGTCTCACTCTGTCCAGGCTGGAGTGCAGTGGTGTGATCATGGCTCACTGTAGCCTTGACCCCCCAGGCTAAGGTGATCCTCCTACCTCAGCCTCCTGAGTAGCTAGGACTACAGGCATGTGCCACTATGCCCAGCTAATTTTTGTATGACCTTGTTTATAGAGACAGGGTCTCACCATGTTGCCCAGGCTGGTCTCGAACTCCTGGGCTCAAGTGATCCTTCCACCTCGGCCTCCGAAAGTGCTGGGATTACAGGCGTGAGCCACTGTGCCAACCATCTTTAACTTTTTCCTCTTTCTCTCCTATATCCAATCCATCACCAAATTCTATCAGTTTTATATTCAAACAATATCCCAGAGTTACCTACTTCTCTCAATCACCACAGGCACCACCTACCTACCACAAAAGCAACCATCTTTTGCCAAGACATCTGTAAAAGCTTCCTAACAACCATTTTTGCTTCTCTCCAACACATCTGCCATACAACAGTAATAAGTTAAATTTTCGAAACATATATCAGAACATGTCAATTTTCTGCTCAACAAAGGCTCCTTCCATTGTGCTTGGGTTAGACCCATGGTCCTTCTACTCCACAGGCCCTGAATGGTCCATGCAACCCCTGGCCCACCCACTGCACTGTAGCCATGCTGGTGTCCATTCTCCCACTCCCCTTGCCCCTTTCTTCCTCAGTTTCCACATTCTCACCCCTTGCATCCACCTTTCTCACCTATTCATCCTTCAAGGCTCTGTTCAAATGCGATTTCCTCGGAGAGGACTTCTGAGACTCTTCCAATCTGTGTTAGGTCCTCCTCATATGCTCTCCCAGAAGCCTCTTATTTTCCCCCCAGGGAAGTTCTCTCACAGTTTGTTATGATATATTAGTGGTTCTCCAAGTGTGTTTCCAGACCAGTGGCACCAGCAGCACCTAGAAGCTCCTTAGGAATGCAAATGATTGGGCGGCACTCCAGGCCCACTGAATCAGAGACCGAGGGTGGGACCCCAATCTGTGTTTTAACAAACTCTTCGAGTGATTCTGATGCACATTAAGGTTTGAGAACAAGGCCCATGTTGCTATTCCTGTGGCAAACTGATTGACATCCGTCTCCTTTACTTGAGTGAAAACTCCATGAACTCATTGCCTGACACAGAGCAGACACTTAATAAAATTGTGTTGAGTGAATGAATTAATAGATGTGCATTACATTGGTTTGTTTGGAAAGATGCTAATGAGGCCAACATCAGAAATGTAGCCCCAGCCTGGGCTCCTGTGGCTCACTCTGCTCCCTGGCTCACTCTCTAGCAGGCCTCCAGCCCGGATTGTGCTCACAGTGTGTTTCTGGGCCTGTACAGGTCGTGTTGCTGTTCAAACCCATGGAGGCTCTGCTGCCCTTCTCCTAGACTCAGACAATCAGTGAAAGGTTTTTGACAGCCAGTGTTGTACCATTATCCTCTTAACCTTTCCTTCCTCTGGAAATCTCAGAGCACCACTGAGGATACAGTGAACTCAGCACAGTCTTCATAGAGCAGTGCCTCCTGCTCAAAAGCCAGAACCAATGAAGAAGCATCTGTCACTCCGGAGGTGGGGCATCTGTCACTCAGCACATGGAAGTGGTCAACTCATAATAGCCAGCTAGCACACCTTGAGCATTTACCGTGTGTCTGACACTATTGAGAGGTGCACAATCTCATAGAATCCTCAGGACAACGCCAGGAAGTGAGCTATTTTTCCAATTTACAGATTTTTAAAAATGAGCATTAATGACATTAAGTATTTTGTTTTACATTCCTCCTTTAGTAGTGGTAGGGCAGGACTTTAACCTTATTCTTGTAAACAGACACCTCGTTCATAACCCTTATACTATACTGTTCCCCATAAGTCATAGACAGCCATAGACTCTTAGAGCTAGCTCAGGTGAACAGTCAGCCTGTTGGGTGCCTTTAAGCAGCTCATTGGATCCCAAAAGCTTTCCAATCAGCAATACTAGGGAATGACCCAGCGTACCTGGGCACCACCCAGCCAGGTGGGTAGTTTGCATATACCTGCTAAATACAGAGAATGAAAATGTAGCACCATCATTCTGTGCATCTGTCCTGGATCTCAAATATTTTGTTTAAACTTGTGCTTGGACCTGACTTCCATTAGAACACGGACCCCTGTGGATCCTAGTAACGTCATGCCAGGGACAAGATCAGCTGGGTAAACTATGGGCCTGAGCCAATTTGTTATGCCTAACTGTATTCATACTATATAAACACGCTGAGTTAACTAACAAGGAGATGAGAAATGTTCACCTTTGGAAGGAGCTGAAATTTCTTAGGCTGCCAGGGCCATTTATAGCAGTAGAAGATAGAGTTTTCTAAATTAAGCTTGGTATGTCTGAAAATAACTGTCTAAAACCCAAGCAACTTTTCATGCATAGAATCAGGTCTACCGTTAGAATTCACAGCCAATATTTAACTTTTGTTGTGGCTGCATAGTATTCCATGGTGCATAGGTCTACTGTTAGAATTCACAGCCAATATTTAAGTTTGGTCTGGCTCTGTGCCAGATGCTTTGTGTATATTATCCATCTGCTACAGATAATATAAAAATGAATAAGACACAACACATGTCTCAAAAAGTTCATAATGTATGATTTGGGACGGCTATGGTGAGGTGGGGGGCAGAATGTGGAGAACGTTGGTGAGGTTTAGGGAAAGCACACTAAAACAATACACAGGAGAAGATGGGTGGCCAGGCCAACGGCTTTAGTGGCTCAGGGAAGAGAGACATCAAATTCTTTTTTTTTTTTTTTTTTTTTTTTTTTTGAGAGGAAGTCTCGCTCTATCGCCCAGGCTGGAGTTCAGTGGCACGATCTTGGCTCACTGCAAGCTCCGCCTCCCGGGTTCACACCATTCTCCTGCCTCAGCCTCCCGAGTAGCTGGGACTACAGGCGCCTGCCACCACGCCCGGCTAATTTTTTGTATTTTTAATAGAGATGGGGTTTCACCGTGTTAGCCAGGATGGTCTCTATCTCCTGACCTCATGATCCACCCGCCTTGGCCTCCCAAAGTGCTGGGATTACAGGTGTGAGCCACCACGCCCGGCTGAGAGATATCAAATTCAATAGAACATCTCATCTTTGAGGAATCGCCCCACACTGTCTTCCAAAATGGTTGGACTAATTTACACTCCTATCAACAGTGTACAAGCGTTCTTTTTTCTCCACAACCTCGCCAACATCTGTTATTTACTGACTTTTTAATAATACCCATTCTGACCGGTGTAAGATGATATCTCATTGTGGTTTTGATTTGCATTTCTCTAGTGATCAGTGATGTTGAACTTTTTTTCATATGATTGTTGGCCGCGTGTATGTCTTCTTTTGGAAAGTGTCTGTTCATGTCCTTTGCCCACTTTTTAATGAGGTTGTTTCTTTCTCGTAAATAACTGTTTAACTCAGTAATCCCATTATATTTATATATTCCCAAAGGAATATATAAATTCCCAAAGGAATATAAATTTTTCTATTATAAAGATGCATGCACACGTATGTTCATTGCAGCACTATTCACAATAGCAAAGACATAGAATCAACCTAAATACCCATCAATGATAGATTGGATTAAAAAATGTGGTACATATACACCATGGAATACTATGCAGCCATAACAAAGAATGAGATCATGTCCTTTGCAGGGACATGGATGAAATTGGAGGCCATTATCCTTAGCGAACTAATGCAGAAACAGAAAACCAAAAATCACCTGTTCTCAGTTGTAAGTGGGAGCTAAATTATAAGAATGCATGGACACATAGAGGGGAACGACACTCACTGGGACCTGTCAGAGGGTGGAGGGTGGGAGGTGAGAGAGGATCAGGAAAAATAACTAATGGGCTTAATATCTGGGCAATGAAATAACCTGTACAACAAACCCCCGTGACTTGAGTTTACCTGTATAACAAACCTGCACATGTACCCCTGAACTTAAAAGTTTAAAATATATATACAACTTAAAAAACTAGAACATCTCAGGGGAATCCTCACAAAGAACATGATTTTCTGAGCTGAGCCTTGAAAAGTGGGAGGAAAGAGGGAAGGCCTGAGTAAAGGTGCAAAGGTGAAAACATTGCAGGTGTGTTCTGCAACACCTTGATCCAAATGTCTAGATTGAGAAGGGAGAGCTGGAGAGTAAGCCAGACGGGAAAGGGAGAGCGGCTATCAGAGGGAACAACGGGGAGACTTGCCTCATCACTTTTTTCCCCTCATCATGTGGACTGCCAATTTTAGTTTCCTAAACATACTGAGTCCTAGATGTTTCTAGAATCTCCCAGCATGCTAAGAATGTGCAGCTTTCCTCTTTTTCTGCCTTCCCACCTTCCTCTCCTTTCTGGATAGCAGTAAACTGAAAGGTACAGGACGGACGATAAGGTTGGTGCAGGCTCCCCTCCAAGCCAGTCCTACTCACTCAGGCTAAGCTGTACAAATGATCCAAAGGTTGCAGCATCCTGATGATACAGAGCTAAGCAAGTGTTGATTTGAAGAAAGTTTGAGCAGATACGCCAACAGAAAACAGCTGGACAGATATAGTGCAGTTAAAGTATCATTGCATATTGAGCTGTTCAAATGTACTTATAGAAATTCCTTTCTATCTTGACTTTTTTTTTTTAAAGTGTGATCTAACTATGGAACACATGAGGCTGATTTCATGAGATAGTTGATTTTATGTAATTTTAATAATTCTATCACATTTGCAGAAATGTCCCTCCTTTTGGAAATGGAGGCTAGGGCATGTCCCAGTCCCTTCAAGCCTCCCCAGTGCCACAATTACCAACAGATTATGTTAGTAAAATAAGAGTTTTTTCATAACAGACATATTTCGCTGCCATTAGGAACATTTCCATAAAGAGATGAAGAACTCAGGAAAAGGAAATCCCCTCTCTCCCCCACTGCCCACCCAAGAGATAGAAAAGAAGAGAAAACCCAGTGGTGTGTGAACCACCAGATTCTCACACTGTCTGGTTGCATGTGGGATGGGAACAGAAGAAAAGCCCTGAAAAGCAGACACCAGCAGTCTTCACCTCTTAAATTCTTAGATCACTTTATAACTTGAACCATGTGGTCTCTGAACTCTCCTTCTCTATGCGAGGTTGTACTGGCCTTGGGTAAACCTTTGTCCAAGCAGGACAGAGGGCATCTTGTCCTTGTAAGGGATATGTAAGGTGGAGACAGCTCGGGTTGTTGGGAACATCACCCTCAGGGCTGCCTCTTTTTTGCTCCCATGCCCAGATCTGGCTCAGCAGTGGGAGAGGGAAAATGGAGACACGTGTGGCTCAGAGTCCAGTGGAGATGGGATTCAGGTGTGATTGAAAAGGCAGGAAGCCCTGGGAGGCATTTGTTCTTGGAACTTTGGCTAGGATATAAAAACTTCTAGTTACTCTTATA
The DNA here is from genome assembly GCF_000001405.40 of Homo sapiens. NCBI lineage: Eukaryota > Metazoa > Chordata > Mammalia > Primates > Hominidae > Homo > Homo sapiens. The sequence goes on from NC_000001.11 coordinate 183,359,866, forward strand.
AAGACACCTGCAAGATAATGATAGATTTTTTCTCACAGCATTTTAGAACGTTTCTTCTTGGGTCCTTGATGTTGGCTCCTAGCATATACTCATCCTTATATATAGTTAAGTGTAAAACATTGGATTTTTGCTGGCTTTGGACTCTGTTCTGGTGGGCTAAGTCTAAAGGTGAATTAAGTGCCTTCTCACACACTTGGGTTCCTTCGAGCCTGACAGTGAGTCACTCAATTGTGCTCTGTCCTTATTTCTGTATCATTTCACTTTCCATTATGAAAATGCTCAATAGTTTGCTCTCAGAAGCCTTGCAATCCATTTCAGACCAAAGCTAAATAGATTTCACCAAATTCCTGGAACAGAGGAAATATGAAGCCCAATTCATAGATGAGGAAGCCAGATTTCAGCCAAGGAAAAACAGCCTTCTAAAGTTGACATGGAAAACTTAGACTGGGCAAGATGGAAGCTGCACAGCCTACCTACACCCCCGAGGGTAAGATGCTCGAGACAGCTTGTCATTCCTCACCGAGAAAGATACTAGCTACTCACCTCTTCATCTTCCTCCTTCTATTTAGCCCCAGGTCCCAACAATAATTGAAATTTTCAGACACCCATTTCACAGGTCTCCCCTACCCATCCACGAGTCTCCGAGAGGAAGACCCCACTTGGAGGCCCCTATAAACATCCTCCATCTAGGGAGTACCTAGCAGGGAGGAATCTGAGAGTTTCTCTGTGCAGAACTGAGGTCTAGAAATGTCTGCCAGGTCATCTATTAAGATCAAATGACAGCAAATTCCCCATAATGGAAAACAGGCTGAAGGAGAAAGGAAACGAATCTATAAAATTGGCAGTGTGCCTCTCACTGCAAAGACTCCGGACCGGAGGTTGCATATAGTAGGCTGACTTTTTGGGTTTCCCCAGGAATTAAAATAAGTGCAGATCCTCCAGGATTATTTTTTCCCCAAGCACAAGTGTTCTTTTATTGGTGGAAGCATTTTTATAAGCTGTGTTGTTTTTTATTTTTTAAAAAATACATAATTATAAAAATCTCAAACCTTATAAAAACAGAGAAAATATCCTTCTTTATTTACCCTAGCTCTCCACCAACCCCTCTCTCCAGAGTTAACCACGTTTTAACTGTAAATCTGAAAGGGGTTTTTCTGTCTTAATGATCATCAACCTCAGAGCTACCACACTGAGCATGTATGCATAAGAAGCTATAATAAAATTTCTGCACATTGGATGTTCAATACATGCCAATCACTGTTGTAAGCATTCTTGCATACATACACTTATTAAATTGACACAACATTCCCATGAGGTGGCAGAGGCAAGATTCAAACCCAGGCATTTGACTACCGAGTCTGGACTGAATGCTACTCACATCAGGGGACCCTTATCCTCCCCATCGCCATGTGGTCCACACTTGGCAAGCCACGACTTGTTCTTGACTCTCCAGCCCAAACCTCTCTGGCCCTTAGCTTTGGAGTCAGACAAATCTGAAATCTGGGCACAAATTCTACCTCCACCACTCAATAGCTGTGTGACTTTGGGCAGTTTTCTTCACTTCTATGAGCCTCGGATTTTTCATCTGTAAAATGAAAAGACTAATACTGCATGAGTGAGGAAGTAAACATAATAAATTATAACACAACTAGCAAAATACCTGGCACATTCTAGATGCTCAATAAATATTTTTAAATAAATGAACAAGTGAAAGTGGCAATGGCAAATCCTAGTGCTAAGTCTACCTTCATCATGCTATCATATTATAAATGATGGCTGTGTCTCCTATTGACTGGATACTCTAGCACTGTAATCTCTTTGAGATACACTAATATTACTTGTATTTTGTGAAGTATCTCCCCACAGATTTTTGGCTGTTTATCAAGAACCTCATTTCTGAAGCTGTCATTTACAGACACTCCAAGCAAGCATTGTGTCAGTCATTTTATTTTATAATCAGATCCTAAATCTTGGTGGCATGTGCTCAGTGCCCTAGAGTTTTTCCTAGGTATGGCTACCTGACACTTGCTAAAGCCAGCCCTCTGGTCTCAGATGCATTTGCTGTGATAACTTTATTTGTTTATTTATTTGAGATGGAGTTTCGCTCTTTTGCCCATGCTGGAGTGAAGTGGCGTGATCTCGGCTCCCTGCAACCTCTGACCCCTAAGGTTCAAGCGATTCTCCTGCCTCAGCCTCCTGAGTAGCTGGGATTACAGGCACCTGCCACCACGCCTGGCTAATTTTTGTATTTTTTGTCAAGACGGGATTTCTTCATTTTGGCCAGGCTGGTCTCTAACTCCTGACCTCAGGCAATCCACCTGCCTCAGCCTCCCAAAGTGCTAGGATTACGGGCATGAGCCACTACACCCAGCCTCTATAAGAACTTTATTGAGACATAATTCACATATCATAAAATAGGCCCTTAATTTTAGAGTGTGCAATTCAGTGATTTTTAGTGTCTTCAGAGTTGTGCAACCATCACCACTATCGAATTCTACAACATTTTCATCACCCAAAAAAAGAAACCCAATATCCCTTAGTAGTGATTTGCCATTCCCCACCGCCCCCTGGCCCTGCAGTCCCTGACGGCCACTACTCTACTTTCTATCCCTACAGATTTGCCTATTCTGGACATTTCATATAAATGGAATCATACAATAGATGACGTTTTGTGACTGGCTTTTTTCCGTTAACAAAATGCTTTCAAGGTTCATCCATGTTGTAGTATGTATCAACACTATCCTCATTTTTATGGCTGAATAATATTCCAGTATATAGATATAGCACAGTTTTTCATCAGTTGATGGGTATTTGGGTTGTTTTTTTCCTTTTATCTATTATGAATAATGCTGCTGTAAACATCATGTACGAGTTTTAGTGTTTCAATTGTTTTCAATTCTCTTGCATATATACCTAGAAGTGGTATTGGTGGGACATATGGTAAGTCTATGTTTAACTTTTTGAGAAACTGACAGATTATTTTCCAAGGCAGCTGTACCATTTTATATTCCAATCAACAATTGTATGAGGGTTGATTTCTCATACAATTGTTGATACTCATACAATTTCTCTACATCCTCATCAACACTTGTTATTGTCTGTCTTTTTTATTATAGCCATTCTGGTGGGCGTGAAGTGGTATCTCACTGTGATTTTGATTTGCATTTCCCTAGTGACTAATGATGTTGAGCAACTTTTTAGGAGTTTATTTGCCATTTGTGTATCTTCTTTGGAGAAATTTCTGTTCAAACCCCTAGCTCAGTTTTTAATTGGGTTAATTGTTGGTCTTGGATAATTTTATAACTGCTATTGCAAGCATGGTGTGTTGGAAAGATCACAGGCTTACCTGTACTTGACCTGTATTTCATTCTGGCTTCATCACTTAGTTATGTGACCTCAAGAAAGATTTTTTAAAAATTTCTCTGAACCTTAGCTTTATTATCTGTAAAAATGGATTGTATCTCTCTTATAGGGCTATTGTGAGGAACAAGTGAATAAAGCATCAAACACAGTTTGGGGCACCCAATAGACACTTGACATTTTGTTAGACCCTCTCATCCTTCTGCTCTGATTTTAGACATGTTTTCCCTTAGGAAGCTGTATTTGATTCTAGCAGACAAAGTGGAGTGAGTTGAAGTCTAAAAGGCAGGGCCCCCAATTGGAAGAGGTCAGTGAGTTTATTATGAGGAGTCCCCTAGAGACACACACACACATACACACACACACACACACACACACACAATACCTCCACTCAGCATAAGATCATTTGGATAAATACAAACTGTTTCAGTAGCTGAGAAATAGGAGGAAAGAGACAGTTATAAAAGAGGAATTGAATTGTAACCCCTTATTCCAGCACCAGTACTCTGTAAAATCTGCAATTTTGAATAGTAAGGCTTTAAGAATAGGGTGGCTTGAGAGGGTTGGATAACATGACATTCAGTGTCTGGCTTTCCATAAGAACAAGTCTGGCTCTTGCTTTTTAACAGTCTGGTAATGCACAAGGCCTGTCATTTATTCTTTCTCTAATGAATGGATAGAATGTTTAATTTCCTGATGGGCAACCTAGTAATTTTAGTCTCCCGCTTCCAAGCCTTTGTCTGGCTTGTTCCATGTGCATAAAAACAACCTCCTTCATCCTGCTATCATGTGCTGTCTTTCTTTCCATTAAAGCTCAGCTCAAAGGCCATTTCCTCTAAGTAGTCTATTCTATTAGGGAAGAATAAGCATTGAATGTGTGGCCAGACTGATAACTGCACTTAGTCACTAATTTTGCAATAATTTATTGAGCAAGTACTATGTGCAAGACCTTGTGCTATGTACTAGGAACACGAAAGGGGATATGACACAGTCTGTGCCTTCAGAGCTCATAATGCATTGGGTAAGATGGGTGTGTAAACAGATATTTACAAATAATGTCACATTTCAATGATTGCTCTAAAGCAGTTTTCATCATCGGAGCTCACAGGGTAGGACTTGCAGGAATGGCAGATACTGAAGTTTCGTCTTTCTTCTGGTATCCCATTGGCAACTCTTTCATCTGTATACAATCACTAGAAGGGAGGAGTGAAAAACATAACCCATTTCTTCATTATTCTATATTAAATAATATTTTGGAGAAGGAAACCAGCAGAGAAGAGAAGGCATGAAATACAATAGATTTGTAAATGGTTGTTCTAAATAGAAAAATGAAAGAGAAGTCACAGGAAAGTATTAAATTAAATTTATAGTTTAATTTTGTTATATATAAGTAGAAGCTGCAGGGATAAATTCAAGCAAGGGGAGGATGATTTCTTTCTTTCTTACTTTCTTTCTTTCTTTTTTTGTTGTTGTTGTTATTGTTTGAGACGGAGTCTCACACCGTCTCCCAGGCTAGAGTGCAGTGGCACGATCTTGGCTCACTGCAACCTCCACTTCCCAGGTTCAAGCGATTCTCCTGCCTCAGCCTCCAGAGTAGGCGGGATTACAGGTGCCCACCACCACATCCGGCTAATTTTTTGTGTTTTTAGTAGAGACAGGGTTTCACTATGTTGGCCAGGCTGGTCTTGAACTGCTAACCTCGTGATGGGAGGATGATTTCTATCTCCCATGTCCCCCAGAATCAGACGAGGGTTCCCATCCACCCAGTGCCCCATGAACAGGAACCTCAACCTTCTCTAGGCCTCCATTTGCTCATATTTAAAAGGAAGAAATCAAACCAGTGTGTTCTGAAGATTCCTTATAGTTCTGACAGCCTATGAATCAGAGTGGGCAGTTTATTCATGTATTTATTTATAGCTGTGAGAAAGGAAGAAAATAAAAGTGGCAGGAAAAGTGGAGGTGGCTTAACATTTATTTGATTGTAGAGGGCAGTGAGAGAGTGAGAAGAACCCTTTGCATTGCTTTTCTTTCTCAGTGGTCGGAGGAGAACCACAGAACGGTGGCACAGAGCCCTATGGCAACAGAGCGGCAGCCCAGGGAGGATTAGGAATTGAGAAAGACAGCAAACAGGTCCATGCAGCATCATTTTTCTAGATTAGGAAAATGTATGCCAATAGTTTGTGGTAACCAGCCTCCAATGTGATAGAGGAGATGTGGGGATGGAGAATGGGTTTTAAAAATAAGAAACAGGCCAGGCACGGTGGCTCATGCCTGTAATCTCAGCACTTTGGGAGGCCGAGGAGGGTGGATCACCTGAGGTCAGGAGTTCAAGACCAGCCTAGCCAACATGATGAAACCCCACCTCTACTAAAAATACAAAAAATTAGCTAGGCATGGTGGCGTGCACCTAGCTGAGGCAGGAGAATCACTTGAACCTGGGAGGCGGAGGTTGCAGTGAGCTGAGATCTTGCCACTGCACTACAGCCTGGGCAACAAGAGAAAAACTCCATCTCAAAAAAAAAAGGAACAGTGACAGGTGGCCCACAGCCCCTGAGAGATGTCTGAGACACGGTGTTGTATAAACCCCAGGTATGTGGCTCCCTGGGGGACACTTGTCACGATGTTTTTGTAGCAAGGGCTGAATAAGGCAGGATGCCAGCATCACTCTGCAGGCACAGACTGCAGATAAACCACCCCTGACTCATATCTCCAACTGAAATAACACCTTGAATCAGCCAACTTCCTTTCCCTCTCCATCAAAAATGTTTTATCCTCTTATTTCTTTGGATCATGTATATCAGATTCCATTCTCTCTGGTATACCACTACACCCTGGGGTAAACTACAACTGCCAAAATAGCAATTAGTACCTCCTTAGAAAGAAACCCAAGAAATGGCTCCCAATCTACTAACTACATGCATGGCAGAAATTATCATTGTATGACCCATCCCGTCTTTCTGACCTCATTCATTTATTCTGCTATTTATGTATTAATTCACTCACTCAACTTTGGGCTGTTACAAGCTATACACCTTGGGCAAATCACTTCACCTCTGTGCCTCATTTTCTTCCCCTGTAAAAAGGGATAATAATAGTATCTACTTCATAGGGTCATTTTTAGAATTGAGCTATCACATGTGAAGTGCTTAGAATATTGGCACAAATTAAGCACCATGTAAGCATTAACTATCATCATCATCATTAATTAGTATTAGTATTATGTAGTAAGCTAAGCACTCTGCTAGCCACTGTTGATTCCAAGATGATTAAGTCTCAGTCCTTGACCTTGCCAGCATAAAATGGTCAGAAATAGTAGATTTATAAAAAGTGTTATCATTGTTGGTATTGCAGGAAATGTCTTTGAGACATGGTAAGAAGGTAAAATGGAATAGATATTAATAGAATGGGTGTGGGAGTGAGATGGGGAGGAGTCTGATGTGGGTGCAGGGATAGATGGTGGTGCCATTGATACATTGAGTGAGTGGACTGAGGGACATTTAAGAAGCATAGATGGATCTTATGCTAAGATGAGCAATCTGGAACACAGATGACAATTGCAGGAGGGAATGAGAGCCAGCAATGAGTGTGAAGACCTCTATGCCTTTTTGCATGCTATTACTCAAAATATCTTACCTCCTCCTGTCAACCAAGCAAAACCGGCTTATCTGTCAACATCTTCTCAGACATCAGCTTCACTGGGGGTATCTTTATCTAAGCACCACCCCCAGTGGAGTGAACCACTCTTTATGCTCCCAGTTTGTTACTTATACATGCTTACTTGATTTCACATGTTACACTTAAAGCAATGATCAATTTGAAAATCTCCGTCCCTGACTTAGATATGTCCACCCTAAGGAATGGAGATTAATTCCTAGCCATTTTCATATTTCCACATCCTAGCATGGTGCCTGGATCACATCCACACTTTTCTCAGCTTAGTAAATAAATAAGGGCCGGGAGTGGTGGCTCAGGCCTGTAACCCCAGCACTTTGGGAGGCTGAGGCGGGCAGATCACCTGAGGTCGGAAGTTTGAGACCAGCCTGACCAACATGGAGAAAACCCATCTCTACTAAAAATACAAAAGTAGTCAGGCATGGTGGCATGTGCCTGTAGTCCCAGCTACTTGGGAGGCTGAGGCAGGAGAATCGCTTGAACCCAGGAGGTGAAGTTTGCAGTGAGCCGAGATCGTGCCATTGTACTCCAGCCTGGGCAACAAGCGCAAAACTCTGTCTCAAGTAAATAAATAAATAAATAAATAAGCATAAATAAGACACAGTTCTGCAAATAACTTATAGTTTTATTATAATTTAGGTCAGACATAACTATTTGAAATCTTAAATAATAGAAGCCCAGTGCAAGATGAGAGATATTCCAAAGAGGCGTAGCAGTAACTTTTACATGAGTAGTCGAGGGCAACAGATTTCAACACATTGTTGACCACATAACTGTTTCAGTAAAAAGATTTGGGGCACAACTTGTCATATATAATTTACTAATCTATAAATTATATATGTGTCTTATTTTACTATTGTGCTGTGTACATTGAAAATATACACAAAGATAAAAATTAAATGAAGATGCAATAAAAATATAAATAGAAGTGCCAATATTTTCTTCCTGTGCCCAGTGGATTGTCTCAGCACACCATTTTAGATACCAGAGGTCTAGAGCAAAGCTATTCAGAATGAGGTCCCCCAGCATGGCACAAGCTATTCTGTTACTAGTCTGCAACTCAATAAGCAAAGAAATGGAGAGCAAGCATCTAGAAACTTCTGTAGTGATTTTGGTAGGTCTATGTATGTCTGCTGAATGTGATAATTAAACGTGGTCTTGTGTTTTGTATCTCTTTGTTTCTTATTTCAATTTCTAATTTATTTACTAAACAAATTTAGGAATTAATATTTATTATATAAAAGTATTGATCCCACAGTGGATTGGAAACTGAAAAGAAATCAAAATAAAAACCTGGTCTTTCACCACAGAGAGCTTGAGAAGCACTAGAACAGACAGCAAGTCTTAGAGCCATTAGCTCGGAGGGCTTTGCAGAGCAAGTCCCTGCAGAGTGACAGGGTCCTCTGGGTTCAGAATTAAGGGCAACATCATGGCTGCAGTGGACTACAGAGGGTTCCTGGAGGCCGGAATAAGGACAGAGAAGTCTTTTCTCTTGACCACTCCCTGCCCCTGGGCTGCGCTGTCTCATCTCTTTTGAGCTCCTGAGGCCTCTACACACCACACAATAAATGCCATTGATCTGAACAGAATTGGGGTGTTTGGGGAGAATTACATAAAGAAGTCTGAAGATCTGAAGGAGCTCAACCGCTTACAAGGGTGCTAATTCTGTCTCCAGATTGACCGTGTGTGTCTGTCTTCCCTCCTCTGTCCCATAACATGCCACTAGCCATTCCTGATCTCAACTCTAAGCACTTTGCTTCAGCACCTTCTAAGCACCTTCTTGCCTCCCTATTGACACTCCATAAATATTTGTTGGCAAGGCCGGTGAAAACATTAACACACCATTCTCTTCTCAGTCATCCTGCGTTGATACCACTTAATTGGATGTATTCCCCAGTAGATTCATAGTTCTTTTGTTCTTGCTTAATCATCAAATTCAGCCACACATCAGAGCCGGCAACTCATGAAGTGAGTCTGTGCAAAATGGGGCAATTTAGCAAGCAGTGTTCCATTTATAACCTTGCTGCTCAACATGGGCAGGGAGAGCTCTTCTATTAAAATGCACAGTCACCACTCCCTGTCCTGACAGCTGCCTAATCACGGGCATGGGGAACACTTCCAGGTCCTGGCTGTGAGACCCCTTCTCACGGCAACTCTGAGCCAGCAGCAGGTGTGCACTACGCAGCTCTGCCCCTGGTTTCCAGGACTTCTCTGGAAGAGATGAAAGTTGGAGCATAGAAGAGCTCACATTTATGGAGCATTTAACATGGGCCAGGTTCAGTCTTAAGTGCTTAAAATGCATAATCTCATTCTCGCCTCCCCAAATCCTTTGAGGAAGGTATTCTTTTTTTTTTTCTTTTCTTTTCTTTTTTTTTTTTTATTATTTATTTATTTATTTTTGACGGCATCTTGCTCTGTTGCCAGGCTGGAGTGCAGTGGCGTGATCTCGGCTCACTGCAGCCTCCACCTCCTGGGTTCAAGCGATTCTCCTGCCTCAGCCTCCCAAGTAGCTGGGACTACAGGCATGCACCACCATGCCCAGCTAATCTTTTTGTATTTTTAGTAGAGACAGGGTTTCACCATGTTAGCCAGGATGGTCTCGATCTCCTGACCTCATGATCCACCTGCCTCGGCCTCCCAAAGTGCTGGGATTATGGTCATGAGCTACCGCACCCAGCCTATTCTTTTTTTCAATTGTGGTAAATATTCATAGCAATAAAACTCAGCACTTTAACTGTCTTTAAGCAAACAGTTCGGTGGCATTAAGTATATTGCCACTGTTGAGCAGCCGTCGCTGTCATCCATTTTCAGCACTTTTTCATCTTCTCAAACTGAAACTCTGTACCCATTAAACACGAACTCCCCATTCCTTTAACTCCTCATTAAACACTAACCTCCTCCTGGTCCCCGGCAACCACCATGCTACTTTCCGTCTTAATAAATTCATCTATTCTAGGAATGAGAATGGCACTCTTCTTATTATCCCCATTGCAAAATAGGAAACTGAAGCACAGTCAGTTTAAATAAATTGCCCAAGGAAACACCACGAGCAAACAGAAGAGCTGGGATTAGCATTCAGGAAATCTGGCTCTGGAGCCCGCTAGGTCATGCTAAAGAGAACAGAGGACCCTCCAAGGAGAGGAAAAAGGGCCTCTTTTCCTTAACGCCTCCTGCATTCCCAACACACGGCTGCAACCTGATCAGAAGCAGAAGGGTGGCAAAGGGCTCCTCTGTCCAGGACCCAAGGGGGAGAAAAAGAGCCTGGGATGATTTCTACTGCTCTGTTTATCCACTCCTAGTACTTCCTACCACTACTATCAACACATACACACACACACACACACACACACACACACACACACACACACACACACACACAGGCTGCAGTGGCAAGAATTTGAGTTCTGGTACCAGACAGACCTAGTTCCAGGTACAGTTCTGTGATGTGCTAAATGTCTGCCCTTTACTGAGTTTCCATTTCTGCTTCATTCATGTGGGGATGGTGTTATCTATCTTACTGGTATGCTGAGAATAAGGGTTAAATGAAATGAAGTTGTGAAATCATCAGGCAGAGTGTCTGACAGACAGCAGAAACTCAATAATTGTGAACTCCTGTCCCACTTCTCCACTTCTCCACTTCACCATAGAAGGAAACTGAAAAACCTCTGTGAATGCCCTGGAGCCCAGCCAGCCTAGGAGTGCTCTCCATATCAGGTGTGCTCGGGCACAAGGAATGAGGAAGAGGAAGAGGCAGCGTTGAGGAGAGTACTGGTGGGGATCCATTGATTCTGGGGGAATGAAATAAAATCCCCAGAAAAATATGCATGCCTCTTGTATCTCAAGTATTGGCAGGACAATTAGAACAAGGGGATGCTGGTGGGCTCCCAGTAACACTGACGCTGTAAAAAGCCAAGCTTCTGCCTGAACTTCTGTCCCTTGACTGGCGGGCAGATTGGACAGCTCCTGCCCTGTCCGGTGTGCTTTCCCACTATAGCCCCAGAGCCTCAGGGAGGGTTGAGGATGCTGGGGAGGTTGTGGTATATACATGTTGAACCAATGAGTGAGTGAGTAAATGCATGGTGCCTGACCACGGTGCGCCGCATGTTTTTACTTAGGAAAAGCAAACAAATGACCTGGACAAATATTTCAGAATGGATTCCCCCACACCTCCACAGGAGAAAAAAAAGGCCAGGGGCAGGAGTGGTATATGCGGACAGACTGATTTTGATTGATACTTCCAGCCACCTGGGGCATTAGACGCACCTGATAAAACTCTTCATCCCAGAAGAAGTTGATTACTAAGTGAAAGAAGCTGATGTGAAAAAGGCTATATACAGCATGATTCCAATGATAGGACATTTTGAAAAAGGCAAAACTGTGGACACTGTAAAAAGATCAGTGGTTGCCAGAAGTTGAGGGGAGGGAAGGATGGGCAGGCAGAGCACAGAGGATGGTTAGGGCAACGCAACTACTCTATGTGATACTGTGGAGGTGGTTACATGTCAATAAACATTGTCCAAAACCATAGGATGCACAACACCCCGAATGAGCTCTGGTGTAAACCATGGCCTCTGAGTGGTGTGTGGATGCCGCTCCATCAGCTGTAATTAATGTACCCCTCTGGTGGGGGATGTTGATAATGGGCAAGGCTGTGCATGTGTGAAGGGGGGAGTCTGTGGGAAATCTCTGTGCCTTCTCTCAATTTTACTGTGAAACTAAAACTTCTCTTAAAAAACATTTTTTTAAAAAAGGAGTTTGAAGGGCCTGAAACTCCAGGGTATTCTGAGCTCTGCTGAGTCTGCTGCTGGCTGGAAGGCAAGAAGAGAGGAAGCTGCTGTGCTTCCCAAGTACCTTCTTTTCTTTTTTGTTTCTGTTTGTTTGTTTTTTGTTTGTTTGTTTTGAAACAGGGTCTTGCTCTGTCACCCAGGCTGGAGTGCAGTGTTGCAATCATGGCTCACTGCAGCCTTGATCCCCTGGGCTCAAGCAATCCTTCTGCCTCAGCCTCCTGAGTAGCTGGGACCACAGGCGTGCACCACCACAGCCAGCTAATTTTTTCAATTTTTTGTAGAGATGGGTCTCAACACATTGCCCAGGCTGGTCTTGAACTCCTGGGGCTCAAGTGATCCTTCTGTCTCAGCCTCCCAAAGTGCTAGGATTATAGGCACAAGCCCCTGTACCCAGCCATATCTTCTCCTCTTTGCAGGGAGCAACATGAAGCAAACAAAATGTGACCTACGTCCACTCTTCTGGAAAACAGGGGGCTGCTTCAGGAGGACGTTTGAAACAAGTAAGGGCTCCAGAAACAAGGGCGTGCCTCTCAAGGAACTGTACTGCCCGGCATTGGCTAGTGAAAAAAATTAGAAGCAGAGGCTATCCATCAAACCAGAAAAAACAGAGACACAGAAAAGAAACCGAGAAGGTGGAAACAGAAGCAATGACTACAGAGAAATAGACTCCACACCACAGAAAGTGACAGGAAAAGTCGAAGGAGAGAACAGCAAAGCCAGAGAGTAGAGACTGAGCAAGGGAGTGGAAGCAAGACACCAAGACAGAGCCAGGAAGAGTGAGACATAACAAGCCTCAGCCTCCAAACACAGAAATTTAACTATTACCTGTGTTAGCCACCTGTATGGCTCCCAGGTTCTTCCTGTTCCTCAAAATATAATAGATCCCAATGTTCAATGAAACTAAAGTTCAGAACCTACTGCAAAATTGCTTGGTTCCTTGACCTCTTTCTTCAAATGCTTTGCTTCTGCAAACAAAACAGCAAAAATGCCCCCTCTCTTTTCTTTTAAAGCTAGATAATTTCCAAGGAGATTTTGGAAAGCAGAATCCAAAGGCGTGATCCTGGACGGTGACCAAGATGGACAACAGGGCTTCAAGGCATGTTGTTATAGAGATGAGATACTCTATGACATAAAAAAGAATTCAGCTCTGATGCCATGTGTGCAGGTCAGCCTGGAAATTGGGTCAGGAGCCAACATCAAAGGTTAATATCGCAGGGCCTGGAGGTGAGAGATTCTCCATGGATTCTTCTTGTGAATTGGAGGGGCCAAGTGTCTTTCATCTTCTAGGCTCCACATAGGAGGGGCCAGCTCCCCCAGGGAGGCCATCAAGTCCAGGCCCAGATGTCTCATCCCTGCAGCTGACAGACTCTAAACAAGCTATTGGGCCAGAGAGCCCTCAGAATGGGGCCAAGTGAGCTGCGTTACTGAGGCAGTCAGCCCTAGGTGGTGAGAGAGGCCCAGGCCATTCCCTCCAGCTGAAAGTAGCTTCTCTTTTCAGCCCAGTGTGCTCTTCAAGTTGTCATTTCCTGGTACTTTAACATGAAAAGGTAGGGCAACATTGCTGAATAAAATGTCTGGCTCTCTTTAAAAGTCGGTATTCTCTATGTGGTCAGAAACCTAAGGTCCTAACTGAGAGGCCTGATTGCAAAAGGGTCCTTTACATGGGACTTCATACACCACCAGATCCTTCTCCCTTCTCCTTTCCATGACCCCGTGGAGAGAGAATAAGCAGAAATATAACAGGGTCTGACTGTCATGGGGCAGCACTAGGCCTGACAGGGCAGTTGACTCCTTCTGTAATAGCCACTGGGGGAAAAGCCTCAGAATATCCGTGAAATTCCATGGAGTCACCAAGGAAAAACAAGTGTCCACAGCAAGGGTCTGCACTTATTCTAAAGCTTCTGCCACTTCTGTTGAGATGGTTGAACTTTATTCTTTTTTTTTTTTTTTTGAGACAGAGTCTCACTCTGTTGCCCAGGCTGGAGTGCAGTGGTGCCATCTCGGCTCACTGCAACCTCCGCCTCCTGGGTTCAAGTGATTCTCCTCTCTCAGCCTCCAAAGTAGCTGGGACTACAGGCACACGCAACCATGCCCGGCTAATTTTTGTATTTTTAGTAGAGATGAGGTTTTACCATGTTGGCCAAGCTGGTCTCAAACTTGTGACCTCAAGTGATCTGCCCGCCTCAGCCTCCCAAAGTGCTGGGATTACAGGCATGAGCCACTGCGCCTGGCCAGTTGAACTTTATTCTTTATTAGTAATTAAGAAGTGCTACCTTGTATTGAGCAATCATTATGTGTCACTTTGCTAAATACATTTTGTATATTATTTCATGTAACTCTTATGCAATAACTCAGGTGTTGGATACAATAACTCAGGTGTTGTTGTCCTCAAATTTTAGGTAAGGAATCTGAAGTTCAGAGAATGTAAGTAACTGCTCCAAGGTCATCCATGTAGGGTTGAGGGTCTGAACCAATTCCCTCTCTCCCTAAGTCTACACTCAACCAGTATACCGTGGCACCATTTATTTTGACAAGAAGAATTACCAACAGATAAAAAGCAAAAAAGTGATGTTTCCTCCAAAGGGAAGATAGACTTCAGGAATCTGCTTGCACCCCCCTGGCTCTGGGCACCTCACCTGTGCAATTCCAGACCAGGCCATCTGTCCTCAAGAGGCCGCTGGCCTCAGAGCCTTCTACCCCGTCAAGAAGAGCCTTTCTCTCCCCACTTATGGGGGATCATCTGCTTAAACTAGGCCGGAGTCATAATCATTCATTCCAGAAGGGGCTGTGATTCACATCTGAGCTTCAGAAAATGGTTTAGTTTGATTTAAAGGGGAGATGAAAGCAAAATAAATGCTCAGATGCTGACAAATTTCTCCAGATCTTAATTTACATTCATTTTCCTTTCAGAGCATTTGATTTGTTTTTATTTTCAAACTGTGTTGTACCACATGCAAGGAAAATAGATTTACTTAAGCTGTATCCTGTGATTTCATTGTTTATTAATATCAATACCAAGTAGATGAGGAGTGCTAAGAGAGGAACATCAGATGGCTTTCCATCTTCTCTCTAGGAAGCCATAATGAGAACCATCAAGCTTAGGAGTTTCAGAGGCTTAGGCAGTCTTCAGGGCTGACAGCCACACTGAGTGTCACTTCCCCAGATGCTCCCTTGTAGTCAGACTGACCTTGGAACAATGCAACTGGAAGACTTTAGTCCCCTCCCTAGGAATAGGATGTGTGTTGATATTCCTAGTGTGTGTCTAAACATGGTCTGCATTTAGCTTGAGTGTTGACATTCATCGATCCCTAAATGTTTCAAAAGAGGGAAGCATTCCAGCCTAGCTTTTCAGGGAAGCAGAGAATCAGGTTTTTCAGGACTGGGGGCAGGAAGGCCTCTTAGGACAATCACCACAGCTTCCTAACTCATGCCCCTACCCCCATCGGCTTTGTCTCTCCTTTGTCCTCCACAGACCTGCCATCATAATATGATCTTACCACCTCCCTATTCAGAATTCTTCACCATTAGCTACTAAAATAAATAAATAAACAAATAATAACAACCCATGGCCAGTGCTTCCCTTTATTTATCCAATCATTTGACAAATATTTATGGAGCACCTGCTCTGTGCCAGCCATAGTTTGGCTCTGGCCAGCCTCTTCAGCCACATCTTCTACTCCACTGTCCCCCAACTCCACACCCTACTCCCCACTTACTCTTCAGCACTTTCTATTTCCTGAGCCTGACTTGCGCTTTCCCTCCCCTATGCCTTTGCCCAGGCTGTTTCCTGTGGCAATTCCTCTCTTCCACACACATGTATCCAAGTTCTACACAGCTTCAAAGACAACTCAAGTCTCAACTCACTTTCTCTAAGAAAACTTCTTGGATTTCCCCAAGTCAGCATTAATTCTCTGACCACCTGCAGCCTCCCCTATCTCCTGGAAGAAGTAGCTGCTCCCCTCTCAATTCCTTGACCACCATGCTCTTTCCAATCCCTCCATTAGTTTCTTATACCTTGGTGGCATTACTTCTTGACTACTATCCATTGAACGAAGAGTCCATGTTTATTCTCCTCCCTCCAACTAAGTCCAGAACAAAGCCTCTCAGAGTACTTATGAGTCAATGGGTACATGAACACTTTCTCCTCTGTTCTCTTGGCACTGTGTGTTCATAATTAGGTTATTGATCACACTCTGGTATTAGAACAACCTGTGCTGTGTAGATAATTATAAACCACTTAAGGGCAAAACTCTTGTCTTGAGTATCTTTTTCATCTCCCACCACATCTGAAAAGAAACACCTCACTCAAAGTGGTCACTCACTAATGCTATTAAGATGAAAGGTAAAAAAATTAAATTCCCATCCTTCCAGGTAGGCCTAGGAAGTACTGGGGAACACCTAAGGAGTGCTGAAGAGGTCATGATATCTTGACATCCAGTTCTGTTCAGCTAACATTTATGAGGACAACCTATGTGTTTTATTAATATTAATGTACTGATATAATAAATTAATGGTATTAATAATTAATATTCATTATTAATCTCATTAGTTGAGAACCTATTAAGTGGGTCACATTTGAGGGTAAAATTGGAGAAACAGAGGTGAATATGACATGATTCTCCTTTCCAGGAGTTTACAACAAAAATATAGAAGATAGAGCTATGTGAAAAAACAGCCAGGCTCTACAGCAATGGCTCATGAGTGATGGCTGAGTGCTTGTGCTGGTCTATAAGTAAGCATCCATTGATCTATGATGAGGAGTGGAAAAAATTGACTTCACTTTATTGAAGGCTAAATTTATTCCAAGTAAAGGACTGTTCACTATTCCAAGAGTATATCCTTTGTACTTTGGTGGGTGGGTGTTTCCTTTCATATTGCCATGATGCGATGACAGGTGAGTGATTTTTGGTTTGGAAACTAAAAAGTTGAGAATCTAACATTGACCCTCCCAATTATTTTTTATTTTAATTTTGCTGTCCCATAAAATTCAAACCTGGAATTCACCATTTCCCTATATAGAACTTTAGGATCTTGAAGATGCATTTGACTGTGTGGTAGGTAGAATGAAGACAAGCCTGTTTTCCATTAAATATCATGGCCCTATCTACAGGGGCTCCAGCAACCCCTTCATGCAGAGGTAGAGTGCCCATCTCCTTGGGCCTGAGAACTGTTTGAGAGCTTTAGCTTTCTTGAGAGGAGTTCAACTCTGCTCAGTTAACTATCAAAAATAAGGTTCTCCTTGTGGATTTTTTCTTCAGGAACCCCACCAAGGGCTTCCAGGGAAGATCAAGGAGAAAGCTCCCCTCTTGGTTCTGGGTGGGAAGGAGAACAGCAACTGCTGGAATTTCAACTCCCCTCTCTTCCTCAAGGAAGGAAATATTCAGCAGGAAGTGCGACACAGCTGTAGTCCGAAGGCACTGGTGGAAATTCACGAAAGCTGGGATAAGGGAATAGGGAGGAAAAGGAACTCTCTACCTGTGGTAAAGAGGCAGGAATTCTTGTTGGGTGCAACATTATATCTGGAGAAGGGGTAAGAACACCTGAGAGAGCCACAACCCTGAGTTCCAGATTGACAGTGACTGCCTACAACTGAGGCTTAATCAGAACATCAGAGAAGGGACCCTCCCCATACCCACCACCTCCATGCTGTCAAGCATCAAGTAAAAACATCACTGGAATACAACTGGGAGGGTGGCAAAAGGCAGTTCTGTCCTGGGAGCAGTGCAAAAGGAGACTCAAATCCAAGCAGAAACATTAGAAGTCACGCAGAGTACAGACATTGACAAAAATTCTGTTTTAAATTAGTCTATGCCATAAATACAAGTTACCGTTAAAGGAATTGGAAGACTTTGGTGCACTAAGGGTAACAGCAACATAGACTTCAAACCCAGTCCAACCTCTGACTAAATTAACATAAACTCTCTACACTAAAGATCTACCAAAAGGAAAAATGGATTCACTTCAAGAATGAAAAATATTCTCCTCATTATCTACTGTCCTATACAACATGTTCAGTTTTCAACAATAACAACAAAAAGTACAAGGCAACAAAAAGGCAAAGAAAAACGAAGTCTGAAGAGAATCACTAAAACCAGATTCATAAATGACATGGGTGTTGGAGCTATCAGATTAGGAATTCAAAATAATTATGATTTATATGTTAAAAACTCTAATGAAAAAAGCAAACAAGGATCAGATAGGTAATTTTTTCAGGTAGTTGAAAACTATAAGAAAGAATCAAATGAAAATACTAGAAATCAAAAACACAGAAACAGAGATAAAAATGTTAACAGTGGGTTCTTCAGTAGACTTAACATAGCTGATGGAAGAATCAGTAAATCATTAAACTTGAAGATAGGTCAATAGAAATTACCAAAATTGAAACACAATTTATAACATAAGTCAATTTTAAAAAAATAAAAATAGTCTGGGTGCGGTGGCTCACACCTATAACCCCAGCACTTTGGGAGGCCAAGGTGTGCAGGTCACCTGAGGTCAGAAGTTTGAAACCAGCCTTGCCAACATGGTGAAACCCTATCTCTACTAAAAATACAAAAAAATGAGCTGGATGTGGTGGTGGGAGCCTGTAATCCCAGCTACTCAGGAGGCTGAGGTAGGATAATCGCTTAAACCTAGGAGACAGAGGTTGCACTGAGCCAAGATTGCATTATTGCACTCCAGCCTGGGCAACAGAGGGAGACTCCATTAAAAAAAAAAAAAATTAGCCAGGTGTGGTGGTGCACACCTATAATCCCAGCTACTCGGGAGGCTGAGGCAGGAGAATCACTTGAACCCAGGAGGCAGAGGTTGCAGCGAGCCAAGATCGTGCAACTGCACTCCAGCCTGGGCAACAAGAGTGAGACTGTCTAAAAATAATAATAATTATTATAAAATAAATAAAAATGGAATCATGAAAAGTTTCAGTTAAACCTAGAGAAGACAGAAAAAGAAAATGGAAGCAAAGAAAAACTAGAACAAATAGAAATCATTGAGGAAGGTAGCAAGTTTTAATCCAATCATATCAATAATCATTTAAAATGTGAATGGTCTAAACACACCAGTTTAAAAGTAGATATTGGCCAGGCGAGGTGGCTCATGCTTGTAATCCCAGCACTTTGGGAGGCCATGGCAGCAGATTGCTTAAGGCCAGAAGTTCAAGACCAGCCTGGCCAACATAGTGAAACTCCATCTCTACTAAATATACAAAAATTAGGCAAGCATGGTGGCACATGCCTATAATCCCAGCTTCTTGGGAGGCTGAGGCAGGAGAATCACTTGAACCTGGGAGGAGGTTGCAGTGAGTGATCTCAATCACACCACTGCACTCCAGCCTGGGTGACAGAGTGAGACTCTGTCTCAAAAAATATCTATATCTATATCTATATCTATATCTATATCTATATCTATAATCTATAATCTATATCTCTCTCTCTATATAGCAGATATTGTCCGATTAGATTTTTTAAAAGATCCAATTTTACACTGTCTTCAAGAACCTCATTATTTATTTATTTAAGACTATATCTCGCTCTGTCACCCAGGCTGGAATGCAGTGGCATGATCATGGCTTATTGCAGCCTCAACCTCCTGGGCTAAAGCAATCCTCCTGCCTGAGCCTCCCCAGCAGTTGGGACCATAGGTGTGAGCCATCTTGCCCATCTAATTATTTTGTTTTTTGTAGAGATGAGGTCTCCCTATGTTGCCCAGGCTGGTCTTGAACTCCTGGGCTCAAGCAATCCTCCCACCTCAGCCTCCCAAAGGGTTGACATTATAGGTATGAGCCATCATGCCCAGCCATGAACCCCACTTTTAATATAAAGA
Organism: Homo sapiens; assembly: GCF_000001405.40. Classification (NCBI taxonomy): domain Eukaryota; kingdom Metazoa; phylum Chordata; class Mammalia; order Primates; family Hominidae; genus Homo; species Homo sapiens. The sequence continues at coordinate 183,379,506 of NC_000001.11, forward strand.
TATAGATAGGTTAAAAGTAAAAGGTTGGAGAAAGATATACATGCAAATTCTAACTAAAAGAAAGCTGGAATAGTTATATTAATTTCAGGCAAAGTAGACTTCAGAACAAGGAATATTATCAAGAATAAAAAGAGACATATAAAAACAAAGTATTCAAGTCACCAAGAAGACATAACAATCCTAAATGTGTATGCACCTAACAACAGAGCTTCAAAAACAAAGATCTATCCATAATTGGTAACAGTCATCACACTCCAGGATTTGGTCATAGACTCTATAGCCTTCAACTCTCTCAAATAGCAACAAAAGATACATTCATGATATAGTCATATTAAGTCAAGGGATTGCTTGAAAGATAAACAGAGAACCCATTTCTATAGTTAGTTTAAACTTTTCTTTCTAATCCAATGAAATTATTAGGAAGCTGTGCACTTGAATCATCATACTTTAGTCCTTCATGGAACTGTTTTCTTAATTGTACTTCGATGTTCTGCCAGCAACTTTAACTGAGAGATATTATGAGAAACAACCTATACAATTCCCTATTGGGTTTACCATAGGGTTATTGTTGAGAAAGCTATCCCTTACATCACAGCGTTCTCTTCATAAGGGCTCATGAGAGAGATTTTGTTCAGGTTTCAGAACTAGGAAAGTCTCTATTTTCTCTGGTCATAATTCTCTATTTTCTTTGGCAGCTGGGAAGCTCAAGAAAAACATCTTTAGTCCATGGAAACTTATGGCATGCATTTTTTAATGCTAACCTTACCCCTGAATTTATTTTACTTTCCTACCCTTATTTTCCTTTATCTCAATTTTCTCATCTGTTTATTTTTTCTTTTGCTATGGTTTTGCTGTAGTTTTTCTTTTAAAACCAATTTTATTGAGGCATGATTTGCATGCAATAAAATGAATCCATCTTAAGTGTATAGTTCAATACATTTTGACAAATATTACCATATAATTTTTGTTATCCATATAAAGGCAATTTTGAAATAAGTAAACATAAATATCATGAGACAGTCTGTGCTAAGCATTATCATAGAGACACAAACAAATGACTATGGGAATATGAGAGAGGGTGAAAAATTCTGACTGGACAGATAATGGGATCAGAAGGGGTGCAGCTGTTGGAAAATAGTTCTCATTTTAAAAAGTAATATCTCTCCTTCAATTTAAAAAATGGAAATTCGACAGATCAATGTGGCAGGAAAGGTAAGTTAGAAAAGGAAATAGCTTGAATAAAAGCATGAAGCAAGAGAGGTAGGCACTGTTTCAGTTCGGTTGGAGTAGAATGTGAGAGGAAAAGAAATACGGAGAAATGAGCTGCTTGTCACCTTGTAGGAGGTTCTCAAAGCCAAACAATGTCTTCCCACATTGTTGTGCAGGTAATTGGGAGCCAGAGGAGGTTTTCAGTAGAGGAGAGACATAATGAGACTTGTGTTTTAGAAAGGTCGATCTAGAGGCAGTGTGAGGAGTGGATGAGGGCCTGGAGGTAGAGGGGCCAGTGGAAAGTCTTCTTCAGTGGTCCAGGGATGATATAATGAGGAGCTGGATCAACCATTGTGAGAATGAGGGAGAGATGGGATGAGCTGCACTGTGGCAGAAAATCTCTAGGAAGGGTCAAAGGATGGTTGTGAGGGTGTGTGGGAGAGAGACTGATTACATATATGACCAGGAGGATGGGCATCCCCATGACTCCTGTTCTGGACAGAAGATTGGCAACCTTTTGGGTCCTCCCTCTCTCAACCTCTGCAAGCAGAGAAAGTTCAGGTTACCAATCAAAAACCAACCTCTATTTGGGCTGGTCATGGAAGTCACTCCCTTTCCAGTCAGTCCCTGTAACCAGAGCCAATAGCACATACAATAATAATGGGTACTATTTTACCTCAATAAAAAATAAATGAATAAGGCCAGGCACAGTGGCTCATGCCTGTAATCCCAGCACTTTGGGAGGCTGAGGCAGATGGATAACTTGAGGTCAGGAGTTCAAGACCAGCCTGGCCAACAAAGTGAAATCCTATCTCTACTGAAGATACAAAAAATTAGCTGGGTGTGGTGGTGTGCACCTGTAATCCCAGTTACTTGGGAAGCTTAGGCAGGAGAATCGTTTGAGCCCAGGAAGAAGAGGTTCCAGTGAGCCGAGATCATGCTAGTGCACTCCAGCCTGGCCAAAAAAGTAAGACTCCTTCTAAAAAGAAAATAAATAAAATAAAAAATAAATGAGTAAAATGATAACTAATACCTAAAATAACAGTTACTCTGTGAGGCACTATTCTAAGCACTTTACTTATTTTAACTCATTATTCCTCACAGAATTACTATGAGTTACGAATTATTATATACTCATTTAACAGATGAGAAAATCAAAGCAGAGAGAATAACAATCTTGTTCTAGATCACATAGCTGGTAAAGAACAGAAACAGATCCAAACCAGGCATCTGATTCCAGAGTCCACACTCTGTTGCATTATGCTCTGATACAGATTACTCTGTGCATTAGTCCATTCTCACATTGTTATAAAGAACTACCTGCGACTGAGTAGTTTATAAAGAAAAGCAGTTTTATTGGCTCACAGTTTCATATGCTGCACAGCAAGCCTGACTGAGGAAGCCTCAGGAAACTTACAATAATGGTGGAAGGTGAGAGGAAAGCAGGCTCATCTTACATGGCTGGAGCAGGAGAAGGAGAGCAAAGCAGGAGGTGCTACATAATTTTAAGCAACCAGATCTCAAGAGAACTCACTATCATGAGAACAGCAAGGGGGAGATCTGCCCCCATGATCCAATCACCTCCCACCAGGCCCTTCCTCCAACACTGGGGGTTACAACTCAACATGAGATTTGGGCAGGGACACAAATCCAAACCATATCTTTTCCACCCCTGTCCCCTCCCAAATCTCAAGTCCTTCTCACATTGCAAAATATAATCATCACTTTTCTACAATCCCCCCAGTCTTAACTCATTTCAGCATTAACTCAAAAGTCCACATTCCAAAGTCTCATCTGAGACAAGGCAAGTCCCTTCCACCTATGAGCCTGTAAATAAAAAACAAGTTAGTTATAGTTAGTTACTTCCAAGATACAATGAGGGTATAGGCATTGGGTAAATACATCCATTCCAAAAAGGAGAAATCATCCAAAACTAAGATTCTATAGGCCCCATGCAAGTCTGAAACCCAGTAGGGCAGTCATTAAATATTAAATCTCTAAATTAATTTCCTTTGACTCCATGTCTCATATCCAGCCCACCCATCAGTAAGGGGCAGGCTTCCAAGGCCTTGGGCATCTCTGCCCCTTTAGCTCTGCAGGGTACAGCCTCCTCAGCTGCTTTCATAGGCTGGTGTTGAGTGCCTGCAGCTTTTCCAAGTGCACGGAGCCTGGAGGATGGTGGCTGTCTTCTCACAGCACCATTAGGCAATGCCCAAGTAGCGACTCTGTGTGGGGGCTCCAATCCCACATTTTCCCCTCCACATTGCCCTAGTAGAGGTTCTCCATGAGGGCTCCACACCTGCAGCAGACTTCTGCCTGCACATCCTTGCATGTCTGTATATCCTCTGAAATCTAGGCAGAGGCTCCCAAGCCTCAACTCTTGTCCTCTATGCACCTGTGGGCTTAACACCACGTGGAGCTGCCAAGGCTTATGGCTTGTACTCTCTGGAGCAGCAGCCTGAGACATATCTGGGGCCATTTTAGCCACGGCTGGAGCTAGAGTGGCTGGGACACAGGGAGCAGTGTCCTGAGGCTGTGCAGGGCAGCAGAGGCCTGGGCCCAGCCCACGAAACCATTCTTCCCTCCTAGGCCACCAGGTTTGTAATGCGAGAGGCTTCCACCAAGGTCTCTGGAATGCCTTCAAGAAATTTTCCCATTATCTTGGCTAATAACACTAGACTCCTCATTACTTGTGCAAATTTCTGCAGCTGGCTCGAATTCCTCCCCCCAAAATGGGTTTTTCTTTTCTACCACATGGTCAGGTTACAAATTTTCTAAACTTTTATGCTTTGCTTCCCTTTTAAACATAAATTCCAGTTTCAGATAACCTCTTTGCTTATGCCTATCACCATACGCTGTTAGATGCAGCCAGGCTACATCTTGAATGTTTTACTGCTTAAAAATTTCTTCCACCAGATACCCTAAATCATCACTCTCAAGTTCAAAGTTCCACAAATCCCTAGGGCAGGGGCACAATGCCTCCAATCTCTTTGCTAATGTGTAACAGAAGTTACCTTTGCTCCAGTTCCCAATAAGTTCCTCATCTCCATCTGAGATCTCCTCAGCCTGGACTTCACTGACTGTATCACTATCAGTATTTTGGTCACAACAATTTAACAAGTCTCTAGGAAGTTCCAATCTCTCCCTCATCTTCCTGCCTTCTTCTGAGCCCTCCAGACTCTTTCAGACTTTGCCTGTTGCCCAGTTCCAAAGTTGCTTCCACATTTTCAGTTATCTTTATAGCAATGTCCCACTTCTTGGCACAAATTTTCTGTATTAGTCCATTTTCACATTGTTATAAAGAGCTACCTGAGACTGGGTAGTTTATAAAGAAAAGAGGTTTTATTGGCTCATGGTTCCACAGGCTGTATAGGAAGCATGACCAAAGAGAAACTTGCAATCATGGTGGAAGGTGAAGGGGAAGCAAGGCACCTCTTATGTGGCCGGAGCAGAAGGAAGATAGTGAACAAGGAGGCGCTACACACTTTTATGTTTTATTTTTTTGAGACAAAGTCTCACTCTGTCACCCAGGATGGAGAGCAGTGGCACGATCTCAGCTCACTGCAACCTCTGCCTCCAGATTCAAGTGATTCTCCTGCCTCAGCCTTCCGAGTAGCTGGGATTACAGGCATGCATCACCATGCCCAGCTAATTTTTGTATTTTTAGTAGAGACAGGGTTTCACCATGTTGGCCATGCTCGTCTCAAACTCCTGACCTCAAGTGATCTGCTTGCCTTGGCCTCCCAAACTGCTGGGATTACAGGCATGAGCCACTGAGCCCAGCTGATACACACTTTTAAACAACCAAATCTTGTGAGAACTCACTCGCAATCACAAGAACGGCAAGGGGAGAGTCTGCCCCCATGATCCAGTCACCTTCCACTAGGCCCCTTCTCCAACATTGGGGATGACAATTCAACATGAGATTTGGGTGGGGACACAGATCCAAACCATATTACTCTGGGCCTGTAATAATTTCCCAGTTCACATCTTTACTCAAAGACGTCTCTCATTGCCTTGAGGTTAGAGGTGTTAATATTCCCAGCACAGAGTAACACAAATGTGAGAGAAAGCATTGAAGATTAATGTCTGTGGTATATTGGGTGCCCTAGCAGTCACTAGTATAACTGAGTAGAGTGCTGGGCAGGATATTGTATATATACTATGACCAAGACCATTACCAAATATGGAATAGGATTGGGTGTGGTGGCTCACATCTGTAGTCCCAGTGTTTTGGGAGTCCAGGGGTGGGGTGGGAGTTGCTTGAGGTCAATAGTTTGAGACTGGCCTAAGCAACTTAGTGAGACCCTGTCTCTACAAAAAATAAAAATAAAAAATAAAAAAAATTAAAAATTAAAAAAAAATTAACTGACACAACTTGGGAGGCTCAGGCAGGATGATCACTTGAGCCCAGGTGTTTCAGGTTGCAGTGAGCTATGATTGAGCCACTGTACTCCAATCTGGGTAACAGAGTGAGACTCTGTCTCTAAAAAAAACAACAAAATATGGAATAGATGCAACAAAAACATTGGCAAAATGAACATCCACAGGTATATACGTGTGCCTGCCTGTTTAGAAAATGTGAGCTATTTGACAATGGCTGAAGTTAGCTAAAGCAATAGCCTAAAACCCACAGACACCAGAAATTTCTGGAAAAATATTCACCAGCTATCTAACAATCTAAAAATACACCTATACACCTAAATACACCTATGGAAGATAATCTTGAAAGACAGCAGGCACAGGTCTAATTGAGATAAAACAAAACCAAAGCAGATTACCAGTCTGTAGACCTGCTGAACTTGCATATATTCTGTGACAGGGGTGTGGCCTGGCACCATCACAAAACCAAAGCCATGTGATATAAACAGACAGAGCCTGGAATTTTTTTTTTTTTTCCAGAAAATCCTCCACATTTAAACTATAGGCATTGCCTGTCCTCACTTCATCACCTCACATATGAGATTTGGCCACCCATACATTTAGGCAACAGATGGCAACTATCTGAATGTGTGTACATAGCTGGAATCAACAAACATTAAAATCTGCATATGGCATCATTTGAAATTTGCACCAACTCTCTAAGATATTGGAATGATTCTCTGTCATATGAGGAAATGTGACCCTTATTTGATCGTTCCTCTCTCAGACCAAGACACAGTGCCTGTCCTCAGGATGCCACGTGTCTATTTAGAAAGACAGACAGGCAAGTCGGTGCCTATGAGTCACTGATGAGGGCCCGAGGGGATGAGGCCTGGATGCTGACAGCATAGAAGGGAACTGGGCCACAATGTCAGGGAAGCTCCAGAGAAGAGACATAAAAACTGAGACCGGACGCTACTTGGGAGGACTGTGCTAGGGGACTTAAAAATTTGTTGTGTTTGTTTTTGTTTTTTTAACTCTACTACAGCATAGTATTTAAATATATTTTGTTACCGGAAGGACTATCTTGTAAACAAAAATTATATCCACTTCGAGAAGATTAAAAGTCATGGAAGATCTGTGAACAAAGGTATCACAAGATACCTTTGAGAGATTTAGAAAGCCATATATATCCAAATATAAGGTAAGGTGTCCCCCACCAAAAAAAATCCCTCAGGAAAGACAGAGTTATCTCATGTATAAATCTTTACAAAGTTTCCAATATCTTGAGGTGCCCTTTCAATTACCTTATTTTGAATAGCAATGTACCATTTGGGGGAAGTTATATTCACCTAAAACAAATGCTATTTATGCTAAGTTTGAGTGTTTATAGAAAACATCTTATGAAACTGATAAAAAGCAAAAGCAAAGAAATTTAACACAAACATAATAATTATTTTTGGAGAAATAACCTCACAATAGCAAGGGCTCGTCATTTTATATGAATTTTTAAAAAGATCACTTTTAAAAAGCAAAATAATTGGTTTGGATATTATTTTTTCATAGTTGAGGTCATACTATCTTTCTATAGTTATGTATTCTGCCTTTTTCACTTGACATTCTTGTGTCAACATTTTGCACAAAATAAAAAATTATTTAACAATTACAAAAGCAGTATAATATATAGTTATGTTGTGGAGCTCATGGATCGCTAGTTATAGGATAAATGAAAAAAATCAAAACTGTTCTTACATTATACAAATGGACACATAGTTAGGACACTTAGAGTAATGATAAAATTTTATTATACAGAGATGCAAGAAGTACTTTATATCAAACAACTTAGTTAAATGCGAAGATGTTTTGCTCTGGAAAACTATTAAAAAATGTTTTGATGATTCAAAAATTCAGTTTAATGACAACAGAGAAATTGATGTTGAAAATGCCTGTGATTAGTTTGAAGAAATTGTTTGATAAAATGTGCATGAAGAAAAGCAATAATAATATCATACATAAATAATGTATTAGTTTATATTTATAAATTAATAATATATAGAGTATAATTCTAAATCTGTATAAGTAGTTATATTCATGAATTAAATGTTATTTTGAAATTTCATCTACAGCTCTTAGTTTATATTTCTGTGATGGAAGATCCCTGTGTTTTTTTTTTTTGCCTGTTCTTATCGAGAAAATATTAATGACCCTTGATTTGGAATATATAATTAATTCATTGCCCAATCCCTGTAGAGCACCTAATGGATAGATAAGACTAGTAAGAAAAAAATAATTGAAGAATTCAGAAAATTACGGTAGTTTTGGGCCATTTACCATTGAGGTAAACAGCTCTTACAGCCACACATCTACTTTATAGCAGAGAACAAATCTGGATCCTTAAAAATCCACAATAGTTTTCAATTTGCCTACAAGGTCTAACACCAATAATCTTAACATTCACATGCCTCCACAATTTGTCAACTAATCTACTATGTTTCCACATCTATCTCTTGGTCTTAACCTGGTGCGTTCAATGTTGAGGCAAATCAAACCAAACAACATTTCAGTGCTGGCCCCAAATGCCCAGCTTCTGTCTTTTTGCTCATGGTATTCTCTCTGATGAAATGGCTTTCCCCTCCTCTTCCCCACCAAATGTTTGCATCCTCCCCATCTCCAGGGTCCATCTCAAATACCACTTCATTGGTGTTTTCATATGTCTCACGTAGAGGTAAATCTCTTTTTTGTAATCCCAAATCTGAAGTGCCGAAGGCTCAACACTGGTGGCCTTCCTGTTTGATTGGGAGTCAGGAGGTAGATTCTCAGTCGGGTGGTCTTAAGGTACTAGTGAGTGAGGTCAGTCCAAATAGTAATAACAAACCCTTAGAGAACACCAGAATAATGTTAATAATAGCTAACTCTAACTTGAAATTTGCTATGTGCCAGGCACTCTTCTAATTATATAAATTAATTCATTTGATCTTCACAGGAAACTCACAAAGCAGGTACAATGATATCTGCAGTTTAATAGATAAAGAAACTACAGCCCAGGATCAGTAACTTACCCAAAGTGGTCCAGCTACAAGTGACTGAGCTGAGAAACCATGGACCTAACCATTAGGCTCTCCTACCTTAGCGAGGACTACTAGAGAAAAGATGAGCCATGAGCAGGAAGACAGCCTGGTAAACTGAAGAATATGGAGGCGCACACATTTATTTGGGGAAAAAAAGGTGAAACCTTAAGCAGGCAGGGATGTAGCAAACTGGGGGCAGAGTGGGGCCCTTCTAGGGCTTTCTTCTCACTCTGGGCCAATTTCAGGGTCCTAAAGAAAAACACCTCTGCCAAATGCATTGGAAGGTTCATGGCATTGTAGGTAACTCATCACTTCTAAAATTACTAATAAACTTGTCACATCTCCCTTATTAACCATATGGTCCTTGAAGACCTATGTTCAGTTCACCTGCTACAATATCTAGAATTCGATGTTGCACCTTGTAATTAATCAATAAAAAACTGTTAAATGTTTGCAACCACTAGTCCTCAGTTCAATTATCTGTCTTTAATAAAGAAGACTCCTGTCAAAGTTATTTAAGGACATTCTACTCCAACACTTTTAAAATAATTCTCCATTATATTTTTCTTCATAGCATTTCTTTGTTTTCTTATTGTCAGTCTCCCCCAGCTATAAACTACATAAAGGCAGAGACTTCATTCTTGTTTATCGATGTATTTCTGGTGCCCTAGAACAATGCCTGGCACACAAAAATAACTCAGTAAATATTCATGAGTTCTTGAAAAAGAATGGGCTTTGAAGATCCTCACCAGACCCTTGTGGGCAGCCTTTGTTCTTGCCAGCCAACCTTGAGTAAGTATACCAACGTGATTCCATTACCCTCAAAGCAAACACACGTCATGGAGCACAAGGAAAAGAAAGGGTTTCACTGGTGATTTCAGGAGGGAGTTAGGGAATGGAGGAGAGCGTCAGCCTTACGCAGAGCACAGCACTTTGCTCTTCCCTAAATCTTCATCAGGTATCTCTGTCCCCAGCCAGCTCCTCGCCTGCCAGCTGGCCATCCCTTCACCCTCTCACAGTATCACCCCTCCAGCACTGCAGGTCCCCAGCTAACATTCTTCCTGAATCTCTATATCCCCCTTATTATTCTGCTGAGTAATATAGAGTCTCTAGTTTACCTTCTCACACTTGTCATCTCTGTTGAGCAAAGAACACATTCCTTTGGGATCCATCCTCCAGGAGGAAGCATGGAAATTAAAAATAATATTCTCTTTCAAAAATATTTTTATTTGTTTTGTCACATACCAAGAATTGAATTTGAATCCAAGCTTTACTATTTTGTAGTTGCCTTATCTCAGTCAAATTACATAACCTCTCGCCACCTAGGTCTTCTCATCTTATAAATGTGGGGATAAAACCAACTTGACAGGGCTGTTTTGAGAATTAAATGGGACAAAACAGGCAAAAGCACCTTGTGCAAAGTAGGTATTAAAGAGGTTAGATTAGCAGGGCAGGGGGGCACATGCCTGTAGTCCCAGCTACTTGGGAGGCTGAGGTGGGAGGATTGCTTGAGCCCTGGAGGTTGAGACTGCAGTGAGCTGAGATCATGCCATTGCACTCCAGCCTGGGCAACAGAGCAAGACCCTGTCAAAAAAGAAAGAAAGAAAGAAAGAAAGAAAGAAAGAAAGAAAGAAAGAAAGAAAGAAAGAAAGAAAGAAAGAAAGAAAGAAAGAAAGAAAGAAAGAAAGAAAGAAAGAAAGGAAAAAAGAGAAAGAAAGAAAGAAAGAAGGGAGGGAGGGAGGGAGGGAGGGAGGGAAGGAAGGAAGGAAGGAAAGAAAGAAAATACGTTAGTTCTCTCTTTGTCCTTAAAGTAAACTCTTAACTATCTAAAAGGACCCATGCACCAAAGCTTTTACAGGATAGTGCAATAGAAGCTCATCACGATATAGAACATTGTTTCTGTGGTGCCAGGGGTTTGGAAGGCATTAACTACACAGGGCATTAACTACACTACTGTGGGCAGCAGTGGTACGGGAAGGTGGGGAACATTGCTGTTTTCTCTGTGTGTTTACAAATCAGAAATTACTGAATAGGGTGAGCCGCATGAACATCAATGTTAAAACGGCTACTCAAAAATGCCCATGGTACCAGTCAGCCTTGGAAAATGAGATACACAGATCTTAATGAATTAAGTGCTCACTTAGTGCTTACAGTGAGGAAATGTCAACAGTCAAAGTTACCTTCACACCCTAATCTTGTCTCCATGCCCTCAGTCCTCAGTTTCCTTATTATAACGGAGCTGAGCCTGAGAAAGCATCCCATCTTGTCTTCATCAGCACTTTGTTTAACGCCGGGTATGCTATCACCACACATTATGATTTCTAGGAGAGTACATCATAATTGTCTCACATATACTTGTTGGCTGCTTGATTCTGATGGTAGTTATACAAATTATACTTAAAACCCAAATTGAAGACTCTTGGCTGCTGTTTACAAGGTAGTGATTTAAGAGAGCACTTAAAATTGAAAAAACACAAAATAACTCATGCTTCGGATGCCTGGTGAGATAAACCAAAGTAGTTTTTGCTGGGGAGAAATGTAAAGGATAGCACATTTGTCTAAAATGAAAGAAACAAGTAATTCCTCTTTCAGGCCAGAACGGACTCCCTAACTAATGATGTGATGGTGAAATTCAACCATGTGATGCTGCATGCATTTGGAACATTTTGAAGGTCAGCTTGGGTCAGAGCAAAACCTATTATTTTCTTTCTATGAAGTCAATTTCTGAAAATATCATGACAGTTCTGATAGCCTCCACAGCCTGAAATCATTTGGGGTGATGCACGTGAGTTTCAGGCAAAACTTATGCCTAAAAATTAACACAAGTTTCAGGCAAAACTTATGCCTAAAAATTAACACAAACCTGACCAAGAAGTTTTGAAGGAGGGATAGGGCCACCTGGTATTTTGCAGCATCAATGAGCATAGAAGAGTTCCCTCACTGGAACTAATGCCAAAGGCCTTGGAGAAATGCCTCCACACCACATCACTTAGGCTCTGTCTCTGCTTCTTTTGCCTGCTTCTTCTCTCTTCAAATCCCATTGCTTCCTCCCATCCTCATCCTCACTCTGCAAGGATGACCTTTCTCTCTATTTCACTCAGGAAACAGAAGCTCTCAGAAGGGAATTTCTCCATGTTCCCACCACTTCTATCCACCTACCTGTCTGTAACTCTGTATTCTCTACTCTTCTACATATAGATGAATTGTTGGTGCTTCTAGGCAAGGCCAACTCCTCCATTTTGGCTTGACCCAATACCTATAACCTACTCTAATGTGCTTGGACATTCTTTCGAGATTTCTCCCTTCTCAGCCTTGCCCCATCCGTTCTTCCATATCTTTTGGATGATTCCCATCTGCATAAAAGCATGCTGTTATTTCTCTCATCTTAAAAAAAAATAAGCAAAAAACAAAGACCTTTTCTTGACCTGTATCTTCCAGCCATACCCTGTCTCTGCTCCTCTTTAGAAAAATACTCCTCAAAAGAATGTTTAAATAGGTGCTCTCCATTACACTCCTTTTACTTTCTGACACTCACTCCAGTCCAGCTTCTGCCCCCTTCATTCCAGCAAATCTGCTCGTGTCAAAGCCTTCAAAGTGGGCTTCCACTTCAGTTCACTCCAACAATCACTTCTCTGTGCTCACCTTACTTGTCCTCTCAGAAATGTCTGACATGATTGATCGTGCCCCCTAAACACTGATGGCATTTGACTTCCAGGGCATCACTGTCTCCTGATTTTCCTCTGTCTCCCTGGCTGCTCTTTCACTGTTAGCATTGCTGCCTCTTCCCCATCTCCCCAATCCCCAAACATGGCAGTGCCCCAGGATTCAGTCCTTGACCTCTTCTCCAATGCATTCACTCCCTTGGTATTCTCAGCCAGTCCCATGGCTTTAAATACCAACTCTATGCTGATGCCTCCTGACTTTATTTACTATTTATATATTTTTATTTTTGGCTCAGGCTGAACTATGCTTACTCAACATCTCCACTTGAATGTCTAATCATCCTTTCAGAAGCAACATGTCCAAGACCGAGCTCCTGACATTTCCTCCCAAACCTGCTCTTCCCACAGATACCCCACACCAATAAATGGAAACTCCATTCTTCCAAGGGTTCAGGCCAAAAGCCTTGGCTCATTCTTAATTCCTTTTTCTCTCTCACCAAAGCCAATTCAACAGCAAATCCACCTACAAAATATATCTGATACCCTATCACTTTTACCCTCTACCTCCCTGGTTCAAACCACCATCACCTCTCCTATAGATTACACGCAGTAACTTCCTAACTAGTTCCCCTGTTGCTATTCTCAACCCCTATGGTTCTCATCAGTGCAGCTAGAACAAATATAATGAAAGCCAAATCATGTAACACTTTTCTTCAAGACCTTCAAATGGCTCCCTTTCTCCATTGGAGTAAAAGCCCAAGTCCTCACAATGTTACATAAGGCCCTACACAACCTGGGCATCCACTATGTCTCTAATCCCATCTACCACCCCCTCTCTCTTCCTCCGCTCCAAACATACTAGCCTTGTTGGCTTCTTGGACATGTGAGGGAAGCGCTCAGCTTCAGGACTTTGCAACTGCTATTCCCTTTGCTGGGAATGCTTTCCCAGAAGCATTCTTCATATGGCTAAATCCTTCATCTCCTTCAAGTCCTTGCTCAGGAGTCACCTCAATGTGATTCCCCCAATCACCTTTTGCAATTGCAATCCCCCAACCCCATACTCACTAGTCCTCTATCCATTTTATTTCTTTTTTAATTCCTGATACTTGTAACCCTAACATACTACATCATTTCCTTATTTATTTAGTTGATTGTCTTTCTGCCTCCTCTAGACTGTAAACACATAAGGGCAAGGATTCTGTTTTGTTCTCTGTGACTGTCTTAACATAGTAGGCACTCAAATGGTGGTGGTGTCGGTGAGCAAACTCACAGAGAGCATCTCTGGAGATCACATGATCCCTAGCTGCTCCAGGAATTAATTCACCTCGAGTGGAAGATAAATTCCTTCTCAGACTAAATACACTTTCACTTTATCAAGATTATATAACTTCAGTTGTCATCATCATCATAACTCATGTTTATATATCATAGTTTTCCAGCTTACAAAATTCTTTCTCTTATACAGTCATATTTCAACCTCAGGACAACCCTGTGAGTTAAATAGGGCAGATGGTGCCAATCCCATTTTACAGATGAGGATGCTAAGCCTCAGAATGGTTAAACGCCCAGCTTCAAGGTCACCCAGATGATGAGTGCAAACTTGGGATGAACCTTGGAGTAAATCCTAAGTCCCCTCACTCAAGGACCATGGCTGCTACACAGTTGGCTTTAAAAAAAAAAAACAGCTTGCTGTTCTCTGGAGTGCTTGAGTGAATACTGACAGAATCTGGAAACTTCACTATCCTAATTTGGCTATTTATTTATTTAGAGACGGAATCTTACTCTGTCACCCTGGCTGGAGCGCAGTGGCATGATCCTGGCTTACCGCAACCTCTGCCTCCCGGGTTCAAGCGATTCGCCTGCCTCAGCCTCCCGAGTAGCTGGGATTATAGGCACACACCACCACGCCCGGCTAATTTTTGTATTTTTGGTAAAGACGGAGTTTCACCATGTTGGCCAGGCTGGTCTCGAACTCCTGACCTCAGGTAATCCTCCCGCCTCGGCCTTCCAAAGTGCTGGGATTACATGCGTGAGCCACTGCTCAGGGCCTTGGCTCTTGATTTATTCAAAAAAACATTAACTGAGTGCTTCCCAGATTCAACATTGTTCTCTAAATGGGATACAGTTCAGGACAACACAAACTGGGACAGCTTATGCTCTCATGGACTTTATATTCTCAGAGAAGAGATGGACAATAAACAAATAAATGAATCACCTAAAATAAGTCAGAGGATGATAGTGCTATGAAGGGAAAAGAGATAGAGGTTGATGAGAAGCATAGCAAGTGAGCTATGTTTGAGATGCCCACTAATAACTTATTAACATGTTACCCACAAATTTTCAACTGGTAACAGAATGGACAGTGCCTCTACTTGCTGGCTGGTGATGCTACAAATTGTATTATTATGCATTTGGGTATCAAAGATGTTCAAGATTCTGTCTAGGTGTCAGGAAATGGGGGTGATAATAAAGCAAAACAAAGCAGAGCCTAGTCAAGAGTTTCAGAAGATAGTGCTAAGACAAACACTAAGTTGTAAGAGCACAGATTTTATTCATGACAGAAGAGCTTTCTAATAAATGAAGCTGCCCAACAGTGAAACAGTCTGGAAATGAGCACCTTGTCATCGAAAGTATCCAATAAGCAAATTAATGACTTCTTTTCCAACTGCAAATTTGATTATTTTCTATTCTGTAGAGCCTCTCTCTACTCTAAGTCTCCATTATTTTCAGTGAAAGGCTTTGTGAGGGTGAGAAAAGACAATGGGGTAGGACAGGAGCAAAAATCTGGCTGAAAACCATGGTTCTTTTGCCAGCACTCATACAGGATGAGAGCCACCTGACTGTCAGCCCCAGATCCTTCCAGCAGTGGCTAAAGTTGCCTCTTCTACAGCGAGATTAGGGGCATAGCCTCCTCTAGCCTTCCACTGCAGAACCCACCAGGGGCTCACATCTCAATGAGGTCCTCTGCCCAGCAGGAACAGGCAGATGTCTTCGCAAGTCACTCCATTCTCACTGACAGTGAAGCCACCAGTGGTTACAAAAAAGAGAGGAGCAAACTGTCCTTGGCAGGAGGCAGCTCCTCTAGTGATTTCTGGATGCTCATTGACAATGTCCACATGTCTGCAGGCCTCTCAGAGATCCAGCCAGCCCACAATATCCCCGGATGGCAGTTACCCACCCTTCTTTGCCGTTCAGCCATTCTCCCAGCCCTTCACTACCATGGGCAACCAGGTATTCAGGGGTGACTGCATACTGGCCCAGGAAAGATATCATGAGACAGACACTGGCAACAACTGATAATATTGCTCCCATTTATCCATCACTTACTCTGGACTAGACAATGTGCTAAAAACTCCATATGTGAAAGGATAGGCTATAACCTTACATATATATGCAGGGGCATGCTTGCAGAACTACATCTGACCAGAGTTTAACTAGCAGTGGTGGATTTTGCTTGTTGAGCAGGGCAGGCCAGCCTCTATCACCTTTTCTACCACTCTAAATCACTTGATGTGCAGCCACATCAAGGGATTTAGAGTGGTAGAAAATGTGATAGAGGTGGGTCAAGGAAGATAAGTCGGGGGCAGGGGAAGCCAGGGCATTTTGTAGGAAGGACATGGCCAAGAGGAGTTTCAGGAGGAAGAGAGATAAACCTGCTTCCAATAAGAGAAGAACAAAATTTCCTCTCCCTAGAGTTGAGTGGGATATTTGGAAATGGTGGGTGATGTACACTATAACATCTGCCATCTCTTTGTAAAATGTTTACTGAAATTTACATCACTTGTCAGTAAGTAGGGACTGGAGCCATGATTTTGCAGGGGGTGAAATGAAGCACTGGGACCCAAGGTGAGAATCAAGAGGTCCAAGGAGGTGCCTTACCATATGGTCACATTATTTCATTTAATTCTTACAACAGTCCAATAAAGGAGGTGTTACACTTTTTACAGTGTATTGGGAGAGGGGAGGTTATTGAATAATAATCTGTAGGCATTTCTGCCAACTGCAATGTAAAAGAAGGGGGGAATTTCATATTTGTATCTGTCTATTCTGATCCTGTACCTTTAGCATAAAGGTGAGTGTGGCTTCTTCGCAATGTTCATCCTCATCACCCAGGACCCTTCTAGATTTGGTCCCAGACTTCTCCTATTTCCCAGCAGTGACTCCTAGTTTGCTGTTGACCCCTTCCTTTTGCTCCTCTCACTGTCCTCTGGCTTTGTCCATGGGTCTCTTTGGTGGCCTGCAGAGTCCTCTGGCCCTACCACACTTGGATGCCTTGAGCAAGATTCCCAGAGCAGTGCCAGCCTTTCTGCAAACAAACCCTGGCACTAGTTTACTTGGTAGACATAAGTGCCAGAGGAGGCTATCTTCTGTCTCTGAATTGTCACAGCCCCTAACACAATGCTGAGGGTTCCTTTATTATAGTAGGTAGTTAGGCATGAGCAGGGCAGGAGAGGTCTCCCCTGCCCTACCAGGAATGTCAGGCAACAATCAGGTGATGGTCAGGCGGTTGTTAACTGTCTCTCTAAAATAATAATTGGTTGCAGCCAGCACCAGGGAAAGGCAGTCTCCCAGTAGACAGAAAACACCTGAAGGTGGTGATCAGCAGCTTCCCAATAAGACCTCAGGAGTTGGGCGAGTGGGCTCAAGCATGTGCACTAAGAGGCAAAATGGTGGAGTTTAACTGGTATATGACCTCCTTGGGACATTTGACTGGTAAGGGAAGAACGCCTCAAGTTAGCGTGTATATAACTCCAGTAAGCACACTGCACATGCTCCCCTCCCAAATGCTAGTCAGGCCACTGCACATACGGACAGCCTGCCCCAAAATCAAGGAGAAGGAATGCAAGACCCTGGGAGCATGCCAACATATAAAACCCCAAGTCAAAAGGTCAAACTGCACATTTGATCTCTCAAGTCACCCCCTTGGCCCTCTTCCAAGTGTACTTTACTTCCTTTCACTCCTGCTCTAAAGATTTTAAACAAACTTTCTCCTGCTCTAAAACTTGTCTCAGTCTGTTACTCTGCCTTATGCCCCTCAGTCGAGTTCTTTCTTCTGAGGAGGCAAGAATTGAGGTTGCTGCAGACCCATATGGATTTGCTGCCACTAACATAGTTTGGTGCCATGTGACTCGGATGCATTCCACTGCTAACACCTTCACACTCAACAAATGAGTAAGGCAGCATCCTGAAGTAGTCAAAACTGTGACCTCCAGAGTCAAAGCACATAGGTCTACATTTCTGCCCACCGAACACTTGCTGTGGGGCTTTGAGACAAGGGTGGTGGCAGGAGAATGGAAAATATGTCTGCACTCCCCTTTCTTGAGTGTGTACTTTTTACTTTGCAATAAATCTCCATACTTTCACTGTTTTCCAACCCGTCCTTGAATTCCTTCTCATGACAGTGTCAAGATCCTGGACACCAGCCAGGGTCGAGGTTCTGCTGGTGTTTGGGGACCTCTCCTATCCCACTGGTATCAGCTTGACACAAGTTACCTAACGGGTATCAGTGATTGAAGATTAAATGAACGAAATGAAGCGAGAAAAGAACTTTAGAGAAAAAAGAGTAAAAAGAAATGAACAAAGCCTCCAAGCAATATAGGACTATGTGAAAAGACCAAATCTATGTCTGACTGGTGTGCCTAAAAGTGATGGGGAGAATGGAACCAAGTTGGAAAACACTCTGCAGGATATTATCCAGGAGAACTTCCCCAACCCAGCAAGGTAGGCCAACATTCAAATTCAGGAAATACAAAGAACGCCACAAAGACTCCTCGAGAAAACAACCCCAAGACACATAATTGTCAAATTCAACAAAGTTGAAATGAAGGAAAAAATGTTAAGAGCAGCCAGAGAGAAAGGTTGGGTTACCCACAAAGGGAAGCCTATCAGACTAACAGTGGATCTCTCGGCAGAAACTCTACAAGCCAGAAGAGAGTGGGGGCCAATATTCAACATTTTTAAAGAAAAGAATTTTCAACGCAGAATTTCATGTCCAGCCAAACTAAGCTTCATAAGTGAAAGAGAAATAAAATCCTTTACAGACAAGCAAATGCTGAGAGATTTTGTCACCACCAGGCCTGCCCTAAAAGAGCTCCTGAAGGAAGCACTAAACATGGAAAGGAACAACTGATACCAGCCACTGCAAAAATATGCCAAATGGTAAAGACCATAGATGCTAGGAAGAAACTGCATCAACTAACAAGCAAAATAACCAGCTAACATCATAATGACAGGATCAAATTCACACATAACAACATTAACCTTAAATGTAAATGAGCTAAATGCTCCAATTAAAAGACACAGACTGGCAAATTGGATAAAGAGTCAAGACCTATCAGTGTGCCATATTCAGGAGACCCATCTCAAGTGCAGAGACACACATAGGCTCAAAATACAGGGACGGAGGAAGATCTACCAAGCAAATGGAAAACAAAAAAAAGCAGGGGTTGCAATCCTAGTCTCTGATAAAACAAACTTTAAACCAACAAAGATCAAAAGAGACAAAGAAGGCCAGTACATAATGGTAAAGGGATCAATTCAACAAGAAAAGCTAACTATCCTAAATATATATGCACCCAATACAGGAGCACCCAGATTCATAAAGCAAGTCCTTAGAGACCTATAAAAAGACTTAGACTCCCACACAATAATAATGGGAGACTTTAACACCCCACTGTCAACATTAGACAGATCAACGAGACAGGAAGTTCACAAGAATATCCAGGAATTGAACTCAGCTCTGCACCAAGGGGACCTAATAGACATCTACAGAACTCTCCACCCCAAATCAACAGAATATACATTCTTCTTAGCACCACATCACACGTATTCCAAAATTGACCACATAGTTGGAAGTAAAGCACTCCTCAGCAAAAGTAAAAGAACAGAAATTAGAACAAACTGTCTCTCAGACCACAGTGCAATCAAACTAGAACTCAGGATTAAGAAACTCACTCAAAACTGCTCAACTACATGGAAACTGAACAACCTGTTCCTGAATGACTACTGGGTACATAATAAAATGAAGGCAGAAATAAAGATGTTCTTTGAAACCAGTGAGAACAAAGACACAACATACCAGAATCTCTGGGACACATTCAAAGCAGTGTGTAGAGGGAAATTTATAGCACTAAATGCCCACAACAGAAAGCAGGAAAGATCTAAAATTGACAACCTAACATCACAATTAAAACAACTAGAGAAGCAAGAGCAAACACACTCAAAAGCTAGCAGAAGGCAAGAAATAACTAAGATCAGAGCAGAACTGAAGGAGATAGAGACACAAAAAAACCTTCAAAAAATCAATGAATCCAGGAGCTGGTTTTTTGAAAAGATCAACAAAATTGATAGACCACTAGCAAGACTAATAAAGAAGAAAAGAGAGAAGAATCAAACAGACGCAATAAAAAATGATAAAGGGGATATCACCACCAATCCCACGGAAATACAGACTACCGTCGGAGAATATTATAAACACCTCTACACAAATAAACTAGAAAATCTAGAAGAAATGGATAAATTCCTAGACATATACACCCTCCCAAGACTAAACCAGGAAGAAGTTGAATCCTTGAATAGACCAATAACAGGCTCTGTAACTGAGGCAATAATTAATAGCCTACCAACCAAAAAAGTCCAGGATCAGAAGGATTCACATCTGAATTCTACCAGAGATACAAAGAGGAGCTGGTACCATTCCTTCTGAAACTTTTCCAATCAATAGAAAAAGAGGGAATCCTCCCTAACTCATTTTATGAGACCAGCATCATCCTGATACCAAAGCCTGGCAGAGACACAATAAAAAAAAGAGAATTTTAGACCAATATCCCTGATGAACATCGATGCAAAAATCCTCAATAAAATACTGACAAACCAAATCCAGCAGCACATCAAAAAGCTTATCCACCATGATCAAGTTGGCTTCATCCCTGGGATGCAAGGCTGGCTCAACATACGCAAATCAATAAATGTAATTCATCATATAAACAGAACCAAAGACAAAAACAACATGATTATCTCAATAGATACAGAAAAGGCCTTTGACAAAATTCAACAGCCCTTCATGCTAAAAACTCTCAATAAACTAGGTATTGACGGGGCATATCTCAAAATAATAAGAGCTATTTATGACAAACCTACAGCCAATATCATACTGAATGGACAAAAACTGGAAGCATTCCCTTTGAAAACTGGCACAAGAAAGGGATGCCCACTCTCACCACTCCTATTCAACATAGTGTTGGAAGTTCTGGCCAGGGCAATCAGGGAGGAGAAAGAAATAAAAGGTATTCAATTAGGAAAAGAGGAAGTCAAATTGTCCCTGTTTGCAGATGACATGATTGTATATTTAGAAAACCCCATCGTCTCAGCCCAAAATCTCCTTAAGCTGATAAGCAACTTCAGCAAAGTCTCAGGATACAAAATCCATGTGCAAAAATCACAAGCATTCATATACACCAATAATAGACAAACAAAGAGCCAAATCATGAGTGAACTCCCATTCACAATTGCTTCAAAGAGAATAAAATACCTAGGAATCCAACTTACAAGGGACGTGAAGGACCTCTTCATGGAGAACTACAAACCACTGCTCAACGAAATAAAAGAGGACACAAACAAATGGAAGAACATTCCATGCTTATGGATAGGAAGAATCAATATCGTGAAAATGGCCATACTGCCCAAGGTAATTTATAGATTCAATGCCATCCCCATCAAGCTACCAATGACTTTCTTCACAGAATTGGAAAAAACTACTTTAAAGCTCATATGGAAGCAAAAAAGAGCCCGCATTGCCAAGACAATCCTAAGCCAAAAGAACAGAGCTGGAGGCATCATGCTACCTGACTTCACACTGTACTACAAGGCTACAGTAACCGAAACAACATGGTACTGCTACCAAAACAGAGATATAGACCAATGGAACAGAACAGAGCCCTCAGAAATAATACCACATATCTACAATCATCTGATCTTTGACAAACCTGACAAAAACAAGAAATGGGGAAAGGATTCCCTATTTAATAAATGGTGCTGGGAAAACTGGCTAGCCATATGTAGAAAGCTGAAACTGGATCCCTTCCTTACACCTTATACAAAAATTAATTCAAGATGGACTAAAGACTTAAACGTTAGACCTAAAACCACAAAAACCCTAGAAGAAAACCTAGGCAATACCATTCAGGACATAGGCATGGGCAAGGACTTAATGACTAAAACATGAAAAGCAATGGCAACAAAAGCCAAAATTGACAAATGGGATCTAATTAAACTCAAGAGCTTCTGCACAGCAAAAGAAACTGCCATCAGAGTTAACAGGCAACCTACAGAATGAGAGAAAATTTTTACAATCCACCCATCTGACAAAGGGCTAATATCCAGAATCTACAAAGAACTTAAACAAATTTACAAGAAAAAATCAAACAACCCCGTCAAAAAGTGGGCAAAGGATATGAACAGACACTTCTCAAAAGAAGACATTTATGCAGCCAACAGACACATGAAAAAATGCTCATCATCACTGGCCATCAGAGAAATGCAAATCAAAACCACAATGAGATACCATCTCACACCAGTTAGAATGGTGATCATTAAAAAGTCAGGAAACAACAGGTGCTGGAGAGGATGTGGAGAAATAGGAAAACTTTTACACTGTTGGTGGGACTGTAAACTAGTTCAACCATTGTGGAAGACAGTGTGGCGATTCCTGAAGGATCTAGAACTAGAAATACCATTTGACCCAGCCATCCCATTACTGGGTGTATACCCAAAGGAATATAAATTATGCTGCTATAAAGACACATGCACAAGTATGTTTATTGTGGCACTATTCACAATAGCAAAGACTTGGAACCAACCCAAACGTCCATCAATGATAGACTGGATTAAGAAAATGTGGCACATGTACACCATGGAATACTATGCAGCCATAAAAAAGGATGAGTTCATGTCCTTTGTAGGGACATGGAAGAAGCTGGAAACTATCATTCTGAGCAAACTATTGCAAGGACAGGAAACCAAACACCACCTGTTCTCACTTGTAGGTGGGAACTGAACAATGAGAACACTTGGACACAGGATGGGGAACATCACACATGACATGGGGGCCTGTCATGGGGTTGGGGGAGGGGGGAGGGATAGCATTAGGAGATATACCTAATGTAAATGACGAGTTAATGGGTGCAGCACACCAACATGGCACATGTATACATATGTAACAAACCTGCACGTTGTGCACATGTACCCTAGAACTTAAAGTATAATAAAAAAAAAATATGCTAAGAGGGTAGTCAAGCCCTAGAGACTGGGTCACATAGCATGTTTGCAACTTCTGTTTCTTAGATTATAGGCTGACTCTCTTCTTCATTGTTCTTGTTCTTAAATGACTAGGAGAGACCAGAGACCAGACCTCCTTTCCTTCAAATCACTGATCTTTGTTATAGATTAACTGCCTCCTTTCTTGTCCTGAACCTAACTCAGACTCAGATGGTGCCAAAGACCCTATGACTGTTACATCTTCAGTGTGGAAAGTTAAATATTATCTTTCCTAAAATAATAAGACCATCTTGACTAATCGGATTGTTGTAACTATGCATTAAGACTTACATAGAAAGATGTTGAAATTTTGTTAGGCTTCCCTAAAATTTGTCTGTATAAATGGTTTCAAACTTCTACACTTCAGAATACTGACTTCCATTTTTTGAAATCTGTGCTTCCCAGGTGGTTCTCCTCAAACGCTGCTCTTGAATAAACTCTCTTTAAACTAGATTCTGACCCATTTGATTATTTTTTGTTGACATGCTCAATAAATATTAGTTCACATATTAGTTTATAGTGATTATTTATTGCAGGGGATGCTCAGAGTTACTCACAACACAGGCCAAAAAAAATTTTCAGGATGTCAGGCCACTGCTGCTCCCCCCTCCACTCCCTCAAGGCAGGACAAGTATCTGTAATTTCCCACGAAGGTCTTTGGACAGGTTCCCTCTGGGGATAATTCAAAAAGGGAGGGGAAAAGAAGCTGAGCATCACCTAATTGACAAGTTGGGTTTTCTTTCCTCTTTCCCATTCCTTTAATCTCTACAGATTGGACTTTACCCCCAAAGCTGCTGTCGTGCAATAAGACATCATGTCATGCATAAACAACATCATATCTTTTTTTTTTTTTTTCTGAGGTGGGTGCAAGGACGTGATCTCGGCTCACTGCAAACTCCGCCTCCCAGGTTCAAGCAATTGTCCTGCCTCAGCCTCCTGAATAGCTGGGATTACAGATGCCTGCCATCACGTCCAGCTAATTTTTGTATTTTTAGTAGAGACGGGGTTTCACCATGTTGGCTAGGCTGGTCTCGTACTCCTGACCTCAGGTGATCCACCTGCCTTGGCCTCCCAAAGTGCTAGGATTACAGGCATGAGCCACTGCACCCGGCCAAACAACATCATATCTTATTCCTCTTTTCTCCCTCCCAAACTTTTCAAGGCTGCAGAAACATGTCGTTTCTCAATTTCTTTAAACAAACAAAAAATGTTTAATCGCAATAGCCTGAAATAAGTCAATTTGCATGTAAAAGAAATGTGTGTGTGTAAATTACTGTGGGTTCTATTGAGTTGGGGGAAGGGACAAGTGAAGAGGAACAACCCCCCCCCCCAAAAAAAATGGCACTAAAACATCTCAGTAGCCATGGGGAGCCCCCACTCGGGAGACTGTCCTTACCCACCTCCCCACCATTCCTTCCATCCACTTTGAGAGCTTAGTACGACCACATATGAAACCACAAAGAACCAATCTTAACAAAGCAAGTGCAGTGCGAAGGGCAAATTCCACATGGAGAAGTTGTTCAGGCCTTTTTAATGAATATTCATAGCCATATGATTTACTGGGCAAACTGGGATGTTGGACTTAAACATTCCACAAGGGGTTCAGCAGGGAGTTCTTTATTCACTACATTTAAATGCAAATGATAACAAAATTGCATGACAATACACATTGAAAAGTTGATTTAATGCAGCATAAGAGAAGGATTAGGGAATCAGTAAGAAGGATTTTATTTCAATTCTTTACATGGGTTAAAGTCAGGCCAGACAGAAGCCAAGAATTCAAATGCTATTACAGGGGACAACCTTGTCACCAAACAGGATTTGTTTAATTATTTTTCTCCTTTTGTGAAGAAATGGAAGAAAAAGGGTCCCTATTTTTGTTCATCAAAGATATCTGCAGCTACCCATTAGGACTGCTGATCAGCAGGAGTTTATCTCACCAAACTGATAATAATTCAGGCAAAAGCCCAGAAATGTAATTTTTTTTTTTTTTTTTTGAGATGGAGTTCACATCGTTGCTCAGGCTGGAGTGTGGTGGCACAATCTCAGCTCACTGCAACCTCTGCCTCCCAGGTTCAAGCGATTTTCCTGCCTCAGCCTCCTGAGTAGCTGAGACCACAGGTGCACACTCGGCTAATTTTTGTATTTTAGTAGAGACGGGGTTTCACCATGTTGGCCAGGCTGGCCTTGAACTCCTGACCTCAGGTGATCCACCTGCGTTGGCCTCCCAAAGTGCTGGGATTACAGGCGTGAGCCACTGCACCCAGCCTCAGAAATGTAATATTACACTTAGCTAGCCTGTGCCATATTAAGGGGGAATGCATATGCTTAGAAATACTGGAAGCATTTCCCAGACCCTTTTTCTGACTGATGAGAAATGCTGGTTGTTGAGGGACTCCAAGTGGAAAATCACTGATATAGGAACATCTTCTAACACAGACATTCGTGGCTTTGAAGGGAAAGAGAACTGAATGCTCCATTTCAGAGGAAGAATGGCCCATTGTGTCCAATAGGAGCTCTACTCTGGAGGGAAGCCTTGGAGGCCCCTCATGATGTGAGAAAGATGTGAAAGACAGTGCTTTACAAGCAATGCTTTAAAGGCAATGCCAATGCTGAATTGCCACCCCCGCTGTTGGTCTAGGGTGGAAGCATTATTATATCTGCTCAAAGAAAGGAATTAGACATCTTCCCATACCAACCCTGTCTGCAACCCAAATGGTCAAGCAAACAAATGCAAAATGGGGAAGAAAAACATCCTGTCTGTAAAGGCAGGTCAGATAGACAAAGAAGCAATTATGCACCAACTAAAAGGATCTCAGGCCGGGCGAGGTGGCTTAAGCCTGTAATCCCAGCACTTCGGGAGGACGAGGTGGGATGATCATTTGAGTCCAGGAGTTCGAGACCAGCCTGGGCAACATGGTGAAATCCCATCTCTATAAAAAAGCAAAAATTAGCCAGGCGCGGTTGAATGTGCCTGTAGTCCCAGCTAGTTGGAAGGCTGAGGTGAAAGGATCACGTGAGCCCAGGAGGTCAAGGCTGCAGTGAGCTGTGGTGGCACCACTGAACTCCAGCTTGGGTGACAGAGCAAGACTCTGTCTTTAAAAAAAATGAAAGAAAGGATCTCACCTTCGAAACAATAGGATTCTAGGATTTGCTTCAAAATAATATAGGGCAAGGATTGGGAAGTGGGTAGGGGTATCAGCACATCAAAATGAGCAAGGAATTGATAATTATTGAAGCTGGGTGATAGGTGCATCAAGTTCATTGTTGTATTGTTCTGTTTACTTTTGCATATGTTTAGAATTTTTCATAAGAAAAATGGCTTTTTTATTACTTGGTTTTTAAAAGATTCCACTTCACCCAATGTAAATATGACAGTATCCACCTCTGTTGGGACAAAGTCATCATTGCAGGGAACAAGGTCATTTAGCCACTTACATGGGAGCCCTGGGAATAGGGAAGCGTCCACCACATGGCCATGAGGGAGGAGCTAGACAAAACTAAGACTTTAAGACATGGACAAGAGTTGACTGGAGCTTTCAACAGAGCTCTTTTTATTTTTATTGTTTTTTTTGTTTGTCTTTTGTAGAGACGAAGTCTCACTTCAAGAGAACTTGTTTTAAAAATAACAGCCCTTTCAGTGAAATATCAGAAAACAAACTTGATAATTTCAGAATTCAGAAACGCTTAGTCTCAGCCCTGCCTGGGAACGTGCAAAGTGTCTTTGCTATTCCAAAGGCAGGATGTTATTCCCAGTGTGTGGTTGACATCTCACACAACTAAGTATGTGCACTGACCTGCAAAGTTCTGGAAGGTACCACGTCTTGACAATACACCAGTTAGATTTTTTAATAAATTGGAATAGTTTAGCAGTTAGTCCACCAAATGACAAATTTTTCAGAATGTCAGGACATTTTAACATGCAAGTAGCTATAGCTTACCTAACTTGATTCATTTAGAAAAAGAGAGAGACAGTGCCACAAATAAAGGGATTACTTGCTATGCTAAGTTCAATGATAGATAAGACAGCACAATCAGGCCACATCAGAATGCAGTATCATGAATTGAATTGAATAGAGGGATGTAGACAATGAAGGTATGTTTAAAGGGGATAAGGCAGGATGCTATGAAGACTGGGAATGTAATGACATCCAGATAAAAAGAACTAGAGCTTGTGAAGCCGAAAGAGAAGGGTGCTGGGACAGAGTAGCTGTCTCCACCTATTTGAATGTCTCACAGTGGAAGACAAATTAAACTTGCTGCATGGATCTCGAGGAAAAGAACTAGGTCCAACACATGGGAGTCTCAGGAAGCCCACTGTCAGCTCGATAGAAAGGACAATCTTAAAAAAAGTGCAATTGTGCCAAATGCTATTTGGCTGCTTTGGAAAATAGTGCATTCTCTGGACCTGAAAGATCTCAAGCAGAGATTGGACAGAAACTTGTAAAGATGTTTTAAAAGGGATTTCAGAACTGGA
Source organism: Homo sapiens (assembly GCF_000001405.40). NCBI lineage: Eukaryota > Metazoa > Chordata > Mammalia > Primates > Hominidae > Homo > Homo sapiens. The sequence goes on from NC_000001.11 coordinate 183,406,598, forward strand.
AGACTATCTGCACAATTTTGAAATCTGCTTCAAATGGAGATTCTGTGATTTCTGAAGATGCAAACTTAACAATCAATAAACCAACGGTTTTTGGTTTTGTTCGCTCAAAGTAGAGTAAGTACTTTACAAAGCTTCACTTCACTAGGTGTCATGTACCTAAAACCTTTTTCAAACTGCAACTAAATAAAAAAGAAACTCAACTGCTCTGCCATTCCTTTTTTTTTTTTTTTTTTTTTTTTGAGACAGAGTCTCACTCTGTTACCCAGGCTGGAGTGCAGTGGCGAGATCTCAGCTCACTGCAACCTCCACTTCCTGGGTTCAAGCAATTTTCCTGCCTCAGCCTCCTGAGTAGCTGGGATTACAAGCACATGCCACCACACCTGGCTAATTTTTGTATTTTTAGTAGAGATGGGGTTTCACCATGTTGGTCAGGTTGATCTCGAACTCCTGACCTCGTGATCTGCCCGCCTCAGCCTCCCAAAGTGCTGGGATCATAGGCGTGAGCCACTGCACCTGGCCTGATCTGCCATTCTTAAACCCACTTTTGCCTCACTGAAAAATAATTCCTACATGTCCCATGCACCCGCCTGAAGTGTCCAGTGGATACTTGACTCCATATTTTTCACTCCTGCCAAGTTACACACTTCATAGCTCCCAAACATGACTTGCAGGTTCCCACTGTGGATATCTGGGAAGAAGCATGAGCTTTTCTATATTGAGGCAAGAATTATCTTGATTTTGAAGTCCCTAAGTCACTGGCACCTCGTGTTTGCTGTCTGTCCTGTTTTTTTTGGTTCTGTCTTGCTTGAATCTCTGTTTTCCTGTATTTTCTGGTTCCTAAATGCTTGTCTTTTTTTTTCTGAGCATCTATTTTGCCTAGATGTTGAGATTCTGAATATTCCTAACAGTTTAATCATTCATTCATTTGCTAAATATTTTAAGTATCTTCATGTTCCTAGAACACTGTGCTGGGCACCTTAGGAGATACAAAAAACCATATGACCTTGGCTAGAACTTATATCTGATAGATAATATGAGGCATGGACAGAAATAACTACAACCCATAGCACAATGTGCTAAGTACTATAAGAGAGGTACAAACCAAGTGCTATCAACGTTCAGAGGGAAGTGAGATGCTGCAGAAAAACTAGATATGACTGCAAGAGCACGCCTGATGCAATTGGTGTGCTAATTTTCTAATCATCAAATATAAGGTATATAAGATATTACATTTAAAGAAGGAGGTAGCTATGAAACAAGAAAAGGATAAATGTGTTCTGAGAAAGTATACCTAATGTTCAACAGCAGATAAATGTCCAACATTAGCCAGAGTTGTGAATCAATGTCCACTGTAAACCAAACACCAGAAAATCATCCCCACCATGAACATGGCCATTTACCCAGTCAGCCAGAAAAATTACAATTATGAAATTGAAACTACATTTGCTGCTTAAATGAGTCTTTTTAGAGATTTAGTTTAGACTGAAAATTGTTCGTTAAACAGTTTCTCTGGGTAATGGACTTCAACAGCACTTCCTATTTTAAGAACACTTTAGATACTTCCATTCCAACACCCAGAGGTAGGTTATTCCAGGGGTTGGCAAGCTTTCTGTAAATGTTCAGATAGTAAATAATTTTGGTTTTGCAGTCCATAAAGTTTCTGTCACAACCACTCACCTCTGTTGTTTCAGTGCAAAAACATCCAGAGATAATACATACATGAATGAGAGTGGCTATGTGCCAATAAAACTTTATGAATAGTAAAATTTTATTTTATAAAATTTATATGTATCACAAAATATTATTGTTATTTTACATTTTTTTTCAACCATTTAAAAATGTAAAAAGCCATCCTTAGCTTGCAGGCCTTAAAAAATCGGGTAGCTGTCCACATATGGCCTGCAGGCCATAGTTTGCCGACCTCTGAGTTATGTCAATCACCTTATTTTACAAATGAGAAAGATAAGGCTCCAGCAGACTAAGTATACTCCCAGATCAATAGCCATTCAGTTTATTAGTTTCCATATAAACAGAAAAAATGGAGTGATAGGAAAAACTGGGGCCTTTACCCATTCTTTGTCAACACTGTTAACAGCAAGAGAACCTGATATAATATCTATAAATTTTGATTCCCTGGGGTATAACAAGTAAATAATTTTTAAATGGTGCTTAGCAAGATTGGTTCATGGAAAATGAAGCAATTATGGCTTGAATTTATATGTACAATATTTATTGTCTTAATTTTAATTTAAAACGAATGACATGTCTCTTTTTTTAAAAAAAGTCTTCTTTTAAAGATCTTGTAGTTGATGTGATGAGCTATGCACTGCTAAATATTTATCCACACATAAATATTTGAAAAGGAATATGAATAGTCATGGATGTAGTTTCATCTCAGTGCTCCATGGAGGAAGTGTTTCACCTCTCTGTGGGTACTAAGATGAAGGGTTGGAAAAATGTTGAAGAATAAAGCATTGGTGGGCACGGTGGCTCACACTTGTAATCCTAGCACTTTGGGAGGCTGAGACAGGAGGATCACTTTAGCCTAGGAATTTGAGGCCAGACAGGGCAACAAAGTGAGACCATGTCTCTAAAAATTAAAAAAAAATTAAATTAAATTTTAAATAAAGCATCAGAAAACCCAACCCCTTACCATAGTGTCACTTTATTGAGTTTTTTAAATGGTAAATAATTTCAATAGTCATGGAGAATGATATATTTTTGTTTTTGTTTTCTTGAGACAGAGTCTCTCTCTTTCACCCAGGCTAGAGCACAGTGGCATGATCATGACTCACTGCAGCCTCAACCTCATGGGCTCAAGCCATCCTCCCACCTCAGCCTCCAGAGTAGCTGGGACTGCAGATGCACACCACCACACCTGGCTAATTTTTAAATTTTCTGTAGAGATGGGATCTCCCTATGCTGCCCAGGCTGGTCTCGAACCCTTGGCCTCAAGTGATCCTCCCACCTCGGCCTCCCAAAGTGCTGAGATTACAGGTGTGAGCCACTGTGCCCAGCCAGAACCATAGTTTTATAAGAATAGAAATAGGTCTTGATCAAGACCTCCAGGATTAGTGCTAAAAACAAGTGTCAAAAGACAGGATCTCTACAGTGCTTACTTTTCAGACAATTAAGCCTGTGGAGAAGAAAGCAGGCACATATTCAAATCCAACAAAATCATGGAAGATAAAACTAGGGTGAACTGAGTTCACCAAATCTGAGAATACTTGAGCAACAAGGGCATTCCAGTGAAGCACAGTAAAATCTAGATCCTAGGCAAGAACAACCTATCAGGGGGGTGAATTTTTTGCTTGTTTGTTGTTATTTTGGTGGGTTGTACAGCAATAGAATTTCTCACTTATGTATTTCCTCAACAGATATACTTTATACAATGTACAATGGTTCCATTTCAGAAAATAATAAAATCGTGGCTGGGCATGGTGGCACACCCCTGCAATCTCAGCACTTTGGGAGGCTGAGGCAGGCGGATCACCTGAGGTCAGGAGTTCAAGACCAGCTGGGCCAACATGGTGAAATCCTGTCTCTACAAAAATAATACCAAAAAAAAAAAAAAAAATAGCCGGGCATGATGGCGGGTGCCTGTAGTCCCAGCTACTCTGGAGGCTGAGGCATGAGAATCACTTTAACCCGGGAGGTGGAGGTTGCAGTGAGCTGAGACAGAGCCACTGCACTCTAGCCTGGGCGGCAGAGTGAGACTCCATCTCAAAAAATAAAAATAAATAAAAAATAAATAAATAAAATCATGAAAAGAAAGAAAAAGAAAAAATCCACTTCAAAGAGTGATACAGAAATAATAACTTTAAAATGTTTAGATAAAATCACAATGGCAGCTCCCTACTGAACTGCTAACAAAGGGAACACTGACATTTGGGATGCAGGTCCAACATCTGCCATGTACTCCTTTGCCCATCACCTTTCGAGGCCCACTAAAAAAAATGCTGGGTCAGATCTGAACTGCTTGGCACTGCCCCCCTTCCAACCTGTTTTCTGGCTCTCTCATCTGTCCTTCCCTGTGCTCACCTGCACTCTAGCAAGTTCCCTAGAAATTCCTTAATGCGCCATGCTGTTGAGGCTTCCATACATATCCTGCTCTCTTCCCAGAATGCCATTCTCTCTCTCTTTTTTTTAATTTCCTTTTTTTTTTTTAAGAGATGAAGTCTTGCTTTGTTGCCCAGTCTGGTCTTGAACTTCTGGGCTCAAGTGATCCCTCCATCTCAGCCTCCCAAGTAGCTGGGACTACAGCCACATGCCAACACACCCAGCTAATTTTTTAAATTTTTGTAGAGATGGGGTCTCATTATAAATTCCAGGCTGGTCTCCAAATCCTGGGCTCAAGCAATCCTCCCATCTTGGCCTCCCAAAGTGCTGGGATTACAGGTGTGAGCCACCACGCCCAGCCAAGAATGCCTTTCTCTATTCTGTCCACTTGGCAGCTTCAACTTTCAAGCTCAAACTCTCACTAACACCTGCTCTAATGGCCCATCTACCATGTCCAGAGTGGTAACTTCCTCCATGTTCCCACTTTACCTCATTCTCACCTCTTTTGTAACACTTTTCACCTCAATTGCTTTGTTTAGTTTGTTATCTCCTCTAGAGATCATCAATAGCCATAGAGCCTTCCTGACTCTATCATTCCTGGCAGTAAGTCTACCATAGACTTGAGATGAGGAATCTAATATCTCACTCATTACTCATTCAATAAACATTTTTTTTTAAGATGGAGTCTCACTCTGTCACCCAGACTGGAGTGCAGTGGTGCGATCTTGGCTCACTGCAACCTCCACCTCTGACCGTCCCACCTCAGCCTCCTGAGTAGCTAGGATTACAGGCATGCACCACCAGGCCTGGCAAATTTTTTGGAATTTTTAGTAGAGACAGGGTTTCCCCATATTGCAGACTGCTCTGAAACTCCTGACCTCAAGTGATCTGCTTGCTTCAGCCTCCCAAATTGCTGGGATTACAGGCCTGAGCCACCGCACCTGGCCTCAACAAATGTTTAATGAGCACTCACTGTATGCCAGGCACTGTCCTAGGAGCCTGAGATACATTAATGAGCAGAGTAAACAAAGATCTCTGCTCTTGAGGAGCTCTAGCTGGGGAGACAGGCATTGAATAATAAGCATAAGAAAACAAGAAATAACATGCTTTGTTTAAAGGTGATAAGTACGAAGGGGAAAAGATATAAGTAGAGCAGAATAACAGGGACTGGGAGTGTGTGAGGTGCAATTTTAAATTATGTGATCAGGGGAGTAGGTTCTGCCAAGTGGACAATGAGGAGAAGGTTACATTTGAGTAAAGAATTGGAGGAGGGGAGCGAATGAGACATGGGCTAGGTGGGGAAGGGCATTCCCAGCAAAGGGAACATTCAGCACAAAGACTCTAAGGCCAAAGCAAAGATGTTCCATGGGGTTAGCTAAGAATGAAGTGGAAGAGATGCGTTAGGGTGGAGGTGGGGGGCAGAGTGGCTGATCATGGAGGCCTGTAGGCCATGATGATGACTTTGACTTTGATTGACAGAGATACGGAGCTCTGGAGGATTTGGAGCAAAGGAGCAACATGATCTGACTTAGATTTGGCTTACATTTTGAAAGGATCACTCTGTTTTTTTGTTTGTTTGTTTATTGAGACGGAGTCTCGCTCTGTCTCCCAGGCTGGAGTGCAGTGGTGCAATCTCAGCTCACTGCAACCTCCGCCTCCCGGGTTCAAGTGATTCTCCTGCCTCAGCCTCCCAAGTAGCTGGGACTACAGGCATGTGCCACCACGCCCGGCTAATTTTTTGTATTTTTAGTAGAGATGGGGTTTCACCTTGTTAGCCAGGATGGTCTCGATCTCCTGACCTCATGACCCACCTGCCTTGGCCTCCCAAAGTGCTGGGATTAGAGGTGTGAGCCACCATGCCCGGCCAAAAGGATCGCTCTGATAATTTGTTAAGAAATGAGTGTTGCAACCAAGAGTGGAAGCAGAGAGACCAGTTAAGAAGCTATTGCAATAATTCAAATGAAAGTTAACAGTGGTTTGCACCAGGGATGTAGATGGAGAGAGGTTGTTGGTCTTAGTTATATTTTGAAGATAAAGAGATTCCAAAACATTTGGACATAAATAGTGTGTCCAAAACAGGGAATAATTAAGCATTAGTCCAAGGTTTTTGGCCTAAGAAACTGAAACAAGAATAAAACTATAAGCATTTAGTCTTATCTAGGGAATATGCTTTACTATCTCTTCTACTGCCTGGTAAATATTAAATGAGGTCAATATGTTGCAGCATGTCTATTCATGTGGAGGCAATTTGATGTAGGAGGAAAAACAGAAAAAGAATGCTATTTAGCTGCCATCACTTCCAGGGGTTAGCCTCAGAGTCTTGCTCCTTTGCTACTTCCTCCTCTTAACCTCTTATTGCCATGATTATAAGAATTTTCCTGGCTGGCTCACTTGTATAATGCTAAAGAGAATTATGCATTAAATTTAAGAAAAAATAGCTTAATGGCAGTATGGTTTAAAGAAGTTCAAATAAAGTGGCTTCATGATTAGGATGATAATGGGGAAGATGATGATACTAGTAGTGGTCGTAATATTTGCCTTTGCTGCAGAGTTTACAAATCATGGAGACACTGGAAGATGTAAAGGGAGGAGGGAGCCAATACCAGGAGGATGGCCTTGGTCACAGCCAGAAATGACCAAATTCAATTCTTTTTCTGGGCTCAAGCGGACCTTTCACCTCAGCCTCCTGTGTAGTTAGGACTACAGGCACCATGTCCTCCTGTTTTTGGTCACATTCTCCTGGATGCTGGTGGAGGGACTACTGCTGGAGAGCACGGTGGTGGCTGTGAGCATGCACCCAGCCTAAGCATGAGACTCTACTATGCCACAGGCTGGGGTACTTGGAAAATGATTATAGTAGATCTTGTGCCATTTGAGTTATCAGTATTGTGGGTCTTTTCGAAGAAATATGATTTTTCTAAAGAAATATTAATTTTCTTTTCTTTCTTTTTTTTTTTTTTTTTTTTTTGAGACGGAGTCTCGCTCTGTCGCCCAAGCTGGAGTGCAGTGGCGCGATCTCGGCTCACTGCAAGCTCCGCCTTCCGGGTTCGCGCCATTCTCCTGCCTCAGCCTCCTGAGTAGCTGGGACTACAGGCGCCCGCAACCACGCCCAGCTAATTTTTTTGTGTTTTTAGTAGAGATGGGGTTTCACCGTGTTCGCCAGGATGGTCTCGATCTCCTGACCTCGTGATCCGCCCGCCTCGGCCTCCCAAAGTGCTGGGATTACAGGCATGAGCCACCGCGCCCGGCCTAGAAATATTAATTTTCAAAAACAGCGGCTGCCATAAGTTTCCAATTCCAATTGTTCTCACTGAAGCTTATTTCAGAAAGCTCTCCCTGATATTAACCACCCGACCTGAATGAATGACTCCTTGCAACCTGGTTATTCCTCTCTGTCAGGCATTAGACCTCTGACTGGCTTAAAAGGAGGAAAGATGCTAGACTTTGGTAATTTTTGGAGACAATATCAGAGCGCAGTGAAAAGATAATAGTTTTTGGAGTCATGGATTTAAACTGCAGCTAGCAGAAACAGGAGTTTGAGGCTGCAGGAAGCCATGACCCTGCTGCTGCTCTACAGCCTGGGCAACAGAGCAAGACCCTATATCTACAAATTAAAATAGAAAAAAATACAAAAAATAGCTAGAAATATTTCTGCTGTGATGAAATTCCCCAATTCCTCTGTTTTTGTTTATATAGCCAAAATAATCTGAGCTGTCCTTTCTTACTTTTCTATTTAAACTTGCTCTCTGACTTCCCAGTGGTAGATTTATTGACAAATATAGCTATAAATGTAAAGAAAGCTACATTAAATTATAATCTCTACATAGTTAAAAACTAAGCAGTTACATTTTTTAAAACTTCCAATTCCACATTATCTTCTTATGTAATGAGGCAGACCCATGAGATATGACATCACTCATTTATGAGTTTACTTTGCCAAAAACTTTTACTCATCCCTGAAAGCATTTTAGTTACAGTTGAGTATACAAGTGTCAAATATCTCTCACAAATACTATTTTTTCCTGTATGTTTCTATAGTTTCAAATAGGAGAAATAATATCAACTTCCCTTTCAGAGTAAAAGAAAAGTTCATTCTAAAAATATTTACAAATATTGAGAATTGTACAAGTGCTACTTTACAAAGATGAAGAGTGAGTTTTGAATGTCACTTCTCTTTTTGTTTACAGTCTCTCTTTTTCCTTTGATAAGAAATTGAATTTCAGGATATAGGAGCTCTATTTAAAATGCCTAATTTCAAAGTCTTGTTTGTGTCTGTTTTTTAAAAAAAAATTATTACAAATTTCAGTCACCTTAAAGAAAGCTTGAAAAAAAATTTTTAAGGCAGAGTCTGGCTGTATTACCTAGAATAGAGTGCAGTGTGCTATCTTGGCATACTGCAACCTCTGCCTCCCAGGCTTCCACCTCAGCCATCCTCCCACCTCAGCCTCCACAGTAGCTGGGACTACAGGCATGCAACACCATACCTGGCTAATTTTTATATTTTTTGTAGAGATGGGGTTTCACCATGTTGCCAAGTCTGGTCTCAAACTCCTGAGCTCATGTGTTAATGTCCATCTTCACCTCCCAAAGTGCTGGGATTGTAGGAGTGAGCCACCACACCTGGCCAAAAGTTTGATAATTTAGTTGTATTAATTATTTCCGTGTTGTCACAGAGAAAATTTTTAAAGCAATTTAAAAGGAGGAAATAGTTCATAAATAACTGGTTTCTTTAGACATGAGACAAAGATCTTAAGGAAAAGCACATATATGAATCTCACTTAGTTGATGGCCAGTTTAATTCTCTTAGTTTATGGTTCATGAAAATAGAGTGTTCATGGAATTATGCAGTCAGAAGATGAGCGGGCACTTCCTCCAGCCTTTGTTGCAGTATGAAGGCCTCTGCAAGAGGAATCAGGAACATGAGGCTCAAGTCTCAGTGCCACCCATTCTCCATGTGTGTTCATAAGTCACTTGGCTTCTGTCAGTTTCTCATTTGTAAAATAAGGGTAATAATGTTTTTCTTATAAGGTTTTTAACAGGAATAAGTAACATAACATAGATGAAATGGCTTTGTTAACCAGAACTGCTCTACAAAAATAAATTATAAAATTTATCCAGAGCTCAAAGATTCCAATAAGACATTCTACCAAAAATAGTTGAATGTGTATTTTGTGTTCTTATTCTTGCCTCATTTTCACCTGTTTATGTGCTAAATTCTTCATTAGGTAATAAACTCCTTAAAGCCATAGTGAGTGAACATATTATATCCTTTTTTTGTATTACTCTCTGAATTATACTTTAATGGACATGCAAAGGACTTTGTTCACATTCTGCCCTGGTCCTCAGTTCTTATACTAAGTAAATAATCGTTACTGCCAAAAGTCTCCTTTCACCTTTCTATATCTAAACCCTTCCACTGCAACTCAGGTCTATTTCCACATAGTCTATCCTTGAAGCTCATGGAGAATTGGCAGGTCAGCATTCGCTTAACAAAAGCCTTTATTACTGTTAACAAAGAATCTTCAGCTACAAGACAGAATCTTTGGTTCTCAATCCAAATCTGTTTCTCTTGTAATCTAAAACAACTGGGATTTCCTAGCTTCAGGAAGAAAGGAGCAGTACCTGCTGGGTCATCAAAGATTCTTAGAGCCACAGAGTTTCATCCCCAGCCCAATGGCTCTTCCCTACTCCTCCTTTCTCTTGGTTCCAAAGGAAAACCCATCATTGCCTGGTCAAGGGAGAGGAGTAAAGCGCATCAACATAAAGTGCTAGAGGACATATGGACAGACAGGAAAAGAAGGAAAGGGATGAAGACACCAGCATCAAAGGAAAGTGAAAGTGGAGTGTTCTTAGGGCACTGATAGTCCTTAGAAGACTGATGACATGCTCTTGTCTACCCTGATGCTGGAACAGAAGTCCTTATTTAACAGGCAAGTTGGCATTGGTTCTTAATAAAAGACTTTTGAAAGCTGAAGGAATGGTGAAGAAGGGATGGCTATCTCTCAGCCTCCCTCCTTCTATCGTGTAGATATGCCTACCCGATTTGCCCTTTGCTCAAAGTAGTTCTATATTCTTTCCATGAGGTTTTTAACAAGCGAGCCCAGTTCAGCGCACCTTTTAAGTTTAAAGATGAATATTTTTAGCCTAAGCCACCTCGCCCTGTCTTTACCGCTGTGGTGTGGTTTTCACTAAACCTCCCTAGGAGGGCTCGCGCAGTCCTCAGGCTCCGGATAAACACGTGTGCCCGCATCCAGCTCCGGCGCGCCCTGCATTTCAGCACCGCCGCCTCTGGAGAGCGCCTTGCTGGCGGGCCAGGTCAGGGCCTCCCACACGCTCTCTCATCCATCCCAGCCCACTCGCTTTTCCCTACTCCTCGCTTCTCTCAGTTTCAAGAAAAAGCACCCCCAACTTCTAACTTCTCAATTCCTGCTTCTAAAGTGACCTCCGCGTCCCTCTTTCCGTGTCTAAACGCTCATGCCCCACGCCTTTGAGTCCTACGAGCAGCTGCGAAGCCGCGTGGCTTCCCACCGGTGGCGCGAGACCTCCAATAGGCATCTATCGATCACCTTTCCCCTACCGCTGCTGGACCCCGAACCAGCCAGCCGGATGCCCCCGCTCGCTCTCTCTGACTCCACGCCCCAAAGCTTCTAAGAAACAAACGCGCGATAAGTCCCCTCCCCCCAACACGCACACGCATATACTCACACACAGTCATTCGCACATTCGTACACACACTAGACGCCTCAAGCCTTCCGAGTGCCATCGCCACCCTGGGCAGAGCCTCAGCCAACTTGGGCCCCGATCCTTCGGCTCCGGCTCGCGCAGGGCCTCCCGCAGCCTCCGCCCGGCCCCCTCCCCGTCCTAGGCAGCGGGTCCCTGAGGCCGAACCTAGGCGGAAAAGGGCCCCCTCCCTATTCACTCAGCATCCACCTCGCGCGGGCAATACACGGCCCACAATTCCCAAACACTGGTCCCTGGGCCGCCCAGAATCACCAGCCAAATCCGAAATTAATCTTGAAGCCCCAGCCCCTGTCACCGGTGTGTCGGGCGCGAGTGTGTTTGCGAATCCCAGGCACATACATGATTTAACTCCTTCGAGCTTTCGGCCCATCCTAAACAAACAGCACGTTATCTCCAGCCCCTTCCTCCCCTACTCGGCGCCCCAACCTCTGCCCCCATCCCGGTCTTCGCCAGCCTGGTAGCCGAACCACCGCACCGCCACACTCCAGTTCTGGTATCTCGAACCCCTGCCCAGCCCCAAATGATACTCATCTCTAGTCCCCTCCCATCCCCCACCTTTGGCCCCCTGCGAGCCGGGTCTGGCCCCGGCAAGTGACGCCTCGGAAACGCAGTCTGCGTACCCTCCCCTGAGTCCAAAATGAAGGGGCCGACCTCCACCAGCTGGATGAGCCGGCCCACCCCTCCGAAGGGGCACACGCCTTCCCGTTCGATCGCCCTGGAAAACACAGGTGCCTGGGAAAGGAGAGGAGCGGAAGCGGCTTCCAGAGGTGGGCGGGAGGACTCACCAAACATCTGAATGTGCCCTTTGGTGATGGGATTGAAGCTGCCGCAGGCGAGCAAGATAACGTGGGTCTTGGTGGTCTCGGTCATGGTGCAGATGGGTCCTTCGCGGTGGTCTAGGGGTTGCCTCTCTTTTTGTGTCTCGTTGTGTCTGCAGAGGGAGAAAGGAAGGCGAGGCTCCGGCGGTGGATGCTGTGGACTCCAAGGAGCCGCTCCAGACGCAAACCGCGTCACTCTCCGCCTCCCCTTAACGCTTGCAGCTCCGGCTAGATCCGAGGCTGCTTTTGTATTGCTCTGCTCTCTTCTCTCCTCGGTCGCTCTCTTTTCGTTCTGGCTTCCTTCGCATCTCTCGCCTGGTGCCCCACCCCATCCTCTCTATCGCCCCCAGCCCACTTCACTCCATCACTGTCTTCCTTAGAGTTTATCCAGAAGGCAAGACGTGGTATCCAAGCTCAGAACCAAGAGCCCACAGCATGGTGTGAGCTCTTTCTGCCTCTTGCCTCATCTTGATTCAGTTTTCCTCCTCATTCTAACATTTTTCTGTCCCCCCTACTTTCTCTAACATCTCCAAGTTAAAAAATGTTTGATCTTAAGGTATTTTTTCTTTCTCTCTTCCTCAAAATTTTAAGTGAGAAATGACCATTGTTTATTTCAGTAGTATTCATTTCTGCTTTTCCTTTTTCCTTTATCTGATGATTCCAAACTATTGAGTTGAGTCCAAATCTTGATCTGCTGGCTGCAGAGAGATAGGGGTGATCTAAGCCCTTCCTCTGCAATACTGATCCTTTTCGTGGGCGAAGCAATGCTATCCGTTTGAGAGAACATGAAGGGGGCAGAGTTACTAAAACTGTATTAGAAAATTATGGGGATCCGCCGGGTGCGGTGGCTCATGCCTGTAATCTCAGCACTTTGGGAGGCCGAGGCGGGCGGATCACGAGGTCAGGAGTTCGAGACCAGCCTGGCCAGCACGGTGAAACCCTGTCTCTACTAAAAAGCAAATACAAAAACTAGCCGGGCATGGTGGCGAGTGCTTGTAATCCCAGCTACTCAGGAGGCTGAGGCAGGAGAATTGCTTGAACCTGGGAGGCAGAGGTTGCAGTGAGCGAAGATCGCACCACTGCACTCCAACCTGGGCGACAGCGAGAATCCATCTCGAAACAAAAAAAAAGAAAAAAGAAAATGATGGGGATCCTCCATAAGCTACCAAAGTTGAGACAAAGACTTACCATTTAACAAGTGTTTCTTGAGGGCTCATTATGTGTCAAGTATTGCTATAAACCCTGCTGGTGAAGCAAAGTCACTGTCTTCATTTTACTGGAGGAAGATAGACAATAAATATTAGATGGCAATTGTGCAATGCACAGTAAGTGAATGCAATTTACTCTCTGACAGAGCAGAGAGTGAGTGGAGAAGAGAGGACGAATCAAGTAGTCTGAGAAGGCCTCTCTGGGGAGGTGACATTTCAGTGAGACCTGAGCGACAGGAGTAGTTGCTAGCTCACGTATTCAGGGACAGGGAAGGGCTTACTGTATTCATAGAAATGAAAGGCCAGTGATGCTAGAAAGTATGGGCAAGGGGAAAAATGATAGAAGACTGAGCAGCAGGTGATCAGGGCCAGATCAAATGGGGCTTGTAGACTAGGGCAAGAGTTAGACACTTTTCTAAGTGGAATAATAACAAAAGGAAGCCACTGAAGCTTTTAAGCAGGGGAATAATATGTAATTTACATTTTTATAGGATCACTCTGGCTGCTGGGTGGAAAGGGAGGGCAAATGGGAAGACAAGGAAAGCATTTAGGAAAATCTGGTAGCCTAGGCAAGTGGAGTTGTCCTGAGACCAGGGTTTATAGAGACGGGAGCAACGAGAAGTAGATGGTCTCAGGATATGTTTTATAGATTTTGAAATTTGGCTTAAACAATGAGTAGACTGAAATTGAGAATGGTAGGGGAAGATAGATGTTCTATGCTTATACAACAGAAAGAACCAATAATTCTTTGCAGATGAATTGGATATAGAGGATAATTCTTTTTTTTTTTTTTTTTTTTTTTGAGACAGGATCTCACTCTGTCACCCAGGCTGGAATGCAGTGGCATGATCTCAGCTCACCACAGCCTCGATCTCCTGGACTCAAGCAATCCTCCCACTTCGGCCTTGCAAGTAGCTGGGACTACAGGTGTTTGCCACCATGTCCAGCTAATTCTTCGTGTTTTTTGTAGAGATGGGATCTCACTATATTGCCCAGGTTGGTCTTGAACTCCTGACCTCAAGCAATCCACCCACGGCAGCCTCCCAAACTGTTGAGATTAAAGGCATGGGCCACAGACCCAGCCAGAGCCAATAATTCTTAACTTAGAGATTGACAAGTACAAATACGTACCTATCCTGGGCTTCAAGTTTCTTGGATAAATTTCCACCCCATATTAGTGAGTTGGTCACTGTGTTTTTTCTTATCCAAGAGCATGTGGTAGGTGTGGAGTAAATATTTGTTAAATTATGATGAATAGCAAATCAACCCTAATACGCATAAAATTTCTAGTTTAAATAGAAGACTCCTAAGAACTGATATATATTTATAATGGGGTTTGTATCTTCCCTAATATGATATGCAGATTAGTGGCTTAAAAAGAGCTAGAGCTTGTAAAGGGAGGTTGACTCAGGTATGAAACTGAGACTCACTAGCTAGGCAATTGACATAATTATAGTTAAGCAATCAATATTTATTGAGTGTCAGCCATGCACCAAGCCCTGATTTAGGGGCTGTGAACAAAACAGAGTCCCTGCTTTAATACAGCTCACATTCCAGGGGAAAACAACAGACCATAAACAAATGAATAAACATAATGGTAAAAAGTACCATAAAGAAAAATAAAGCAGAATGTGAAGAAAAGAGAAAGAAAGAAAATCCTCTTTTATTTGCAGGGGTCAAAGATGGCCTCTTTGATAAGACAGTGTTTGAACAGGGACCTAAATGAAGTGAAGGTATGTGTCACTTGAATATCTAGGGAAGAATATACCAGGCAGGACTGCTAGTATAAAGGATCGGAAGACTAAGAGTGCTTGGGGGTGTTTGACAAGCACACCAAGGTGACTGGAGAAAACAAAGAATGTGGAAAGCACTCAAAGACAGGTCCAAAAAGAAGGACAGATCATACAGGGCCTTGTAGGTCTTAATTAAGGCTCTGGTTTTTTCACTTAGAAGGGATGGGAAGCCATTCGAGGGTTTTGAGTGGAGAAGTGACATGAGGTGACTCAACGTTTGAAAAGTATGTTTGGCAGAAGATATAAATTTTGGAGTCTTCAGTGTAGTTTATATTTAAAGTCATGGGACTAGATGAGGTTACCTAGGGAGAAACAGATATACAGAGTGAAAAGGAGGTCCTCAGTTTCAACCCTGGGGCACACCAAATTAATAATAGTAGCTAACATTCATTGGGTGTTACTAGAAGCCCAAGCACTGTAAAATGTTTACAGATGTTAACTCTTTAACACTCACAATAACTCTGTGAGTTTGTATGATTTTATTCTATCTTAGAGATAAGCCTACAGGGGCACAGGGAAATTAAGTAACTGGTCTGGGTTGAGACTGCTAGCATGTATGGAACCAGATTCAAACCCTGACAGTTTTGATTGAAGGCCCTACTCTTGATACAAGGCTACTCTCTCATCTTGTTTCCCTGCTATGCTATACTGGCCATATTTGTAAAATGAGGAAAACAATACCCACCAAGCTGCAGAGATGTGAAGATTAGAGGTAATGTATGTAGAACACCTAGCATATAGTAGATGATCAATAAATGATAGCTAGTTCATAATTGAGAGAATAGGACTTCTTAGCAGAGATTGGAGAACAGACTGAGAGATACCTTACCATGTGCTAAGGTCTGAATGTTTCTGTCCCCCAAAATTCATATATTGAAACCTAATCCCCCATGTCATGGTCTTAAGAGGTAGGGTGATATGGTTTGGATCTGTGTCCTCACCCAAATTTCATGTTGAATTGTAATCCCACGTTGGAGGTGGTGCCTAGTGGGAGGTGATTGGGTCATGGTGGCAATTTCTCATGGTTTAACACCATCCCCCATGTAGGTGTTGTCTTGATAGTGAGTTCTCATGAGATCTAGTTGTTTAAAAGTGTATAGCATCTCTTTCCACCCACTCCTCGTGCTCCAGCCATGTAAGTCCTGCCTGCTTCCCCCTTGCCTTCCACCATGTGTAAAAATTTCCTGAGGCCTCCCTAGAAGCCGTTATGCATTCTGTACAAGCTGCAGAATCATGAGCCAATCAAACCTCTTTTCTTTATAAATTACCTAGTCTCAGATATTTCTTTAAAGCAGAGCAAGAACATACTAATGCATAGGGCCTTTGAGAAGTGACTAGATCATGAGCTGGAAGCCCTCATAAATGGGATTAAAAGAGGCTCAAGGGAGCTCATTTGTTCCTTCTACCATGTGATGACACATCTATGAACCAGGCATCAAGCCCTCACCAGACACCGAATCTGCTGGTGCCTTAATCTTGGACTTCCCAGCCTCCAGTGAGGAATAATTTCTGTTGGATATAGCTGTTCCTAAAGCTAGATCTACCCATTGGACTTCCCAATTAAGTAAATCAATAAATTCCTTCTTTGGCTTAGTTCCAGTTGATATAATAAAGGCTTACCAATAAATGACTTGCCCAAAGCCACACAATAAGCAAACTCTAATTTGAATAGGGTTATTGTTATTTGTTTCTGAAATAGTCCTAAGTAATACAAGCAAGTTACAACATCTAGAAGTGTACAGTTACTAACCTTGAGCCACTTCAACTCCAGTAATAGAATGAATATGCGTGTGAATACTGAGACTAGCAGGTATAATTGGTGCAAATTTTTCTTATGCTTCCATTTCCACTGAAATTAGTTTAGTTATTACTAGGAAGTGTACTTTACGGGTTTGCTATATGGATCAAATAAAACCATGTGTGGGCCAGGCACGGTGGCTCATGTCTGTAATCCCAGCACTTTGGGAGGCTGAGGTGGGAGGATCACTTGAGACCAGGAGTTCGAGACCAGCCTGGCCAACATGGCGAAACTCTGTCCCTACTACAAATACAAAAATTATCCGGGCATGGAGACACGTGACTGTAGTCCCAGCTATTCAGGAGGCTGAGGCACAAGAATCGCTTGAACCTGGGAGGCGGATGTTGCAGTGAGCCGAGATCATACCACTGCACTCCACCCTGGGCAATAGCGAGACTCTATGTCGATAAAACAAAATAAAATAAAATAAAATAAAATAAACCATGTGTGAGTAAAGAACTTTGTTAAAAAAGCATATTGCCAACTTCAGGTCAAACTTCACAGCTGCTAAATACAAACGCCAATTGTTTTTAAGTGTTTAGTTGTTTCTACTGATGCATTTGTCAAGAATGTTTCCAGAAGTTGCAAACTTAGAGAGTAATGGCTTTGGGAATATTCCAATAGTCTAAATATCAACCAATGAAAACAAATTGCCAAAAACATACCAATAATGAGTTTCAGTAAAAGTTGTTTTATAAGATGTAAGAATATCAAGTCTTGCACAATAGATGCACCTTAATATATAGTGATTTATTCTCAGGGATGCTTATTTTAACTTAGGTAATATTATTTTGTCCAATATTTCAACTTTCTGACAGCTGGAAATTACTTTAGGCTGTAAAGAAGGAAGCAGAGTCATTCTCCCACTGCCTAAACCTTCCAGTTCACTCGAGCCAGTTCAGTTTTCCAATAGTTCAAGGCAGACAGACCAAACCAGAACTTTCCATGCCATGAATACCTGTTCTGAAGGGGCAGGCTTAAGTGTCTATTGGGTCTGAGAGAGATGTGCATATGTGAAGTCTAACGAAGTGGGTATGTATGCTCATGGGCATGTAAGCTTACCTATTTCCCTATTTACCTAGACAAGATTGATTACACATTTTTATCACAAATTAGGGTAAAACTATTTCATGTTTATACAGCTGGCTTCCAAAGTAATATTAGGGGCTGGGCGCAGTGGCTCACTCAGACTTATAATTTATGTAATTATTCAAATAATAATTCACAAATGAAATATGTTCCCCATTTTTTTTAAGAGATGGGGTCTTGCTAATGTTGCTCTAGTTGGTCTTGAACTCCTGGCCTCAAGCAAACCTCCCACCTGGACCTCCCAAAGTACTGGGATTATAGGCATGAGCTGTCTCACCCAATTTATGTTCCCAAACTTTAAAACCTAATTATCAATTATAAGCATAGCAATACTTCTGGCACCACAGTGAAAGAGAAAAGGTACACAGGTTTCTGTAACCAATAAGCATTGCATACCATTAAAAATAATAAATTTCTTCAGCTAACTCAGATATTTGCTCATTTGCTCATCATGGCTTCTTTCAGATATTGGGGGAGGTGGTGCAAATTGAAAATTTTATATTTTCAATTATTTTCTTGAGACTGAAAATCTTACTACTTATAAAGTTTTCCCAAGAGCAAAAATAGGAGACAGAAAAATCAGTACTAACAGACTTGGAAAGGGTATAATTGATTAAGAAGTAAAATTATTCCCTGAAATGACATCTGAGAATATCTTTGCCTCCTTCCTTTAAGTCACCCAAATGAAAAACACATTTGGCTCAAGGGAGAATTAAATAAAGGATAGGGAGATTAAAATACAAAATATTTTTTCCATTAGGTCAATACTTCACAATGTAGTTAAGCAAGCTCTAACTTGGAATTTGAATCCCATGACTCCCAAATTTATCAGATGTAAAAAATAACAGTGTCTCAGCTGAGCTACTCTAAACAACTCTCCCATAATAACTAAACTAATTTCAGAGGAAATGAAGGCACAAGAAACATTTGCACCAATCAGACCTGCTAGTCTCAATTTTCACAACCCATATTCCTTCTATGGCTGGAGTTGAAATAGTTCAAGGTTAGTAACTGTGCACTTTCAATTTTTATTTTTATTATTATTTTTTTTAAGACAGAGTCTCACACTGTCACCCAGGCTGGAGTGCAGGGGCGCCATCTTGGCTCACTGCAACTTCTATCTCCCTGGTTCAAGGGATTCTCCTGCCTCAGCCTACCAAGTAGCTGGGATTACAGGTGCCCACCTCCATGCCAGGCTTATTTTTGTATTTTTAGCAGAGATGGGGTTTTAACGTGTTGGCCAGGCTGGTCTCGAACTCCTGACCTCAAGTGATCTGCCCACCTCAGCCTCCCAAATTGCTGGGATTACAAGCATGAACCACCGCACCTGGCCCACTTTTAAATTTTATAAGTTGCTTGTATTACTCAGGATTGTTTCAGAAACAAATAACGGAAAGCCTATTCAAGCTGGGGTTTAAGCCAAGGAGGAAATTTATTGATCTATTTGATTGGGAAGTCTAATGGGTAGATTCAGTTTTAGGGGCAACTATATCCATAAATTCTGATAATATCATCAAGATCCTGTTTCTTTCTCTCACCACCTCTTATTTTACTTTCCTCTGTGATTCCTTTTATTCTCAGATGAATGCTCTCCACATTAAAACAAGGTGGCTGCTGGCAGCCGTAAACAACATTGTCCTTACTGGTCATAATCCCACTGAAAGACAGCATCTTTGCCCAGAATGTCAATAAAAGTCTCAGTGAAGACTCTGATTAGTCCTACACTGATCACGTGCCCATCCTTAACAATCACTGTGACTAGAAAGAGGAATTGGTTGGCCAAACCTGGGTCACTTGCCCACACTAGGCTTGAAGGGGGAGGGGAATAGGAAGAAAAGCCAACTTCATCTGAATTTCTCAGACTAGGCTTGTAATAGAGGGTAGAGAAGCTTGACAATAAATATAGTGTTGCTATAAGAAGAAAATATGTAGTGTAAACATCGAGTTACAATCTGAAAATGTCTTGTTAATATCTGTAGGTCCAGCACCTTGTAAGAAGTAAACTCAGATTTATTAACTTTTGTGGGAGGGTAGAAACTGATGAAAAAAAAGGAAGGCATTCCAAGGGAAATGTGGTCCTGGATAAATTCAAGACATTTAGGCTGTAGCTTCTAGGGACTAAGGAGAGTGTGGGAGTTCCTCTCTTGAGGGTCAGAGATGGGAGCTTAATACTCTCTGAATCCAAGCTGGCCTTGTTGGCATCTGGAAGCTTCTAAACTTCGTTCTTTCTCTCTTGCTCCCTCCCTCCTACTTATTCCCTCCCTCCACATAATCTGTTATCTATGCCATGCATTAGCATCATCCTTCTCTGAAAGCTTCTTGGTTCCTGCTGCTCCATTAAAATGATTTGAATTTTCATGGCCCAAACTATGGCACGGACTAAACATGACCTCCAGTTCCCAACATCTGCTGACCTCAGTTTCTTTGTCTTGGTTCAAATCACAGAAAGAAAATCCTATTAGCTCAGCATGAGTCATGGGACCATTCTGATATACTCACCTGGGGCCAAAAAATTGGTCTGCTCTACCCACCTCCTTGGCGAGGGTTTTAAGGGGCACTGTCCCACTGTTAATACCCCCAAACACACTCAAAATTTGGTTTCACCATGAAAAACAGGGCCAGAAACTAGAAGAATAGTAAGGATTGTATAACATGATACTTTTAGTTACCACTATGATGGCTGCTTGGACAAATAGCTCAGATCAAAAGATTATCCTAAAAAGAAAATTGTTGTTCACCTGAAATATCTGCAGTGTAGCTGCAGGATTCGAGGGCTACCAAAACAAAAGCCAAATGCAAATGTAGTCCCTATATCATCTTTTTTTCCGCATGGCTATAAATTTGCAATAATGTTAAATAACTGTGTTAAATATCTAACATAGGGCATATGTTTCTGAAGGCCGCTAACTGATCAGATAGCACTGTTACCTAAGAAGGTGAATTATTTAAAGAAGTTTTGCTCGCTAATAAAAAGGAATAAAGAGGGAAGTGGGGAGCACCTCTGCCCGGCCACCCATCGTCTGGGAAGTGAGGAGCGCCTCTGCCCGGCCGCCCCCTCTGGGAAATGAGGAGCGCCTCTGCCCAGCCGCCCCGTCTGGGAAGTGAGGAGTGCCTCTGCCTGGCCGCCCATCATCTGGGATGTGAGGAGTGCCTCTGCCCTGCTGCCCATCGTCTGGGAGGTGAGGAGCACCTCTGCCCGGCCGCCCCGTCTGGTAGGTGAGGAGCGCCTCTGCCCAGCTGCCCATCGTCTGGGAGGTGAGGAGCGCCTCTGCCCGGCTGCCCCGTCTGGGAGGTGAGGAGCGCCTCTGCCTGGCCACTGTGCAATCTTCCAAGTGTGAAGTGACAGCCTTTCTGCAGGTGTACCCAACAGCACCGAAGAGACAGCAACCATCGAGAACGGGCCATGATGACGATGGCTGTTTTCTCGAAAAGAAAAGGGGGAAATGTGGGGAAAAGAAAGAGAGATCAGATTGTTACTGTGTCTGTGTAGAAAGAAGTAGACATAGGAGACTCCATTTTGTTCTGTACTAAGAAAAATTCTTCTGCCTTGGGATGCTGTTAATCTATAACCTTACCCCCAACCCCGTGCTCTCTGAAACATGTGCTGTGTCAACTCAGGGTTAAATGGATTAAGGGTGGTGCAAGGTATGCTTTGTTAAACAGATGCTTGAAGGCAGCATGCTCGTTAAGAGTCATCACCACTCCCTAATCTCAAGTACCCAGGGACACAATCACTGCGGAAGGCTGCAGGGACCTCTGCCTAGGAAAACCAGAGACCTTTGTTCATGTGTTTATCTGCTGAACTTCTCTCCACTATTATCCTATGACCCTGCCACATCCCCCTCTCCAAGAAACACCCAAGAATGATCAATAAATACTAAAAAATAAATAAATAAATAAATAAAAAGGAATAAAGAGAAAAAGAGAGAAAGAGAAAGGAAGAAGGAAGGCAGTGAAAAATGCATACTGTACTTTCCAGCCAATTACTTACTAAACATCTCCAGAATTATTCCACTTTTCTTGATCTTTCTGCCACTCCCCAGCTTCTCCTTCTTAAATTACTAAAGAATTCAGGCTGGACTTTTTGCAGTAAACTTTTCCTCCTCTCAGCCACTCTGTATACTCCAGCCAAAGGGATTACTATGGTTTAAGTGTGTCCCCCAAAGTTCATGTGTTGGAAACTTAATCCCCAATGCAACAGTGTTGAGAGGTGGGACCTTTAACAGGTTATTAGGTTGTGAGGGATTTGTCCTCATGAATGGATCAATGTCATTATTGCAAGAGTGGGTTTGTTCTAAACGTGAGTTTGGTCCCCTCTTGCTTTCTCTTGTGCTTTCTTGCCCTTTCATCCTGGAATGACACAGCAAGAAGGCCCTCTCCAGATGCTGGCCCCTCAGTCTTGGATTTTCCAGCCTCCAGAACTGTAAGAAATAAATTTCTATTCATTATAAATTACCCAGTCCCAGATTATTCTGTCACAGTAGCACAAAACAACCTAAGACAGGGATGTTTTCTAAATTATAAATCAGATCAGATCACTGTTTGACTTTAAATCATTCAATGGCTACTCAGTACCCTCAGAATAAAATGCAAATTCTTAAAAATCTTACAAGTCCCTCATGATCTGGCTCCTCATTGCCTCTCAACCTCACCTTACTCCCTTTACTCTAACCACACACTGAACTCCTTTTAGTCATCAAATGTGGCATGCTCTATCCTAGCTGGTAAATACTGTTTTCTTATCCTCATCCGTTTTAACTAACTCTGTCTCAACCCAGAATTTACTTAATTTACTTCCTGAGCCTTCTGTGGGCCCCCTGGGTCTGTGTTAGCGCCTCTTCTCATATGTCCTTTTTTTTTTTTTTTTTTTGTATTAAAGCACTTATCACAGTGTCCTGTATTGTGATTACTTTTTTATTTGTTTACACCCTCCACCAACATTTATTCAGACCCTGCCATGTGCCAGGCAGTATGCTTAGCACTTTACACACATTGTTTCATTTAATTTTCACTATATCTCAATGATGTAGGTTCTTTGATTACCTGTATCTTACAGACAAGGTGATAGACTTAGAGAAGTTAAATTGTGTTCAAGCTAATATGTGGTGAAGGCAGGCTTTGAACTTGGGTAGTCAGCCAGGCACTCCTAATGCCCTACTCTCCTAAACCCTTCATGAGAGCAGGAACCACTTCTGTCTTGTTTACTATTACATCCCCAGAGTCTGTCACAGTCTGACACATAGTAAGCGTTCACAAAATATTTCTTTAATAAATGTGGAATGATTTTTGCTTATGGCTGGATCCACTCTTTATGCATATTTTACAATTTCTACTCTGAGTTAGATGTCTTAAAAACTAGAAAAAAACGGCCAGATGTGGTGGCTCACACCTCTAATTCTAGCACTTTGGAAGGCCAAGGTAGGTGGATCACTTGAGGCCAGGAGTTTGAGACCAGCCTAGGCAACATGGCGAAGCCCTGTCTCTACTAAAAATACAAAAATTAGATGACCATGGTGGTGCACGCCTATATTTACAGTTACTGGGGAGGCTGAGGCACAAGAATCACTTGAATCTGGGAGGGGGAGGTAGCAGTGAGCTGAGATGAGATTGCACCACTGCACTCCAGTCTGAGCAACAGACTGAGACTTTGTCTCAAAAAAAAAAACCTTAGAAAAAAGGACGGCCAAAAATAAATCTCAACAGGTATTCATAAAGCCTGCAACTGTAAGATCTGTGCACCCTGTTCCTTCTCCCCTCAAGCTCTATTTTAGACCATAGCTGAGTTGTTCATTCTTTGTAAAGATTAGAATTCCTCCCTTCAGTGGGTTATTGTTAGCTGGAAGTAAGCATCCATTCTCAAAGCCCCCTATGTATGCTTTTGAATTTTAGGAGCCAGAAAGTTAGAAACTACATTTTTCAGATTCTCTTGCAGCTAGATTTCTGGATACTAATTAGACTCTACAACAGAGATGCCCTCATGTGAGATTTAGCAGGTTAAAGTAGGGTGAAAGTCATTTTCTTATTGCTGCTGCTGCTAAGCAGCACTGTAAATTGTATTTGAAGCCAGAACCCATCTTTCAGTAGTCACCAAAGTCATGAGCATTGACAGACAGTTTTGGCAGCTGACCTGTAGGCTACAGCCATTGTGGTGTACCCCTGAAATACAGAGTGCACTGGTGGTCCCTAACTTCAGTTTCTTTAGCGCTTCTAATGAATTTTATAAGCACTTAATTCCTTGTTTTTATAACTCCTTTCTTCTGGAAATACATAATGCTGTTTCTGTTTCCTGAATTGAAACCTGACTGACACATCCCCTTAATTGCTGTATCTAGCTGACCCCTTTTTGTGTAAGCAAGAGCAAATCATATGTAAATGCAGTTATTTTGGAAATGTAAATGTAGTTATTTTGGAAATGTAAATGTGTGATGAATAAAAAATTAATTGACAGGAATTAGAATAATGAATGAAAGAATTACAGGGGGTTTGTGTGTGTGTCTGTGTGTTTCACAAGTTGAGGAAGGGAGATGTTGAAAAAGGTGAATCAACTGGAATGACAGAAGAAAATGAGTAGAGAACCCTCAGGTTCTACAAGGGAATAGCAGAGCAGATTTGGAATTGATAATGAGTCATTATTAAGAACTTAGTCTAATAACTGTTTACATGTGTGGAGCTATTTAGAGCTCCCAACGTTTCCTCATATGCTATTTTATTTGATCTTAACAATGAGTGATTCTGTGAGCTAAGAGTTTGCAGGCCCTTTTGTGCATTTTGCACATGAGGAAAGAAAGTGAGGCCCAGAAAGCTCAAGGATGCAGCTGTAAGTGGCTGGGTCAGAATGTTGATTCCAAGTTTCAGTATCCTACTCCAAGCAGTTAGCTATAGAAATTACTTTTGGTTTAAGGATGAGGGACAACTGAGGAATTCAGACTGCCAAAGATGATAAGCATGCTATTTTGAATCTGAACACAAAGACTGTAGGGCCCAATCAGAAAGAGGCTTTCCTTTCTCAAGACTAGGAAATGCCTTTCCTTGTTTTTTTTTTTCAGTGACTGGTCCCTGAGAGGTAGAACCTGAATGAGCTGGCAGTGGAGCTGAGAAGCTAAATGGGTCCAGTCTCTACGTTGGGTAGTTAAAATTTGGCATTTTGTAAATAGTCTTCTCTTGATGTTCCCATATTTTCAATCTTGCACTTAAGAATTTGGCTGGGCCAGGTGCAGTGGCTCACACCTGTAATCCTAGCACTTCGGGAGGCTGAGGCGGGTGGATCACCTGAGATTGGGAGTTCGAGACCAGCCTGACCAACATGGAGAGTCCCGTCTCTACTAAAAATGCAAAATTAGCTGGACGTGGTGGTGCATGCCTGTAATCCCAGCTGCTCGGGAGGCTAAGGCAGGAGAATCTCTTGAACCCGGGAGGCGGAGATTGTGGTTAGCTGAGATTGCACCATTGCACTCCAACCTGGGAAACAAGAGTGAAACTCCATCTCAAAAGAAAAAGAAAAAAACAGTGTTTGGCTGAATTCTTATTGGCTTATCACAGAGAACGGCTCTGGGGCAAAAGGAAAGGCTAGTTGTGGTTCCAAGGTCACATTAGTCTAAACAGAAGGGCACCCTTTGGGTGCTTTGAGTTGTGACTTATGGTGCGTGAGACGTCTTCTTTGCAGAGCGGCCCTGGGGTTTGGGTTCTGCCAGTCACAAGGGTCCCTCGCAGCTCTTACACTTCTTTTCATCTTAGTCAATCCTACTTTAAGATGTGAACAGGCAATGGGCCTTGCTTGGGGAAAAGAGTGAGCTGTCCCTACTGGTGCAGTGTCATATAGAAACAGCTGCTCAAAAGTGGTGTGAGAAAGGGAGGATGAATGAGCAGTCATTCATCTAGTTTCAGGAAACTAGAAGGTGTTGGCTCTAGTATTTATTTCCTCTGCCTGGATGGCACTTCAGGATAAGGTGAAAGGAAGAGTGTCCTCTGCCCCTTGGGTGACTGGCACAATGATAAACACAGATTCATCTGGCCCTGACCTGGGAATTGTGAAGAAGAAAACACTTTCTTAGGGAGACTGTACAAGGAGGACTTCCCCCACTTTTGTCAGGTCTGGTGGCATTTGCCCTGGACTGGTCCCTGTCTCAGGGAATACAGGCCACAGTCGCCCTAGGGTTAGCTGGGCATGGAGCGGCCCTGGAAGAAAAGAAGATATGAAAAGAGGAAGGAATGAGCTCACCTTGCCTGCAACTGTCTCTCAGGGGAGAGAGTTTAAGGAGACTCAAAGAAGAGGAGGAGAGTCCAGGAACTGAGAGCTGCCGTATATGTACAGGTGTGTGTAGAAATTCTAAAAGTTACTGGTAGATGCACTCTCAAAAAAGAGGTGCAGAGGGCAACATAGCACATTAGACATCCGTAAAAATACACCCACAGTCTTAAGACTAATGGGTGGTCATACAGCTATTTGAGCTGAAGGTGAAAAGACCCATTTAGAGATTCCAAGCCTTGGAAACTCTGAGATTGCATTTTGTAAATTGGGTGGGGAGGGTATATTATCTGACTCATCTTTATGGCTGTTTGTGATTCATGTTGTTCTTTTAAACTGCCCTGTGCACACATCTACCAGCCTGCACGGGCCAGATGGTCATACATTTTTCTCCTGTCCTCACTCTGGATGGGAGCTCTTCTTACTCTCCACATCAGTACAGGAAAGGTATTTGCAAGAGCAGGAAGTAAAGGAAACTGGCAGGAGACTATTAAAAGTCTTTCTGACTTTAGGCCGGGTGCAGTGGCTCACACCTGTAATCCCAGGACTTTGGGAGGCCAAGGCAGGTGAATCACTTAAGGTCAGGAGTTCGAGACTAGCCTGCCCAACATAGTGAAACCTTGTCTCACTAAAAATACAAAAATGAGCCAGGTATGGTGGCACATGCCTGTAATCCCAGCTACTCCAGAGGCTGAGGCACAAGAATCATTTGAACTCGGGAGGCAGAGGTTTCAGTGAGCCAAGATCACGTCACTGAACTCCAGCCTGGGTGATAGAGTAAAACTCTGTCTCAAAAAAAAAAGTCCTTGTGACTTTTGTTTTTTGAGATGGAGTTTTGCTCTTGTTGCCCAGGTTGAGGTGCAATGGCATGACCTCAGCTCACTTCAACTTCCACCTCCTGACAATTCTCCTGCCTCAGCCTCCCAAGTACCTGGGATTACAGGCGCCCACCACCATGCCAGCTAATTTTTTGTATTTTTAGTAGAGATGGGGTTTCACCATGTTGGCCAGGCTGGTCTCAAACTCCTGACCTCAGGTGATCCACCCACCTTGGCCTCCCAAAGTGCTGGGGTTACAGATGTGAACCACTTTGCTCAGCCTTGGCTTTTTACTCTAAACCTGGATTTGTCTTGTAGGGGCTTAGAAGCTAGCAGGGATTATTATCATCATTTTCCCATTGAGAAAATAGGCAGTGGAGTCAAATAATTTGCCTATAATCAGTCAGCTATTACACCTGGCAGAGCCAGGATTTGAACCAGGTCTGCCTGAGTCCCTGCTGCCTTTTTGAAAGAAGACTTATGGATCGGGGTACACAACTGCCTCTCCACTGCAGCACTGTAATGTAAGTGAGAGTATCCAGCTGCTATCTTTGATCTCTCTTGACCCTCACTCATGATAACAAGCCTGGATGAGGACAGAAAGAGCTGCTGCACTACCCCACTTTGCAGCCTAGTGACATGTCCAGCAGGCTAAGGACACCAGCTTATCTGAAAGTGACTGCCAGCCAGAGTCCCACCAGTTGGAATTCCAGTCGTGTGTGGGGTGGGTAGGGCAGCACTCACTGCCTGTGATCATCAGTGTCCTTGTTCTGCTCCCTCCTCTCACCCACCCCACCCCTGCCAAGGCCTCCCTAGCCCTTCAACTGTGAGGCTTTGGGAGGTCTCAGGCTCAGCATATCTCTTTCAAAGAAGACTTCCTGACAGAAGGTAAGTGCAGGCCAGTTGCAATGAAAATGCTTTAAAATCTTCCTTTAGGCCCTAAAGAGTATAAGCTGAAGTGGTTTCCAAGATGATTTGAGCAAATTCATCACCTACAGAAGGTGTCATTAATACATAGTAGAGAGTTTATTTCTTCATATCAATGGCACTGAAAGGGTATTCGGAAGTAATCAAACTTTGAATAATCAGGAATGATGAGTCTTTTGCTTTCTTAGCCTCTCTGCAAAAAGTGCAGAAGCCATATGTGGATTAAAATTAAATATGCTACCAAAAAGGAGGCAATTTCACAATGCAATGTGTAAGTAACTCCCTTAGTGGTTAACTTGGACACACTGTTCTCTCTATTCTCTTGCCATTCTGCTATTTAGCAAACGCAGGACACTGAAAGAAAAGAAAGTATTTTTCATATGAAAATGACCCATATCAGATTTAATTTATCAATCTTGGAAATGGGGTTCAGAGTGGGAAGAATGAAGCTCACTCATACCTTTTCCTAAAAGCTCCATTAACAAAAAAGGCAAGTTTGAGCAAGATAGGGTTTTTCTGAACATAAAGCGGGATTTAGAGTGTTTGTTTCTTTGGTGTGTGTGTGTGATGTGTGTGTGTATGTGTGTGTGACGAGGGAGTTGTCTTAACAGGAACTTTTGTTATGAGAAATGTGCATATTATTGAAAATAATACAAGTAAGAAAAACTAAAGTAGAGAAGTATATCATATATTAGTCAAACTTCATATATGTAAATCTATATTTAGGGAGTGATTATTTAATTTTTTGTTTGAGAGAAAGATTCACATATAGAATTTCTCTACATACCAAGATCCTGATTGGACATCCATGCTTCAAGATTTAGGAAAATTTAATTTACACTCGCATTTTTAGGCTCGCAAAGCTTTTGAGTAAAAAAAAAAATGTACCAGAAATAAGATGGAGTGAATAAAAATACATTTTTAACAGAAAGAGTCTTTCTGTATAAACAAAGAAAAGCCAAGTTATGGATACAGTAAGAAGCCAATGTTGGGTTAATTTATCTAGGTTACCTTTAGTTGCTGCCTTGATTAACTTTTTGCCACCCCCGTCCCCCCTCCCTCCCCGCCACACAAATGACACATATCTTAAACAGGGTTGCAGAGGGGGAGTTCAGAAAAAAAAAATGCTTAAGAAGATTGATAGATACTTTTGTATACAAATAATGAAATTATCCCAGGTGATTAGTGTTTATTCATTAAAGCGTCCATCATTAAAGATTAGTTCTTGGCCTTCCCTATTTAGCCCAGTCCTTACCAATAAGCTGCAGTTTAAAGTGGTAAATATGCATGTTGCTAAAATTATTCCATAATTTAAAAAATCTCAAATGAACAAATTTATCTTGTTTCCAATTAGTCTAAATAAATTAGATATTAGTATAGAGATTACAAAGTTATTTAAGAAAGAAATTCCAGAATCAAAAAGAAGAGCGGTTGAGGTGCTTTTTTTCTAACTAAACTTGAGGGTTGCGTTTGAGACAGAAAGTGGAAAAGAGACTTTTTTTTTCTGAGTATTGTGGACACTGTTGGTTGCCAACTCTTCTTCCTTTTTAGGCTATCATTCCCAGCTCTCTTTAAAGCCAGTGTAACTATGTGACCCAGTTCTGGCCAATGATATATGAGGGGAAGTCTGCTGGGGTGGGAGGAGGAGTTTACTTCTGGGAATGACTTTTATTCCTGATCAAAACAGATGAGGGTTCAATGCAACTGTATGAAGATGTAATCTTGGAGCTGCAGCAGCAATTTTATTACCATGAGATAAACTTTGAAGACTCTGAGGGTGTCAGCATGGAGAAAATAATTGATCTTTAATGGCATTGTGGAGCCACTTCCCAACCCCAGAACCATCTATCGCCAGATATAGTGTTAATTGCTTAAGCCACTATTTGTCATGTGTTCTGTGACTTGCAGCTATATGTATCCTGGTGGATACAACAGACCTAGCAAAGGAAAGGATATATATATATTTTTTGGTCAACATCTCACTCTGTTTCCCAGGCTGGAGTACAGTGGTACAATCACAGATCACTACAGCCTTGAACTACTGGGCCCAGGTGATCATCCTGCATCAGCCTCTGGAGTAGCTGGGACTACAGGCACATGCCTCCACACCCAGCTACTTAAAAAAAAATTTTTTTTTGTGGGAGCTAAATGATGAGATCTTATGAACACAAAGAAGGAAACAACGGACACTGGGGTTTACTTGAGGGAGAGAGTGGGAGGAGGAAGAGAAGCAGAAAAGATAACTATTGGATACTGAGCTTAATACCTGGGTGATGTACCTATAAAAATATGTACAACAAACCTCTGTGACACCTGTTTATCTATGTTACAAACCTTCACATGTACCTCCAAACCTAAAATAAAAATTAAATTATTATTATTATTTTTTTTTAAGAGACAGGGGTCTCACTATGTTGTCTGGGCTGGTCGGTAACTCCTGGCCTTAAGTAATCCTCCCACCTTGGCCTCCCAAATCCCTGAGGTTGCATGAGCCACCACACCTGACCCAGAAAGCATTATTCAACCAGAGCCACCATTAGTCCATTTGGTGCTTCTATGTAACTTGGAAACTAGGTGCTTCGACACCTCCAGGTGTCGAGTCCCACCTACCCACTTTGCCAAGCACCCTTGTGCCATCACAGGTAACTGCATTGCTTCCTTA
The DNA here is from genome assembly GCF_000001405.40 of Homo sapiens. Classification (NCBI taxonomy): domain Eukaryota; kingdom Metazoa; phylum Chordata; class Mammalia; order Primates; family Hominidae; genus Homo; species Homo sapiens. The sequence goes on from NC_000001.11 coordinate 183,436,756, forward strand.
CAAGTTTATGGAAGGTCTGCCTCTGCTCAAAGGACTCAGGTTGAGGCTGCCAATTCCAAAAGAGGAGGAGAGGGCAATGTGAGTTTCTTTTGCTTTCTGTCACATTGCAAGTGCATATATTGCATTGCTTATATATACTCTTGCAAAGTGAAAATATGCACTTGTAATGTGAAATGGACGTTATAGTGCAGATTATTTAATTATCTCATTCTTCTTCTCTGTTTGATCTACCAGCAGCACTTCATTTGTACACCTAGCATGACATCATTTAGCCTTCACTTGATGCATATAAGAAATTTACATATTAGGTTGGCCACAATGCATTAGCTGGTACTATGTCATTTTCATCATGTTTAACCAAAATTTCACGTTATTAAATAAAGTATTTTTATAAAAAAGTCTAATTAACATAAACACTATAAAAAACTAGTTTTGTCTGTGAAACTGGTAAAATTAATCCACAGGAGCACAGCGATACATGTAGGATAATAATGACTTTAAATTTAAGACATGCAAAGTTAACAGAAGTCTGACATAACATGCTTTCCCACTCATTAAATATTATATGCTGTTACTATGGGTATTCACTGATATACACTAAACTGGAAACAAACATGGTGACTAACACTGCATGACAAGATCCAGAATAATCTTATATTAGATGATCATAAAATATAAACATATACTTTAAAATTCTCCTTGAACTTTTAGATCCATTTGAAAACTTTAACATAATGTATTTAAAACATCTCAGCTAATACTATACTTTCAAGGATCATTTCTATAATTAATTGAAACATCTAGGTTGACAGCCTGAATAGACAAAGTAATAATCATAACTAGACCAGATATGACATAGATGTTAGAACTAGACAGGGAATATTATAATTATGATATTAATACTACTATATTAATATAATATATAAAGATCAAAGGAATAGAATACATAGCCCATAAATAAATGCACTCATATACAGTCAATTGATTTTTTTTGGTTGTTGAGACGGAGTCTGGCTCTGTCACCCAGGCTGGAGTGCAGTGGCGCAATCTCTGCTCACTGCAAGCTCTGCCTCCCAGGTTCACGCCATTCTCCTGCCTCAGCCTCCCGATTAGCTGGGAATACAGGCACCCGCCACCACACCTGGCTAATTTTTTTTTATTGTTTTATTTTTAGTAGAGATGGGGTTTCACCATGTTAGCCAGGATGGTCTTGATCTCCTGACCTCGTGATCCACCCACCTCGGCCTTCCAAAGTGCTGGGATTACAGGAGTGAGCCACCGCGCCCAGCCATCAGTTGATTTTTGACAAGATTCAAATTCAATTCAACAGAGAAAATACAGTGTTTTCAACAAATGGTACTGGAATAATTTGACATTGAAAGGAAGAGAAAGAAAAGAAAGGAAGGAAGGAAGGAAGGAAGGAAGGAAGGAAGGAAGGAAGGAAGGGGAAGGGGAAAGGGAAGGGAAAGGAAAAGGGAAAGGGAAGAAAAAGGAAAGGGAAGGAAAAAAGAAAAGGAAAAGAAAGAGGAAGGACCTTACACCTATGCAAAAACGAACTCAAAATGGATCATACACCTCAATGTAAAATGTAGAAATAAAAAACTTCTAGAAGAAAAACAGCATTTTGTATGATCTTGGGTTTGGTGATGAGTTTTTAGATATGAGACCAAAAGCACAATCCATAAAAGGAAAAATATGAAAACGGGACCCAACAAAATTAAAAACTTTGGCTTTTCCACCAAACATGCCCTCCCCCCCCCCCACACACAAAAATGCTGTTAGTAGAATAAAAATACAAGCTACAGAAAAAGTTCCAAATCTTATATCAATAAAGGACTTACAACCAAAATACAAAGAACTCATAACAAGAAAAACAAATAAAGCAATTTAATAATAAATTAAAGACAAAAAGAGATCTGAACAGATACTTTTCCAAAGAAGATACACAAGTGGCAAATAAGCATATGAAAAGATGCTCACAATAGTCATTGGAGAAACGCAAATGAAAACTGCAATAAGATACCTCAACATACCTATTAGAATGGCAACTTTTTAAAAAATGATAATTCAAAATGCTGGTTAAGACATGGTGCAACAAGCACTCTTGTTCATTCCTTGTGGTAATGCAAAATGGCAGAATGAGTTTGTCAGTTTCTTACAAAGTTAAACATACACTTATCATGTGGCCCAACAATACCACTCCTAGGTAATTATCAAAGTGAATTGAAAACTTGCATTTATAGAAACCTATAAATGAATATCTATAGCAGCTTTGTTCATAATTACCAAAAACTAGAAGTAACTGAGATATCCTCAAGAGGTAAGCAGATTAACATATTGTGGTATATCATGCAATGGAATACTACTCAGCAATAAAAAGAAATTAACTATTGATTCACACAACAACATAGATGAATCTTAAATAAATTTTTGCTAAGTGAAAGAAGCCAGACCTAAAAGATCACAACCTATTTTATTTTATTAACATGACATTCTGCAAAAGGCAAAGCTCTAGAGACAGATAACACAGATCAGTGGTTGCCATGTGTTGAGAAGAGGTTGACTGCGAAGGGATCACACAAGACAATTTTTAGGGTAATAGAACAGTTTTGCAAGATACTGTGGTGGTAGATTCATGACTCTATGCATTTGTCCACATTCACAAAAGGTACATTTATTCTAACTAAGGTATAATGTATTATAAACCTAAGTGAAATTTACTGTGTACATTTTTTTAAAAAATCAACCACGATGTGGGGAGATTCCAGGATGAAATGCAGACTGACAAATCTGTGTTACAATTATATGACATAACCTGACTAAAACGGTTGGGGAAAAAGGAGCTGACCTAAGTAACTTTGGAAATGTGTTTTAACTGGATACTGTAAAGCTAAAGCAAAATCAACTGTGCATAAATGCTTTTCTTTAATTGGTCATTATGTTTCAGGCAGGAGTATAAGTTAGCAGTTCTGAAACTACTTTACATGTATACTAAGGCTGAACAAATAAGTAAATAAATTGTAGTTAATGGAAGCCAGCTTTCTCACTGTCAGAGAAAAAAGTTACAAACAAGCAAGCAGAGAAGACTGAAATAAATCCTGTGGTTCTAAATAAAGTTGGCAATGACAATATGAATTCAATGTGTGTGTGTGTGTGTGTGTGTGTGTGTGTGTGTGTGTGTCCCATTTGAGACTCAGAGTTTAGGGTTTTTCTTGGGGGCTAGTGCTAAAAGGCATTCTCTGCCTGGAAACTGTCAAAATATCAGACTCTCTGAAGGAAGTGGTAATTCAGTGCCTCAAGGGCAAAACAGCCTTATCAATACAGGAGACTTTTCATGTTGGTTTGGGGAACTTTTCACAAGCCAGGTTCCCAGATGTCAGGAAAGAGTCAATCTTTAAGCAGCCTCTTCTAAGGATATCAGCCTTGGGTTTGCTTCTTTGTTGATTCTTTCCTGTATAGGGCATAACAAACAAGACACAGGAGCCAACCTGAAACCACCCCCAATAACCCAAAATTGGATTACAATCCAAACAAACTATATATATATATAGATAGATAGATAGATAGATAGATAAAATGTAATTTCATTCCATACAATAGTATGGAATGAGTACAAATAAGTAAATGAATAAACAAATAAATTAGGGGAAGAAGAGCAAACCTTCCTTAGAGAAGAATTCTAAATTATAAGTGTAGAAGGAATGAGGGACATTTAAAATCACCACTAGAGCACCTTAGTAATAACTGCTGCAGGTAAGATCCACTAAAATTTGTAGGTAAAACCTTAAGGAGAAGCAGCATATTTGTGTAGCCTCAAAGTATCTCATCAAAAAAATATTTATTAATTATTGTGGTAGCTTAAACATATGTCCACGAATTATTTGATAAACCTTCGTCTAGAAGGTGAAGCCTGATTCACTTCACAGGATTGGATAGTTGAGCTGGTAGGTGTAGGGCCTGCACAGTCAAATCAGGGGCATGTGTAGCTCACTTACTTTGAGTGTAGATTGGACTTACTGATTGTTTCGAATGAATAGAGAATGGAAAGGGAAAATGGTAACTTTACGGTGAAGAAACCTGGCAGGCACTACCTTAACCAAGTGATCACAGTTAACGTCATCAGTAAACAAGTTATATTGATCATGTACCCTCAATATGATGTGATGAGAGGACCACTCTACCTCCATGATATTGTTTTCCAAAAATCCATAATTCAGTCCAATCATGAGAAAACTTCAGAGAAAGCCCCATTCAGGGATATTCTATGAAATACTTGATGAGTGGTCTTCAAAATTGTCAAGGTCATGATAAAACAAGGCTGAGGAACAGATTGAGGGAGACTTAGACATGATGATTAAATGTGACACGGTCTCCTGCATTAGATCTCAGAACCAAAAAGGAAACATTGGTGAAATCTGAATGAAGTCTGCAGTTTAATTAACAGTATGGCACCAATAATTTCACAATTTCAATCACTGTACTGTGGTTATATAACATTAGCAGAAACTAGATGAAGGATGTCCATGAACTTTCTGCACTATATTTGCAACTTTTCTGTAAATCTGAGCTTATTTCAAAATAAATGTTTTTAAAAAGTACTTGCATTGGCACATACTAGCTAGTATCTCATGTTAGCTTCTCTTGGTTAATTCACTTGATAACGCAAGAGAATGATAGTGCTGGGAAATCTCTCTTGTTGCCTCTACTCCAAATAAAAAGTGTTTTTCTAAGGATAAGTGATTGTAGTGGCATTTATAATTGCTTTAGTCCATTCAGGCTGCTATAACAAAGTACCATAAACTTGGTGGCTTATAAGCAGCAGCAATTTTTCAAAGTTCTGGAGGCTGGGAAGTCCAAGATGAAGGCACCAGCAGATTCAATATCTGGTAAGGATCTGGTTCACAGGCACTTTCTCAGTGTGTCCTCACTTGATGAAGGGGGTGAGAGGTTTCTCTTCAGTCCCTTTTATAAGGGCACTAATCCCATTCATGAAGATCATGACCTAATCACTTCCCCAAAGGCCCCACTGTTACTGAGCAAAAGGGCTCACTACCCAAGGCACTAGACCCAAGGCACTAGAAGCCAATACTATGGCACCAGGTTTTTGAGAAAAGCTTTTATTGTGAGTCAGTCAACAAGGAGAGAAGAGTCCAGATCAAATCTGTCTCCCTGTGCTGGCTTTAAGGCAGTCATTTTATTAGAAAGGGTTTATGGGGTAGATTCTGGGATTAGTAGGTGATTGGTGGAAAGAAAGGGGAGGTCTGGAAAGTCCTCAGGCATGCACAATTATCTCTTCATGCTACCTCATGAATCACATTTGCAAATTTGGGGAACTTAGTAGGAAACATGGTGGAAATGAAAATTTTATCCTGCAAAGACTCCAGTTGACCATGCTGGTTCCAATCAATTTCAGCCTTTTTTTTTTTTTTCTTTTTTTAAATATCACAAGCAGAGGGAGTTTCAGCATTTCGGCAAGTTGTTTCTTTTCTTATCTGCTCTCATACAAGCTCAAGAATTTCTGTTATTCACTGGCTTCTTTAACTCTGTGGCACAATTTCACCTCCTAACAGTACCATCATCTTAAGAGTTAGGATTTCAATATATGAATTAGATAGGGACACAAATATTCAGACCATAACAATAAGCGTGGGAAATTTCTTTGCCCTTTAAATGAACAATATCATGATGAGAAGATACCAGGCTGACCCTTTTAAAAGTTAGTGCTTCTAACCAATGTCAGTTCTGAGTAGCTGAGGACACCGTGGTTTCATTGTCCTGTTAGTGGAGAGTGGTTTTCAGAGTGTCATCATGGCTGGAGAACCAGGTCTGGACACACGATCACTCAGGGGCAAGGTGAGTGAGCTACACATGCCCCTGATTTGACTGTGCAGGCCCTACACCTACCAGCTCAACTATCCAATCCTGTGTTTTGAGGCTGTTTGGAGGTATATGATCCAGGATGCCTGAATCAAACCAACACTAAAACCAGAAATACCTAAAAATGAGGCATTGTAAAAATGATGGCAAATATTGTTTCGGTCTATTTCAGCCTCGTTTCTGTTTTTTTTGTTTTTGTTTTTGTTTTTAATGCTTACCACTGGCCCTAAGCATTCTAGGTGCTAGTTACTTCAACAGTGGTCAAGTGAGAGGCTGGGGAAGGGTGGAGCGGCAACTTTGGAATATGGACTTGTAAAGCTGTTTTGTATTGTTACCTGTGCTTCATCCTATATTAAAATGTTTTTTTCTTTCATTGGAAAAGAGCTTTGTAGTTTTACCTTGGCTAAGCTCTTTCTTACTCAGCGGCTTTTGCAAAGCTACAGTGAAGTCATTTTTGCTTATTATTTGTGCTTCTACCTACTTCCAAAAAGAATCTAAGATGACTTATTCCCCAAACAATTGTGCTAACCTTAGGCCTTCATTCTCTTCCAGACCATCTGTTCCTCTTTACCATGAAGTCATAGTACTATATTTGTGACAGCACAATCATTTCCATGGCAACAGGATGTGGTCCTCATCACTGAATCCTGATTTCACTCTGACAAAGATCAAGCAGCAGGGGATTGGGTAGTATATTCCGACATTTTCTATTCTTTTTCAAGTTTAGCATCTCTCTGAAGAAATTCCTACTTTTGATTCTAAAATTTTATACTCAGCCTAGAAATATGTTTTTGCAGAGTTTACATACGAAGTATTTGCCCAGCAAATAATTAAACATGCAAGCCAAAAATAATTTTGTGTGATTTGAGAAAATTCACATAAATCTATACATACACACACTATGATATGTAAACTTGCTTGAAAGTGAGATGATTAGCAAATGCCATTCTGGTTTGTATAAAAGAAAAAAGAACAGCAAATCCATTTAAAAGACGAGAAACTTCTAAGCCTAAGAAATTTGCTTTGATGACTGTGATAAGCAGTGGAAGGGACCTGACCTAGTTCTTACTCAATGCTTTCCTTATCTTCTTCAGCACAAATAAGACACAAAAGGGCCTTCCCATGTGAGCTCAGACTATCTGACCAGGGAAAGATAGTTGGATAGCTTTATTAATATGAATGACCAATATTCCTATAATTCTGTCCATTTGCTTTGATTGCACACAGTTTAATTACACAGTCTTTGGAGAAATTCCTTAGAAAACTATTGCTATACTATGCAATTGAGTTAAAAGTATAAACTTTAAAAAGGGAAGTAGTTACTACAGCATCAGAAAAAAAAATACCTAATTGGTCCATTAATTTAGCAGCTTTACAGGACAGATGGCAAAGACTGTTATAATGAGGCTCTGCTAGACATATTACATAACATAATATATATCATATATATTGTATATAGCATGTTACATATGTGTAATGTCATATGTATTATATAAGATATATGTGTCAGAGAAAAAGAGTAACTTGTAAGACTTGATCATGTTCCCTTCTTCTGTTCTCCTCCAGCTTCCTTGTTGAGTCTAAGGGGTAAGTCGGGGAAAGAAATAGGGAGAAAAGTTGGTAAGGGACAGAAAGAAGAACTGAAGGAGAAGCTAAAGCAATTTACATTAAAAAGAAAAAAAAAGATAAGAATTACCTGCAGTGGAAAAGATCTGGAAGGAAGGGGAAAGGGACAGAGAAAGTAGGGAGGTGAGAGGTGAAGAGAGTGATTGAAATCTGAGCAGGAGCATTTGGACAGCAGCTGCTCTGCAGCGTGGGGCTTTGGGGAAATAGGAAAGAAGGATTTTGACTAAGTTCCATTGTTTGCGATGGGATGTGATTCATCACTTTGCTACTTCTTCAAGAGCCTTCAGTGAAAATAAATTATTTTTCAAAGCTCATTAAAGGTGGATTTGTGATTCTTTTGAATGAGACAAAATATTCGGATGGACTCTAAGGCTACAGAAAGCCTTATTCTGATTTTACAAATATATATGTAAGCAGCCTCTCTTGAGGAAAATAATAAGTGGTGCTATCATTGACTGCTATCTCTGACCCTCGGAGATTATGTTGACCAGAGCTGTCCCAGTCCCAAATAATGCAATATTTGCAGTAGGTACTGTCCAGAGATGGGTGGCCTTCCATGGTCTGGAGTTTCTAACTCTAACGAAACTTAATTTTAGCCTTAAAGGATTTAGGAACTTAGAAGAATCAAATGTGGAAGGGTAGAAAAAGACACAATGATTGCTTCAGAGAGCCCTAGTGCCAAGCCAGTTTTTGAGGCCTACAAGAAGGCAAAGGATAATTACAGAGAGCATCATGATACCTAAAGGACAGGCTTCACTGACAATTGTAGTATTAAGGCCTGCTTCAATCTCACATTGGTCTGAGTCTTATTACAGACTGTAGTTTCTTCAAAAAATGCAGAGCCTTTACTCACGCATAGGAGTATGGTAATAAGTGGGAAGGAAGTCCTTCTGTGAAGGTCATCATCACTTTTGATCTCATCATTATTTTCCTAGTGTGAACATCATAATAGAGGTTATGTAATGATTCAGGGGAGGGCAAGGTAAGACAAGGTGAAAATGATCATCAGGATAGAAATGGGAGGCCAGGGCAAGAGTAGGAAGGCTCAGCGATTCCCAAGTGTCCCACCTAACATTAGTGCATGAGATGCACGGTGATAAAAAAGAGTTCTGTGAGAAGACAATTTTGGGCACAGTGTATAATTGTTTTTCCCTTGGAAAAATACCCACTTGCATGCTATAGGCTCTGAGAAGTTCCAACAAGAAAAAAATTTCTGCTTAAACTACTGTTGCCCAAAATTATTTGATCATAAAACACATTTTAGCAACAACTATTAACATTCCAAGAGACTGGTATTATTCAGAACATACATTGGCTAATATTGGGGCAGATGATGTATCTAAAATCACCTCATAACAGGTTATATTACTGTGATAGCTTTAAAAAATACTGAAGGGCACTGGCCTACTGTCAACCTGTATTCAATTACTGTGACTTTTGGCCTTCCTATAATTTTGGTGTAGGACTTCACCCTACTATACAATCATGGCTTGCTTCATAAAAACTGGGTAGGGTTTGTATGTAACACTCTACAAAGCTTCATCCCTTCCTTCAGTGCTCCCAAATGCTCATTACCTTCATGATGCCTGTTACTACCCAGAAACTCTCATTTGGTAAATCTCCAGGACGTAAACTTTTCTCTGCAGGACTGCATGCATCAGTGTCTTTAAACTCCCTCCCACCAAACCAATCTTATTTTTCAAGAAACAGCTTTCTGCTAGGGAACCAACAAAAATATCCATCCTAATGTCTCCAGGTTAGCCAGGTTACATATTTGCAGCCTGACAGGGACTTCCTGAAAATGTAATGCCTTTATCCTAAAATAAAAATAAAAGAAGTTCCATGGGTAGGGATTTCCAGAACTGGGACAAGTTAACAAAAGGAAATGTTTTGAGTTAGATGGGCCTTTAATGATCCACAGATAATATCCCTTGAGAAGTTGCCTGTTCTCTTTAAAAGAAGGGGACTCAGTCAGCAGGGTGATGCTCTCTTTGAAGGAACCACGCTTGACTGTGTGATATATTTCTTTTAAAAAATACAAGAATCACTGGCACAGAGTCTCATAAGTGTGTGTAGGGGAGGTATCTACATTTAATTAATAAATAGTGTCTCTGCTTGGGTGTGGACTTTAAACTTTTTTTTGTTTATTTTTGAATAGGTAACACACTCATGTATACAAAATCAAAAGGCATATCGTGAAAAGTGAGTTTCTCTTTTTTCTCAGTGATTCTGTTTTCCTCCGCAGAGGCAACCACTATTACCAATTTCTTAAATTTCCTTCCATGGACATTCTATATATAAAAATGTATATATGTATTTTTAAACATATATAATTTTTCTTTTTTTACACAGATGGTAGCGTAATATACATACTACTCTCTATTTTACTTTATCTTTTCATTTATCAAGATATCTTAGCTACCTCTCCATATGGAGAGCTAGTGACGTGGCTATTTTAACAGCTGAGTGTTGTTCACTGAATGCCTGTGCCATTTTGTTTTGCCATTCTATTGAGGGATATATATGTTGTTGCCAATCTTTTGTATTATTAACAATATTGCATTGAACAGACTCACTGGATAAATACCTAGACATGGAATATGTGTCAATATGTATGTGCATTTTTACTTTTGAAAGATATTTCCAACTTTCTCTCCATCCCTTACACATCCATCAACTATTTATGACTGACTACTTCCTCAAACTTTCATCAAAACAATATCTTATCAAATGTTTTAATCTTTTACAGTTTGATAGGTGAAAATTATATGTGTGTGTGTGTGTGTGTGTGTGTGTGTGTGTGTGTTTATAATGCAGGAACCAAAGAGAGAAGTTGCAACTCAGGTAAGTAGAGTGGTGCTGAATTAAAATAATAAGTTTACCTTAGATAAAAAGTAATTTGAGATTTAAGTAGGTTACTTCAAAAAATTAAAGACGGCCAGGCACGGTGGCTCACGCCTGTAATCCCAGCACTTTGGGAGGCCCAGGCAGGTGGATTACAAGGTCAGCAGATCGAGACCATCCTGGCTAACACAGTGAAACCCCATCTCTACTAAAAATATAAAAAAATTAGCCAGGCGTGATGGCAGGCACCTGTAGTCCAAGCTACTCGGGAGGCTGAGGCCGGAGAATGGTGTGAACCCGGGAGGCGGAGCTTGCAGTGAGCCGAGATCGCGCCACTTCACTCCAGCCCAGGCGACAGAGCGAGACTCCGTCTCAACAACAACAACAACAAATTAAAGACACTTTCTACCAAGAAGGATTACACATACATAATTCTGACGGACACTTTTAGAAAAGGAGGAAAACCCATAATCTCCTGAGAGTTTTCTAGCTTCACAATTCTGTGATTTCTGTAATTCCATGGAATAAGAAAGTACTGAACAGTGAGAAGAATACTTTCATTACCGATCCATCCATGATCACAGTTTAGAAAATAAAGGGAAAACGTTTCTTTTGTAAATCACTAAATATAAATCAGGAGAAAAGAGGGAGACTACAGTTGTCTCCACTTCTGATTTACCTCAGCCTGCTAGTCTGGTGGCCACATCCAGGACCTTAAAATCAGCTGGAGCCATTCAACCTCCCAAATTTCAGATTCATGCCTCTTACCATTTGATCACAGCTTCTGGCCTTCCATCCACCTCATTTCATTATTGTCACCACATTTGTTCTCTCAATTGACTAGGCCTTTCCCCTTTCCTCTTTCTCCACCCAAGACTACCCACTTTTCTCCCCAGTGAGAAATTTAACTATATCACTATCCATCTTTGCTTCCTTCTTTCCTAACATAAACATGCACTATAAACTTAGATGTTTATGAAATACTTAATTTTTCTGTGAATAAATTCAACTTCAATTGCAAGCCTCCATCTTAACATATAATCTTGGCAAATTCTCTGCCTTTCTCTGGATTGTATCTACATTTTCAGAGTTTGGGGATTGTATTATGCAGTAGGGGGTGGACGGGGTTTCAGGGACCCCTGCCACACATACTGCAGCCACCTTCTCCTTGCACTGGCAGTCTGCAGATCACCATCATCAACCATCTGACTGTCAGAGCATGCTGGATGCTGCCAGGCTGTCAACTCCTTCAGGCCCTCAAGTGCACAGGAAGTCATTCCTCTGCTGCACTGCTGCATGAGGTTGGCTTGGGCCCATGCTCCTAGACATCACTCACATCACTCAGTCTTTCTTTGTCCTTTCATGAAAACAAACAAAATATTTCAAAGTATGAACAATAATATAAACCATCCACGTACTTATCACCCCAAATGAACTAATGTTACTGTCTTTTCATATTTCCATCAAAGTATTTTTTAAAGAAATAAAGATAAAGGTCAAGTCTCCCATATGTCCTTCCTAGCACAATTCCTTTACTTTCTTTACCCCCAGAGGTAATCACTATCATGAATTTGGTGCAAATCTGCTAGTCCATGTTGATATGCTTTTGTTTGACATAACTGTAGAAAAACACAATATCTTGTATTGTTTTTTAAAAGTATATGCACACAGTATCATATGGATATAATATGCTGCAACTTAATGTTGCAGTCAAAATATATCCATATATTGATATAAAGTCAGTCATTTTAATTTCTGTACTGTCTATCACAGAATGAATACATAACAGTTTCTTCCCATTCATTCATTCTTGGGTTGTTTCTAGTGTTTTGTTGATACAAACAAATATTGCAACAACTATCCCTTCCTATCCTTTTTCACTGTATAGTAGTCTCTCTCACAGTAAATGACATCACCAGGCACTGGGCCTAGGTGCTCCGCCAAAAACTTCAGTCATCCTTGAACCCCTTTCCTCACATCTCAAATCCCCATCAAGTTGTCTGTTTTGGCTTCAAAATATATTCTGGATCCAACCACTTCTCAACACTTTCAACCAATCCAAGTGACCAACATCACTTTCCTATGATTGCAATTGTTTTCTAATAATACTACACCCTACAGTCTCTTCTACACAGAACAGCCAGAGTGGCCTTTTAAGAATGCACTTTCGATCAATAGTATCTGACATGGTTTGGTCGTGTTCCCACCCAAATCTCATCTTGAATTATAACTCCCACAATTCCCATGTGTTGTGGAAGGAACTCGGTGGGAGGTGATTGGATGATGGGGGCGGGTCTTTCTTCCACTGTTCTCGTGATAGTGAATGAGTCTTACGAGATCTTATGGTTTTAGAAAACGGGAATTTCCCTGCACAAGCTCAGTCTTCTCTTGTCTGCTGCCATGTGAGATGTGACTTTCATTTTCTGCCATGACTGTGAGGCCTCCCCAGCCACGTGGAAGTGTAAGTCCAATAAACCTTTCTTTTGTAAATTGCCCAGTCTCAGGTATGTCTTTATCAGCAGTGTAAAAACGGACTAATACGGTATGCCTGCGCAAAACCCTCCAATGGCTTCTCGTTCCGCCAAAAAGTCCAAACTCCTTACCTTGGCCTGAAGGCCTTATGTGATGTAGCCTTTGCCTATCTTCCAGATTCATCTCTTGCCACTTTCCAGTCACTAACTCCACTCCACCTCATGGGCCTTCTTCCTTTCTTCCAGTGTTTCAAGCACATTTCTGCCATTCCTTCTTGCCTGAAGTGCACTTTCCTTAGAACATAAACACAGATCTTGTTCCCTCACTTCTCTAAGTTTCCTCAAATTCACCTCAGGGAGGCCCTCCCTGTCCATCTTACCTAAAATAGTACTTCCAGCCCCTATCCCTTTACCCTGCCTGACGTGATATATGTGTTTATTCATAAGTTTGTCTCAACTTCATGAGAACAGTCTTGTTCATCATTTTATTCCCATAGCCTCGTATAATGCTGGTTTATATAGGAACTTGATAAATATTTATTCAATAAATACATGAATAAATGTTTCCTTATATGTGTTTTCAACCTTTTTTTCTAAATTATAGACGTTTCTGGATCATTAGAATGTTTGCATTTTCAACTAGGCAACGTATTTCCAAATTGCTCTCCTAAGTAGTTGTATCAATTTACATCTCAACAGAAAGTAAGATTTTTTTCATTTCCCTGTATCCTTGCCAACACATGACATTGCCAGACTTAGAGTCACCAATCTCATGGATGTTTTGATTTGTATTTATCTGATTACTAGAGTGAGGTTGAGCATATTTTTTTTTACTTCATTTTCTATTAGATTATCTTTCTCTTATTTACAAAAGTAATATATGTTTTCTGAATACTAATCTTTTGTTTAATATATGTTACAATTATCTTCTCCCAGACTGTGGCATTCCTTTTAATTTTGTTTATGGGATATTTTATCAAACAGAGGTACTAAATTTGGAGTGTTCAAATTTATTAGGTTTTTCCTTCATAATTTGTGCTTTTGATGTTACATTTAAGTAATCCTTCCTTCCCCTGTGATCATGAAGTGTGTTCTCCTATAATTTCTTCTAATAGTTATGAAGTTTTTACTTTGTTCCAGGTTTAGATCTTTTCCATCTGGAATTCAGTTTATACCAGAGGCTCCCAAACTGTAGTGGGGGGATACCTGTAGAGTCCCCAAGACCCTTTCAGGAGCCCTAGAAAGTCAAAACTATTTTCATAATCATACTAAAATGTTATTTGTCTTTTTTGCTCTCATTCTTTCATGAACAGTGGAGTCTTCCAGAGGCTACACAACATATAATGATGTCATCACTCTGATGCCTAATAGAATGTGTGCTTATCTGTTAATGTGTTTTACAGATTTCTCAGTTTTAATTTCTAATATGATATTGACAGATATAACCCACATAAACAAAAGCTCTATGGGACCTTCAGTAATTTTTAAGAGTATAGGCTGAGCGCAGTGGCTCATGCCTGTAATCCCAGCACTTTGGGAGGCTGAGTTGGGTGGATCACCTGAGGTCAGGAGTTCGAGACCAGCCTGACCAACATGGAGAAACCCCATCTCTACTAAAAATACAAAATTAGCCAGGTGTGGTGGCGCATGACTGCAATCCCAGCTTCTCAGAAGGCTGAGGCAGGAGAGTCACTTGAACCCAGGAGGCAGAGGTTGCAGTGAGCTGAGATCACTCCATTGCACTCCAGCCTGGGCAACAGAGCGAAACTCTGTCTCAAAAAAAGAGTATAAAGAAGTCCTGAGACCCAAAAGCTTGAGAATTGCTGGTATAAGGTATAAGAAAGGGATCTAATATTTTTTTCTTTTTTTTAGTATAGAAAGTCAGTATTCCCCAAACCCACTAGGTTTATAATGTTTCCTCTATCATATGTCAAGGTCTCATATTTACATGTGTCTACCTCAGAGCTTTTCTTCATATTACAACCACTGTACTATTTAATTACTACAGTTCTACAAGGAACCTTCCTTTCTGGAAAGGCAAATTACACTTTCTTAATTTTTTTAGAATTGTCTTGGCTCTTCTTAAAACTATTCTTTCTATAAGTAACTTTAGAATCAGCTTGTCAAGTTCCACAAAAAAATGTTGTTAAGAATTTGATTGAAATTGCACTGAATTGTGGAGAATCATACTTCTTATAGCATTGATTTTCTGTTCTGTGAATTTAGTATTACATATTACATATTTTTTATTACAATCTCTTTTTTGCCCTTTGCTATTTATAACATTTTTCATAAAGGTTTTGCACACTTGTGTTAGATTTGTTCCTAAGTATCTTATTATTTCTGTTGCAAGTATAAATGTGATCTTTTCCTCTCATTACATAGGTGTATGGATTTCCTATTACTTAGGTATATAGGATTGCTATTGATTTTTCACATCGATCATGCATTTAACCATACTCAACACTTAGTCATTCTAATTTTTTTTCCTATAGAGCCTCTTGGAGTTTCTGGCTAAGAAATGATGCTGTGCACACATATTTTTATTCTTCTTTGCTAATCACTGAATACCTCTTTTTCTCTTTTCATAAATACAGGGACTAGAACTTGTAGTATGATGTTTAATTATAGAGGTTTCAGCAGGCTTGCTATATTCTTGACTCTATAGGAATCCTTCTATAGTCTCATAATTAAATACGTTATAGATGCTTCATATATACCCTCATGAAGTTAATATTTCTAGTTAATTAAGACATTTTGTTTTAAATTATAGTTCTTAAATTTTTAATGCTTTGTTTGTATCCATTGAGATGAGCATATGGGTCTTCACCTTAATCTGGTAATAAGGTAGATTACAGATAGATTTTAAAATCATAATACCATCTTTACATTTGGGGCAAATTTTAGTTGTACCTGATGTATTATTTTGTATACTTTGTTGGATTTGATTTCATAATTATTTTATTTAGGATTTTCGTGTCAATGTTAAAAAGTGAGATTCATCTGTAATTTTCTTTGTCTATAGAGTTGTCCTATTTTGGTATCAAGATTATATTAACTTTGTAAAAGAAACCGGGTAGCCTTTACTCTTCTTGTCTAAAATAGTTTGTGCGAGTTAGTATAGTCTGTTCCATGAAATTTGATAAAATTCACCTGTAAAACCATCTGGCCTGGCTTCTTTGGCAAGGGATGGAAGGATGACTGGGAGGAGACTATTGGGAGACTTTTGACTATTGATCTATTATCTTTATGATGCTTGATTTATTCAGATTTTATATTTCTTCTAGAGTTAACTCTTAAATTTATATTTTTCTGGTAAGTTGTGGATTTCACCTCAGTTTTCAATTTACTGACATAAGATCACACAATATTACAAAATTTCTGGCATAACCAGTATTTTTAATTTCTACTCTACTATATATATATCTATATTCTTCTTTGAATTCCTCATATTGCTTATTTATGCTATCTTCTTTTCAATGTGGCTTGTTAAAGGTTTATTTATTTTATTGGTTTCCTCAAAGAACCCACTTTTGAATTTCTTAATCAATTTTACTTTTTTTTTCTTTCTTTTTTTTTTTTTTTTTAGAGATAGAGTCTTGCTCTGTCACCCAGGCTGGAGTACAGTGGCACAATCTTGGCTCACTGCAACCTCCACCTCCCGGGTTCAAGTGATTCTCCTGCCTCAGCCTCCCAAGCATCTGGGACTACAGGCGTGCACCACCACACCCAGCTAATTTTTTTGTATTTTTAGTAGAGATGGGGTTTCACCATGTTGGTCAGGCTGGTCTTGAACTCCTGACCTCAAATGATGCGCCCAGCTCGGCATCCCATAGTGCTGGGATTACAGGCGTGAGCTACCATGCCCGGCCTTTTTTTGTTTTTTGAAATGACTCTGTTCATTTTCCAGATTCTAGGGGTAGGTGTTTGCTCATTTACTTGAAATCATTTTTAATAAATGCATTTCATACCATACATTTCTTTCAAATGACTGAGTTACTTGCATTATACAAGTTGTTCCATGCAGTATTTTCTTTGTTACCCTTTTCTAAATGGTTTTTATTTTTAAGTCATGAGTTATTTATGAGTCTGTCATTAAGTTTCAAACTTAGTAAAATTGATTTCTAACTTTACTAAATTTTGGTCAGAGAATATAGTCTGTACTGTGGTGATTTTTGAAATAGCTGGCCTGGTATGTGCTCAAATTATATAAATGTTTAATGTGTGTTTGAAAAGAATATCTATTTGTTGGGTGGAGGGTTTTTACCTATGTATATAGATAGATATTACAGAAATCTTTCATTTCCTGGAGATGATCCATTCCCACTGAAATAGAAATCCAGATTTTAAACTGACTTTAAAATAAATACATTCAATAAGATAAAGAAATAAAAAAGAATCAAAGGTTAAGAAACAAACACAAAAGACATGAATAAAGTAAAGATAAATGTGAAAAATAATTACATAGGAAAATGGAGGCCAGGCATGGTGGCTCATGCCTGTAATCCTAACACTTTGGGAGGCAGAGGCAGAAGGACTGCTTGAGCCCAGGTGTTCGAGACCAGCCTGGGCAATATAGGGAGACCCCGTCCCTACAAAAAATTTTTAAAAAATTAGCCAGGCATGGTGGCATGCATCTGTAGTCCCAGCTATTCAGGGGGCTGAGGTAGGAGGACTGCTTGAGCTGGGAGTTTGAGACAAACTCTAAACTGCTCAGAGAAACAATTATTGAATAGTGAAAGTAAAGAAATGACCCAAAATTCAGCATGATATCAAAGAAAAGACATATTGTGGCAGTTTCAAATCATGGCCACAAATTCTTTGATACTCCTCCCATTAAGAGGTGGGTCTAGTTCCCACATTCCCAAACCGGGTGAGCTTGTGACTAAGTAAAGGTGGAAATGACATTATATATGACTTGTGAGGCTAGGCAATAAAATTTCATGCATTCCACCTTGTTTGCCAAAACACTCACTATTGGAGCCCTGGGCTACCATGTAAGAAGTCTGACTACCCTGAGGCCACTATGATGTGAGGAAACCGAAACCACATGGAGAAGTCATGTGTAGGCATTCCAATCTACAGTCCCAGCAGAGTGCCACCTCTGTCCCTCTAGCCCAGAGGCAGGTGAGTAAAAAATCCTCCAGTCATTCAAGTGACCACCCACTGTTCAAGTCTTCTCATCTGACACCCTGGATATCCTGAAATAGAGTCAAGCTATCCCTGATGTACCTGTTTCAAATATCTATGGTGCAGAATCTGTGAGCATAATACAATATTAATAGTTATTGCTTCTTGGCACTATGTTTTAGAGTGGTGTGTTTGTTACATAGCAATATATAGACAGAACACACGAAGGATGCATCTAATAGTAATTTCAGAAAGGGAATAAAATGAATGCTGGAAATAATATTTGTAGAGATGATACAGAGAATTTTTAAAAAGTGAAGTTGCATATTAAGTGCAAAATAATGAAAACAAATTCATACTTCGATGTACTGTAGTGAAGACACCTAACATTAAGGATAAAGGGCAAATTTTAAAAGCCACCCCAAAGAGAAAACACAGATAACCCATAAAAGAATGACAATTAGGCTGGGCGTGGTGGCTCATGCCTGTAATCCTAGCACTTTGGGAGGCTGAGGCGGGAGGATCATGAGGTCAGGAGTTTGAGACCAGCCTGGCCAACATGGTGAAACCCCGTCTCTACTTAAAATACAAAAATTAGTCGGGCATGGTGGCGGGCGCCTGTAATCCCAGCTACTCGGAAGGCTGAGGGAGGAGAATTGGTTGAACCCAGGAGGCGGAGGTTGCAGTGAGCCGAGATTGCACCACTGCACTCCAGCCTGGGTGACAGAGCAAGACTCCATCTCAAAAAAAAAAATGACAATTAGACACCAAACTTCTCATTAGCAGCAATAGAAACGAGAAGCCAATGCAATAATATCACCAAAGGACTGAGATGAAAATAATTGGCAACATAGGTTTCTATATCCAGCTAAGTGACAATTCAAGAATAATGAAATAGAAAACTTTTCTTTAAAACTGACTTTAACAAGCATACATTTTTATTGAAAGAGCTACTAAAAGATGCATTGTAGCAAGAAGAAAAGTGAATTCAGAATGAAAGCATCGTATTAAAGAAACAAATGGTAAAAACAAAAATTGATAAATTATGTTAAGTCAAATTACACATTGATTTTATAGTAACAGTTTTATGTTCTGATAAATATGGAACTAAAATTCTAGATAACAATGACTCCCAATACATTAGGTAGATAAAGCAGTCTTGGGGCTGGAGGATAACTGACTTTAAAAAACTTTAGAAATCCGCTGGGCGCGGTGGCTCACGCCTGTAATTCCAGCACTTTGGGAGGCCGAGGCGGGCGGATCACGAAGTCAGGAGGTCAGGAGATCGAGACCATCCTGGCTAACACGGTGGGACCCCGTCTCTACTAAAAATACAAAAAATCAGCCGGGCGTGGTGGTGGGAGCCTGTAGTCCCAGCTACTTAGGAGGCTGAGGCAGGAGAATGGCGTGAAACCTGGAGGCGGAGCTTGCAGTGAGCTAAGATGGCGCCACTGCACTCCGTCCTGGGCGACAGAGTGAGACTCCATCTCAACAACAACAACAACAACAAAAACTTTAGAAATCGTTAGGAAAATAAATGGTTAAGCATGCATGTCAAAATTTTAACAGTAGCTTCTGAAAGAACAGACAAAATATAACCCACTTCAAATAGAGGTAAAAGCAAGGGAATTTTCAAAAGTTATCAATCCAACAAAGGCAAGAGAGGCAAACAAACAACAACAACCACAAAAAAAAAAAAAAAAAAAGAGAAATCATTGCGAACAGAAAATCAAAAGTATATTGGAATCCCAGCACTTTGGGGATCCCAAGGCGGGCTGATCACCTAAGGTCAGAAGTTGAAGACCAGCCTGGCTAACATGGCGAAACCCTGTCTCTACTAAAAATACAAAAGGTAGCCAGGTACAGTGGCACGTGCCTGTAGTTCCAGCTACTTGGGAGGCTGAGGCAGGAGAATCACTTGAACCAAGGAGGGAGAGGTTGCAGTGAGCTGAGATCATGCCACTACACTCCAGGCTGGGCGACAGAATGAGACTTCCTCTCAAAAAAAAAATAAATAAATACATTGGTAGACATCAAAAGTAGACATTGGTAGAGATAAATTCAAATAGATCTTACTCATATAAATTGAACTTTTCAGTTAAAAACAGACTGTCAGGATTAAAAACAACAACAAAAAATCAGCTATATGCCACATACAAAAGATGTGGCCATAATAAAATAACATAGAAAAGGTTAAAAATAAAGGTAAAAGTTATAGCAAGCAAATGCTAAACAAAAGAAAGTTGAAGTTTAATATCAGTAGCAGACAAAAATAGTATAAAGCAAAAAGTATTAATAAGGATAAAAACATTACGTAATAATAAAAATTAAAAATTGCCAAGTTCTATCTAGCTGACCATATAACCATGATATAAAACAAAAACTAACAGAATTACACCAAAAATTAGTACATCAACACTATATTGAAATTAAAAAAAATTTTTTTTTTAAACAAGTTCTCACTGTGTTGCTCAGGCTAGGCTGAAACTTCTGGGCTCAATGGATTCTTCCACCTCAGCCCCCTGGGTAGCTGGATCTATAGGTCCATGCCACCAAGCCCAGGTGCTATATTGGAAAATTTAAATATGTCTTTTTAGAAATTCACAGATCAATTAAACAGAAACTAAATTGAAAGTTGGCAGATGTTTTTAGTATTGTTTTCCTTGTGTACAAATTGTAATTTGCAGGTCATCTAGAGTGATAGTTTTTCCTTTTTTTTAACTTATTCCGTTGGTTTCCTGTTTTAGCGTTGCGTCCATGTAGACCTGAGACCCCCTGGCTATGTGTCTCAGGATGTGTCCTTCAGTTCTGCCTCCTGAGCCTCAAGGTAGGTTAGCCTAAGTCTTGTGTGTGCTAGTTTGTTTCCTTTCACCACCATAACTAAGCAGTTTTTGTTGTTTTCTGTTTGCTTTGTTTTTTAAACTCTAGCCCAGGGTAGAAGTCACAGTTTTTCCCAAATTTCAGTTTCACAATGAACCTGACTAAGGTGCCCTACCATGTTTGGGGTGCCTTTGATCTCCACTACTGGGAAGGATTCAAACTCCTAGAAAACTTCTACCAGCTTCCATACTCAGAAGATCATCGAGGCTGTAGCTGTAGCCCCCACTAAACCAGTTGTGTTGGTCTTTTTTTTTTTTTTTTTTTTTTAAGATGCAGTCTCACTCTGTCGGCCAGGCTGGAGTGCAGTGGTGCAATCTTGGCTCACTGCAACCTCCGCCTCCTGGGTTCAAGCGATTCTCCTGCCTCAGCCTACCCAGTAGCTGGGATTATAGGTGTGTGCCCTCACACCCGGCTAATTTTTGAATTTTTGTAGAGACAGGGTTTCTCCATGTTGGCTAGGCTGGTTTCGAACTCCTGACCTCAGGTGATCCACCTGCCTCGACCTCCCAAAGTGCTGAGATTACAGGCATGAGCCACTGTGCCTGGCTGGTCTTTCATTTTGATGCCCAGAGATGATTGTTTTGTTAATGAACCCAGAGATGTCTTTTAATTTTTAATTAAATTTTATTATTGAAGTTCTTGGAGAAGATGTAGAAATTCAAAGTGTGAGCTCCACAAAACCATTTTGACCATTTTCCCATGACATTCTGGATGTGGGGAACTCTGGTCTTGCTACCTTTTTTGGCTTTCCTTAGTAATATGGATTCAGGCTTCTTGTATTCTCAAATGCCAGAAATCTATTTGGAATCTCTAAATCACAGGGCTTCTGGCTCAGGTAGAGGCAGAGTATAAAACCCCCTGTTTCTTGCTCTCCTCACTGACTTAATGTATACGACAATTAGAGACATTAAAACAATATATTCTGGTACTGAAACTCTTGCTCTTAAATTAGTCTTTATCCTAAATTTTTTCAAAGTCTATGCATTTTTGTAACCTTAAGTTTTGAAATCCAGTAGGGAAGGGGTGTAAGAAAAGGTGTGTGGAGGAAAACCCCACAATTACATCTCATTATTATTCTACCAGAGAAGAGATTTTCCTCTCTGCATTTATGTTCTGGAATCTACTTTTTCTCATTTCCCCAGAGGCCTCACTCTTATCTACCTCTCTCTCTCCCTCTTTTTTTTTTTTTTGAGACAGAGTCTTGCTCTGTCTCCCAGGCTGGAGTACAGTAGCATGATCATAGCTCACTGTAGCCTCGAATTCCTGGGCTCAAGAGATCGTCCCACCTCAGCCTTCCCAGTAGCTGGGACTATAGGTGCATGCCACCAT
Organism: Homo sapiens; assembly: GCF_000001405.40. NCBI lineage: Eukaryota > Metazoa > Chordata > Mammalia > Primates > Hominidae > Homo > Homo sapiens. The sequence goes on from NC_000001.11 coordinate 183,458,913, forward strand.
GCCCAAGTTATTTTATTTTATTTTATTTTTAAGATGGAGTCTCCCTCTGTCACCCAGGCTGGAGTGCAGTGGCATGATCTTGGCTCACTGCAACCTCCACCTCCTGGGTTCAAGCGACTCTCCTGCCTCAGCCTCCCCAAGTAGCTGGGACTACAGGTGTGCACCACCACAGCCAGCTAATTTTTTTGTATTTTTAGTAGAGATGGGGTTTCACCATGTTGGCCAGGCTGGTCTCAAACTCTTGACCTCAGGTGATCTGCCCACCTCGGCCTCCCAAAGTGCTGGGATTACAGGTGTTGAGCCACCGTACCCGGCCTATTTTATTTTTTATGGAGACGAGGGTCTTGCTTTGTTGCCCATGTGGGTCTTAAACTCTTGGGCTTAAGTGATCCTCCAGCTTCCGCCTCCCAAAGTGCTGGGATTACAAGCATGAGCCACCATGCCTGGCTGGCCTCTATCCCTGATTTTTCTATATCGGATGTTTTCCTGCTGAAGTCTCCCACCTCTTTATAAGACAAAACTATCTTTCATTCATTTTGTAGGCAAGCTTTCTAAAAACCACACAAGTAGCTTTAATTACTATCTAACTGCTGATGACTCCCAAAGCTACAACTCTAGTACAGATTTCTCTCATGTTCTCCAGATACACAAGTTTTCTCAACCCCAGACAAATGTAGTTCAGCATGTCCAAAATAAATTCATTATCTCCACATCCCATACACCTCTCCAAACCTGTTCCTTCTCTCTTACATTTTCTATTTTCATCCATTTCTCAAGCAGAAACCTGAGAGTCTTCTTGATTCCTTCCCATCCAATAAATCACCCAGTTCTGTCATTATATTTCCATTTAAGGAATTTCTATAGTCACACATTTGTTAAGTACCACTAGAACCATAGCAGTATAATGAATTAAAGATGAGATTAGGCTGGGCACGGTGGCTCACCCATGTAATCCCAGCACTTTGGGAAGTTGAGGCGGGTGGATTGTTTGAGCCCAGGAGTTTGAGACCAGCCTGGGCAACATGGTGAAACCCCATCTCTACACAAAATAAAAAAATTAGCTGGGTGTGGTGGTGCACACTTGTGGTCCCAGCTACTCAAGAGGCTGAGGTGGGAGGATTGCTTGATCCCAGGAGATCAAGGATGCAATGGGCCATGATCATGCCACTGCACTACACTCCAGCCCAGCAACACAGTAAGACCCTGTCTCAAAAAAAAAAACATAAACAAAAAAAAAAACAAAACAAAAAAACCCCAAAAAACATGAGGTTAAAGTGGTAGAATGAAAAAAGATTTTTAATATCATTAAATTCAAGGTAAAAGATAATTTGGGTAAAGAAAACATAATTAGTACTACCAAATGGGTGTGGTGACTCATGCCTGTAATTCCAGCACTTTGGGAGGCCAAGGTGGGCAGATCACTTGAGGTCAGGAGTTTGAGACCAGCCTAGCCAACACGGTGAAACCCTGTCTCCACTAAAGATACAAAAAAATGAACTGGGCATGGTGGCATGCACCAGTAATCCCAGCTACTTGGGAGGCTGAGGCATGAGAATTGCTTGGATCCTGGAGGCAGAGGTTGCAGTGAACTGAGATTACCTCACTGCACTCCAGCCTGCATGACAGAGCAAGATCCGTCTCAAAAAAAAAAAAGAGGAGAAAATGAAAATTTACACGAGATTATTAGATTTAGTTCAAAGGTTTCTGGCTATCTATCTGAAGCTTACCTGAGGGGTAAAAGAGGACTTTCTGCAGAATATACAGTAGTTTACAACTGTCTGGACTACCTTATTTTGTTTTGTTTTGTTTTGTTTTAAATGGTATTTTCACTCATACTAAAATGGGTGAGAGTAGAGTGATATTCCACCTTGTACCCAAAGTCCATTGCTTCTCGGCTTTTTGGCAAAGATTAAGTGTAGTATCAAGTGTACACAAAGTCCAAATTCAAATGATACAATCTGTTTTGGAGAATATTGACATTTATTTATTTATGAGATAGGGTCTGGCTCTGTCACCCAGGCTTGAGTGCAGTGGCACGATCTTGGCTCACAGCAACCTCCATCTCCTAGGCTCAAGGGGTTCTCTCAGCTCAGCCTCCAGAGTAGCTGGTTCTACAGATGTGTACCACCATGCCCAGCTAATTTTGTTTTTTTTTTTTTTTTGGTAGAGATGGAGTTTTGCCATGTTGCCCAGGCTGGTCTCAAACTCCTGGGCTCAAGCAATCTGGAGAATATCGGTCCTCTAAATGGCAATATAAAGTTCCTCAGGGTGTATAGCTTCTTGAACTGGATCTTAAATGGAATCATTTCCAACTGTCATAGATTTTAGGCAGCAAAACTAGGGATGCCCCACTCAGAATTTAGAGATTGCTGAGTCTGGAAGTATACTTTAGAGGCAACAGAGTCCCTTTTCTTGATTTTAAGACAGACTGGGGATCTAGCCTCTTCTTAAAATCTCCCATGGAAAACAGATTATAATAGATGGGTGTCTGACAACTATTACTACCACCAGGCAATGTGCTTCTTTGCTCATCTATCTCTTCTTTCTCCTCTTCCAGGCTTCATGGTTTTCTTTTTTCTTTCTCTCTTCCCCTATTCTTTCTTCTTTCTCAATTCAGTTTTCCTGCCTCTTTTACTTTCTTACCCACAAATGGGGGAAAAAAAAAAAACCAAATGTGGAAGTTCCTGACTGGCCACATTCCAGAGAATTGAGGAAATGCAAGTTGTTACATAACTGGGCGGGGCCAGTAGCATGACCTAGAGTTGAGGGAGGGGCAGAAAATAATTTTAAAGGTAAGAAAAGGCAAAATGGCAAATAAAGACAAATTAAGATATAACTTTAAACTTCTTTTACTTAAAATAATTCTCTGTGAATTCCATTCAGGGCATGCCATCTTTCTCAGGCTGTGACGGTTCCCAGAAGTAGATCTGAAAATTACCAAAGAGGCATTTTGGTCTGTACTGGTGTATTAAAACATGATCATCCTCATCAATTTTTGCTCATACATAAGTATTAGTGCCTGATACTGCATTAGAGCCATAGGAATTGCCTGTAACAAGATTGTTTTTTTCAATCATCAGTTGTGAAAAGCTATTACACTTATCTTTTTTCTTTCTTTTTTTTCCTTTAGACAGTCTCACTCTGTTGCCCAGGCTGGAGTGCAGTGGCGCAATCTCGGCTCACTACAACCTCCACCTCCCGGATTCAAGTAATTCTTCTGCTTCAGCCTCCCAAGTAGCTGGGATTACAGGCGTGAGCCACTGCTCCCGGCCCTACACTTATCTTTAATGTGCTTCCTTTTCAATGTCTAATGTTACTTTCAGACTCCTATAATATAGAAGTTCAGGCATTCTTTAAAAACAATGCTAACCACCACCAAAACAACAATAACCATAATAAACTCAACTTTGCTTTTTGGTTGGCAGAAAATGTTGAAAAATGTATGAAATTAAAGCCAACCGTAAGTAGTCTACCTCAGAAATAGCTGCTATTAACATTTTATTATATGTATGACCATTTTCTATGTAATTCTATTTCATAGTTGCACTTTACATCTATAGTTTTGTATCTTTCAGGCATAATTTAGTATACTTTTAGCCATGGTTTTCCATCACTTTTCTGGTAGATGAGCTGTATGTATTCCTTTTCCTGCTGGGAAATAGAATGTGAACAAGTAAACTATGCAAAATCTCATTCTGAAGGACTTTACAGTTGACTGGGACACTTACGTGGATTATCTGATTGCATGCCTGTACTCGATCTCAAGTGGAATGGTTCCAAAGACCTCTACCACGGCATTTGTCACTCTATAATATAACTTCCCTTTTACTTAACTGTCTTTTAAACTTAAGCTCTGAGAGCAGGACTGTTTGTTCACCATTTTCACCCTAATGACTAGCATATGACCTGATACAATGAAAATTCTATTTATGAAAAGACTGAAAGACTGAATAAATTACTAAATACTAAAATTCTAGAGGATCCACAGCTCATCAAACTTCTCCATAGTAGCAGGATACACCAAGATTAAGATTCCCAGAAGTAAAATTTTAGTTTCGATATAGATTTGTCTTGAAAAAGCAGAGAAAGATGGGAATTGATCATCATCAATTGAACATGCTCTATAGATACTAAACTCAATTCTACCTAACATTCCTACAGTGCTTTCATGCTGAAATTTGACTGTTCCTCAAATACTTAGAGAAAATTAATTTCAGCTTCTTTCTACAGCTGGTAACCTTCTGTAACATCTAGGCCACTGCTGCCTGTATTTTGGAAATGTTGGCATTCCAGTTATTTGGCATGCCCTCTAGTCCTGGTCTTACCCACAGGAACATTGTTAAAGAACTAAAACTGGTGGGGTGCATTGACTCATGCCTGTAATCCCAGCACTTTGGGAGGTTAAGGCAGGTGGATTGCTTGAGCCCAGGAGTTCAAAACCAGCCTGAGAAACATGAAGAAACTCCATCTCTACTAAAAATACAAAAATTAGCCAGGCGTGGTGACATGTGCCTGTAGCCCCAGGTACTCAGGAGGTTGAGGTGGGAGAATGGCTTGAGCCTGGCAGGTTGAGGCTGCAGTGAGCTGTGATTATGCCACTACGCTACAGCCTGGGTGATAGTGAGAGACCCTGTCTCAAAACAACAACAAAACAACAACAACAACAACAACAAAAATTAAAACTATTCATGTCCTCTTGGACAAAGAAATGGATGACTTGGAGGACCATAATGGGAACATTATAGCCAATGGTTGAGAGAGCACGAGAGTGAAACAGCATGCAAGTCAAAGCCATTCCAGAGGTGTTAGTTTGAAAGAGGGCAGGGGAAAGCATAAACAGCTGGTTTTGCTCCGTAGAAGCCTCCTTATCCTCTTTAGCTTTGAACCAGATCTTGGCTCTCATTTCATTCAAATACAAAACAGCTAATGAACTGAGATATCCTTCACAAATAGATTAAAGAATTTATACTGGCCAGGCATGGTGGCTCACACCTGTAACCCCAGCACACTGGGAGGCTGAGGTGGGAGGATCACTTATCACTTGAGGTCAGGAGTTCATGACCAGCCTGGCAGACACAGTGAGACCTCAAAAATAAAGAAAATTTAGCTGGGCATGCTGGTACATGCCTGTAGTCCAGCTACTTGGGAGCTTGAGGTGGGAGAATCACTTGAGCCCAGGAGGTTGAGGCTGTAGTGAGCCGTGATTGCACCACTGCACTCCTGCCTGGGCAACAGAGTGAGACCCTGTCAAAAAGAAAGGAAAGGAGAGGAGAGGAGAGAGGAGAGGAAGAAAAGTGAAAAAAAGTAAAGAAAAGAAAAGAGAGGGGAGGGGAGGGAAGAGGGAAGGGGAAGGGAGGGAAGGGGAGGGGAGGAGAGGGCAGGGCAGGGCAAGAAAGAAAAGACAGAGAAAGAAAGAAAGAGAAGAAGGAAGGAAGGAAGGAAGGGTCATATGATAAAACTGGTCATATAGTTTTGAGGCAGTATGCTGTGTACCTCTACAGCAGTTTGTATTTGTTTTTAAAGGTGCATTTAACCTACATTAATTAGAGTGTGTATGCAGTTCTTATTCACCCTTTATATAAAGTAAGAGCATTCGTTGAGTGTCTACTAAGTGCCAGGCTGCTTACATATGTTACATGCCTTATTTAATTGAATTGAATTCAGAACCTGCCTCCAGAAACATAATTATCACATTTACTTTGAAATTGGATATAGCCCTTTCCTTAAAATCCTACATTCAGTTTACTTAGCCCTATCCCATTACAGGCAAAAAAATTAACAATAATAATGCTAGAATTTATAAACACTTCTCTGGTGAAAAATAGAGACCACTGAGCTTTCCATTCTACACCCTGATCCAATTTTCTTTCCGAAATTTTAAAGGTAACTTTTTGTATTACATTCTAATTAGCTGATAGCCTCTCTTCTCTTTTGCCATCCTTCCCTAGCACCCTCTCCTGCCACATAATGAAAGAATTAACTGCACCTAATCTCAAATTTAAAAACATAAAGTTAAATAAAAATAATTTGGACGTTGAAGACTTTTTCTACATCAAAGTCTGAGATGCTGTTGTGAGATAACTGATGAGTTATCCTTCATCTTATAACTGTGCATTTTACTCATTGCTTAAATATTTCATTTAATTACAACTTTAATCTTGTTAAATGTAATAGCAATTTCAATTACCGAGATTAGTTGAAGGCCCAATAAAATTATTTTCTTACTGCTTTAGGATTACTTCTAAAGAATACGTGGTCCAATTTTTTTTTTGTTTTAGAGATGGGGTCTCACTATGTTGCCCAGGCTGGTCTCGAATTCCTGGGCTGAAGCAATCTTCCACCTTGGCCTCCCAAAGTGCTGAGATTACAGGTGTGAGCCATTGTGCCCAGCTCCCAAATTTCTATTAATTTGGTTTTTGTTTTTTAATTCCTTGACTTAATGAACATTTATTGAGCATTCCTTGTATCTGGTGTTCTGCTAGGGAAGTGATAATACAAGAGTAAGCAAAATAGGCACAGCATCTACTCTTACAGAGCTTACAATTGGAGGTAACAGACATTAAACAAAGATTTACAAATATGAAAGACTTACAAATGCCATGAAAAAGAAGGGCAGAGTGCTATGGGAACATATAACCAGTTTAGCTAACTTAGCCTAATGGTTGGGGGTTGGAAAGTAGAGAAAGCTCGTCCAAAGAAGTTCAGATTTAGGCTTAAAGCATAGGTAGACATAAGAGTAGTCTGCGGAGAAGAATTACCCAGATAGAGGGAACAACTTATCTAAAGGCTCCGAGAAGAAAAGAACACTGCTTATTCAAGGACCTAGCAGAAGGTCACTATAGCTAGAGTGGTGATACCAGGGGGTGGGGAGGGTTGTCAGAGAAGAGGCAGGCAGAGACCAGAACAGAGGTCATCATAAGGATTGGAAACTTTATCCTAAGGGTAATGGAAAAGCAATGGAGACTTAAAGCCAGGGGAAAAAACTTTTTAAAAAGCTTAACATAGCTAAAATGTGGAATATACGTACACATTAATTTACTATTTAATTTGTTCCAGAATGTGTTCTTACATCTTAACCCAACAATATTAAGAATTGTTTTTAAGATGGAGCCTTGCTATGTTGCCCAGGCTGGCCCCAAACTCCTTGGCTCAAGTGATCCACCTGGCTCAGCCTCCTGAGTAGCTGAGATTATAGGCACCTGCCACTGTGCCAGGCTAATATTAAGAATTTTAACAAATATGACCAGGTGAGGTGGCTCACCTGTAATCCCATTACTTTGGGAAGCCAAGGCTGGAGGTTCTTGAGCCCAGGAGTTTGAGACCAGCCTGGGCAACATAGGGAGACTGCTGTTTCTACAAAAAATAAAAAAATTAGCTGGGCATCGTGAGGGAAGCCTGTAGTCCTAGCTACTCGAGAGGCTGAGGCAGGGGAATTACTTGAGCCCGGGGGTTGAGGCTGCAGTGAGCTGTGATCATGCCACTATACTCCAGCCTGGGCAACAGAGCAAGACCCTGTCTCAAAAAAAAAAAAAAAAAAAAAGAAAGAAAGAAAGAAAAAGAAAAAGAAAAGAAAGAACTTTTACATATATGGAACAAACTATCCAGGTTTTTGATATGTAAAAGTTTTCTGAGAATAGAAAAGACCCTGGGATTGTTAAGCAAAGCAAAAAAGTGCTTGGATGCATATTCTTAGTATGCCTTGAAGTGATGGACCTAAGTCCTAAGTTTCTTTGCTTTTCATCTTTATCACATTTTAACTTGAATTGCCAATTGAATTGGTACAATAATAATGTCAGGGAAAAGAGGAAGGTGTGTGTTATTTCGTTTTCACACTGCTATAAAGATACTACCCGAGACTGGGTAATTTATAAGCAAAGGGGGTTTAATTGACTCACAGTTCCATATAGTTGGGGAGGCCTCAGGAAACTTACAATCATGGTGGAAGGGGAAAAATGGACCTTCTTTACAAGGCAGCAGGGAGAGACAAACAAAGGAGGAAGTTCCAAACACTTACAAAAACATAAGATCTTGTGAGAACTCACTCACTCATGAGAACAGCATGGGGGAAACCACCCCCATGATCCAATCACCTCCCTCCCTGGACACGTGGGGATTACAGGTCCCTCCGTCAACATGTGGGGATTATAAATAGAGATCAGATTTGGGCAGGGACATAGGGCCAAACCATATCAGTGTGTGCATGTGTACATGCATGTACATGTTTCCCATGGTTTTGAAGAACAGATTTATGACAATGAATATCAGTATCACATTCTTAGTGCTCCAAATTACTATCTACCTGATAAAAGTTAGGAAAGTAGAAACTAGAAAATATTAAAAGATTATGTTATTTTAGTTGGGTGTTTTAAGAAAAATATGGCAACTTCTAGGTAACTGAACAGACTTTGACATGAAATATGTTGCTGTTAGATTAGGGACCCACAAGATGATTTCAGTAAGTACTGTGCTTCGGGTAGTAAAGAGATGCATGAACACTAAGGCCTTCTGCCAATAAAATAAGAGAGGCTACGGTTTTTGTTTTTGTTTTTCAATACTTTTCAATCTTTCCTATGAGCATCTCTTCTTGTCTTCTCCAGATTGTGTCCATTAAATCAGCAGATAAGAATTTTAGGTGTGGTAATTTCTCAGAGGTATTTGCTTATTGGGAGTTGGGGGAAACCTTGAAGATAGTAAGATTTCCCTTAGTAAATATTAGGAGAATGGAGAAGTGAAGGGGGAGAGAAAGCTCTGAATATTATTCCCCAACTGTCACCTCAGTGCCTCCCAAATCAGAAGTTTCTTTTCTTCAATCTTGGACTGCAATGATTCCCGACTATTCTTCAGGCTAAAAGACTCCCTCTTTGGAGTGAATGAATAAATATACACTTGGCAAACTGTTTGAAAAAGGCTACTGACCCTTGATCTAAGAAATCTTGAGCAACAGGAGACCTGAATTTAAATGTCAATTTGTATCTGACTCACTATTTGAAGAGAATGAATTACTCATTTGATTGAATCACTTAACTCTATGGTCTGAGGTGTGGTACTGAAGAGGAATGAATGGCTAGCTTCACACATATTGTGTACTGAGTATGCAACTGATAATAAATGTGTTTCTGCTTTGATGAGAATGATTTACCAAGTTCCTAATTGTGCACAGGATTTATAAACATTCAGAATATATAGGATAAATATTAAAATAAATTAGGGCTTGTTACGATGTCATGGCACAGGCTGTCTATTATTATAAAAAGGGAGGAGGCCTGCTATGTATTAATCGTCAGGTTACCAAAGCTCTGGGTAAATTTGGTAAGAATGTTAAGAGTAGCTTCTCAGCAAGTACTGTGTTTGATTGAAAAGAGGCCATTCCATCTACTTGGACAGAAATGTGGTTATATTAGCCTGTTTTATGTGATAAAAGGTTTTTGAAAAGTTTTAAATCTCTAGCATTGGACTCACAATGTCCTAATATTGTGTTCTTTTCTGTAATCAGTCATGAATAAAGAAATCTATCTTCTAGCACTGGATGCCAATAGATTTGAATGTGAGTTCAGACCTATGAGTATTATAGACAAAGACTAGATTGAGAGCTGGGTACAGTGATTCACACCTAAAATCCCAGCTACTTGTGAGGCTGAGGCGGGAGGACTGCTTGTGGCTAGGAGTTAGAGATAGATAGCCTGGGCAATACAGTTAGGCTGCATCTCTATTTAAAAAAAAAAAAGACTAGATAGAGTATTATTTTAAAAAATAATGTTATGCTGTAGTAGTTCTATTTTACTCTTTTTAGCTTGATATAAAAGAGCAAAAGGGACTGGGCAAGGTGGCTCACACCTGTAATCCCAGAACTTTGAGATGCCAAGGCAGGTGGATCACTTGAGGTCAGGAGTTTGAGACCAGCCTGGCCAACATGGTGAACCTTGTCTCTACTGAAAATACAAAAATTAGCTGGGCGTGGTGGCACACACCTGTAGTCCCAGCTACTTGGGAGGCTGAAGCACAAGAATTGCCTGAACCCAGGAGGCAGAGGTTGCAGTGAGCTGAAATTGTGCCACTGCACTCCAGCCTGGGTGACAGAGTAAGTCTCTGTCTCAAAAAAAAAAAAAAAAAAAGCAAAAAGGCAGAAAAAAATTTAATGTTTATCAAGTTCAGTGTTGTATAATGGGCACTCAATCATGTATGTCATCATTAAAGGTCACAGGAAGCCTATAACAGGTAATGCTTCCATTTTGGTCAAGGAGCAAACTGAAGTTCAGACACCAAGATGGCAGAGTTAGAATGCATACTCAGGTCCGTTAGCTTGTGATCTTTCCATGAAATCACTTAGCCAAAAAGACAAACCCAAAAACAAAATCTGGTAGGATTAATGTAAGTAAGGAAGCTTCTCTTTAATTTCTTTTGGTTTAGATGTGATCTTATATCTGTAGGGGGGAAAAGGTGAACAATATCTATTGCAAAAAGAAAGATGTTTGTAATTCTACAAGTTTGTTGACTAGGACAAGTGGAAATAGATGAAAATGGAAAATGTGTATTAAACAGTATATAAATAGAAGGTAATAATTTTTCTGAGTCCTATTGATTTTTGAAGGTAATTTTAATATTAGTATCAAAGTCTTCTAATCTCTAAAATATACTACTATTCTTCTATTTAGCTAGAGATATTGTAAAGCTATTGAAGACTCTTATAAGATTCTTAGGAAAGCTGCTATAAAACACAGACTTTATTATTTCTGACCTCATGTGTTCCTACTTTGTTCTTACCCCAATTACTGCATCCCTCATATTGCATCCTAATCATTACTCTGAGCTCTCTACCAGCAGTTGGGTTTCCTCAAGGCAGGGACCAGGTCTCTTTCACTGTGGTGTCCATCATAACCAGAACAGTGTCTGAAATATAATAAGTACTCAGTAAATGTTTATGGAATAAATCAGCAAACACTAACAAAAGGATTCATCTTTCTGATCCGTTTCTCTATTTCCAAAATGAGAAGATAGTAGTAATATTTTCCTAGATTGCTTATCAGGAATGTATGATAACTGTTCATACACTCTTTATTGGAGATATGTGCCACAGACATAAATGGCTATTACCATGATTAGTAAGGGGGTAATTATTACAATTTTTATTCTGGTTGAAATCTAACCAATTAAAAAATCTAACCAATACACGATCACACTGGTCTTTAAATTAAAAAAAAAAAAGAAAAATATCTAACCAATAAATTTTCGGAAAGAAATGTAGGCTATTTGAGGTAATAGGTAGTAGGAGTGTCTATCCTTGGGCGCTCATGGTAGAAAGAAAAGCAGAACCCCACCGCGGAAATGAGAATAATCCCTCACTAGGTGGCTCTCTTTGCCGTGAGTGGGCGGCGCGTCGGGGCGGGGCGGGTGATTGGGGGCATTGTACTGCCGCAAGCGCTGCGTGTCACGCCGCACCATACCAGGCGCTGGCAGCATGAGGGGCATAGTCCACTTTCTATTTCGTTAATGACAATCTGTCCTTGGAATTTATTTCAAAGCAGGTTGTACTTTCGTTTCCGCTAAACTTATACCTGATGTTTCAACTGAACATTGGTATAGTCTTATTGGTGCAGGTCTCAGAGAAGGATCTTGAAAGTGCCTCTTCACCTGGCGTAGAAAAAGACAGCAGGAATCAGGTAGCCAAACCAGACCAAACCAAATCAAAATAGCCCATTAAAATCCTTATTTTAACTATCCTATGAGGGCTGCATTCTTGGAAGGTTTTATATAGTTACATATCCTAAAGTACTTTGGGATAGCTCCTTAAGTGACTCCACAATACGAACCGAAAATATAACTTGTAAAACGTCAATTTCTTCAAGTCATGGATGATGAATTTTCCAGCTATTTCTCATACACTTCATATTATTATTGACTTCGTTCTTTATTTCAGCTTTTTGGCCCGAAACCTGACACAAAACACACATAATAAATATCCAAAAAGATTTGTTCTAAGAATGAAACTTCTTTTCCTAGACTCCTTTCACCAGACAGATGTATCTAGGGTTCGTTCTTCTTGATCCTCTTTTATCCGATGTTTTCCTCTCTAACTCAACGACACAGAATGACGACTTTTAAAACACTGCAGACCCGTGAGAAGAGAAAGGTTGCAGAGCAGGGAGGAACTTGGAGGTCTGCCTTTAATAATCAAGCAGGATCCCCACTGCGGGGTGCCTATCAGAGTGATGGCGCTAGTCAGCCTTCCGGCTTGTCCCCGGCTTAAATGATAGAAAACCACGTGTTAGCCTTCTAGGATGTGTTCCCACCCTCACCCTGGCCTCCTCGCGGCAGGCTCGCGACAGCTAGGTCAGGAGGGAGTACGCGGGTGGGGTGGATTTGGGGGAGGGGTCGACTCGCCAGAAGTCGGCTATCCCCGTCGGCAGGGAAGGCATCGCGGCTGTCGTGTGCCGCTCTCCTCCCTCAGGGACCCCGTCCAGGCGGGATCCCGCCTCCCAGAGCCCAAGGCAGTTGTGGGGAAACCCCTTGCCCTTCCTCGCCGCTTGGCGCTGTCGCCTCGCCCTCCCGACTCCAGCCCGCCGCCCGCCAGCCTCCAGGCCATGCATCCTCTTCGCAGGCCCAGCCCTCTCCACGCCCGGCTCTGAGAGGAAACTACGGAGGTGGTTCCCGCTCGCAGGCGGGTGGAAAAGCCCATGGTGAATGCCTCGGGGTGTCCCCCCAGTTGCTGTGGGAAGTGGGAAGGGAGGAGGAAGTGGACTTCACCACCGGGGAGAACTATATCGATTCCTAACTTGGGGGAGGCCTTTAGATGGAAGGGAAGCCAACGGGGAACCCTGGGTGGTTTCCTGGGAATCCATTGGCCAAGGGGAGGGTGACCCTGTCCGCACACATCGGTTACTATGACAATATAACCACAGCCTCCAGTTGCCATGGCAGCTGCCTATCCAATCCGATTGTCTTCTCTTCCTCTCCGGGCCCCACCTTATCCCCTCCAAGAGTCTCCCAGCGTGCATGGGGAGGGGCTGCAGCGAAGAGGAGAGGGGGTCCTTCGAGTCACTCTCTACGCGCGAGGGAAGACAGGCGTTGAGGGACTGCTGGGAGGAACTGTAGGAGGAAGGGGCGGCGTTTCCGGTGGGGAAGAGTGGAGGCGTGCAAAAAGGAAGAGGGAAATCGGCAGGAGTGATAAGAAGGGGGAAGACTTTGAGTGTAACTCCCGTTCTTTTGGCCTGGGTGTTCCCGGTGGTGGGATTGGGATTGCCCCCTTGCGCGGGAGGAGAAGGGTGGATTGGCAGGAAGCCGCCAAGCGCCACCAGCCGGTCTCTCAGAAGCCGCACAGGCGCCACACAGCTCGTTGATCCCAAAAGGGAGCGCTACAGAGAGGCGGAAATCACTGAGGGACAGGCGCTGCTGAAATCTCGCGAGAGGGACCCCCTCCCTCGCCCGGTCGCCGACTTCCTCTGCTTCTCCTCTTTCCCCCGCCCCTCCTCCCTCCCCCTCCCCCCCGGGTCGGAGTGTCCCTGCGCCCCACGGGCCAGAGCAGCAGCGAGAGCAGCTTTCCCCACTCCCTCCCCCTCGCCTCATTCACCCCCACCCCCCTGCCGAGCGAGGAGGAGCCGGAGGAGAGGAAGATGGCGGCGGCCGCCAGCACCCGCGGTGCCGCGGGGCCGCTCCGAGGAGCCTGAGAGACCCACGGAGGCTTCGCGGGAAGACGCGGCGGCGGCGGCGGAGGATGAGCCTGCAGAGCGCGCAGTACCTCCGGTGAGTGCCGAGGCCGGGCTGGTACGTAGGGGGAGCGGGCCGCAGGTTGGGGCATGGAGCAACAGACACCGAGGTAAGTCCGGGGTGGCGGGGGAGTTGCTGCGTCCTCTCCTCGCCGGGCAGGTCGGCGGAGACTGCAAGGGGATCTGCGGGAGGGGGCGGAACGGGTATGGGTGCCTAGCCCCTACCGCCCGGGCTGAGCTCTGGCGAAGCCGGCTCGTCCCGGTGCGAGGAGGGAGGTTGGGGAAGCGTGAGAATGTGCGCGCGCGCCCTTGGTCTCGGGTTTGCTAGCGAGGGGTGGAGAGAAACGTCCGGGGAGGCGGCGGCGACCCCGAGTGGAGGTGGGTGTGGAGGAGTCTGATCCCCGTGGCAGGGGACTCGTGGTGTGGCGTGGGATTGGTTGGAGCGATGCATGAGTAGAGGACGGGGAGGAAGTCTGCACACCTGGGGTGTTGGGGCGGGGGAACCGCGGAGGGCAGACAGGGGGAGAGGGAGACCGCAGGAAACTGGAGCTTGTTCTTCATTCTCGGGTTGGGAGTATTGAGGAATAATGTCATCTGTAGTTAGTTGGCGGTGTGGGGAGGCGTGAAGGGGAATAGATGGGGAAGTGAGGAAAGAGGGAGGCACTGTGGACAAGGTTGGGTTTTTCAGAAGAAACTGGGTTAGAATCAGTGTAGTCGGAAGATACCATTCTGAGAGTCGTGTGTATTCATTAAGAGTGGTGTAAGGAACTTGTATGTCAGAGGTAGAGTGACACATGGGAATAGTGTGTGTGTGTGCGAGATGTGTGTCTGGGGTGGGGGGCGCGGCGATTGATGCACATTTCAGGATGAAGATGTAGATAGGTTGAACTTAGTACCTGATGGCGAGAACATATTGAATGGAAGGACACCAGCTTTTGTGTCAGCTGAAAGGTTCCATGGAAGCTGAGTAAGAGCTTGGAGGCAGAGGTAAAGTGGGTCAAAAATCTTGATAGAGAAAAGTAAGGTTGTTAGATCCTGAAATTAACTGGGGAGTGACTACTGCTTAGAAAAGGGGAAGACTTTAAAATTGGTCCTTTTTGTCTTTCAGGAGCAGAACTAAGAAAGGGAGGCCTTATGGAAAGATGTTTTTTAAAAAATTGTTTCATACCTTGCGGAGGAGGGAGTTGGATGAGGTGGAAGTCTGAAATGAGTGGAAAAGTCACTTTAGCTGTTTAGTGACATGAAAGTATTGACGTGTGTGGATCCCTATATGTATATTGCAAGAGGTGTGTAGTTACCTGATACATAGGGTGGCCATTATAATTTTTAAAGTAGTAAAGTTTTATTAAGCATAATAGGGAGAGAAGAGAATGATGAGATATTTGAACAATGCTTGAATGCTTGATTTTAACACAACATATATGCCCAGTGACCACAGGACAGTTGGAATGATGTCTGTAATTTGAGGTCCTTTTTTTCATCTTAGATATCCCTTTGTTGTTTAATATTTCAAATAAATATAGCTATGACAAAGATCTGTTGTAGGTGCTATAGAGAGATGGAAACCATCAGGGTGCTGATTAGTCTTAAGGAATTTGCAGTTGAGTATCTGTTAGGCAAGTAAATTAAACAGCACAGAGTGTAAGTACCATGAAAGATACCAAACGTTGCCGGGCACGGGGGCTCACGCCTGTAATCCCAGCACTTTGGGAGGCCTAGGCGGGAGGATCACCTGAGGTCAGGAGTTCAAGACCAGCCTGGCCAGCATGGTGAAACCACGTCTCTACTAAAAATACAAAAAATTAGCTGGGCATGGTGGTGGGCGCCTGTAATGCCGGCTACTCGGGAGGCTGAGGCAGGAGAATCGCTTGAACCCGGGAGGCAGAGGTTGCAGTGAGCCGAGATGGCGTCATTGCACTCCAGCCTGGGCAACAAGAGTGAAACTTCGTCTCAATAAATAAGTAAATACATAAATAAAAATAAAAGATACGAAGTGTTTTGAGTCCAAAGGCAGGAGATCACCTGAGCAATGGGAGGAAATCAGGAAAGACTTTGTTTATTTGCTCATTCATGTACTCATGATTCATTAGTTGTTTTGTTGATCACCTGTATGGGAGGCATTGTACCAACATCTGAGAATAGAAAAAGAACAACTCCACCCTCCTTTTACAGAGCTTACACTTTGTTAGACTTCAAGAAAATGGCACTTAGGATATTGTTCATCCTTAATGTTCATTTTGACAGATGTGGATTGAGAAGCGGGGAATTCCAAATGGAAGGAAACTGAGCAGAGTTATGTAGGTAGGGAAGCTGGGGGGAAGGGAGGTATTCAGTCCAGTTAGACAACAAGGTAGTGTGATATAGCTGAGAAAACTTAAGAGTTGTAGAGATTATCAAGTTTGACCCTTTCCTTTTACACATGAGGAATGTAAGCCCAAAGAAGGTAAAATTGTTGAGGCTCATATAGCTGGTATGTGGAAACTAACTGAAATGTAGGTCTTCTAACTTCAAGTCAGCTGTAGTACACTGCATGTCAGTATTCATCTGTTCTTTCCACAAATATAAGTTGAGAACATAATATATTCTAGTGTTGAGGGTACACTGGTGAATAAAAGGGTGAACATGGGAGGATATATTATAGTAGAAGGGCACAGTCAGTAAACATAGCAGTTAAATATATATCAGGTGGTCACAAGCACTAGGAAGAGGAATAAAGTAAGACAGGGATGTACTGTTTTATCTGGACAAAGTGGTCGGGGAAATCCTATTTGATAAGGTGACCATATTTAAGAGGATCCTGAATATCATGTTCCATAATTTATAGTTAAAATGGGTAGACAATGGAGAATCTGAGATGATTTGCTAGAATTAATATGTTCACAGCTATGTGTTAGGAAAATGACTCTGTGTAATGTAGTGGTGGATAACAGAGAAAAGTAAGGTTGTTAGAGCCTGACATTAATTGGGGAGTGACTACTGCTTAGAAAAGGGGAAGACTTCAAAATTGGTCCTTTTTGTAAGGTTCTTTTCCTTACAAAAGATTCCCTTTGGGACTTTGGTCCTGAATAAGGTACTGGCAGTGGATCTAGAAAGTTATGAAAAACAAATTGGCAGAGTGGTGGTACTTTTAATGGGGAAGATCAGTGGACTTTGAGAGGCTTCTTGTTAATGTGCCTTATATTTTATAGCTTGACATGGTAGGGAAGACTTCCTTAGATGTGGAATCAATGATAGTTTGAGATGAACTTAGTTCTTTGAAGAAGGGAGAAAAAAAATGAATACAATGATATTTTTCAGCTAAAATTGAGCAGGCAAAATGGGGGAGGCATAGGTCCTGGGGTCCCTTAAAGATTCCTGGAGCCAGTCTTGTCTCAATCTTAGGCATTTGTCCTAAGTAAATTAAAACAAGTGTTAGAAGTCTGAGACCTAGGTGGTGGTTGTGGGAATCATAAAGGCTTGTGCCAGTCTGAATTTCCCTCCTCCTCTTTTAGATAATCATTCCATTTAAAGTCTGCAGTGGGGACACTAGAGAATGTCTTTAGGGAAGCATTATGTTCACGTTCTTTGAAAATAGAACTGTTGGTTTTTATAGACACTTCAGGGAGGATGCCGAGTATTGCTGAATGGATGTGGTTGGGGGGTGTAGCAATTGTTTTCGTGACCTTGACTTGAAGAATTTTCTTGCCTACCTTTGTCAGTGGTGGAAGATCATGACTGGGCAATTTTTAATCTCTATAGCTACAGATCCTGCCTCATGTAGATGAAAATTAGTTTTGTCTTGGCTGAATTTTAATTTGTTAGAGTAAATGAGCTGGGATGTCTGGCATTGAAATGGTGGGGTGGTGGGAAACCAAGGAGCAAGATGGCTGTTTCAGAAGGGTCAGAAATGAAGATAGGAGGCAAGAAGTCCCAGTAAGACCAATAAAGAGAGAATTCAACATCAAGGGAACTGAATTAGTCTCAAGTTATAAAAATAGAGCAGAGATGAAAGGAAGAAAACCTATCTTCTATGTGGGAAAGATGATGATATTCTGGGCAGGAAAGGATAATGAAATTTTTTGTTTGTTGAAAGGTAAGTATCTTTTTAATACACTGACAAGACTTCTAAGAGAATCAGTTAAGTTGAAAATACTTTGTTATGTTTTATAAAAATAAAAATATGATCTTAAATATGAGGGTTCTAGGCCGAATAACATTGGGAATTTATTACTCAAATTGAAGGAGAATTCAGAGTATTTTCTCTTTTGATTTATGACAGAATGAAAGATTTTAAAAGACTTTGACACCTCTGTTGAGTAAAAGAAAGGGTGTATTGAATACAATTCATTTGATGGGGGTAGGAGAAGGTTAGGATAGGCCGCAGGTGAGGTATAATATTATGCTTTAAAATAATGGCATTTTGAAAAAAAGAAAAGTGGAAATTAACATATCAAAGTTGGAAAAGCAGGAGTGGGGGAAGTATTAAAGTACCAGACAGAGAAGACATCAAAGTTGTTTTGGAAGATGAGAAAGTAGAATAATCATAGCTATAGGGAATACCAGTCAAACAGGTCAAATCCTGTTATAAAAGGTGGCACAGGTGCCACCGAATGACTTCTGCTGCCATTGTGGGAGCCACTGTTCATACTCTATGCTCCCTTCAACTTTCCTCCTTTTCTTCCTTCACTATTCTCTTTTGTCTCTAATTTCTTCCTATGCTGTGAGTGTTTCAGTGAGATCCACTTGAAGTGGATTCCTACTGTTAGACTCCTTTACAGGAAAGGTCCAGAAAGTATCTGTTTTGTTTTGTGTGTGTGTGTGTGTGTGTATGTGTGCATATGTGTATATATACATATATACATGTGTGCATATGTGTATATATGCATATATACACGTGTGTGCATATGTGTATATATGCATATATACATGTGTGTGCATATGTGTATATATGCATATATACGTGTGTGCATATGTGTATATATGCATATATACGTGTGTGCATATGTGTATATATGCATATATACGTGTGTGCATATGTGTATATATGCATATATACGTGTGTGCATATGTGTATATATGCATATATACGTGTGTGCATATGTGTATATATGCATATATACGTGTGTGCATGTGTATATATGCATATATACATGTGTGTGCATATGTGTGCATATATACATGTGTGTATGTGTGTATGTATACATATATGTATATGTGTCTATGCACATATGTGTGTATATATACATATATTTTTTGTATGATACATGTATAGTGAAGACGCTGCATCTCAGTGGCTCACTTGTCAGAAGTTTTGTTACTAATATAACAGCCACAGGGTTGTTTTCTAAGCCAGCAGAAAAATGGTTGTCATTTAAATAGGAAGTAAAATATCCAATATGGTATAAAATAAAAATGTATCACTATAAATCTTGAAACAGAGAGATAGTGGAGATAAGGCTGGATAAAGTAGCAAGCTAAGCCTTATCCTAGCCTGGGGAGAGGAACAGAGAAGATAGTGGGAGCATTGGGAGGAATATATAAATAGGATGGTCTCCAGGTTCTAGAAGAGTCTAGTAATGCTAGATCAGATAGTCACTGTATCCTGAAGCTTCTAGAAGTCTTAGAGCACATGCTGATTTTAGTCCATGTGGTCCACGAAGTCTTCTTCACCTGCCCCATCCCCTTCCTTTCCACCAGGTACATGCTTTACAGAATGTAAAGTAGCTTTTGTCCCGGAATATCAGCCAAAGGTGGTGACATTTTTTGAATGAATGACTGTCTCTTTAGGCTTATAAGTCTTTGTTATAACAGTGTTAATAGCTTATTACCTGCTTGGATATTGTCTGACTAAATTATTTTGGCAGTTAATTTCTGCTTCCCTTGTGGTTTCATTTGGATTCAAAATGTATACTTCCTGTCCTATCTTAGGTTTCATTTCTTTGCTTTCTAACAGCTGTGGTCTTCTGCCTTCATGGTAGAAGAAGCAATTGCTGAGTTTTATGTTGTTGTTTTTAATGGATGTGTTACAGTAAGATCTGGACCCACTAGTATTGCAAGTTTCATGAGGCAGTTTTGAGGTGGAGAGTGGTTCACACTTTAAAAGGGCTGGTGTGTTTTATACTTGAGAAAAATTGTTTCCTGCCTCCGGCTAGCCTTTCAAATTTTTGTATTAGTGTCATGAATGAGTGCCTGAAAGTTTAGATGGGTTAGTTTAATTGATCTTGTGTAGAGAATAAATTATAAAGCATACGTCTTGTAGATAGTGGATTATTCATCTGTTTGTAGGTATATTGGCAGATGGCCATTATATATTGCCATTAAAGTTTTGCAGTCAAGCCATATTTTAGTTTAGTTGCTGTATTGTTATGAATAGACTTATCAGCTGTCTGGGAAATTGTAACTAAGCATTTACAAGGAAATATAAGAGTGGAATTTTGGCAGGTATGTCACATGGTAAGTGACAGCTTGTAACCAGCTCTTTTTTTGTTAGTGTGTAAATGGAGCTGCTTAGGAACATTGTTTTTACTCTCCCTTAGACCCAGTTTTTAGTCAGTGGAAAGAGGAGGTGATTCTACTAATTGTCTAAGAAAATTTTAGGAATCTCAAGTAGACTATGTGGCAGCTTTGGGTTTTTTTCTTGTCTGTTTCATTTACAACAGGATTTCTCAACCTTGGCACTTATTGACGACTTGGTCCAGATAGTTCTTTGTTGTGGTGGGTTGTCTTGAGCATTGTAAGACGTTCAGCAGCATCCCTGGCCTCTATCCATTAAATGCCAGTATCTTCCCTTGCAATCGTGACAATAAAAAATGTCCACACATTGCCAGATGTCCCCTGGATTGTAAATTCACCCCCAGTTGAGAACCACTGATTTAGAAAATATATGTAGTAAAGATATATATGCACTGCATGGGTTCATTTTCTTGTTTTCTCCTCTAAGCCACAGATTGGATTTTCTTTTCAGTTTTCTTTTAGGTAGTAATAGGCTAGTTACCATAGGCAGACATTATCCATAAACATTTGTACATATTTTAATTTCTTAAATCTGTGTTCTTTTACTGGCAATTATTGAATACTTATTGTATAGAGCACAATTACCGGGGTTATGCCTTTGGCAAATTAAAAGAAAGACATTTAAGTAGCTATAATAGTAGGTCAAAGGTATTATGTAAGTATAGGCAAGAAGTTTATTCCAACAGAGGTGGAGATGGGGTGGAGAGGGTGTCTTTGAGGAGGTGAGATTTGGTTTGTACATTGAAAGATGGATGGGATTTTAATAAGTGGATATTGGGCAAATTGCCATTTCAGGCGGGAAGAACAACTCATGGCTCCTTTATTCCAAATAAGTTTTTTAAAAATTGATTCACTCACTTAATACATTGCATTAATTAGTATGCTGACCACATCTAAGTTTTTCTTAGATAAGGTAGGTTTATGGACAGAGAAGTGGTGATGTGGAAGTGGTAGTTCAAAGATTTGGTGGCTGCTGTAGGCCTCAAAAAGGGAAAAGGAATTTGGTCAGGCAGGATCCTACAGAATCCCTTCCTTTAACTGTACTCTTTAATGTTTACCATCCTTCAGGATCTTTTTTCACTTGTGTCGCTCTCTTCTTTTAAATTATTCCCTTTACCGATCTTACTTTCTGTGAACCAATCTCAATTTTCCTTTAAAAGGCCTTCCTGATCTGATTTTTCTTTTCAAGTTCTGTCCTTCTTTACCTTTGTTTTATGGCCAAGCGTTTCAAGTTTGCCCTAACCTATGTTTTTCCTTTAGTTACCATCTACTTTTCCTTAATCCCTTGCTATCAGTCCATTTTTTTCTGAGTACATTATTGAAATTACCATTTCCAAAGGTGCCAAAGACCTCACGGTGGCCAAATTCATTTACTGATTGTTTTCCTTTCCCTCAAACTCACACTTTTGTTTTCCTTCCTCTGTGTGTCCCCCTCTCTTGTATCTGTCCTTCTATCCATTCCACCAATAAACATTCAGTTTGGGCCATGCTATATCCCAGGTCCCTGGGGATAAAAAGAGACTGTGCCCTCAAGTAGTTTCACTGGGCATACAAGTAAGTACTCAATTACCAAATAGTTCATACTGGCAGTGGTATATACACAGAGGCTTTACAGGGTGTTCTGAGCTCTGTTGCGTTTAGCATCAAGATTTCATGATTCTAATTACATTGCCCATTCTTTTGAAAAATTCTTCCTACTGTTACCTTACCTGCATTTCTTCCTGCAAGCATCAAGAAGGAAGCATTGATCTGGGGCTTTAAGCACCATCTGCTACTTTCTGTGTGGGCTAACAACTTAACATTTCTGTGTCTTGATTTCTTTATTTGTAAAACGGAACATTGATCTCCTAAAATTGCTGTCAGTGTTAACAAAGGTTTACATGTGTTTAACAAATTCTGGTTCTTTTTCAGGTTCTTTACCACCTGTCCCCCTGCCAATTAATCTTTGCGTTGCTTCTATATTAATAGTCTTGAAAAAGTATTTGTATATGGCTTTCACTTCCTTAAACTCATTTATCTGGTATTGTTGGCCTTCCATAAAATGACCTGCACCTACCTCTGCCTCATGATATCTTCTTACTCCCTGATAGAAACCAACTGCCTTAGCCAGAGTAATCTCATTGTTTTCTAATCATGGCATATGCATTCCTGCTTAAATCTCTCTTCCCATGTCATTTCCCATGTGGGAAGTGCCACACTGTACTAGCTTAGCTTAAACTTCACCTTCTTTTGTGAAGACTTCCTTGTGTACTCTGGTGATTTCTGCATTCTTTAAACTTTGTAGCATTTCCTGTATCTTAGTCATTTGGTACTTGTAATTTCTTAATTTTGTAATGATCTCTTTTTTTATATGTGACTTATCTCTGCAGCTAGACTAAGTATGGTTGAGACCATGTTTCAGCATCTTTTAAATGTACAGTGTACATAATTGGTGTTAAATAAAATTGTCATGCTTTTGTTTTGTTTTTGCAAAACATTTAGGACTATTTACCGTATGCCAGTGCTAGGCTCTGAGAATATAAAAATGAACCGATACTTACTCTTTAGGATAGTGGCTCCTGAGGGAGACAGATGTGGCACAAATATTTCAATATAATGTAGTAAATACAGTGTGAAATGTTTTCAAGGAATTCCATGAGTGTACTAAGGGAAGTGGAACTTTTCCTGCATAGGAGGTTTAGGGAAAGCTTCTGGAGTTGAACACCAGAGTTCAGTTTTACTTATTTTTTTATTTTTCTCAGAGACAGGATTTCGCTCTGTTGCCCAGGCTGGTTTTGAACTCCTGGCCTTAAGTGATCCTCTTGCCTCAAGTGATCCTCTTGCCTCAGCCTCCCAAGTTGCTTAGATTTATAGCCATGAGCCACCATTCCCTGTGGGCTGAATTTTAAAAGGATGAGCAGGATTAGCCAGGTAAAAAAGAAGAGTATAGCAGGCAAAGAACAAAATGAGTAAATGCCTCAGTGCAGTGTGTTTGAAGAACTCTAAAAGAATCCTGATACTAGGAATGACTGAGTTTGGTTGATGTAAACATTATGATCAGATTGAGACTACCAGTCACATTAGGCCATATAAATTAGAGATTTTGATTAGTCCATATCTCATTCTGCATTTTTTTGTGTGGGGGTGGGGGGTCTAAGGTTTTTTTCAGTGAACCTGGTCATTAATCTTAAGGGAGCAGTTTATATTTGAGTAGCTGGTGTGTGTTATGCACATTCCTACTGGAATAGGGAGACACAAGAGAGAAAGATTTATATAATGCCTACAGTACTTCCTCTTGAGATATGTAAAGATTTAGATTTCCTCCCCCTACTTTTGTAAGTAGCCTCATCTTAGGTAAAAAAAAAAAATAGCTATTTGGAACATTATTAAATGATTACGTGGGAAATGATGACAGTGTTAGTGAGTACAGTAGTCCTCCCTTAATTATGGTTTTAGTTACCTTGTGGTCAATGGTAACTAAAAGTAGGTGGTCAGAAAATAGGTGAGTACAGTACAATATATTTTGAGAGAGTGAGAGACCATGTTCACATAACTTATTATAGCTTATGTCATAATTATTCCATTTTATTATTAGCTATTGTTAGTCTCTCACTGTGCCTAATTTATAAGTTAAACTATCATAGGTAAATCTGTATAGGAAAAAAGTGGTATATATAGTGTTTGTTACCACCTGAAGTTTCAGGCATCCACAGAGTCATCTCCCATGGATAATGGAGGACTAATGTACATGTAATTCTGAAAACAGCTTTGGGCTAATAGGACTTCATTTATAGAATCCTCACCTTGAGATAAGGAGGTAGAATGGAGGTAGAGTTGTGGGAAGGAGAAGTTCTACAGCATTAGGGGGAAATATCAGAAATCTTTAGTTACTAAGGTTAAGTGAAGTGTCTTTGGATTTAACTTTTTCAAGTCATAAAGAAGAAAAACTTTGCAGACCCTTTGATGATTAGTGTTTTGTTCTCACAGTTCTTGATGGCATTTTCCTACTGTTGTGTCTTGTCTTAAATGACAAGCATGATTCTGAAAGTCTGTTATAACTGCTATATTGCATTAATATTCTCATCTGTTTCCCAAAACTCTTTGGGTTCTTTTCTCAGATCGCAGAAGTTGAGTTCTTTTTCTTTCCTTCTCCTTCCCAAAGACATATAATAGTATTTCAGTGCTGTGTTAGTTGGGATACAGTATAATGGATGTGTCTGTTTTACTAATACTGCCTCTTAGAAAGGTTACGAATTATTTACTTTTGTATCAGGTGATCACCTAACCAGATTATCTTTGAGATACTGTACAGTAATGAGATAATTAGTAGTGAGGTAATCAAAGGAAAATGCAACTGGAAGATGGTATTCAAAGAGAAAAATGAGTTAAAGACTGCTTACTTGAAATTTTTTTTATTACTGGTGAAAAAAGTAAAAAAGCATAGTGTTGAGAGAACCACCATAGGATAAATTTGGACATTAAAGAGTGTCTTAGGACATCTGCAGAATTTTGTGTGTGTGCATACATACAACTTGTGTAATATATTATGAGGTGAAATTTTTGTACTTTTAACATCTAATTCTATGAAATCATATTCCTCAATTTCTGTTTAAGTAACCAAAATGACAGTATTATACCTTGTCTGAAATAATCATTAGTTTTGTTTTTTGATGAAAAAAGGTTAGACCATTTTAAGAACCACAACTCAAATAATAAGGCATACTGGCCATAAATTCTGGTTTATGAAAGGAAAATAATGTAACAGATTAATTGCTTTCTGGTTTTCTAATGTAATATATTAATTTGGTTGTTTAAACGCATACACAGGTCTTTTTGGCTCCCTAAGACAGCGGCACGGCATAGCAAGTTGAATGAGCCAAGGAGTTTGAATTAAGACTGGCTTAATTTGTATTTTGGTTGTCCTGAGTTCAGATCCCTATTATATACTAGCAATGTAACCTTGAAGCTCTCTAGTTTTTTACCTTGGCTACCTGTAAAATGACCATGGTAGAATTACTAGGAGAATTACATGAGAAGATAGACACAGTATAATCCCTCCATAGCCGTGGGAGATTGGTTCCAGGACCCCCACAATACCAAAATCTGTAGGTGCTCCTTTATATAAAATGGCATAGTACTTGCACATAACCTGCATACATTGTCTACTCTAAATCATCTCTAGATCACTTACAATATGTAATACAATGTAAAAGTTGTTACACTATATTGCTTTTTAATTTGTATTTTAAAAAATTGTTATTTTTTTCTGAAAAAAAATTTTTTTTTTTTTTTTTGGTCTACAATTGGTTGAATCCATGGATGAGGAACTCACCGATAGAGGGCCAGCTCATACCACAATAACCCTCATGCTTTCTGCTTTTTTGTTACCTGTGCTGTTTCTTTATACCTGAAATAACAATTAGTCTTTCCACTATTTTTGGCAGCTGATTTGAAGCTACAAGTGATGGCAGTTCTCAAGAATGTGTCACCAGGAACAATTCTCTCTCCCTTTAAATGCTAACAGGGAATTGTTAGCATTTCCTTTGTATGAGGGTTACTTGCTTTTGTGTTGGATTTGGGAGAGGTGTGCAGTATATCCTGATGTGGCCATATAGGTATATCCTTTAATATTAATCTTTGTGAAACTTAGGAGACTCCTGAGTTAATATCCTTTATCTAAAAATTTTTTGGTATGTGATTTTATTATTTTATAAATAATGTTTTTAGTAATCATTTTGACCTGTTGTTTGAAAGGCTTATTATACTCTTAGACCATCTGCCATATAGCTTCTGGGTTAGCTTCCATTCGCATGTAATCTGGCATACACTGACATACCTTTTCTTTTTTCAGTTCTGACATTGAGGCTTGTATAGACTAGCAATAAGGAATAACTTCACAGAGAGGCTGTTTGTTTGTTCTTTTGACATGATTGTTAGTAGTAATAGCCAGCACTTTTATGTTGTGCCAGACAGTATTCCAAATATTGTGTGTTTATTAACTCTTTGAATAGTAGATGTATACTATTATTGCTCTGTTACACAGCTAGGCAAACAGGCATAGGAGACATACATGCAGAAAGTGGCAGAGCTGGGTTTTGAACCTAGATATCAGGCTGATTCTATCTGTATCTGTATAGTTTTATAATCTTATTTGCTTAGGATTGTATGATTTTATTTTTATTTTATTTTTGTTTATATAAAACATAATGTAATATGTAGAATTATAAACATATATAATCTGAACACTCTTCTCATCAGTGTCAACCTTCCTAATGCACTTTTTCTTTGTAGATAATAAGCGGGAAGTGGGCCGGGTAGTTTTGCCAAAAAACTTACTTAGGGGAGATAAGTTTTTCTTGTATATTTGAAATTAATTCATTTAGATTGCTTTATCTTACTGACTAGTTGACCTGCTATTCCTCCCTTATTATAGCTGTTCTTTCTGCAGGTTTTGTCTTTAGTTAGTATCACTACTTAGATACAGTTTATTTCCTAGAACACTGGGGAATATTGAGAACCAGCTATTATGGGGGAAAATAACTTTGACCTATCAGGGCTAATAGTACAAGTAGTGAATGACTTGCCAGTTTTTGTGGATAACTTCACTGCAGAAGATTTGGATTCCATTTTCCTCACTGACTTGGTTATTACATAGAGATGTTTAGGTGCCAGCTTCTGACACTGAGGATTATAATTTTGCATGTATGAAATTTAAATCTTGGATAATAACTTGCTTCTAAAGGAAAATTCAATGTAACTTTTAAAAAGTAACAGATTACTAAAGCTATACTTTATATGTGACCTGATATCTTTGAATTTAATGTTTACCCTTGGAAATTTATTGTTACCTGAAATTGAGACAGCAAGACTGTGGTTAACTAGGAAAAGGGACAGCTTTCCTTTACTCACTTCCCAGTCTTAATTTCTTTCTTTCATATGACTTTACATTGCTCTTGAAAATTTCCTTCTTCCAGAAAGTCTTTCTTTGGATCATCTTAGAATTTTCTCAGGTAAATGAGTAGATGTTTCTCTTTTGTGTGTGCACCATGTTGTTCTCATGTTGTCATTTAAGAGGAGGGCTTTCTCTTAATTATTTTGGGACAACCTTAGAACCATACTGACACCCAGTAAATGTTGGCTAATAATATATGAGATTGCACTTACTGCAAACATTTTGAATTACGTGAATTTCTCAGAGTAATTGACATATTCAGTCTTCAAGGAATGGTAGAGTCTGAATAATTAGTACTATTCTTCATTGTTACATAAAACCAAGCACACTTGACTTAAGCAATGAAAAGAAGCAAAAACTGTATAAACTGTGTCACAGGCCTTTTTTTTGTGTGTGACGGATTCTTACTTTGTTGCCCAAACTGGAGTGCAGTGGTGCCATCTCGGCTCACTGCAGCCTCCACCTCCTGGGTTCAAGCGATTCTCCTGCCTCAGCCTGCTGAGTAGCTGGGATTACAGGCGCCCGCCACCACGCCTGGCCGATTTTTGTGTTTTTAGTAGAGATGGGGTGTCACCATGTTGGTCAGGCTGGTCTCGAACTCCTGACCTCGTGATCCACCTGCATTGGCCTCCCAAAGTGCTGTGATTACAGGCGTGAGCCACCACACCTGGCCTTTTCTTTTTTTCTGAGACAGGGTCTCACTGTGTCACCCAGGCTGGACTCCAGTCACGTATTCACAGCAACCTCTACCTCCCAGGCTCAAATGATCCTCCCACCTCAGCCTCCTGAGTAGCTAGGACTACAGGCGCACGCCACCACACCCAGCTAATTTTGGAATTTTTTTCTTCGTAGAGATGGGTCTCTCCAGGTTGCTCAGGCTGGTCACTGTCTTTTTAAAGAAATGCTGATAACACTGTAGATGTAAGAATTGAAGAATACAGGAGTTTATTAGGTTTTTAGTTGCAAGGAACAGAAAAAACACTGGCTCACTTAAGCGGTGAAAGGGCTGGAGATGTAGGACCAGTAGCGGTATTCGTTTCCTTTTCCTGCTCTAACAAATTACTACCACCATGGTGGGGTTAAAACACACAACAGTTCTGGAGGTCAGAGGTCCAAAATGGGTCCTACCAGGCTAAAGTCAAGGTGCCATTCCTTCTAGAGTGTCTAGGAGGAAAATCCTTTTTCTTGCCTTTTCCAGCTTTTCAGACTGCCCACATTCCTTAGCTCATGGCCCCCTTCCATCTTCAAAGCCAGTAGTCACATTACTCTATATTCTACTTCCCCCACCACTCTTTCTCTGACTCTCCTGCCTCTCTTTCACTTAGAAAGATCCTTGTAATCACATTGGACACACCCAGATAATTCAATACACTCTCCCTTTCTCAAAATCCTTAACTAATCACACCTGAAAAATCCCTGTTGTAGATAAAATTCAAGGTTCTGGGATTAGGATGTGGACATCTCTAAGGAGCCATTATTCTGCTTTCCACAATAGCTATACAGCCTGGAACAGTGCCTCAAATCACATCATAGAACTCAGCCTGTGAAGACACTTTGCAGAACCTTGATTGTGTCAGTTACTTTGCATCCCTGATCCTAACACCACTCATGCTGGCCCTATTGGAAATTGGATGTGCTTGCTGCTGCTATCCAGAATGGATTAGCCACAGTCCCCACTTTCTCTCATTAGTTCACACTTAAATGTGGGGTTGATGTGTTTGTTGATGGAGCCTGAATTATGTGTCTGTACACTAGCTGCAAATGAAGCTGGTAAATATATAATGGGAAGCAGGTTCTGCTTTATAAATTGTGGGGATTTCTCAAAAATAGGAAGAGAAATTCAGATGCTGGGCTTGAATACCAACCAGAGAGAACATATAAGTACAGTTGAGAGTCATTGGTATAAGGATTCCATTCGTTTGACAAACTGTACCAGAGATACACAGATGGATGAGATACATTTCTGTTTCTGTTGGTGCTAGCCAGAGCAAGAGTGGAAAGCCGTGTTCATATGTCAGTAGCCTAACATAAATCAGTACTATTTCTCTGAGACTCTGATAGGAAGCCAGCTCTGTTATGTGAAGGCTTTTCACTTAGTGTGTTTTTCATCTGTTCACCAAAAATTGCTATTGGCTGTACTTTTGCCTTTCAAATGGTGACATGAGAATAGTTGATAGAGGAAGGTGGGTAGGTTTTGAGGTTTTTCTCTTTCACTCCAGAAGGTTATCAGTTAAAGTGGTATTGATGTATAACTGTGCTGTCCAATATGGTACCCACTGGCCACATATGGCTATTTAAATGCATTTAAATAAAATGAAATTTAAGATCCAGTTTCTCAGATGGTGACATGAGAATAGTTGATAGAGGAAGGTGGGAAGGTTTTGTGGCTTTTCTCTTTTCACTCCAGTAGGTTATCAGTAACAGTGGTATTGATATATAACTGTGCTGTCCAGTGTGGTAGCCACTGGCCACATGTGGCCATTTAAATAGAATGAAATTTAAGATCTAGTTTCTCAGTTACACTAAGCATGTGTCAAGTGCTCATGTGGCTAGTGACTGCCATATTGGATAGCTCAGTTTTATACCCATGGTGTAGCATCTTTACTGTACAAGAGTCAATCCAGGAAAAGTAAAATGTTTATAAGGCTTTTTTTTTTTTTTTTTTTTTTTGAGACGGTCTCACTCTGTTGCCCAGGCTGGAGTGCAGTGGCAGTCTCAGCTCACTGCAACCTCCACCTCCCAGGTTCAAGTGACTCTCCTGCCTCAGCCTCCTGAGTAGCTGGGATTACAGGCACCCACCACCATGTCCAGCTAATTTTTGTGTTTTTAGTAGAGACGAGGTTTTGCTGTGTTGGCCAGGCAGGTCTCGAACTTCTGACCTTAGGTGATCCACCCGCCTTGGCCTCCCAAAGTGCTGGGATTACAGGCTTGAGCCACCACGCCTGGCCAAGGCTTTTTTTCTTTTTAACCCTAATTATTTTTCTTTTTGATATAGTTCATGAGTGTTCACAATATCTTTCACGTGTGTTAGATGTTTTCACCGACAGAATCCTGCACAATAGGCTTAATTAACCCTCACTTTTCATACAGAAAATTGAAGCTTAAAAAAAAAAGTTCAATCAACAGAGTTAGACAGGGCTTGAATTTTATTTAATTCTACTCAATCCAATATAAAATACCTAAGGTGCTAAGTACTGTGTTAAATAGTAAGATACTAAAAAGCTAGCTGCTCTGCCCAGGTCTGGTCCTCATTCTCGGGTTCTTGTCAGATCTTTCTGCTTGGGCTGGGCAAGGGAGGACAAGTGGAATAACTTTGTGAAGGGCAAGTGTGGTTTCTTTGAAATTGGTTACAGAGTGCTCTGGCTGTTGTACATCTAACTCCTAGGTCCTACAGCTTGGGCTGGGACCTCACCTCCCTAAGGATGGTTAGATGTGAAGAATGAGTGGGAGAGAGATTGATTCATCGATGATATTGATGTTGACCATAGAGAAATAGTAGCGCTTTTAATGGAAATGAGGAATAAAAGGGAATATTTAATGAATATCTATGGTGAGATGCCAGATAGACAATTGGAATAGGACCATGGCTGGGTTAGAATTATTGCCTTTGTATTGTCTTCAATAATGGTGAGACTTGAATCTACAAGCTGGGAAGTATGAATTAAAGAAGTATAAGGGCATTAGGGCCAGCTTCTTAGGGAACAAGTACCAGATAGTAATAAAGATCAACTTCTATTCTCAATGGTTTTGTTACTCTACCTATTTAGGTGGAAGGAGAAAGAAGAAACAAGAAGTGACCTATCGAAAACGTGAGAGGGACTAGGAAAGACTGAGCAGAAAAGTTTTAATGAAGGGGTTGCTCTAATGCAATAGTTTGCAAAATGTGGTCCCCAGATGAGCATCATCAGCATCACCTGGGAACTTACTAGAAACACAAATTTTTGAGCCCCATCTCAGACCAGCTGAATCAGAACCTCTTGGGATATGGCCCAGCAATCTGGGTGATCCAGGGCTAGTTTTTGAAAAAACACTGGTAAAGTATGGTATTGAGTACTGAGAGTTTGGGAAATACAAGGACTGAGAAAAAGCTCTTAGATTGGTCAGGGAAGGTCATTGGTAACACTTGAGCAAATTTGCTACAATGATAAAAGACCCTAACTGCAAGTTTAGAGATGACTTAGGTAATCAGAAAGTAAAGCCAGTAGCTATATATATTGTCTTTTCATAAAGTTCAAAGACAGGGAGAAAGATGGATGCTTGATGGCAAAAGCAGGATGGACGGAAACTTAGGTTGGAAGGACTGGAGTACATTTTATGTTTTGGGCTTCAACAGACAATATAAAAGGGCATTTATTTTGTAGAAATTGTTTTATTCTTACCTGTGGACATTTTCTATGCAGAAAGCATTTTAAGTATAAAATATTTTAAAATTGGCTTATAGGAGACTGATATTTTAATAACTATTATAAATGTATATCTGCATTGAATAAAATAAAAACGTTAAGATTAAAAAATTTGGTAACATTACATTGCCACCGCTACTGTTAATACTTTCTAGTCTTTTTATCAATATAGAATATGCATTTTATGCATATACAGATAATGCATTTTAAACATATACTGTTTTAATCAAATTCTCTATGTAATAAAATATATTTATTTTAAATGTATAGTTAAGAATTTTGACAAACATATGCCCCTATAACCATCACCCTGATCAAGAACATTTCAAATCCCCCCAAAGTGCTTTTATTTATATATTTAATTTGAGATGGAGTCTCACTCTGTCGCCCAGGTTGGAGTGCAGTGGCACAATCTTGGTGCACTGCAACCTCTGCCTCCCAGGTTGAAGCAATTCTCCTGCCTCAGCCTCCTAAGTAGCTGGGATTACAGGCATGCGCCACCATGCCTGGCTGATTTTTATATTTTTAGTAGAGCTGGGGTTTCGCCATGTTGGCCAGGCTATTCTCAAACTCCTGACCTCAGCCTCTCAGAGTGCTGGGATTACAGGCGTGAGCTGCCATGCCTGGCCTCAAAGTGCTTTTAGACCCCTTGCAGTCAATCTTAACTCTGCTTAACCCTCTGTGCCTCAGGCAATCATTACTCTGATTTTTTTCAATGTTAAGTTTGTTCGCATGTCCGGTAACTTCTGAAGTGGGATGATGTAATGCATTATTTTGTGCCTGTATTCTGTTGGCATAAAACATGCCAAGCAATTAATGCACATTGTTGTACACATTCATAGTTCCTTCCTTTGTTTACTGCTGAATAATATTCTTTTGTGTGAATATATAATTTGTTTATCCATTCAGCTTTTGATGAACCTTTAGGTTGTTTCTAATTTTTTGCTATTATGAATAAAGCTAGAACATTCTGTCTAAGTCTTTTTGTGTACATGTGTTTTCATTTCTCTTGGTTTGCATGTATGTATTTTGGGATATAAATGTGTGCATGTGCATGTATAGAATGTTACATACATGCACATATATATACACTCGGGTACATACATATGTGGCTATATACATATATATATATCTCCTAGTCTGTGGCTTGTCTTTTCGGTTTTTAATGTATCTTTTGAAGAGCATAAGTTTTAAATAAATACTGATGAATCTAGTTTATTAGGTTTTTTCTTTTATTGAATCTTAGCTAAGAATTCTTTATCTATCATGGATTGGTGTCTTGATCTATTTGTGCTGCTATAATAAAATACCTAAGACTAGGTAATTTATAAGCAACAGAAATTTATTTCTCACAGATCCAGAGGCTGGGAAGTCCAGTATTAAGGTGCCGGCAGGTTCGGTGCTGGCAAGAGCCCAGTCTCTGCTTCCAAGATGGCACCTTGTTGCTGCCTTCTCTACAGGGGACAAATGCTGTGTCCACATATGGCAGAAGGGATGGAAGGGCAAAAAAGGCCGTACCTAATTCTCTCCAGCCCTTTCGTATGGCACTGATCTCATCCATGAAGGCAGAGTCCTCATAGTCTGATCACCTCCTAAAGGCATCACCTCTTAATACTGTTGTGTTGGGGATTAAGATTTAACATGAATTTTGGAGGAGGAGGCACAAGCCGTCATACCATACCAGGCAGTAAAAATTTACTCCTTAGTTTTCTTCTAGAAATAGATTAAGTCTGTGATCCATTTTGGGTTAATTTTTCTGTGATGTATACTATTGTTTGAGGTTAATTTTTTTCTAGTTTTAAAATTTTCATCCAGTTGTTCCAGCATCACTTGTTGAGAAAATTGTTTTTCCCATTAAATTACTTTGATACCTTTGTCAAAAATATATTGGCTATACATGTAAAAACACACATACACGTATACATAAATGTAGAAATAGGTGAGCCTGTTTCTGACCTCTGTTCTGTCCTATTTCTCTGCATGTCTTTCCTTTGACTACTATACTGTCTTGATGACCACAACTCTCTAGTAAGTTTTGAAATCAGGTAATCTAAGTTCTCTATTTTTTGGGAATTGTTTTAGCTATTCTAGGTTTTTGCATTTCCAGATAAATTTTAAAATAGCCTGCCAGTTTCTAACGAAAACAATCTGCTTGGGTTCTGATTGCAATTGTGTTATAACTATAGTTCAGTTTGGGGAGAATTATATAAATCCTTCTGAAGAATCAGCTTTTGTCTTTCACTTATTTTCTGTGTCTTTGTTTTCTGCTCTTCACTATTTCCTTCCTTCTACTTTATTTGGATTTAATATGCTGTTCTTTTTTTTATAGCTTCTTAGATGCTTAGGTAGATGCTTAGATCAAGGCTTTTAGACCTATTTTAACATAAGCATATAAAGCTATAAATACCTCTCTAAGCACTGCTTTTATTGCATCCGACACGTTATATATGTTTCCGTTTTCATTTGGCTTAAAATATTTTCCAGTTTCTCCTGTGATTTATTCTTTGACCTGTGATTATTTATTATTTATTTTATTTTATTTGTTTTTAGAGACACGATCTCGCTCTGTTGCCTAGGTATTGTGCAGTGGTACAATCATAATTCACTGCGACTTCAAACTCTTAGGCTCAAGTGATCCTCCCACCTCAGCCTCCTGAGTAGCTGGAACTACAGGAATGCACTGCCACTGTTCCTGGCTAATTTTTACAAACTTTTTTATAAAGATAGGGTCTTATTGTATTGCCCAGGTTGGTCTCAAACTCTTGGCCTCAAGCGATCCCCTGGCCTCAGCCTCCCAAAGTGTTGAGATTACAGGTGTGAGCCACTACACCCGGCAACCTATGATTATTTAGAAATGTTTGATTCATTTCCAAATATTTGAGGAATTAGAGAACTTTATTCTTTAACTTAGACAACTAATTCTAGTTGTTTATATATATATTTTTAAATTTGTACTTCTATGACTTTAATTCTTTTAAATTTCTGAGATTTGTTTTGTGGTTCAGCATATGTTCTATCTTGGTGAATGTGCCATGTGCACTTACAAAGAAGGTGTATTCTTTTGTTGGGTAAAATGTTCTCTAAATGCCAGTGGGATCTGTTGGGTTATAACCTTAGTGTTGGTCTAACCTCACTGGTTTGTTTTGTTTTTGTTTTTTATTGAGACGGAGTCTTGCTCTGTCACCCAGGCTGGAGTGCAGTGGCGCAATCTCGGCTGATTGCAACCTCTGCCGCCCATGTTCAAGTGATTCTTGTGCCTTAACCTCCCAAGTACCTGGGACTATAGGCACACGCCACCACACCTGGCTAATTTTTGTATTTTGAGTAGAGACGGGGTTTCGCTGTTGGCCAGGCTGTTCTCGAATGCCTGACCTCAGGTGATCTGCCCGCCCTGGCCTCCCAGAGTGCTAGGATTACAGGCGTGAGTCATAGCACCCGGCCACTTTACTGGTTTTCTGCCTACTTTTTGTTAGTTATTGAGAGAGTTTTGGAATCTCCAAATAATTATAGATTTATCTATTTCTCTATTCCCTGTTTCTGTTTTTGTATTTTCTTTTTTGCTTGTTTGAAACAGGGTCTTGCTCTGTTGCCCAGGCTGCAGTGCAGTGACACCATCATGGCTCACTGCAGTCTCAATCACCTGGGCTCAAGCAATCCTCCCACCTCAGCCTCCTGAGCAGCTGGGACTACAGGCATACGCCACCATGCCTGCCTAATGTCTTCTATTGTTTTATGAACTGTCTTACTCTTTTTTAAATTGCTCTAGTATTTATATTATGCACCTTTATATTATATAATTTTATGTATAATATAAAATGTTACAACAATATAGTACTTTCATTTTCCTTTCCTTTTGTTTGTACTACTATTGTCAAACAGCTTCTATATTTGTTTTAAGTTTCAAAATTTAGGGGACTTTTTTGGTTTTTGTTTTTTTTTTCTTAAAACAATAAATTGACTTTTAAATAAGTTTTAAAACAAAGAGAAAAAAGTTATTTTATATTTACTCATATATTTACTATTTCTGGCACTCGTCATCTCTTTGTTTAGTTCAAGGCTTCCATCTGGTATCATTTTCTTCCAGCCCAAAGAGTTTCCTTTTTAATATTCCTTATGGTATTGATCTCTTGGCATCAAATTTCCTCAGCTCTTATGTTTCTAAAAAAAAAAACGTATTTTTTTCACCTTTGGTTTTAAAGAATATTTTTGCTGGGTATAAAATTATAGATTGGCATTTTTTCCCTA
The DNA here is from genome assembly GCF_000001405.40 of Homo sapiens. Taxonomy (NCBI): domain Eukaryota; kingdom Metazoa; phylum Chordata; class Mammalia; order Primates; family Hominidae; genus Homo; species Homo sapiens. Next base: position 183,494,684 of record NC_000001.11, read on the forward strand.
GTATTTTAAAGATGTTATTCTATTATCTTCTGGCTTGTCTTTTTTCTGATAAGAACTTAGCTAGCCCTTGTTCTTTTTTTTTTTTTTTTTTTTTTTTTTTTGAGATGGTGTCTCGCTCTGTTGCCCAGGCTGGAGTGCAGTGGTGCAATCTCGGCTCACCACAACCTTGGGTGTCTCGCTCTGTTGCCCAGGCTGGAGTGCAGTGGTGCAATCTCGGCTCACCACAACCTTGCCTCCCGGGTTCAAGCGATTCTCCTGCCTCAGCCTCCCGAGCAGCTGGGACTACAGACACACGCCACCATGCCCAGCTAATTTTGGTGTTTTTAGTAGAGACAGGGTTTCACTATGTTGGCCAGGCTGGTCTCCAACTCCTGACCTCATGATCCATCCACCTCGGCCTCTCAAAGTGCTGGGATTACAGGCGTGAGCCACCGTGCCCAGCCTCTTATTTTAATCCTTCTTAGGTAATATATATATATTTTTTTCTCTCCTTTTATCATTGTTTTTCAGCGATTTGATTAAAATGCCTTTGTGTGGTTTTCTTTTGTGTTTAAATGCTTGTAGTTGAGCTTCTTAGATTTATAGGCTTATAATTTTCATCAAATTTGGATCCTGCAATTGCCATTGAAGTCTGTATGTTCATTTCTCATGTATAATTCATGTGAGAAAATACGGTAAACCTGTGTTATCTGGTAATTCTCATTAATAAAAAATTTCTAAAATTAGGATTTTTGTTTTACATTATGTTGAGGAGGAAGAGAGAGTGAGGAAAACAACTAGAGAGAACTCCTGGGAAAGAACTTACGCTAGAAGCTAAAACCAGGAGGATTTCTTGAAGAGTTCTTTATCAGATTCAAGGGAAGTAGGATGTGGGTGTGTCTTATGCTGTTCAAAAAGGCAAACTGGGCCAAGCGAGGTGGCTCACGCCCCTAATCCCAGCACTTTGGGAGGCCGAGTCGGGCGGATCATGAGGTCAGGAGTTCGAGACTAGCCTGGACAACATGGGGAAACCCATCTCTACTAAAAATACAAAAATTAGCCGAGTGTGGTGGTGCGTGCCTGTAATCCCACCTACTCGGGAGGCTAAGACAAGAGAATCGCTTGAACCCAGGAGGCAGAGGTTGCAATGAGCCCAGATTGTGCCACTGTGCTCCAGCCTAGGTGACGAGCAAGACCTTTTCTCAATGGAAAAAAAAAAAAGGCAAACTGAATAAATCATAAGCAATGAGATATTTACACTTTAGCTTTTAATATATGAACTGTTGAAAATTGAGGCCTGTCATGCATTGTAAAATAATGAGCAAAAAAAGTTTAGGCTCCAGAATTCTGATACTGTGCCTGGATTTGAATTCCAGTCCTAGCACTTACCATCTTTGTGGCATTGGGCAAGTTTCCTAAAATCTCTAGGAGTTTCTTTAATCATAAAATTGGAAAAATGGTTATAATCTCAGGTTGTCATGAAAACTAAACCCAGGATGGCTTATGTTCTTCACTTGTCATTTAGTAGATCCCCAATAATTATTAGTTATCTTTCCTTCTTTATATATTAACTTTTTATTCTTTCATTCAGGGACTTTTTTTCCTTTTAAATATATGCAATAGTTAAACAAGTCCCTATGGCCCTCATGAGACTGTATTTACCCATTATGTTTCTCTATTGGATCTTTTCTATGTTGTTGTTTATCCCATCCTATTAAAAAACATGTTATGTATTCCATCTTAAAAACGCTTTTGACCTTTACATCTCTCTGTAGCTACTGCCTCTTTCTTTTCCCAGACTATTGTCTAAATTCAATTTTAACCTCAGTTCCTATCCTCTTATAACAAGATCCTCAGTGACTTCCACATTACTAAATCCAGTGATTAGTTCTCAGGCCTCATTTTACTTTATTTTTCAGGAGCATTTATTGATTCTGCCCTCTTTTCTTGAAGCTTTTTCTTTATTTGGCTTCTGGGACACTTCGTTTGACAAATTTACCTCCTACTTCTCTGGCCACTTGTTCTCAATCTGTTTACTATTTGTTTCCTTCTCAGTCTAGCCAGGAGTGTCCAGTGTTTTGGCTTCCCTGGGTTACATTGGAAAAAGAAGAATTGTCTTGGGCCACACATAAAATATGCTAACACTAATGATAGCTGATGAGCTTTTAAAAATTGCAAAAAAAATCTTAGAATGTTTTAAGAAAGTTTGTGAATTTGTGTTGGGCCGCAGTTAAAGCCGTCCTGGGCTGCATGTGGTCTGTGGGCCATGGATTGGACAGGCTTAGTCTAGCCCTTAAATATTGGAGTTTCTCAGACTTGTTACTCTTAACACTCCCTTGGTAATGTCATCCCGTCTTATGGGCTTTAACGAATATCTGTATGCTGATGACTCCCAAATGATATCTGTACTCCCACTTTCCTCTGACCCCTTTAACAAAACTCTTTAAGAAACTACCAGTTAATTACATTCATGTCATACCTTTGCTTAAAATGTCCAAAAATTTTGCTTGGTGGTTTCTCATATCTCAGACTATCTAGATCAAGTTAAGTCTGACCTGCATAGTCCAGAACAACTTCGCTCAAATGTCTGGGCCCTCAACTGGAATGGCTGTGATAGCTAAGAAAACTGGGTCTCTCTTCCCAAGTGGTCTGTCATCCTCAGCTTCATAGTGTTTTGATGGTGTTCCAAAAGGGCAAGCCCAAATGTGCCAGTGCTTACAAAGTCTCAGTGTCACATTTACTGAAGTCCAGTTGGCCAAAGTAAGTCACATGACCAAACCCAGGATTGGTAGGAGTTCCAGGGGTGCAAATGCCAAGAGGTGTGTGATTCATTGGGGGCAGTTAATAATGTATCACAGGTTTTATATAATCTGCATCTGGTTTAATTTGTTAAATTATTTTTTATTTTATTTATTTATTTATTTTGCGATGGAGTCTTGTTCTGTGGCCCAGGCTGGAGTGCAGTGGCGCGATCTTGGCTCACTGCAACCTCTGCCTCCCCGGTTCATGCGATTCTCCTGCCTCAGCCTCTGGAGTAGCTGGGATTATAGGCGCCCGCCACCGTGCCCGGCTAATTTTTGTCTTTTTAGTAGAGAGGGAGGTTTCACCATCTTGGCCAGGCTGGTCTAGAACTCCTGACCTCATGATCCCACCTGCCTCGGCCTCCCAAAGTGCTGGGATTACAGGCGTGAGCCACTGCACCTGGCCAAAATTATTTTATTATTATACAGCACCCATTTCTTTGCTCAGGAAAATAATCAAGAAAAAGAACTGTCTAGATAATTAAATTGTCATCTGGAAGTATGGGCTAAATAATGGCTCTTGTGAGAATATCAAGTTTGACTTTTGAGTATCTTTTGTTTTTCAGTTTCAGAGAGCACCTGGAAGTAGAGAATGTACTATTTGTACCACAATAATTTATAGAATATTTTATTTAGTTAAATCAGACAGTATCTTGAATATTGTTGCTAGTTAATTAACTTGTCCATCTTTCATGTTATCTACCTGTTCCAAGTTAGAAAGTTGAACTTTATTTCTCCCTAATCTAAAATTATATGGAGCTTTGCATTTTATAAAGCACTGTTTCAGCTGAGTGCAGTGGCTCATACCTGTAATCCCAGCACTTTGGGAGGCCGAGGCGGGAAGATCTTGAGCCTAGGAGTTCAAGATCAGCCTGGGCAACATGACAAAACTCTGTCTCTACTGCAGATACAAAAATTAGCCATCTGTGGTGGCACGTGCCTCTAGTTGCAGCTACTTGGGTGGCTAAAGAAGGAGCCTAGGAGGTTGAGGCTGCAGTAAGGCATGATTGTACCACTGCACTCCAGTCTGGGCAATAGAGTTTAAAACAAAAAACAAAAAACACTGTTTCTTTTTCCAACCTAATTTTTGTTCACCGTCACCTGTCAAAGGATGTGGTTACACTCTTGTTTTCTTTTTCCTTTAAAGCAGCTTTAGGTTTACAGACAAATTGCGAGAAAGGTATAGAGATTTCCCATATACCCCTTGCTCACACACATGAATAGCCTCCCCTGTTATGAACATTCCCCACCAGAGTGGTACATTTGTTATAACTCGTGAACTTACATTGACACATCATATTCACCCAAAGTTCATTTTACATTATAGTTCACTCTTGGTGTTGTACACTCTGTGGGTTTGGACCAGTGTGTAATGACATGTATCCACCGTTGTATAGTACAGAGTATTTTCACTGCCCTAAAAATCCTCTTTGCTCCACCTGTTCATTCCCCCTCTCTTCCCCTCCAACTCCTGGCAACCACTGATCTTTTTACTACCTCCATAGTTCTTGCCTTTTCCGGAATGTCATATGGTTGGAATCCTATGGTATATAGTCATTTTAGATTGTAACATGCATTTAAGTTTCCTTCATGTCTTTTCATGGTTTGATAGTTCATTTCTTTTTAGTGCGAAATAATAATCTGTTGTCTGGATGTGCCATAGATTATTTATCCTTTCCCCTACTGAAGGATATCTTGGTTGCTTCAGTAGGTGAATGGATAAATTAGTTTTCAGTGATTATAAATAAAGCCGATATGATATTCATGTGCAGGTTTTTGTGTAGACATCAGTTTTCAGCTCAATTGAATAAATACCTAGAGTCATATGGTAAGATTATGTTTAGCTTTGTGAGTAACTGCTAAACTTCCAAAGTGACTGTACTATTTTGCATTCCCAACAGCAGTGAATGAGAGTTCCCGATGCTCCACATTCTCATTCGCATTTGGTTTTGTAATTGTTCTGGATTTCGACCATTCTAATAGTGTAGTCGTAGATCATTATTGTTTTAACTTGCATTTCCCTGAGACGTTTTATGTGGAGCATCTTTTCACATGCTTATTTGCCATCTGTGTATCTTCTTTGGCAAGGTGTCTGTTAAGGTTTTGGCTCATTTTTTAATCGAGTTGCTTGTTTTCTTAATGTTCAAGAGTTCTTTGTATATTTCAGATAAGTCATTTATGAAATGCGTGTTTTATCTTCGACTTTGTGGCTTGTTGTTCTCTGGACAGCCTGTTTTCTCCATATTAACTCCTTGTACTTTGTCTTGTAATGTCCCTTTGTCAGTTTTTTCATATTACCATTTCCAAATAAATTTGGTGTGCCGTTACTTACATTAACACTACTTTTAATTCTAGTATCTACTCATATTTTTGCTTTCATTTTGGTATCCTTCTTGTTTGGAATTCTGTTAACCTTTTATCTGTATGTGCAAGCATCTGATTACTTTGTTATGTCTTCTAAGGTGGTCTTATCTGACCATTTATATATTGAGATACTAATTTTAATCTGTTTATTATTTCAAGAAGGTACAGGGGTTGTTGCAAAAAAAGGACTATTTTTAAAAAGGCATTGGGTTCATTGCTTTGGAAAGCATTGTTTTGGCATACCTTGTTTAATGTAAAAATTGAGATGAGGGGAAATAGCTTTCCTGTTGTTTATGGCTTAACCTACTTTGCTTGTTTCATTCATTTGGGTTGTGAGCTTATGTTCTGTTTGAAGTTATAGATTTTATATTTATATTATGTTCTGTTTGAAGTTTTAGAAATATTTAATGTTCTGTATATATTATATAGATTCCACTACGATGAAAACAAAGTGTGAATTTCAGAGAGCCAAGTAAATGATTATGTATTTATCTGATTGACTGTATAAAATGGTAGGTTTTCTTAAGAAAAAGGATGTTATTCCTGGTTCTCAGATGGAAAACCTTTCAGATTGTTTTTGGTGAAGACTTTTAAAACTATTGTCAGGTTTTAGAAACCTTGAGTTTTTAGGATCTTTACCTTTTATTGAGAAACTGTTTAGTCCAAATTAACCTGAATTTATTTGAGCAACTTGTATGCTGTGCACTATGTGAGGCACTACATATGCGTAATTGAATAGGACAGTTTCTAGTGAAGGAAATGTGTACACAAATAACTTTATTGTAGTCCTGTGAGTCCAATAATAGATGTGGGCATTAAGATGCACTGGGAGTACTCAGCCAAACTAAGACCTGCTTTTAGGAGTTACTGAGTTTAAAATACAAGAATGGGTTAACCAAACAAGGAGGGAAGTGGGAGGGCATTCTAGGATGAGTGAAAAAGCATGAATAAGGATACTGAGGGGCAAAACAACAAGAAATTAAAAGTAATTCAGGTTTATTGGATCACAAAGTGTAAAGTGAAAAGCTGTGGCACTTTATATGCTATGCTGAGGAACTTGAGTTTTATCATATTTTCTCTCATTCTTTTCCACTAAAGTGCGACTAAAGTCACAGGAGATTGAATACATGCTTTGGAAGTATGGCAGCAAAGTGCGCATAGACCTGCCACATATTTGAAATTTCTCCTAAGACGTATTTTATTGTGAAGAATTATGAAAAATGTTCTATTCTAGAATTGATTAGTGTGAGTTCTTAAGTTCCTAATTTATAGACTGAGGATAATAATAGCATTTACCTTTTAGGATTGCTGGGAGGAGTAATAACTATAAAATGATAATGACAATAATGGCCAACATTTTTTGAGGGCTTACTTACCAAGGAACAGTCCTAAGTGCTTTACTTCTGTTACCTCATTTAATCCTCAAAACACCTCAATGAGGTAGGTATTTTACTATCTCCATCTTATTTCTAACAAAACTGGGGCATAGAGAAGTAATTCACCTAAGGTTACACAGCTAGTAAGTGGCAGAGCTTGGTTTGAACCTAGGCAGTTTGAATATAAGACATTCTTACTATATTATACTCCCATTTTATGATATCATGCATATAGAATATTTAGCTTTGTATCTGGCACGTACTAATTATAAATGTAAGCAATTATCAATAGCAATAATAATAACTTACTTTGTCCAAATCTTTGAGTTAAATTGAAGTCCCCAAGAAATTGTGCTGTTTTTCTTGTGACTTGATTTACACCTGACATACCACTGGGGTGCAGAAAGTGTGACTCCCAAAGCCATGCTTTTAACCACTGCCGCCTCCTTCCTTGTTGGTCTGTCTCTACATTAGATTTTAAATCCATGGCAGGGACCATATCCATTTTTTTCATCATGGTACACTTAGTCCTTAACACTGTATCTATGATATAAAAATGACCAAATTTGTACAGTAAATGAGAATCGAAAAACGTGACATTTTCAACTGATCTTAGCATTATTCATACTACCTATAATTGTGTTTTAATTGTTTTACATATTTTTTACATAATTGTTTTGTTTTACATATTTTTTCTTCAGTAAGGAGTCCATCTGCTTCTGTGTTCTACAGGGCATTCTCATCCTGGTCTTAAAAGAGCCCTGCTTGGTAACCGGTATCTGTTTGTCCTGTAGTGATCACTCAGTTTTCAGACAGTGAGGAACATTAGAATAACATTTTGGTCTATAACTAGAATCTGTTAGAAATATATGAGACAGAATTTTTAAATGTTTGTTCTAAGAAACATTAAACAAAAAAAGAAAAAGGCTTTGACATTTTTCCTTTACCTTTCACATGAAGTCATTTCAAATAAAGATAAAATAATTTTCTTCATAGGGGTTCTCTGTTATTGTGGGTTAACTCATATTTTCCTCCTCTCCTCTATCTAGAATGTCTTAAACCATTCTACCTTATGAGAAATTGGATGTTCTTGCAGATAGTCATTGTGGGAGAAAACGTTTCATTTAAGTCCCAGATGAGGACCGAAAACTTGAAATCAGAGGAGCATCTGAAATCAAGTAATATTAGGTAGGATGAAAATTACAAGGGATTTCTACATGTTTTTATTCCTTTTGGAGATGTGTATTATTCATACTCTGTGAATACTAATAAAATTAGAAACTTCCTGAAACATTTGATTTTGGCCAAGATCGGGATGGGGCATGCTAAAGTTTTATTATTTATGTGACTTCTTGAGAACCTTGGCTTATGTTTATACTTTGTCTTGAGCATTTTTATCTTGTGGTCCAAGGAAGCTTTTGAAAATTTTACTGAAGTAAATTTTTAAAAATTTTGTTTTATATGAGGTCTCTGAATATTTATGATAAACGTAGGGACACATGATTTATACCTCATCCTTTAGAATGAAAGTTTCTGTGGTTTTTTTACATACTTAGTAAATCATGTGAGTGCAGGTAACATCAGCTTGCAGTTCTGTATGTCAGCGTGGATGCAATCAAGCCTCCCAAGTGCCTGTAGAAATAGGTGTATGATAGTATGCTAGAGAAGCCCTCTTGTACATGTGAATTAGTAACTATTGCTACAGCAGCTTATAATGACAGAAAATGCAAAGATGCTTGATCTCAAAGATGCAGCTTTTAACTGAGAGATGATAGTTGCCTCTGCGAGAGTGATACCTCTAGCCTGGCCATTTCAGAAGGCCTTAAATATGTTTATGAGCTCTGGGGTTTGGAACTAGATTGCAAGGGTGGAACCCAAGCTCTGCCATTTCCTAGTTATGTGACCTTGGGCAAGTTATTTAACCACTCTGTGCATCTATTCCCTCATCATCAAAATGGGCATAATATTGTTACTTACCTGATAGAATTGTTGTGAGAATCAAAGATTTAGTAATATATGAAAGCTAAGACCTGGCAAATAATAAGTGATTAAACTATATTATTGTTTGACTGCTGGTTAATTCTTAACAGATGAGTTTAGTCTGTTATCAGTTAGTGTGGTATTTCTATAATTTATAATTGTCTTGATATATCAGGTCCAATTTTAAAAATGTATTTGTTAAATAACGTAATCAGAACTAATGTTTGGAGAAAAATAAAAAAAAATAACATCCTGACTCAATTATTTTGTAATTTTTATGTATCTGCCTCTGGTTTTATTTTCTGTTTATACTAAGAACATAGTCTTCATGACATCTAAACTGTTTTTCTTTTGTCACTTGTGGTGGTAGAGGACATAGGGTTTTTTACTACAACTTTGAAATGTCTTTTTCAACCCAATGTGCCCCTTCAAAAGGGATCTCATGAAGCAGTGAGGGGAGGGAGGGACACCTGACTAGCCAGTCAGTAACCAGATTAGCAAAAGTAATTTGATGGTCATTGAACTATTCATGTCACAATCAGATTACCCCTCCTTATTCAAATGATCATTTAGGTTCTTTTATATAACTTACTTGTCTTATTTATTCCTCATAGCAACTTTGAAAAGTAGTTTCTATCCTCATTTTATGGATGAGGAAACAGTCTTCTTAAAAGCTCCAAGATAGCATTACTAATTTGTAGGAAAGCCCAAATTCAGACCTGAGTCTTTTTGCTTCATATTATTTTCCATTACATAAAACTGCCTCCTGTATGGTTCATATTTTATCACTCAATAATTCAACAAATTCAACAATTTTTAGTGAACAGCTGCCATGGGCCGAGGCATTATTCTAGTTGTTATGGCCCTCATCTTTTCCAACACTCCCAGTGGCTCATCTTTTTAGTTGTATTCTAGGCATATGTCTATTCTTGCACTGACTTTTATTGTATTGAAATTATGTACATGCCTTTGTATCTGTCACCTTACCTAGAGTTCCTTAAAAGTAGGTATCTACCAGTGTTATCATTTTGACTATTTAGAGTAAAAAAAAATTGACTTATTTTAATTTGTACTTACTGGTAGTATTTCCTTTTTTGAATTATCAGTTTGGTCTTCTAGCGATTTTTCTGTTGATATCTTGATTTATTTATTTATTTATTTATTTATTTATTTTGAGACCGAGTCTCGCTCTTGTTGTCCAGGCTGTAGTACAATGGTGTGATCTCGGCTCACTGCAACCTCCATCTCCCAGGTTCAAGTGATTCTCCTGCTTCAGCCTCCCGGGTAGCTGGGATGACAGGCACCCGTCACCATGCCCGGCTAATTTTTATATTTTTAGTAGAGACAGTTTCACCATGTTGGCCAGGCTGGTCTCAAACTCCTGACCTCCCGTGATCTGCCTGCCTCGGCCTCCCAAAGTACTGGGATTACAGGCGTGAGCCACAGCACCTGGCCAATATATTTTTGTATTAATTTTTCAATTTTGTCTAGTCCACATGGCTCTTAACACTTTCTCTGCATTCTTTTCTTTGTCATTTTGTAATTATCCCAAATATTTACCATTCTCCTCAGCTTATCCCCCTCTTACTTTCAGACACAGATTGGATCTACCTTATCTCTGAAATTGAGGAAATACAGCTGTAAATTCTCTTGACGTCTCCCTACCCCCAGTATTTCCTAGTTCTAACACATTTCTATTTAACCTTACCAACCTCCAATTTTATTCTGACTCTTTTTCAAGGCCAGTCCTCTTCCTGTCTTAATAATACCATTCTTATTTCCTTCTATCTCTTCCAGAACAGTGCTGTCAGTTTTATTTTCTCCTATTTTTTATTTTTTATATTTTATATTTCTCCTTCTTCAACCTATTCATTTCTTCCACCTTCTTTCCTTTATTCTAAACACTCTCAAGTGTCTCCCATTGGGAGAAGAAAAAAAAAAAAGAAGAAACTTCTGTTTAGCCGTGGCCTCCATCTCTGTCTCTTTACACAGTCCAGCATCCTAAGAGTTGACGTAAACTTCTCCCTCTTATTTGTTCCTCAACCTCCTGCATCCTGATATAATCTTTTCTCTGGCAAGGCTATCATTGACCCTTATTTCACCAAATCTGACACACTTTTCAGTCCTTATTTATCTCATAGTACTTTTCTGCTGTCTGTGATATTGATGACTACTCTTCCTTTTTGTTCTCTTATTTTCTATACTCCACTCTTCCCTTGCTGTCATACTATTCACCAATTTCTTCTTGGTGTCCTTCATGGAGTGTCTTTCATCTACTCTTTAAAAATGAAAACAGAGAACTAGCTCCACCCTTCTGAGTTTGTGGGCAGTTACATTTACTCTCATGGTTTTAACTGCCATCAATGTACTGATCACGTCAGTGCTGTATCCCTAGTCTCAAGTCTCCCCTGTGCTTGATACTTATCTCTGAATGCCTGCTTACGCATTCATTAATTCAACAAATTGAACGCATTTTTAGTGAACAGCTGCTACGGTCAAGGCATTATTGTAGCTGTTATGGGTGTAGCCCTGAACACTATCTTTTTTGCATTCTTTACCTTCTCATATACCCAGCTGGCCAAACTAACAATCTGGGAGTGACAGACTCTTTCCTCTGCTTTATCTTCCTTTCTTTTGGCTTAACTTACCAGGTATTTCTTGAATCTGGGTTTTTCCGTTCATCTGTATTACCACTTCCTTACTTCAGTCTTATATCTGTAGTAATCTTTCTAAAATGTAAATCTAACAATGCTATGCTCTTGCTTTAAATTCTGCACTGGTTTTCTATTGAAGGACAGAATCTGAACTCCAAGGCATGTCATGCAAGTCATGCAAGGCCTCTCACAATTTGTTCTGTCTGGATTCTTCAGCTTCATTATCTGTGGCTTTCTGCCTTGCATTTGATGCTCACTCACTAGCTTAGCTTTGCTTTTTATTGTTCTGTTATTTCTTCTGCTTGGAAGAATAACTCCTTCTCATCCTTTGAAATTCTCAGACCAGTGTTGGTCCTTAATAAAACTAGGTACACATTTTTAAAGAATATAAATTATGGAGCGAATGTTGTGGTATAGAGTATTGTAGTGTTGGGAGATTTGAAAATCCTTCATGAGCCCTAAAGTGCTGTAAAGAGAAAGCAAATTAGTATTTTTATTAACGTGTGCAAGAAAAGCTCCTTTAGGAGCAGCATCTTCTCTAGATTTTCTTTTCCAAATGACATTCAACAGTAGAGCAATATGATTTATTTTTCTCTGATTAATATTGCGAGACTTGATGTGTGTGTGGGTGTATACGCATGTGCACATTAAGTGCATGCTTACTTTATGTCTGGCCAATTATTCAGCATAAATAATTATGATTAGATTATTGTGTTTATGGTTATGATTGAGAAATGCTGTTATTATCCCAAGTATTCCTTAGAACTCTATGAAACAAGTGAACAAATTAACTTGTGGCTTTTGGTTAAATTTCTTAAAAAAAAAAAAAACACGAAAAAACTCCCAGCGTGTTCTCCCAAAATAAAAGAGAGTGATTCACTTTTCCTTAGCAGCTGTGAGTTTAGAAGATGTTGAGTTATATTCCTGAATTCTGCTCAAAGGGGATTGGGAGTTCAGGCAGAAGGAATCTCCCATTTTATGTGCCCTGATTTGGAAATATCTTACATTTTTAAACCATGAATCTTAGACTATATATTCTTTTTTTTTTTTTTTTTTTTGGAGACGGAGTCTCACTCTGTCACCTAGGCTGGAGTGCAGTGGTGTGATCTTGGCTCGCTGCAACCTACGCCCCCCAGGTTCAAGTGATTCTCCTGCCTCAGCCTCCAGAGTAGCTGGGACTACGGGTACATGCCACCACGCCAGGCTAATTTTTGTATTTTTAGTAGAGACGAGGCTTCGCTATGTTGGCTAGGCTGGTCTTGAACTCATGACCTCAGGTGGTCTGCCCACCTCAGCCTCCCAAAGTGTTGGGATTACAGGCGTGAGCCAGTGCCCAGCTGTTAGGCTATATATTCTTAAAAGAGATTATCCTGTATTTGTTACCTAGCATTGTTACATAAGTGCTATATGTATAATCAAGATATTTGTTAAAGAAGATAACCCAAATTTTAGTATTTTCCTCTAGTAACATTATTTGAAAAATTATCATAAAATGCTTAAGTATTGAAAGCCCCAGTTCTATGGGTTGTTACTATCAAACATTTCAATTTTTTTTTCTTATACTCTTGTGTAAGAGAGGAACTATTATATAATATCATAAAATAATGGTTAGGAGTTATACTCTGGAGCCATATTGATTATGCTACTTCTGCTACTTACTATGACCTTAACTAACGATACTACTTAACCTCTGTCTCCTTGGGTTTCTTGCACTATAAAGTGGGAACAATAACAGTACTTAGTGTGAAGTAAATAATTTATGTAAAGCTCTTAGAACAATGGCAATAGTAAACGCTACATATAGTGTTAGCTGTACCTATAGGCACTATAATATCTATATGTATTCTAATGTACCTAGTACCTATACTACCTCTTCTGTAGTACCTGTAGTATAGTATATAGTACTGAGTGTTTAGAATGCATTAAATGTATTTATAGATGTTGATTATTCCACGAGTATTTATTGTTTCAGTTTATTAGCTTTCAACATAGTTGGCTGTCACTGAATGTTCCATATTTTATTCAGCCTTTTAATGACTTTTTCTTTTTTTATTGCTTAATAGAATTGCTTAATTTTTCCTATTATTTAATAACTAAGACAATATATTTCGATAGCTATGTTTAATAGTGTTATTTTGTTATTGAAATCATGGTGATTTTATTCTTGGTTCATTCATTATTTTCATTAATTCCTTCAGCTTAAAGAATTAAAAGGAATTCATGTTGCCATACCCTCTACCAAGAGAAAACATTTTAAAGTTCTTGCCTCTCTGTATGAGCATTGGCTGTAAACTTCAATGTTAATTCATTGATGGTTTTTATAACAAAACCATAGAACAATTGAGGTATAGTATTTTTTTCTTCTTCTTCTTTGGAGACAAAGTCTCACTCCATTGCCCAGGTTGGAATGCAGTGGCACAAACACGGTTCACTGCAGCTTCAGAACTCCTAGGCTCAAGCAGTCCTCCCACCTCAGGCTCTTGAGTAGCTGGGACTACAAGTGCACACCACCACGCCAGCTAATTTTTTATTTTTTGTAGAGATGAAGTCTTCCTCTGGTGTCCAGGCTGGTCTTGAACTCCTGGCTCCAGTGATCCTCCTGCCTCAGCCTCCCAAAGTACTGTGATTACAGGTGTGAGCCACCATGCCTGGCCTATTTTTTTCTTTATAAAGTAAAATAATGATATAGCCAATTTTGTGCTAATCTATTAAAACATTTATATAAGGTTACGTATCCATTGATTTGATTTCTCATATATTGTACACTGTTTTTTAAAAAGAAAGCTAATAGTTGCTTAGGGGTGGGAAGATAGAGATTCCTTTTCTTGTGAGGCAGTAACTCTTAGCTTAACCCTCCCACCTGTCTAAATGGATATTTTGGGGATACAGAAAAAAAAGTTAGTGGATAATAGTATATAAGCCAAACTTTGTTTTAAAGAGTTTGCCACTAGATTTTATCAAAAACATAGCATGGCCTGCAAGTACTGTTTCTAATTATATGAGACTGTATTTTTTAAGATAGTCCACTTTGTGACAAGATCAAGATATTAACTAATAAAAACAGACTTTTACTCTGCAGACACTATTGTTGATGATTCCTTATAACCATAATTTGGTTTGGGAACTTAAAGAAGTTTTACTTTTGTTCTTTTCGTCAGATATTCCTTAGAGCAGGAGATGGCAAACTTTTTCTGTTAAAGGATCAGATAGTAAATATTTTAGGGTTGGTGGGCCATGTGGTTGTTGTCTCAACTCTGCCTTGGTAGCTGAAAACAGCCACAGACAACATGGAAATGAATGTGTGTGGCTGTGTTCCAATAAAACTGTCTTCACAAAAATAGATCCAGGATGAAAGGGAATTTCATCCACAAGCCGACCACGGCATTCGAGTATAAAATTTATTTCTTGTGGTCCTTTTGATAAAAATTTCAGATATAATCTATTTCCTTTATGAACAGATCTTTTAATTTAGGCTAACTGACTTAAATGTGAATGTTCCTAGATAAGCCAACATTAGCTTTTTATGTCATAGTAATTTTGTTATTCTACTTTGAAAGAAATAGAAATGACTTGGACTTTGTGGAGTCATTTAAGAACAAAATTTGTACCTAATTGTACCTGACTGCTTTGTGACTGGAAGAATTATTTTACATCTCGGAGCTTCAGTTTTTCCATTTATAAAACAGGAATAAGTATAGCTATCCCGTAGGGTTGTTATATTTTCCATTTAGCTGTCTTTATCAATTCAATTTAGCAAGGTTACTTTTAAAAAGAAAGCTAATAATTGTCATTATTAGAAAGCTAATAAAAGTAATTAACTTGTGCTTCTTTCAGAACCTAGGAAAGAACTGCCCAGAAATGAGCGCCTCTACCCTTGTTATACTGAGGAATCAAAGCTGGAATTTCAAAATATTTTAACTTTTATGTCAGTTTTTGTGACATTTTTATATTTCTATTAGTGCTTGACTTTTTAGTTTTACGGTTTTTCTTGGACAGATTATAGCATGGTAAAAATAACAGAGTAAAATTTTAGATCTGTGTTTATCAATGGAAGCCTGCTCCAGAGTCTGCAAGAACTATAGTTCATCACCTGACAGCTTATAAGAAAAGCAGATTGTTTGTAAATTACATTACTATTATATACCCCATATAATCTTTGACTGGAAGTTGGTAACATCATTAGGTGGATGTTAGCATACTGAAATGTTACTTGTTCATCTTTACAAAACAAATCATGTTTGGAATGAGAAAACAACCTTTAGATGCAGTATATATCCTGAACATACTTGAGTATAAATTTTTAGCTAACATAGGGAAGCATAGTAAAGTATATCCTTTGTAACTTCGCAACTCAAGGACAAAATGAAAGGTCATTCATTGAATCTAGTAAAGGTACATAATTAACCCTAGCTTTCTCACTATAAGGTTTATAAATTAGTACTCTCCAATAGGATTTTTCAGGGGAGGAGCGACATTTGTGACATTGGTAGGATAGGGTACATGGTATGCTTTATTAAATTGTATAAACTTAGGTTTTAAAGGCATAAGCCAACAGCTTTGCAAATATGTATTTTTTTTTAATGGCAAAAGTTAACACCTGAAGTGAAGAGTGAAGTCAGGCTATATGGATAATGGAATTTGATATGATGTTACATTTTACGACTAAGTGTGGCTATTTGTTTAGTATTCTTCATTTATGTTGCTAGTTCTTATAGGGCTTATGGTTACCTCCTTAGCACTACATTGAGATTCTGTTGTTTGAAAGCTTAATTTTTAAAAAGATGTAAATATCTTTTAAAGGCTAAGAGAATGAAAGGATTTGCTTTACATTTTAATGAAACAAATTTATTAGGTTGGTGCAAAAGTAATCATGGTTTTTGCTATGTTAAAAAATGGCAAAAACCATGATTACTTTTTCATCCTAATACAATTGACATTAAATACTTAATAAATTATATAAAACAATATTTACAGTAAAAATTTCAAAACCTTAATATTCTCTAGCTTTCATGCTAAAAGTGCAGGCGCCTGTAGTCCCAGCTACTTGGGAGGCTGAGGCAGGAGAATGGTGTGAACCTGGGAGGCGGAGCTTGCAGTGAGCCGAGATCGTGCTGCTGCACTCCAGCCTGGGCAACAGAGCGAGACTCCGTCTTAAGAAAAAAAAAAATGGAAATCTCAGCCTGGCATTGTGGCATGCGCCTGTAATCCCAGCTACTTTGCAGGCTGAGGCAGGAGGATCTCTTGAGCCCAGGAGTTGAAGACCATCCTGGGCAACATAGCAAGGCCCAGTCTCTCTCTCTCAAAAAAAAAAAAAATCTCTCTTAAGTTTATATACCTACCTTCTTAAATAGAGTATGAGTCTGATTTATACTTTTCCTCTCATTAAAAATATTGAGTGTCTGTTGTGTGCAAGGTGCTGTGCTAGTAGACAAGGAGTTGTGATGAGCATTCTTAAAATCTGTAATATGTAATATGAAGAAAAACTAGAAGTGCTGTGAGAGCATAAAATAGGATTATCCTTAATCTAGATGGAGTTCAGGTGGGGCTTTCTGAAGCAGTAATGTTCTGACTGAGATAAAAGATGAGTGGTAATTAAGCAGACGAAGGGGGAAGAGGTGTTGCTAGCAGAGTCTTTTATAAAGACCCCTAGTGTGAAAGAAGCAGGGTATACTGGAGAAACTAGAAGTCCAGTCCAGAAGTCCAGAAATGAGCCCGGAGATCAAGGAGTGAAGAGTAGTGGAAGTAGAGTTCAGAGACTGTCGAATGTTGTAGGACAGTTTAGATTTTGTTCTTTACCCTCAGAGTAGTGGGAAGTCATTAAAGTGTTTTAAAGGGACAATTGATAGATCAGATTTGCATTTTTAAAAGATTCCTCTGACAGCTGTTGGGAGAACAGAATGAAATGGGGCAAGAATGAAGTGGAGGAAACAAAGCCAAGGGATGGTTCTTGAATGAGAGTGGCTGAAGAAGAAATAAAGAGAAATCAACAGATTCAAGATATAGTTAGTAGATAACATTTTTTGGAGTTGATAGATGTTAGGGGTTTGGGAGAAAGTTGTCATGGAGGACTTCCAGGTTTCTTCCTTCCACAATTGGAAAGCTATGATGCATTTGCTAAGATGAAACAACCTTACAAAGAGAACTAGAGATAGGGGATGGGAATGGGTCCTGAGTTCAGTTTTGGACCTCTTGAACACAGGCAATTCTTGATGAATTTGAGAGGGGAAAAAAGAGGCAGCAGCTAGAGGGGAACGTGGGGCAGAAGGTTTTTAAAATGTGTGAGATACTTGGACATGTTAAAATGCTGAAGAGAAGGAAAGATCCAAATGAAGTGAGGGAAGTCTCAAAATTGGTGCAAGGGAAGGGGTAAATCAAAGGAACAGTCCTTAAGAAGGGTTAGCAAGAACATACCTAAGTGGAATTATTGTTCTTAAATATTAAATAAGAGGTGCAATACCTCTAGTGTTTTAACAAGAGAAAGTAAGAAGCAAGCTGTATAAATGTAGTACATATTTAGTAAGTGGGAATTGTTTTCCCTGAGGTATGGAACTGTCATTTGGAGGTGAGGAAGGGACATAGGAATCAGTAGCTTGAGAAGAGGGGAAATTTGAAATAGTTATGGTGACTAGTGAATTGAGAAACATAGTAGGTTTTTTTGGCAGCATTGAGAGAATTTTTAAAAAGTTAATATCATTTAATATTATCTTAAGTAAATCACATGTGAAGGAAAACAGCAAGAAAGTGGACTCTACTTAGCAGAAGAGGTCACTTAACTTTTAAGTGGTCCTTAAACTTTTAAGTATTGGCATTAATTTGCCAAGACCTTGTGCTACCCTGATGTTAAAGTAGGGATGCTGTTTGCAGTGCCACAAATATAGCTGCTGTATATCCTTATCGTAGTATATGATTTCACCTAACTTTTAGTGTTATTTATATGTTAGTTAGGCCTCGTTTGTTTCTAACTGATACTCTTTTTTTTTTTTTTTTTTTTCTATCTAGGCAGGCAGAAGTCCTGAAGGCTGACATGACAGGTATTGGCTGGCTTATTTCTTTTTCACAACATATTTTATATATTAAATTAATGGAAGGATATCCTCTTTCTTATATTATGCACAGCACTAAATCCCATCTTAGTTGCCAAAAGGGATGATCATTTACTATCTGCTTTAAATATTTATTGTTTATGTAGTTTGAATTCTTGCTTAAATAACTGTTGGGAATTGCATGTAATACTAATATATGGTATACTGAATTGAATGTTACCTAATTTAGTTTATATAATCACTTAATTTTTATGAAACTTTTTATTAATGATTTAAGACATACAGAAAAAATAACATACCCCATATAAACCAAAATATCTTACAGTGTTAGGCTAATATCTTTCTGGGAAATTTTTTTTTCTATTAATAATTAACCAAACTTTAGTAGGTAAACCTTCAGAAAAAATATTTATAGAAAAATTCTATTGGAAGTCCTTGAAATTGAGTGAGCTACCTTGCTGCCTTTCTTTTCTCCCATATCTTTGTTACTTTTTTTTTTTTTTTTTTTTGAGATGGAGTCTCACTCTGTCACCTAGGCTAGAATGCAGTGGCGTGATCTCGGCTCACTGTAACCTCCGCCTCCCTGGTTCAAGCGATTCTCCTGCCTCAGCCTCCTGAGTAGGTGTGATTATAGGCACACGCCATTACATCTGACTAATTTTTGTATTTTTGGTAGAGATGGGGATTCACCATGTTGGTCAGGCTGGTCTCGAACTCCTGACTTCATGATCCTCCTGCCTCAGCCTCCCAAAGTGCTGGGATTATAGGCGTGAGCCACTGCGCCTGGCCATCTTTGTTGCTTTAAATAATGGCTGAGGTCTTTTGGAAGAATAACTGCCAGGCTTAGCCATTGAAAGGAGTAAATGAGGCATGGTGCGGTGGCTCACGCCTGTAATCCCAGCACTTTTGGAAGCCCAGGTGAGTGGATCACCTGAGGCCAAGAGTTCGAGACCAGTCTGGCCAACATAGTGAAACCCCGTCTGTATTAAAAATACAAAAATTAGCTGGGCGTGGTGGCATGCACCTGCAATCCCAGCTACTCTGGAGGCTGAGGCAGGAGAATCACTTTAACTGGGGAGGTGGAGGTTGCAGTGAGCAGAGATCAAACCCCTGCACTCCAGCCTGGGCGACAGAAAAAGACTCCGTCTCAAAAAAAAAAAAAAAAAAAAAGAGTAAATGATTTAAATACGAAATTAGGAAATATGTTGTAATCACCGTATACTGGTCAGTATGCCCTCCGTAACAGCATATGCCATCCTAAAATGTAATAAGAAGGATAGGTACTAGTGAATCTTATTCTAATTTCTCAATAATTTAGTTCTGCAGTGAAATTCACAAAAAAAAAAAAAAAAAGAATTAAACAGCATACCTGCCAAGATTTGCAAAGAGGAAAAGGACTATTAAAATATCTTTTTGTCAGCTCTAGAGTCACTTAGGCTAATGTCCTAAGAGTTCATGGATAATCTCGTGTCATCTTGTTCAAGGAAAAGTGTGTTGGGGGGTGAATAGCTTGTATATTTACTCAGTAAAAGGTACTACTCAGTTCTTTCCATTATTAACAGATTTGTCATCATCTATATTGTGTATATCAGTGTCTGCTCTGAGTTACTGTATTATGCTCTTGAATTGGCATTGAAAACATAATCTATTGTGTGATGAAAACAGAACATGGAGCAATATCAGGCTATCTGTACCATTTACCTTTTCTTAGACATTGAACAACCTTAGTAAATAGTCTTAGGGTTTGACCTTTATAGGGGACCTTTGGCTGCCCAGAAACTTTAACTAAGATAATGTCTGCTCATTTGAATGATGGTCTTGATAGATGAGAATTAGTAATCTTTTACACTTCTTTTTCTTGCCATAAGTGAATTAAAGCAGGGTTGACTAAATCTATTAGTTAGTGATTAACAATTTAACTAGGGATGAGGAGCTGATAGTAAACTCTATTCTTAACTAGCCTGTAAACTCTTAGGAGCATTAACTCAAATCCAGGAGATTCTCTTTGCAAAATAGGATTGTGGTGGCTATAGATGCTAATAGCAAACCTAAAGAAGAGTGATGATTATTCCATTGTGTAGTAGCAAAACGAAGTAGCCCAGCTAGTTATGGGAAATATATAATTGAAAAGCCCATTATTAAGTTCACCTACTGAGGGAGTTTACTGTCAGTTATTGCAATCATAATCCCAGTGATTGCAAAGGTTAATGTGCCTTGCATGACTCTGGCAGACAGCATGGCCCCAATTTTGTATTATGTGTAGTCATAGCCTGACTTTCTGATTACATTCTACACCCAGTCTCTCATCTGACCTCTTTAGCAATTTAATCCTAGTCTTCTAAGTCTTTGTTTACATTAAATGACTAATGTGGATTGCTCACAAAAGTATCTTAGGAAACAGTCTACCGCTCATTAAAATAATACTGTCATGGCTTATTCGGTCAATATATTGAGAGAGGAGTAACTGCAGAATACCAAAGCAACTGCTAGATAATCAGCTGATGTGAGAATTCTGTAAGGACATTTGTGGGAGTCCTTACAGAGACTCCCTTACAGAGACAAAAAAGAAAGAAAAAGTTGCTTTGGAAAAAGAGATACAGTATGAGAGTAAACAGACCAACTTGACAGTCTGTTATTTCAAATGGGTTGGCTTACTGTAAGGCATATAGTTTCCTGTTATATGAAAAGGCAGAAATACAAACAAAAAGCAAAGGGCAAACCATTCTTTTTTTTTTTTTTTTTTAGCCCTTTTCATTTCATGATATTATTTCAAAACTAAAAACAGAAGCATTGTAAACCAGACTTAGTCATTAGTCAAAAGTTGAAAGTCATTTGAAATATAGTAGTATAAAACTTCTGCAGCATTCTATGGAATATATTTAGAGCAGGTTTTGCCTTGGGGATAGAGCAGGAAGGAGTCACTGGTGTGGTATAATGGTTTTAACTGCTGGGGTTTATCTATCTACCGTTATGTTTTTGTTTTTGTTACTCAGATTCTAAGCTGGGTCCAGCTGAAGTCTGGACATCCAGGCAGGCTCTGCAGGACCTGTACCAGAAAATGCTAGTTACCGATTTGGAATACGCTTTAGACAAGAAAGTAGAACAGGATCTGTAAGTATTACCTATCATTTGAGAAGTCCCTGTAAGATCAAGAATTTCACCGAGACTTTAAAACAGTTTGGTTCGTTATTTATTTTTCAACCTGTTGCAGAATAAACTTTTTCAATGGAAAGTAATTCTAGTATTTGTGATATTTGGCCATTGGTATTATTTCAAATACAGTCTTTGGAGGAGGTAAGAAGAGAAATGTTTAGAGTTGAATTCTATTAAGGTCATTACGGCAGCTCTTTTAGGGCCTGTCAAAAAAAACAAATATATCTATTTCAAATACTAAGAGTGTTTGGATTGTCTGTGGTCAGTCTTATAATTAAGCCGCGATTTAAAAAAAAAATACAAGAATAGGCTTTAGAAAAATCTTTCTTTGTTAAACGTGATTCTATAATTTCCCTGTCAGGAAAATGTATTTGCATTGTAAGGAAAGTTCCTTCTTTTAATTAAATAAGTTGGTAGTATTTCCTCCCCTACCCCCAATAAAATGAAAAATTTTGTGTATTTAGACTTTTCCGCTTCTTCTTTCTATAAGGGGCAAAATGGCAGATAACCAGATTCCCAAGTGAGTAATTGTCTTTTGTGGAAGGCTTTGCCTTACAAATTGGAACAGGGACATTAGCCTGATAGAAATTTAAAAATCAATTAAGAGTACTTTGTCTACTAATGTCCGTTACCCTAAGTTTTGGTGAAGATTAGTTTTTTCTATCATTTACATCTGCCTTAGATACTTTATATTTTTAGGAAGTCGAGTAATACAGCTAAATTACGACCATCAAAATCCTTATCCTGTGATGTTAGAGTCAAGGATAAGATGTCATCAGAAATGCTGAGGGAAGTGATTGTCCTCCTAAGTCATTAAAAAGCCTAGTGCTCTAGAGCCTCAGAAGCTGATGTTGATATAGAATTAGGTACTTCCATGCTTTCCAGGTAAGTTGTAAACCTCTTATCTGTGTTTGCTTCCTTTAATCAGGCCAGTAATATCTTCCCTTTGTTCTAGTTTTTTATTCCCCACTGTGGTTTCCAGGTGAGAGAGTGACTGTATTCATCATAACTGGACTTAAACTGATTCCATATATAACTAGATTAAAGAAAAGCATTTTATAACAGGATTTTGGTATGCCATATTTCAGCATTATATTGTTTCTTATTGTAAATAGCCAAATTTGAAATGTGGCTTATGTTTCAATCACAAGAGAAATAAACAAAACTATTAAATAGCAGTGAAACTGAATGCTCTGGGAAATAACTTTTGGGGAAGTAAGAGATATGGCTTACTATTTACAAAATCCCTGCCCCCATATACATGTCACTTGTTAGGGTATAGTCCATCACATTTGGCACTATATGTAGAAATTTGTTAATACCTTATTTTTACTTTGATCTTGCCACCATTGTTCTGAATTTCTACCGGGATTCCTAAATAAACTCTAGTAGTTCTAAAAGATTAATAGCTGAAGCCACAATCTGATTATTCGAACATTTGGTAAGTGTTTACTAAGGTCAGTTGGATTCTACTGCATGTCTAGTCTTGTTCAAAGGGAAGCATAAAGTTATTTAAATAAATGAATAACTTTAATGCAGGTTTACTGTCTCGTGTGGTATAATTATAACAGACAGTTCTTTCTTGTTCTCAGGGGGACCAGTGTCTGCCCAGTGAGTCACTGCTATACCAAATAGAATTACATTTTGTTTTCAGCTGGAATCACGCCTTTAAGAATCAGATCACAACACTGCAAGGCCAGGCAAAGAATCGAGCAAATCCGAATCGGAGTGAAGTTCAGGCAAACCTTTCTCTGTTCCTAGAGGCAGCTAGTGGCTTCTATACTCAGGTGAGTTCTGCATTGTATACCAGTTTTCTTACTATTAGTGGTAAATATTCTGCTCTTTGTACACGTCTTAATGCATGTAAACAATTCTTGTAACCACTATGTGGGCCATCCAGGGATTGATCACCTATAATCTTTTCTTTTTTGGCGACAGAGTCTGACTTTGTCACCCCAGGCTGGAGTGTAGTGGTGCCGTCATGGCTTCCTGCAGCCTCAGCCTCCCTGACTGAAGTGATCCTCTCACCTCAGCCTTCCCCAGTAGCTGGGACTAAGGTGCATGCCAACACGCCTGACTAATTTTTGTATTTTTTGTAGAGATGGAGTCTCGCTATGTTGCCCATGCTAGTCTTGAATTCCTGGGCTCAAGTGATCCGCCCACCTCAGCCTACCAAAGTGCTGGGATTGCATACCTGAGCCACTGTGCCCAGCCTATAATCTCAATGCAAATGTCCATAAGACCTTTAAAAAAAAAAACGCTGTGCTTTTAAAAGGGTTGATGTTTAGCTTAAAGGTTGGAAGTTTAACTGTATGAATATAAAAGGGATAATTGAGCACAAAGCCTTAGTGAAACAGTGGAAGTAGTCAGTTACAAGTGGTATTAGAGGAAATGTGAATTTATGGATATAGCTATAGTCATTAAAATAATAGCTATGTTGCGCCAGATAAGAAATAGTCAAAATTTGTAATATCAAGTGAGTTTTCATAGTATTATTTATACAATGGAATTTATCTGGATTTTGAGATGTTATTAAACTAAGAAGTAGAGTAGCTTTTCCTCTGTTTGAATAATAAGCTATTATTCATTGTCCCCAGAGATTTTCTTTTTCCTTAGTCACGTCCTGATAGAACTTCTAAATCAGGCAAGGTAAGAGAATAAATAAATCTTATTTTTGACCATGGGATTTTCTTTAAGCAGAATCTGTTAGAAAATTACCATGTCATCCATTTGTAATAGCATTTGTAATTAACAAAATTTTTGTATATAAATTAGTATCTTATAATGAATGTTAAGACAGGGTTTTGAGAATCTTGCACTGAAAGAAATCTTTGGCCAGTTCTTACTATATAGTACTGCCTGACTATTGCTGCCTATATTTTGGCTTCATTCTGATTTTATCATTTCTTTGAATGAAGAGAAAAGAATCTCTGCTGGGTGCAGTGGCTCAGGCCTGTAATCACAACACTTTGGGAAGCCAAGGTGGGAGGATCACTTGAGCCCAGGAATTCAAGCAGGTTGTGGTGCTACCTGCCTGTAATCCCAGCTACTCTGGAGGCTGAGGCAGGAGGATCACTTGAGCCCAGGAGTTTGAGGCTGCAGTGAACCGTGATTGTGCCACTGTACTCCAGCCAGAGCAACAGAGCAAGACCTGTCTCAAAAAAAAGAATCCCTGTGTTGGAACAATTCAGATAACTGTCATTTCTGAGATTATTTATGTTTTACTTAGACTAAAACATTCATCACAGTT
Source organism: Homo sapiens (assembly GCF_000001405.40). Taxonomy (NCBI): domain Eukaryota; kingdom Metazoa; phylum Chordata; class Mammalia; order Primates; family Hominidae; genus Homo; species Homo sapiens. The sequence goes on from NC_000001.11 coordinate 183,519,284, forward strand.
CATTTTTGAAAGAACTCAAGTATGGTTCTTAGTCTCAAAATTTATTTTAAAATTTATGCCAACTTTTAGCAGCAACCAAAAAGTTGATACTTTTTGGGGAATGCTTCTCGAGAGAGGGATTGGTCCTTAAAGCAGATGTTAAAGATTAATTCATTTTACAAGTAGCTGTCAAAAGGCTACTATTTGTAAGGCACGATACTAGATGCTGAGGATATGGAGGTAAATTAGACAGAATCTTTACCTTCAAAGAAATATCTAGACTAAATGAAAAGATGGATACATTAGTAAGTATATTTGTTTTCTTTTCTGATTGTAAAAATAATGCATACCAATTTCAAGAAATTTGTGAATTATACAAAGTCCCAAAAAGTTCATTAATCCTCCCATTCTGGATAAATTGCCACTTTAATATATACTCTTCTTGTGTTTCTATACTTTTTTGCATATTTAAGACCACACTATATATCCATTTTTGTATCTGTTTTATAAACATAATGTAAGCTTTTCCTTGTTAACAGTTTAGCATTTTTGTGTATAAAGCATTTTCTCTAATACTGTATTATTTCCTGAGGACCAGTTGTTCAAATTGAAATCATTAGAAAGTTTAAAGTGAAAGTTTAAATACTGTTGACACCATTTTGTCGTTTTCCCAAAAGTTCATCATTTATAACATTTTTCACTAGTTTCTTCTGTTGTCCTTTCATTTTATTTAGAGTTGTTTGAAGTACAGAAGTTACCAGGATTTTTTTTTTTTTGCAATACCTTTTCCTTTGTCCATAGATCAGTGCATATTTAATAATGAGGGAAATAATCACATTTAAGGAAACAAATAGATATTATAATTCAAATCTTAACATTTGGAAACAACACCAATGTTCTACAAGAGAATAATAGTTAAATTATGGCATAACTGTAGAATGGAAACACAAAATGATTACAGGTTGATATTTATCAAGATTTTATAAGATGAAAAGATTGTTTTGTTGTTGTTAAGTGAAAATCATATAAAATTATATATATATAATTTGATTCTACATGTTAATTGAGTAGTCTCAGTTCAGTGGGATATTAATGAAAATGGTAACTTTTTTTTCAATCACTGCTTTCAACTATGCTCTGTTGGATTCCCAGATTCCCATCATTTCTTGGACAGATTCTATAACATTCTGGTTGCTTTCCATTTTTGAAGCATAATTCAGTTTTAAAACCTTAGTTTTGTTTCTGATTCAAATCTCATTTCCTTCCCCCATGAATAGAAGCTAGAACTGGGAACATGACTAAAGTAGGGGGAGTAGGAAGGAGGTGGTGCAGCTGGCTCTGTTGGGGGGAGGGGGAAGGCATCTACCTTCTGCAGTACATTTTTATAATAGCCATTATACAGATTGGTTTGTCATCTTGAAAAATGATTCTTAATCTTTTTTCGTTACATGACATACATGTGATATATTCCCAAGGGTTTAACTAGAAATTGGTAAACCAAAACAGATCTGTAAGGAAGTAAAGAAAGAATCATCATTTTTATTGAGGGAGTATGGTATTTGTAAAAACATTTTATAAGCAAGGGAATAATAAAATCATGTAAATGTCTCAAAAATTGTTTTTTAAAGGGAAAATATGGATACTCTCTGAAATTTTTTTAAAACTTTTTATAATAAGCATTGATTCTCCCCGACTGCATTCCACAGGCAGTGATTGAGCAATTATGATAATTGTAGAATAAGCATCAATAAACGTCTTTATTTTCACATTATGATATCAGTTAACAATATTAATAGAATTTTTCACTTGCTTTTTTTTTTTTTTTTTTAAGACAGAGTCTTGCTCTGTTGCCCAGGCTGGAGGCTGGAGTGCAGTGGCACAATCTCTGCCACTGGAGTGCAGTGGCGCTCACTGCAACCTCCGCCTCCTGGGTTCAAGCGATTCTTCTGCCTCAGCCTCCTGAATAGCTGGGATTACAGGTGCGCACCATCACATCCAGCTAATTTTTGTATTTTTAGTAGAGATGGACTTTCGCCATGTTGGCCAGGCTGGTCTCAAACTTCTGACCTCAGGTGATCCACCCACCTCTGCCTCCCCTAAGTGCTGGGATTACAGGCGTGAGCCACTGCACCTGGCCTCACTTGCATTTTTATATTGTCTTTAATCAATAATTGAAACGGATAATGGTGTTACTAACAATAGTGTTCCACAAATCTTTCTTGATTACATGCAGTGCATATTTAGCACCAGATTGAGAAAGTAGACAAATTCCAGATTGTTATATGGCCTTATAAGCTAAGATGAGTTTTGAATTTTAATTTTAAGTGTAGTTGCAGGCCAGGCATGGTGGCTCATTCCTGTAATCCTGACACTTTGGGAAGCTGAGATGGGAGGATCACTTGAGACCAGCCTGGGTAACGTGGTGAGACCCTATTCTACAAAGAATCTAAAAATCAACCAGGCACGGTGGCGCACACCTGTAGTACCAGCTACTCTAGGAAGCTGAGGCAGGAGGATCACTTGAGCCCAGGAGGTTGAGGTTGCAGTGAGCCATATTTGCGCCACCTGCCTGGGTGACAGAGTGAGACCTTGTCTCAAAAAAAAAAAAAAAAGAAGGAGTTGCAAGTCACTGGAGTTGGAAAGTAAGCAAAGGAAGAACATGATCAGATTTGCATTTTTAAACGATAACCCTGGATAAAGGGATCAGCTATGGAAGCTAGCTATGGAAGTTAACTCTATTAATTCCTGTTGGCCATACTTGGATTAGATGGATTGGATTGAATTTCTGGAATCAGAGTAAAGGAGGAGTCAAAGCAAATACAATTATCAGTGTGAGCAGCTAGTCGAGTGGTTGTACCATTTACTGAGATGGGAAACACTAGGGGGAAAGTAGCTTTTTCCCTATTAAAGTAGATGCCTGTTTGACATCTAAGTAGAGATTTGAAATAAGCAATTGAATAAACAAGGTTGGAGCCCAGTGGAAACATCATAAAATCATAAAAATTTTATGATTATAGTAAAGAACCCTGACTTAGTCAGATGGTAACAGATTTAGCACAGGAGGAGCCACCATTGCAATCAAGAAAATGAGAGAGAGAAGGTGCCTTGGAAGCCAAGAGAAAAACATCTGAATAAGGAAGGGAGTCATCAGCCCTGTTGAGTGCTGCTGAGAATTAAAGTAAGATTTAAAGTGACCAATTAGGTTTGACAACATGAAAGTCATTGGTGAACTTAATGAATACCATATTTCTTCATTTCTGAAACTTTTTTTTTCATATTTTAACATATCTGAAATAGAGATAAGTTTATAACAGATGACAAGTGACCATATAACTTGTGGTTTTTTCTCAATATTATATAAGATGATGGTTCATCTTATAATTTATGGTGTCTTTGTATTGATGAAATGTAACTTCAGCAGTGTTGGGGATAGAAACCTGATTAGAGTGGATTGAGAAGAGACTAGTACTTGGTTATCCACAGTAACATTTTCTGTGAAGATAGTTTTTTAGTTTTTTGTTTTTTTTTTTTAAAGACAGGCGCTCACTCTATCATTTTGGCTGAGTACGGTGCTTAATCATAGCTCACTGAAGCCTCAGACTCCTTGGCTCAAGTGATCCTTCCCCACCTCAGCCTCCCAAATACCTAGGACTACAGGCTCATACCAGCTACCTTTTTTTATTTTTTGTAGAATGGAGTCTCACTATGTTACCCAGGCTGGTTTAGTTTTAACTTCTTAGCTACCATTTTGTTAACCAGTTAAAGCATGGGGCTTAAAGCAGAACCAAATTCCTGGTCAAAGTAAAGACATACCATTCTGCTGTAGGTTGTTTTTAAACATCAAAGAACAGAACGGTAGCCTTTATTCTAAGAAAATAGGAACCAAAAAGAAAGTATAATCACTGAGTTTCTGTATTAGTTTAAAAGGTAATATTCTATACCTTCATAATCAATCTTTCATTCTTGGCATGGAATAAAGAGCTGAGGAGACAAGAGATAGTGTAAAAATTGATAAATAGGAACCCAGAAACTGTTCTAGTACTGCTCTAGGGCTAATTGTGACTATTTGGACAAGTCACTACCTCTGTGGTGCTTAGCTTTCTGATTGTAAAAAAGAGAGTTGACAAATGCTTATAGGTTCATTTTCCAGTTTTATAGTTCCATGATTATAATTTGGGAAGAACTAGAGGCATTAATATTCAGCTACAGCCTTAGGAATATCTCCCAGTCAATACTTCTGTATAATGAAGTAACTAAGTTCTTATCAGACTGAGGAAACTACTACAAAGTAATGTACATCAGGGTCAACCTATATGAAGGTAGGACATTGTTTTGTTCAATTTATGAAACATCCTTTTCTCTTCTTTAGTTCCATCTTGTTACTGCCTCTAAACCAACTAGAGCTCTCTTTCTCAGAATCTTTGAGCCAGTAGGAGCTTTTCTGTCTGATATCACCACTTAAACTCTTGGGCTCAGGCAGAAATTTTATTACAAGACATTCTACATGATGTTCCAACCATAATTTTATTTATTTTTTGTGATCTTTCTTTTTTGTTTTTGCTAGATGTGCAGCCTTGCCTAGTTTTCCAGTCTGTTTTTTCATTACCTATTGAAGTCAGTTCTTTAACCCTCTCATGTTTCTTAGTTATCCACTTTTGTTTTTTGTTTTTTTCATAATATATATGTAGGTATATATATATTTACATATATATATTTTTTTTGTTCCTGCCCTGTGCCTTGTGCTTTTTCTATTTCTTAACCCATCCCGTTCAGGACATTAACTTATTTACCCTGTTTTTTTATGTATTCATTTTATTTTATTTTATTTATTCATTTTTTAAGACGGGGTCTCTCTCTGTCACCCAGGCTGGAGTGCAGTGTATATCATAGCTCACTGCGGCCTGGAACTCTGGGGCTTAAGTGAGCCTCCCGCCTCACCCTTCCAAAGTACGGGGACTATAGCACTGCATGCCACCACACGTGGCTAATTTTTTGTTTCACTTTATTTTCATTTTTATATTCATTCATTTGTTTATTTTGTAGAGACAGATTCTTGCTTTGCTGTCCAGGCTGGTCTTGAACTCCTGACCTCAAGTGATCCTTCCGCCTTGACCTCCCAAAGTGTTGGGATTACAGGCATGAGCTACCATGCCTGGCCTTGTTTACCCAATTTTATGTTAGTGAATTTCTTGCCCATTACAAATGTACAAGTAAAGATGGAGTAAATAATTTCCATGCCCAGTGAGAAAGGGTGCGCAGAATTTATATTTAGTTATGGAGGTGATTTTTATCTTAGGAAAAAGGTGGCATGATTCAGATCCTTCTGAGTTGAGCCCTTAGGGTGTCTTATTTTGTATTTTGAATTCTGTACATGCTAGAAAGAGTGGTGATAGAATCAAAATATTTCTAATTCTATAACCTTAGTCCAGTCGCTTGATTATTTCTGCCTTCACATCCTCATCTGAAAAAAATTGAGCTTTATATCTATGTATACTGTGTTGCTACTAGTTTATCACAAGGATAAAGTGAGACAAATTTATCAGATAACCTAGGGAAATAAGTTACGTTATAAATGTAGAATATTCTGTTGGTTATATTGTGTGTCATGTTGTCTGTCCTTCTCTCCTTTCCCTTTTCCCTCTCCCTCCCTCTCTCCCCTCTACTTCTCTTTTTGTACCTGACTTGCCCATTTAGCTACAAGCTCATGAAGGAAACATATTTTCTTACTTGTCTTTGTATCTTTCTTGTTTACTGGGTGTCTGATATACTAGCACATACTTGGATGAATATAATAATATTTGAATGACGATATTTGTAAGTAAATATTTGAATAACTGTGAAGTAAATATTCTTCACAGTGTGAAGAACTGTGTGCGGGGCAAGAAATAAGCCCTTGGCAAGCAAAGTGAGAGGAGAAAAGCCTTTCTATGAAGGAGACTGAAAAGGAGTGATTGGAGAGATGACAGAGAACTAGAACAGCTCAGTAATCAACCATAAGATCAGATGTTTTAAGTGCAGCAAAGAGGTCCAATAAGATGATGTCTGAAAAATATCCGTTGTATTTGGCTATTAGGTAACCAATTGTCTGATAGTAGTTTCAGTAGAGTGGTAATGGATGGTTGGGTGAGAGGAGGGAGAGGGGTTGTGTGGAAGCCAGATGATAATGGATTAAGGAGTAAATAGAAATTGAGAAAGCAGATATGAAAAGTGTGGACTCCTTTGAAGGCATTTGGTTGAGAAGAAGGAGAGACATTAAAAGGTTGCTATAAAGTCAAGAGGAGAGTGTTTTAGCTCTGTTTTGTTTTTTGTTCTTGTTTTTTTCTGTGGGAGACGTGGTGTGTAGGCCATAGGAAAGAAGCATGAAAAGTTGACAGTAGATGAAAGAATGGAGAGGTGGGAGACAGACAGGAACCAGAAAAGAATGTAGCAATAGGCACACATAGGCAGAAGAGTTAGCTCTGACTAGGAAGAAGAGCCCCTCATACTTTAAGAACAGAGAAGAGAGGAGGTAGGAATGGGTGATACAGTAAAGGTGTACACTACGGTGAGATTCGTTGTATATGCAAAGACATGTGAATTGGCATACAGCTTAAGAAAATAAATTGCAAGAAATACCTAAAGTCTGACAAATACCTTGGCTTACATTTAAGTCAAATTTGTAACCAATATTTAATAATTTTTGGGTTTCTGAGAGTAGTAGCTTTCTTTGCTTGCTTAATGTGTCTGAAAATCGTGTCTGAAAATCCTATCCAGTTAAATAATCTTTTTTTAAAATGCTGCTGTATGCACATCCTAGATTGCTGTAATACTTGAGAATTCAAAAGGTATGATTTATAATGAATGATACTAGTTATCCTGTGAAAGATTAACGTATAATATATATATATATATATATTTTTTTTTTTGGAGACAGTCTTGCTCTCTCACCCAGGCTGGAGTGCAGTGGCGTGATCTCGGCTCACTGCAACCTCCGCCTCCTGGGTTCAAGCGATTCTTGTGCCTCAGCCTCCCTTGTAGCTGAGACTACAGGTGCTCACCACCACTCCCGGCTGATTTTTTTTTTGTATTTTTAGTAGAGACGGGGTTTCATCATGTTGGCCAGGCTGGTCTCAAACTCCTGAGCTCAAGTGATCCGCCCGCCTTGGCCTCCTAAAGTGCTGGGATTATAGGCGTGAGCCCCTGTGCCAGGCCCGAAAGATTACCATATAATTTTCATGCAGTTTTTGTTCAGATTTCAGCAGTATGTGGTACTAGGTACACATCTTACAGTTTATAAACTTTACTTTTAGAGCACTTGTGACTTACTACTAAATTTTGTTTGTTTTTCTTTTAGTTATTACAAGAACTGTGTACAGTATTTAATGTAGATTTACCATGCCGTGTGAAGTCTTCCCAATTGGGAATTATCAGCAATAAACAGACGCATACCAGCGCCATAGTGAAGCCACAGTCTAGCTCCTGTTCCTATATCTGCCAGCACTGCCTCGTCCACCTTGGAGACATTGGTGAGCCTTTGCTGTGAAGGAATTGATAATATGTTCCTCCTTTTCTTTGGAATAGTCATAGAAAGAAACTGTTTTCCTTTAAGCGGAGCATACACACACAATTTAGATTGTCATAAGAAGAAACTATAAAATGTATTCTAAGGAACTTAAAATTTCTCAATATTTTTGGGATTGGCAGAGCATCGTGAAGAAAGTAACTTTCATATTAAGATTTAAATTTTATTCCAACTTTATGTAATTTATATAGGCAAATAATAAACAGCAAAAACATAATCAAAGCTTAATTTTTCAAAGTGGTGCCATAATTTCTAAATTAAATGTACTCTTCTGGAATAAATGAGGTTTATAAATTACTCCTGAAGCGAAATTGCCTTCTTTCTTTCTTACCAATGGACTAAAAGTTGATTTTTAATTTTGCTTCCTTTTTAAAGTTTAATTTGTATTTCTATTATTTGCATTTTATCTGGGAATATTATATAACTTATTTATTCTTGTTCATTCCTTTAAGGTGACCTAGAAAGGTTGTAAAACAAATTAACTATAGGATTATGTTTTGCTTGTCCTCAAATAACAAAGAATGGAGAACATTACTGCTTTTAAGTTTGAAATTTTAGATTTCTTAATATTGTAAGTCAGCGGTTCCATGAGGAGGTCACATCAGAGTAAGCAGTGAGTTTGGCAGGGAGATTCATTGATACTGTGTTTAGGTTGTTTTGCTTTAAATATAATCTTTGCACACACATATTTAATATTGCAATAGGAATGAGACATTTTTCAAAATCACTTTATAAAATATTGAAAAATACATAATTTTCAGATCATATTGTATAGTGTATTTTGTTTTGTTTTGTTTTTAAGTGCCATATAACTCACCCCTTCTTGTGGGCCGGCTCCAGGTCACCAGCATAGTCCATAGTGGGAGCTGGTGATGCATGACACTGGAGGACCTGAAAATGGGGTCTAGGTAAGCTTTAAAATTGGTTACATGCTGAATGTCCCAAATAAGGAAGGCTGATGGACACTTCACACATAATCCTATAGTTAATTTGTTTTAAAGTATTTTGTCTTTAATTTTAAATTAACTTTAATGTCTTTATTATCTTTAGAACTTAAAACTATAGCTGTTTTGGAAATACTACCCTACTGTTTGTTTTTTGGGTTTTTTAAAACTAATTTTCTTCTTCTTAGCTCGATACAGAAACCAGACCAGCCAGGCAGAGTCCTACTATAGGCATGCAGCTCAGCTTGTCCCCTCCAATGGTGAGTGGACCTGTCAACCTGAGATTGACCGTGACACTTTGTTCTTTATAACAATGTGGCAGATAACTCAGGGCTCACCTTTGAAGTTTTATGAAAGCAATAAATGAGTTTTGTTATTGTCATGTTTTTCCATTTAACTGTACATTCCATGTAAACTAAAATGAATTTTTTTTACAAGTAAGATGACTTTTATTATTTATTTTATTTTATTATTTATTATTGTCAGTAAAGCAATATAGATAGAATCTCTTAATGTAATCTGATATTGTTTCTACAACTCTGGCTTCCTTAATTGCTTATAGAATAATTATTTCTTTAGATACCACCATTCCCCTCCCCCCAGAAAAACAATCTATTACCTAAAAGATAATCTTTTAATGGCCCCAAACTAGGCATTAGCAGTAGTTCTTGAGTTACAGAAATTACAGCAGATATTTAATTATTTAAATCATTCTTACTAAGACGTTGAAATTCCTTTAGATTCTAGAAAGAGTCTAAAGCAGGGATGATAGTCTGACCACACTACTTGTTTCATATTTGTTTATGGCTGCTTTCACACTACAGTGGCAGAGTTGAGTGGTTGTGATAGAGACCCTTTGGCCTACAAAACTGAAATTATTTATAATCTAGCCCTTGCTGAAGCCGCTCTCTACCCTAATATTGACTGTTTAACCTGTATATGATAGTGTGTACTGTCGCTGAAGTGTGCTGTTGGACCTTACGCTGGTTTGCAATGAGGCAGTCATATTTACCTTATAAAAATACTCCCCATTGTTTGAGTATTTAAACACTGATCATTTGTATTCTTATAGCAAGACTTTGTCACTCTTGGGGTTACTCCAGAATCTTAACTTTCTCCTGTAGGTCAGCCTTATAATCAGTTGGCTATCTTAGCTTCTTCCAAAGGAGACCATCTGACCACAATTTTCTACTACTGCAGAAGCATTGCTGTGAAGTTCCCTTTCCCAGCTGCCTCCACTAATCTGCAAAAAGCACTTTCTAAAGCACTGGAAAGGTAGGGTTGTTTGGTTTTTTTTTTCTCTTTCCAAGAGGACTTTGTAACCTGGAGCCTTAATTCCTCATAATTTGGTTTACAGAAAATAACGGCCTATGCTTCTCTTATTTCTAAACATATAGATTTTTCATAATTTGTGTATAGTCACTGAATTTCATCCAATCAATATCTGATTCAGTCCCAGTAAAAGAGTACACAGGCTGTTAATACTGACTCATCTTGAGTGTGTTGCAGTTGAAAAATCAGTCAAATACAGCTCTTTTGTGTATCAAGTATTTAGCAAGCCAGTGCCTCCTTAAACAGTTGTAGCCAATTTGCTGCTTATGATTCATGGAATTTTTTTCTTTCATTTCAGCCGAGATGAGGTGAAAACCAAGTGGGGTGTTTCTGACTTCATCAAGGCCTTTATTAAATTCCACGGTCATGTGTACCTGAGTAAGAGCTTGGAAAAGTTGAGCCCTCTTCGAGAGAAATTGGAAGAACAGTTTAAGGTTAGATTTCAGAAATAGAGAATTTTTGTCTTGTCTAAATCAGGAAGCATAACATTTGGAGGAAACTGACTCCCAGTTTTTGTAGTTACTTAACTGTGTGAACTATTGGTAAAAATTATATTCGAAGTATGTGAAATCTTTGCATTTATCATCCCTTCAATTTAAACTGAGGTACAGTCTGTATAAACAAATATAATATAGCAGTGTTTTCACTTGAGTAGTTGCCATTTGACAAAAATTATCAAAGTGGAAAAAAATAAATAACTCCTCAGTTTTGAAACTACTACTACTTTTGATGGTTTGTGTATTCTTAGATATGATTATGTTACCTGCTTTATAGATATTGGCATTCTCCAAACCAAGTTCATTATTTTTATTGTGCTTGCATTCATCAGGATTGTGGTAGTTTGAATGAAAGGAATGAGAGTTTCATTTAACAGGGATATATTTTACTAATTTGAAGAGATAACATTAACCTTCATTCTATTTATATATGTGAAAATGATCTTTTATTAGTATGTTAAGATATTAGCAGTTTAAATGTATAATGCATAAAATAAGGAGAAAGTCAAAAGTATTAACTTTTTTTCAGTTCATGTATTCAAATAAATATTTGACTACTCATCGGTCATTGTTTTAGGCACTGTGTTAAACAGTAAATGACAATTTCAAAGAACATTTTATATTTCTTGGTTATTTCTAGGTATCTATATACTTGGGTAATTGTGTATAACTGCTTCATAGTATTTCTGTAAGTTCTTTATAAGTCAGGCATTTTAAGAGATTGTAGAACTTGGACAGTTAAGGTGTCACTTAGCCAAAAATAGTCAATGCGAAATAGTTTTTACAGGTAATCGCTTTTTGGTTGATACTTTCTATGTGCAAGATATTAGAATAGATAATTATAAATAGCAATAGTTTGTTTTGTTTTAAAATATACTTAGCCTGTGACATATGATGTATAAGGTTGGGTGTGTGAAAGGAACAGCTAACTTTGTCATGTCCTAGGCTGTTCAGCCTGGAAAAGAACAAACAAGTCTAAATAGTTTTCATAGTAAGTATTCAGACATGTGAAGGATTATTTGAAAAGAACATACCTGTATCTTTCCTGAAGTCAAAACTAAAATCTTAAATTTTAAGTTGAAATCTATAGGGGGCTGACCGTGGGATGTTGTGGATTCTCCATTTTGGAGAGCTTAACAGTCAGATTGACAGCCATCTTTCTTGGATTATTTAAGTGCAGTCCTACTAAATAGGGGATTGGACTAGAAAACTTCTTGAGATTGCTTCCAGCTCTGGTTCTGTGAAATACTCTCTAAATTGGTGGTGGTGGGTGGTCCCTACCTTAATGAGATCTTCACTAACTAAGTTATTCTAGTCTAAAAACCTAGTAAGTTTTGCATTTGGTTCAACCTCAAACACTAACACTCTCTTCACATATATATTTCTGTATGTGAAGTTCTGGTAAGTGTGGGTGGGCAGTTTCTAAAATATACTTTGAAGTATCATTCCAGCACTCTAAAGTTAAACATAAAACATAGTATGAGGCAGATCTATTTGAAAGCTTACCCAGTGTTGAACTAGAACATTGCTGGAGTGAAATTTTAACATAGTGGAGTAAAATTTCCAAAGTATTTCTAAAGCATATGTAGATAATTAGTATCATCAACATGTATACTTCAGTGTTTCTAACAACCTTTAGCTACTAAGCAGAAATGTTTACCAAGTTGAGGTCCACTAAGGGATTTAAGGCCTGGGATCTGGGAATTGAGATGTAATACATTTTCTGTAAGTTAAATGTGGGCTGTTTGTTAATGGTATTTATTTCAGTATATTTCTCAACTGTAGTTGAAAGTTTGAGTAGCAAAAATCTTATCAGTTCTAATCTGACTTTATTCCTTGGAAGACTCTCTACAATATAATCTAAATTTTAGGAAATTACAACTGAATAACTTCAACCTTATTTCTGAATGGATAGGTTGTTCATTCACTAAGTGTTTATTAAGTACCCGCTATGTACCATGCACTTTTCTAGGCTTTTAGAGATATAGGGGAAAACATGACAAAGTCTGGACCTTCATGAACTTATATTATCATTTGTTAGTACTAGGGTGTATTCATATTCATTAATACTTCTGTGCATACGCTAGAAAATTCTTTAATGGGCTGTGACCCTCTTCAGTAGGATATTGCCTTCTAAAATTAATGCCAGCGGATTTATAGATACAGGAAATACATTACCATATTGTGCTTGTAAGAAACTGCTTTTTGAGAAATACAACTACATATTCTCATTTTATGCCAGTATTATTTGAATAAACGCCAGCTGATTTAGAAGGTTAGTTGTAGAAACTGAAGGAGAAATTTTGTGGGAAAATTCTAGAGAAGAGACAGGATTTCAGGAAATTTTGAGGAAAGATTAATGCTTGATGTCTTTGGAAAAGGGCTAATCATTCTAGACATATACAATGAAATAGATTGCAAGAAGACTGACAGTGTGATAGAAAGAGTTCATGTAGAATGGAATTATATTCTCTAATGATAATGTAAAAGACTTCCCTCTTAGAATCGTAGAGCTTACTATGGCTATTTCAGGTTCTTTATGTAAATAAAAACAAAAATCTCAGAGTAGTCTGGGCAGAGACAGCTGTAAGTTTCTGACATGGTAGGATCTCCTGTCACTGCTGGTAGAACTGTAAGTAAGGATTATCTGTTTTCCGCCATAATGCTAGTGATAATGAATCCCTGCTCTCTGCAAAAATTTCCCCTGGGCATAGAGGAAGACTGGCTATGGCTAAAGTGTAGGATGAAACTAGGAACTTCTGTTAGAAAAGTATTTTTGCCTGCAGGTAATCTAAAATAATTGCAGATATTAAAGTAGAAGGGTAATTCCATTGAGACACCAACTGAGAGCATCTGGGTGATTTTTTATAGTGCTGGTTAACAGATCACTGTGAACACAGTTATTAGAAGGTAAATGAAATTTGATGATCACGCATGTACTTCTCTAAGAGGGGAAAATACCAGTTGATAATTTGTAGAAGTACCTATAATACATCCTAATGTTGTTTTAGTATGCCATTTACCCTGTGTTCCAGAATATGTACTTGCTATGCCTTGTTTATAAAATAAGTTTTAATGTATCAAGCCTCTGAAAGAGTAAATTTTATGACAAATCTGGGAAGTCATGCTTTATGTACTGGGAGTTCAAAAAATTATTTTTTGAGTCTGTTGCTTTCTAGTCATTTGTCCCAACTTAATATTTTAATATGTATACATCTTGTATAAAACAATTTCTAAAGGATTAAGTTGTATAAATTTATGGATGAACACTCAAAGACTTTTGTCAGGTCATATTTAAAAATATATAGTTTCCTAGGAGAAAAAAGTTTGTTGATAAACAATTCAAACAACTCTGTGGTGTCTAGATTAATTCCTTTCAAGACAAAAAGTCAGTTTGGGAAATAATTAGACCCAGTCAAAATACTGGGATTGAGGGCAGAACCATTTACTCATCTGTAATTCTATTACACATGGTGGTTCTAAATGCAGACTACCAGTTTAATTTCTTGTGTCAAAGATGGTTCCTGTTCTTGATAATATATGCAGTACGTCTGTCTTCTTTTACAGAGGCTGCTATTCCAAAAAGCTTTCAACTCTCAGCAGTTAGTTCATGTCACTGTCATTAACCTGTTTCAACTTCATCACCTTCGTGACTTTAGCAATGAAACCGAGCAGCACACTTATAGCCAAGATGAGCAGCTATGTTGGACACAGTTGCTGGCCCTCTTTAGTGAGTATTGAATTACTTAACATGTGCCATCTTTTTTGAAAAACATCATCTTAGGCATTTCATCGATGTAGCAAAGCACAGTGACATAAAAAAGCATAGTGTATTTCTTACACTGAATCAGGAGTTCATAATAACTTTCAACCCCAAGTTCTATCCTTTTATCTGCTGATACCCCCTCATCAAGTTGTAACTATAACATTTTTAATATGGGAAAGAAAGCGTCTTTTTAGAAAGAAGCTGTAAGATACTCAAGTGTTAAACAGAATATAGTAGAAGGCACATAATATTTTAATTTGAACTGGCACAGTTTCATATTTCTTATGCTTTTTGAATACATTTTTTTTTCAAGTGTCTTTTCTTGGCATCCTGTGCAAGTGTCCTCTACAGAATGAGTCTCAGGAGGAGTCCTACAATGCCTATCCTCTTCCAGCAGTCAAGGTCTCCATGGACTGGCTAAGACTCAGACCCAGGGTCTTTCAGGAGGCAGTGGTGGATGAAAGACAGTAGTAAGTATTTTTAGAATTTCATGTTAACTTGTGTGCTTTGTTTGTTTGATATCCATAAATATGTAAAAACTGCCTTCTAAAATACAACATTTGAACAATAGAATACTGTATTTTCTGCCGACTCTCGGGAATTGAACTGAAGACCTCTTTGTACGCTTTTCATTTGTTTATTTGAATTCTTCATGTGAGGCTTAGTCTTAAGGATTTGTGACTCCTTGTACACTCCCTTGTTCCCAGTTGCTGTCCTGGGGAAAAGGCATTTTTCACATTTCAAAGTGAACTTGAAGTAAAACCAGTTTGTTTCTTATCTATTACAGTATTCCTTAATTTTTTGTTTGAGTTGAAGGGAAGAGATTTTTATTCCATTTTTTTCTGTACATGAACTGTTTGATGTTGCCTTACAGTAACACTCAATTTGAATAATATTTGTTTATTTGAAGCATAAAGATTGAAAGTTATTTTGATTCTCACCATTTTCTCTGTCATCTCTACTCACAGTAATTCTGACAGCTCTTAGGAACCATTGATTTTACAATGACAAATGAAAACTTTCAGTGTACCTTTGATTATAGAAATAAATACTTCCAAGGTGGCTTGGCACCAAATAGGAAGTTCCTCCCCTGCATATTTTGATGGTATATTTAAGGAGAATCTCTTTGAAAGTTTTGCTTTGTGGCCCAGCATGTATATTGACCAAGGTCACAACTTAGAAAATGCCTTTTTTAAGCCACATTTAAGACCCTGTGGGCCAAGCACTGTGGCTCATGCCTGTAATCCCAGCACTTGGGGAGGCTGAGGCAGGCGGATCACTTGAGGTCAGGAGTTTGAGACCAGCCTGGCCAACATGGTGAAACCCCATCTCTTTTACTAAAAATACAAAAGATATTAGCCAGGCATTGTGGCATATGCCTGTAATCCCACCACTTCGGGAGGCTGAGACAGGAAAATCGCTTGAACCCAGGAAGCAGAGGTTGCGGTGAGCTGAGATCGCGCCATTGTACTCCAGCCTGTCTCAAAAAAAAAAAAAGAAAGACCTTATGGTCTGTCTGCTTCATAATTGTCTTTTCTCTCATGTAGTTATAAGCTCTTTCCATGATATATTGACATTATCATGAATAGAGTTTAGGAACATAGCACAGCATACTATATACATCTCCTTTTAATGTTAGCATTGGTTTTAGTAATACGGATTTTCAGACATTGCTTCCTTGCATAAAATTTTTATTTCTTAACTCAGGCTATACAGTTTTTCTACTCTTGTGTACTCTAGAACTCAAATTTATGTTTAATTCAATATATTATATCAGTAATGTTACAAAAGAAGAACTGCATGTTTTACCATTTGCTTATAGAGTTTTTATATTTATGGGTAGGAATTGTTATTTTCATTGTGTTTTGTTTTTTCTTATTGTTGTTCTTGTACAGTGATCCTTTTGGCCCATTCTGTGTGTTCCCATTTCTTCTCATGGCAAAAGATGTTGAACCAGAAGGAACAGCTTTATTGGCAAACATTTTTTCCCTCCATTTTTTTCTGTCATTTACTCTTTCCACTTCCTCCTATCAGATTTACCAAAATCTTTAGAATTATGCCCTTGTAGGTGTTTGATTCTGTGTTAAATTATGTTAGTACTCATTTTAAAGACTAGCATGGGATATCACTTTAAAACTGAAGATTTTTCCTTGTGTGTCTAATACACTAAAGTTATAATGTTCATTTATATCTTTTAAGTAATGGAAAAACAATGACTGTTTCTTTTGTGAACTCAGAATTTTATGTATATTCAAATAATCTTCAGTTTCTTATATCTGGGCCTTCTCAATTTCTAGAATTTACTTTCCCTTGTACTTTTTTGAGAACATACTCTCTTAAGCTAATGAATACATGGAATAGTGATTTTCCTTTGTAGAAAATAGTTATAGGGTAAAGCAGTATATCATTAGGTAATCCACTCATGCGCTTTTTCTACAGTGTTTTCTCGAGAGCTTATGTGTGTTGCATGAAGACATTGTACAGTATAGTATTCTCTTTTAGTTTACTGACCTTTTTTTCCAACTATCTCTTGTAATCTGTTACATCTCCAAAGGTTTGTAGCAGACGTTTATTCTTCAATATTTGTTTATATATTTTTAATATGTGTATATATTTGTTGATATTTTTAAAGTAGCATATTCCCATATTTCAGAGTGTACAACTGTCCCAAATAGTTAACTTACAATTTTCCGTAGTGTGATTATTTACGTCCAGTTTCTCTATCCTGGGCACTTCACCTCATGCTTTTCTTTTTCTTTCTTTCTTTTTTAATAAAAATTGGTTGATACATATTCAGAGGTAAGCTTCATATTAAGGAGAATGTGATTAGACAGATGAGTCTACTGTAGGAAAATCAAAGTAATTGTTTCCAGGCCAAAACCAATTATTTTAAGCTAATTACTTTAACCAAATAATTTTAAGCAACATGGCTACTTCCACCCATCACATCTATTCCTCACCCCAGCAAATGAACACTCAAACTACTTGGATTTGTCTCACTTCAAAAATCTTGCCCTGTCATATATAATACATCAGATTTATAAATTGCTCTTATGTTTGAAAGATAACAGAGATTTTGATACAAATGTTTATATGTAAAGTGATATTTATAAATCTGTATCCATAATGGAAACTTTAACATACCTCACTCAGGAACCAAGGACACAGTTAACAAATACATATATAGTACGTACTTCTGAATAGTGGAAAGAATATGTTCTAATATTTCATGTGTAAGCTTTCACAAAAATTGTGTATTAAGAAACAGAGTTTAGAGTTAAGGCTTTTGTAAAAATGTGGACTTTTTGTACCATAAAAAAAGAGGCATTATCACTTTGAACAGGGAATGTGATTTGTGTGGTATAACCATACCCTGTCACAGATTAAAGAACTAACAGCGGCTTCCACAACTCATAATGTATGTGAAAGCTCTATAAAAACATAGTATGTTATTTCTTTGCTCAGAATTTTCTCAGCCTATTTCAGTTTTCCATGTTTAAAACTGACAAATTATTTTCACCATTTGTTGAATTAGGAGCATGGGAAATGATCTACAGTGGTAGTAGGTCTCTGTCATGGAAATTTGTCCCTTTTGTTGTATCTTTATCATTATCTAGTGTATCTTTGAAAGTACATTTTTAAAAATTATACAGCCTTTGAAATGCTGAAATAAGGGAAAAATACATAAAGTCCAGGACCTATAGATACCATTTTCATGGCTTATTAGTGTTCTGGTTTCTCTTACATAAAAATAAAGTCTGAACTCTTTCTTTAATTTACAGCATTTGGCCCTGGTTGATTTCTCTTCTGAATAGTTTCCATCCCCATGAAGAGGACCTCTCAAGTATTAGTGGTAAGGGCTACCCTAACCTTGTGTTGTTGATGTGGTTCTCCATCATTAATGGTGGCTTAATGCCAGAGAAAAAGAGGTTTTTGGTGATGAATGATTGATTTTAAATTCAGTATCTCAGAAGTGACTGTGAACTCTACATAAGTGGGTGGGTGGAAGTAGATAATGTTCTCCCAGTTCTTCTGGCAGCTTATTCTCATTTAGCATCATTCAAATAGGAGTTCAGAGAGTGTAATACCTTCAGATTCTTTCATTCCTTCCTCCTCATTCTTACTATTTTAAAAAAAGCAATTAACATGAACATTGCTCTGTCAAAGTAATACTTACTCATCGTAGAAAATTTGGTACAAAGAAAAAGAACACAAATCTCCCATACAGAGATACCTTTTACTAGTCACGATAGTATATCTTCTTCGGGCCTTTTTCTTACGTGTGTACACACACACAGGAAATGATTCATATCAAATAAAGTTTTGTGCCTGATTTTGAAATTTAGTATTATATTGTTAGCATTTTCTTTTGTCATTAAGCATTTTGAAAACATGACTTTTACTGGCTTCATAATATTCCATCCTATGGAAGTGCTATAATCTATTTACGCACTTTCTGTTGCTTTAAAATTTTCCCCATTATAAATAAATAATGCTGCACTGAACAACCTCTGGCTTGGCTTCTTTCTGACTTTTTTTTTCCTCTTAAATCCATGCTCCTCAGGCATTAATTTGCACATAAATCACCTGAATCTTTTTAAAATACAGTTTATGATTCAGTAGGTTTGAATTAGTGCCCAAGATTCTGCATTTCTTACAAGCTCTCAGATGATGTCAATGTTATTCAATACTTTCAGTAAAAAGAGACAGGTAATCTAAACATTGGGCTTACTGGATCCAAGACTATGAATTTTTAAGACTGCTGATTTTTTAAAAAGCCATTCTCCTCAGCATTGAGTATTAGGTGAGTGTTAGGGGAATGTCTGTGTCCCAAAGATAACATGCAGAGTTTTGACAGGTGAGTTATTTTCATCAGGATCATGATAAAGAAGAGCAGAGAACAATAAGCATTATAATTTCTTTCTGTATGTTAATTTTTAAAAAAATTTAGTGAACAGTATTCCACCAAACAACATTTTAATTAAAATGTTTGCAAATTTTGATTTTGACCCTTTAGCGACACCACTTCCAGAGGAGTTTGAATTACAAGGATTTTTGGCATTGAGACCTTCTTTCAGGTAGGTGATAGCTGAAGTACCTTTATCATTGCCAGTGATTGCAGTATTAAAATTAGCAGAGAATTGGGCTTGGATGTAGAGGAACCTTTGATCTGTCCCAGCTGTGTGTTATTTTTGTAACGTCAACTAATACTGAAAGTTGTTGTGAATTGGATTTGTGTATGTCACGCCTTCAATTCCTGTGTAATAAAAATTAAAATGTAACCTTTCCATCTGTGCCCTTGATCCCATCCCTTCTCACCTCCCTAAGAACCTTGCTCCATCTGTTATCCTCTCTGCATTGTATTTCCAGTGTCTTGTCTTTCTTTCCTTTCTTTTTTAAACAACTAATTATCTTTAGCCTAGTAACATTTAAGTGTGCCCCATTCTTTTAAAAAGGTAAAATGAATTTACATCCCTCTATTTTCCTACGTTGCCTTATCTTTTCATCATCAAACTTCTTAAAAAGAGTAGTATGCACTTTGGGAGGCGGAGGCAGGTGAATCATGAGGTCAGGAGATCGAGACCATCCTGGCTAACCCGGTGAAACCCCGTCTCTACTAAAAATACAAAAAAAAAAATTAGCCGGGCATGGTGGCGGGTGCCTATAGTCCCAGCTACCCAGGAAGCTGAGGCAGGAGAATCGCTTGAACCCAGGAGGCAGAGGCTGCAGTGAGCTGAGAGATCACGCCACTGCACTCCAGCCTGGGTGACAGAGTGAGACTCCGTCTCAAAAAAAAAAGAGTAGCGTGGGCCAACCTGACTGACTCCACTTCAACTCCTGATCATTTTCAGCCTACTGTGGTTTAAACTATCAGTGCCTTCTAGATACCAAAATCCAGTGACTATAGTCTTTATCCTATTGAATTTTCTTCAGCATTGAGTCCGTCGATTTCCTTCCTTCATGAAACCTTTTTCCTTAGCTCTGTGATGCAATTTTTCCCACCCTTAGCACTCAGTCTTTTTCACTATTTCTTTTAAACTACATGCCTCTGAATGTTGTTGTTTTCCAGGATTCTTTTCTTGCCCTTTCCTTCTCACTTTGTACATTCACCCTGTTAATCAAATCCATCCCTATGTCTCTTGAATGGTATGTCCCAAATTTTCAGCTTTGACTTCTCTTGAAGTTTGGATGCATATTCTAACAATCTGACCTCCCTTACGCATTTTAAACTTTAACGTGACCAAAAACTGAGCTTATATTTTCCGATTTGGTCAGCCAAAAAGCAATCTTCTTTCTCTATTTTCTGTCTGTGCCTGTGGCATTACCCATCTATATGACCAAGCTAGAAATCTGAAAAACCCTTGTTTCTATTTGTCTTTCTCACCAAGCCTTTATAATTATGTGTCTGAAATGCTTCTTAGGTTCAAGTCCTTCCGTTTATTTCCCTATACATAGTTCAGGCTTTTCTCACCAGTTTACCTGAAGTATAAAAACCTTCCTACGTATAGTTCTTCTCCTCCTATAGTCTGTTTCTACACTGCCTATAGTTTTTAAGTATGGAAATAGTGATGTTGCATGACTAATATTTTTATTTACCCATTCCCAGTTGCTCCACTGTCTCTTTTAGCTTGATGCTCAAGTTCCAGCACTATCCAGCTCCTAGTTGTTCAGCCTTATTTTCTTCCATTTCCCCCAGTATTTATAAACTCTATACACTATGTGCTATACTTGAATAGCTCACTATTTTTATTCCTCCACACCTTTGTTCATGTTGTGCCTAGAACATTTCCTTCTCCTCTACTGCCCTTCCATCACCAGCCTGGTAAGCACTTAGCCATACCTGTCAAGGTCCAGCTCAGGTATCACTCTATGAAACCTTTCAGAGCTTCTCAGAAGGAACTCATCCTCCTTTTACTATATTCACTTAATTCTTTACATAGTTCTTATTATGCTTATCAGATTGAATCATAATTATTTATTCCCAAAGGTAGGGACTCTTATTTATCTTTGTGTCCTCAGCATCTAGCCTTCTGCCTGGCAATTCTTAAATCTTCTTAAAAAAAAAAAAAGTTTAATAAGGAGAAATCTGAAAAATCTTTATTTTTTCAGGTTGGTTTACCCTTCTGATATCAATGAGTTATTCTATATGCTTTACGATATTTATACATTTTTCTGATTTAGAATGGTCCACCACAAAGTGGATAGATTAATATTATTTATTAAAATAGGCACCTCAGAGACTCTTAGCATTGCCATGGTCATTTCAAGCAAATTACTTGGCATGCAAGATAAATGTTTATAAAACTTTATTCTTAAAATGATAAAAGAATCTTTCCTAATAAAAAGTTGTGGTTTATTTGAGCTCCCTGACTAGAAAGTGAAATGTGAGTAAAAATATTACATTAATGTAATGAATTTGTATATTTTCTTTTCTGCTTTGTTTCATAGTTTGTAAAAATCTCTGGTAGTATAAATTCTAATAAATGCAGTTGATTACATCAAGTAGCTAACCTATGTGGGAAGTAATCTGAAGCCATTACAGTTAATCAGGTGAACTTGGTTGCCTGGAAAATATCTTTAGCAATTTAATATTCTCATAACTTGCTTGTGTCAATTTTAGGAACTTGGATTTTTCCAAAGGTCACCAGGGTATTACAGGGGACAAAGAAGGCCAGCAACGACGAATACGACAGCAACGCTTGATCTCTATAGGCAAATGGATTGCTGATAATCAGCCAAGGTAAGTCTGGAACTTCTGGTCTACCCCTTTTTAACCACCTTTTTAGATAAACACATGCGCGCACACGCGCGCGCACACACACACATCTCATATGTTACGTATTTTAGGCTTTGGTATAAATATTGTCAATCATGAACTCTTAAATCGACATGTTGGTAGCACAACATCTAATTATAACCCTAGTGAGTAAGTATACTCTTTATTTAGAATCTCTGTTCTCCCTATTGTGTATTACAGAGGTCTTTCTTGTTTATCGTGAGTTTCTGCTCTAATTTATAAATATCTCTGTAAATCTAACTGAACTGTACTTTCACAGTCATGGTAATTTGTATTGGCCTGGGCATGGTAGTCAGTTTCAGGCAGGACAGACCAAGATCGTGCTAGTAGCCAGTTAAGTACAAAGCAGATGTGGTCGTTAGTGTAGGGAAAAGAACGCAGGTTTTGTAATTCCATTGGTTTGAGTTCCGTTTCGAGTTCCGCAGCTTCTCAAGTGGGTGTCCTTGGGATCTCCCCAGTAGATTATAACCTTTCCAAAGTCACTAACTACTTCCTCATTTTTGTATTCAGGTTTCTGTCATACAGTAGGTAGTTAAATGCTTCCATGTTTGAATGAACTTACCACCTCCAAGCTTCAATTTTCACATCTATAGAATAGGAATTATATATAGCTACCTTATAGGACATATCAAGGGCCCTAGACCAGTGTCTTGCACTTGAAGCATGCTCAGAAAATGTAAATTCTAGCAAACGTTGAAAGAGCCAGAGGGATAGGTTGTGACGATGTTAAGTGTGATAATGAGAACCTCAGTTTCTACATAACTACTTTTTGTGTTACCTGAATCCACATTGTTATATCCTGCTGTTTTCATGGTTATTAGTGCTAGGAATATATTGACTTGGATCCACACACAATTCAGTTGTTATTTTTTAAGTTAATGTTTTTTATATATGGATTTATTTTTGCTTTTTTAGGCTGATTCAGTGTGAAAATGAGGTAGGGAAATTGTTGTTTATCACAGAAATCCCAGAATTAATACTGGAAGACCCCAGTGAAGCCAAAGAGAACCTCATTCTGCAAGAAACATCTGTGATAGAGTCGCTGGCTGCAGATGGGAGCCCAGGGCTAAAATCAGTGCTATCTACAAGCCGAAATTTAAGCAACAACTGTGACACAGGAGAGAAGCCAGTGGTTACCTTCAAAGAAAACATTAAGACACGAGAAGTGAACAGAGACCAAGGAAGAAGTTTTCCTCCCAAAGAGGTGAGAAGGGACTATAGCAAAGGAATAACTGTAACTAAGAATGATGGAAAGAAGGACAACAACAAGAGGAAAACTGAAACCAAGAAATGCACCTTAGAAAAGTTACAGGAAACAGGAAAGCAGAATGTGGCAGTGCAGGTAAGCTGTATTTGAACTATAAAGCAGGTAGAGGAAGGCTCACACAAAAGGCAAGATTTTTCATTTTGTTCTAAAGCCATGAGAATTGGCCGTCCTGGAAGTTTAAATGCATTATTTAATTGCATAGTAAGGTTATATAAAGAGCTGTGATAGATGGTTACTTTTTCAATTCTTGGGAATTGTGAGTGAAAAAAAAATCTCAGCCTGATTTGACACTTTCGTCAGTCTTCACCAATTTAAGCAGTTTGAAAGGATTAGTTGCAGAGTTGTCAGTTTCACACAGGATTATATTTTATTTAGAAGATATAACTACCATTTGTCAATGCTATAGTGGAGATTTGGGGTCTTCTGTAGATCCAGTAGAACCAAGAGTATATTAAGGCTTATGCAGTTTTTTTTTTTAGATTCACTATAATATATATATATGTGTGTGTGTGTGTGTGTGTGTGTGTGTGTGTGTGTGTGTGTATTTTTTTTCTTGGAAAAATATGAGACTTTTTTATTGACAATTATACTTGTCCCGGCTATTGGTATTAATATCACTTTAATCTTATCCTGGATCCTGGGAATTTATAAAGGAAGAACCCAGGTTTCTTGCTGGGAAAAGATAAGCACTGCTCAGTTATTTGTGACTTTCTTTTTATTAATATATTTTCCCAAATAGAAAAGATGGTTTCATGTAAACAGAAAAGGGCCTTTATTCTGTGATGGTTTTATTAATACTATTAATGTTTGAATAAATACTTAAGCAGCCATGTGAGTTGTTAACACATTTTAGCAAATGTATGTGTTTGCATGAGAAACTTTACATTGTTGAAGGCTGCTTACAAATAAATAGTACCTTTGAAGTATTTCTCTAATTTTTTTGAGAAAGAGAAATAAGAAAATAATAGTTCCATTTTAACATTATAGCAAGGAGAGAAACAGAAAGACAAGGTAGAAATTAAGACATAGGGGAGAGAGAGAGATGCTAGGGAAAGGCAAGAAAAAAAAAAATGAACTAGAAAGCCAAAGGATCCGAGTTTTAGAGATAATGAGTCCAGCATTTTCTGTTTACCTTTCCTCCATTCTCTGTAACTGCTCACAATAAGGTCCAGACTGAAAATACAATCTCCTTTTTTGGTTTCTCATCCATCTCAAATCACCTATAAATGATTAAAGAAAGAAAGAGTAAACATATCACCACACTCTGTACCTCGTCCTGGGTTTTCTATAAATGCTACTCATGTTCCCTCATTTTGCTCAACTTTGAGCAGTGCATATGACATCTACTCTCTGGCTCCATCTATAGGATCTCAGGGCCTGTTCCTTACTGCTGAAAGTATCCTTATTTATTCTGAAGGGTGGTAAAGTTGCAGGGTGGAAGGTGGATGCCTGACTGCACATATGGCTACCCAGATGAAATCAAACTGAGGGCCAAAATAACTCACCTATGGGTTAATAGTCATTATTAGTTCATAATTCATGTATGTCGTTTAATGAATTAGAGTATAGAGAACCCTGGGCCCCAGAACAAGCAACTTAAAGTCATAGACAAGTTTTTTTCAACTTGTTAGCATCAGGCATCTCATTTGTAAAACAAATGGGCTCTAAGGTCCTTTACATTTTTGGATTTTTGTGATCATGGGAAAGCAAAATAATTAGTAAAACTAAGATAGTAAAATTATCTTTTATTGGCTATTAAATAATTTGCTTTGATTTTCCATTTTTAACTTAGGTGAATTTAAATATCTTCAGCATGTACTTTTTGATCTAATGAGGTTTTAAATACTTTCTTAGGAGTAGGGTCTTCTTTCTAGCACATTTGAGTTTCAATTTATTATAGATAGTTTTGCTTCTATTGGTTACAGGTAAAATCCCAGACAGAACTAAGAAAGACTCCAGTGTCTGAAGCCAGAAAAACACCTGTAACTCAAACCCCAACTCAAGCAAGTAACTCCCAGTTCATCCCCATTCATCACCCTGGAGCCTTCCCTCCTCTTCCCAGCAGGCCAGGTAAATATGTTTTGTAATTTCTTCTACTTAATCTTTTCTGTGCAAGAATTTCTATTCAGTCACTGAGAAATGTGTTTTCTGTTGGAGTAATGTTACTAAGCCATAAAAAGTTCTATTTTCCCTAATACTTATAAAATTATTTTTGAACTGTTTGTGTGTAGTGTACATACAAGTGCATGTTTGTTATTATGAAGGAAATCCTATCACTAAATACAGAAGCTACTCACAGAACACTGATTACTTCAGTGGATAGAGGAAAAATATCAAGTCTATTTTTAGTTCTTCAAATCAAGTTAAAGATTGACAACATGACTAATCTCTTTTGTGATGTGTTAGAAGACTCCCTCTACCTACCTGTTAAAAAAAAAATGACTTTTTTTGCAATTTTTTGCTGTTTCCTTAAAACTAAAGCTGTGTTCTTCTGTTTTGAAGGGTTTCCGCCCCCAACATATGTTATCCCCCCGCCTGTGGCATTTTCTATGGGCTCAGGTTACACCTTCCCAGCTGGTGTTTCTGTCCCAGGAACCTTTCTTCAGCCTACAGCTCACTCTCCAGCAGGAAACCAGGTGCAAGCTGGGAAACAGTCCCACATTCCTTACAGCCAGCAACGGCCCTCTGGACCAGGGCCAATGAACCAGGGACCTCAACAATCACAGCCACCTTCCCAGCAACCCCTTACATCTTTACCAGCTCAGCCAACAGCACAGTCTACAAGCCAGCTGCAGGTTCAAGCTCTAACTCAGCAACAACAATCCCCTACAAAAGCTGTGCCGGCTTTGGGGAAAAGCCCGCCTCACCACTCTGGATTCCAGCAGGTAAGTTACAGTTGTGTGTACTATCCAGCTGAATGAAATAAGGGGAAATGCTGAAAGATTCAATGTTAGAAATGCTCATTAAACTTTGACATACTTCTTGCTTAGATTTATAGTGATTATGGGAAAACAAAAGTATTGTCTCTACTGTTTATGAAAGTTCAAATGTTTTCCTTACTCTTGTAAAGGATAAAATACTAGATCTTAAGTACCATTCTTGGCTGCTACTAAGTGTCCATTTTATTGAAAATGGATTTTCTGCAAATAATTCTCCTATAGGAACATAAACTACTAGGGAAATAGAATCACAGTCTTGATGAGGTGCTAAGACAGATGTGACACCAATCTTAAATGTTGTCGTTGGAAGCACAGCACTTGAAGCAGAAAGGGGAAACAAACACTCTTATGCAAATATATTCATTCATTCATTAAACCTCTTAAATAGTTGAATTAAAAGAAAATATGAGTGTGGTGCCCATAATCTGTTTCCAAAAAGCTCTGAGTATTGAATAGCCCAAAAGGTAAAGGAAACTGCTGCCTTGCCTAGAGTTTTGTTGGTTGGAAAACACCCCAAGTTCATTCTGTGATTCTTTAGCATTCATTATAAGTAATATTGCATTTTATCCTCACCTTTATGACAGGCGTCTCTTTTTTAGTATCAACAGGCAGATGCCTCCAAACAGCTGTGGAATCCCCCTCAGGTTCAAGGCCCATTAGGGAAAATTATGCCTGTGAAACAGCCCTACTACCTTCAGACCCAAGACCCCATAAAACTGTTTGAGCCGTCATTGCAACCTCCTGTAATGCAGCAGCAGCCTCTAGAAAAAAAAATGAAGCCTTTTCCCATGGAGCCATATAACCATAATCCCTCAGAAGTCAAGGTCCCAGAATTCTACTGGGATTCTTCCTACAGCATGGCTGATAACAGATCTGTAATGGCACAGCAAGCAAACATAGACCGCAGGGGCAAACGGTCACCAGGAGTCTTCCGTCCAGAGCAGGATCCTGTACCCAGAATGCCGTTTGAGGTGTGTGTTCTTTCCTATCACCAGGCAATTTGGAGATAGGTCTGAGGTTGACTGTCTTTTGAATATCTCAAATAGATCTTATAAAAAGGCCACTCTTATTCGTTAGTACTATAGAATGCCACTGAGTATTGGTGTAGCTCTTGGTTTCCTCCTCAGAGTTGCACAGTATGTTTTAGTTTGGAAGCTGAAGAATTCCGTAACTGATTTTGAACTCTGATGGTCTGGCAAAGAAACCATGTACAGAAATCTCTAAAACAGCATGTTAGAGAATTCTGAGACAAAGCACTCCTCTCAGTTGGGCTGAATCATCTAAGTTTAAAAATAGGTTTACTGATATTTAAATAAATTGCTCTCTGAGAGGAACAAGGTTAGCCAGTTATCTTGGACAGTGGAGGTCCCTTTCTTTGCCCTTTTTATTCATGAGAAACAGGTGAATGTTAGTAACTTTTTAAAAGATCTGTTTCTCTGTTAGCACAAGATATGCTAATCATTTTGCTCCATAGCATTGTTTTACTCACTAGCCACATTAACCTTTTGTGTTCTGCTCTGTCAGTATTTTTGCTTTTCTATTGTCTTGAACTTTCTCCATTATTGTCCTTGTGTCGCTTTGCCTTTGCATTTCAGAGCGTTTTTTCTCTTTGCCTAATACCATCTATCTCACTATCCCCTTGACTTTAGTTGTCTTCTTCCACCTAATTATGCTACTATTCCTTTATGCTTTTGTTATCCCTTATTGCTTCTCACTGTGATGCTTTCTGTCACTAGGACCCCAAGAGCTCCCCTCTGCTTCCTCCGGACCTGTTAAAGAGTCTGGCTGCCTTGGAGGAAGAGGAAGAGCTGATTTTTTCTAACCCTCCTGATCTTTACCCGGCTCTGCTGGGGCCTCTCGCCTCTCTTCCTGGACGAAGCCTTTTTGTATGTATTTGACATAATTCTGCTTCTTGGTCTAACCCCCAGCTGCTTCTCTGAGATACTGTAGTACACAGATTAGGTGATTTCTTCTCTTCCTGGGGCTGTCCTTTTCAGAACTGTAAAACATATTTTCTAATTGCCTAAACCAACCTTAAGTTGGTAGTAGGATATAGCAAAACATTTCTGCCTTTATAGTTCTCCCAAATCATGGAGACATACCTTGGTTTTATGTGTTATCCAGAAAGCATTCTGCAGAGCTGGTCACACACACGATGTGATGGTGACAAATTAACTCACTTTGCAGGTGACACTTCCATCTGGACCCAGAAATTTTAAGTATCATTTAATCTTGCTTAGGAACAGTGAGATTTATTTCTCATATGTAGCCAAAATATGAAAGGAAATATGTTCTTGATTTTTTTTTTGACTGACATTACTGAACAGTATATGGCTCTTTTTTGTTTGGTTAACTAAATGCAGAAAGAGCCCTGATCTAAATTCAAAGTTGGATTCATAAACAGAATGAGTAAAAATGAAGAGGATTCTATTTATAAACATTGTCAGAGTGTCATAAATGAGTAAATATGAAAATAACTAGAATCACATAAAATAAAATCTGAGAACTCAGCCTGCATTTCAAAGAACATCATTCTATATGCTTGTCAGTGTTCATATTATATTTTACTGTGGGTGGGGAGTATAAAAGATGGAAAGAAAGATGTATGCTATGAGGCTTTTTCCCCTCTCTTTATTACACCTTAATAAAACATAAAAAGATAGTAAATTTTACTTTCTTGCTGTTTCTTTCTCATAAACACAGGGCAAGAACACATTCGTAAAATTAAAGTACATTAATTTTAGTGTCAAGAGAAATAAAACCTTAACAGCTTTCATGACATTGCTGCCATCCCTGGCACTTGAAGTTCCCTTAAGAATTTGCCTGGGTAGTAGCAGTAGGGGCCCCATACCAAGTTATTAAATAATAGCAATAAAAGATCCCCCTGGAGACTTAAATGGTAGCAGTGCCATGGCTGAGCGCACAGGGATTGTGGAAGCTCAGCTGCTATACTGTTGCCTCTCTATGTTTGCCTTTCTTGTGGCTTTTATGCTAGAGTGGCTTTAAGGACTGAGGGTAGTGCTTCTCTGTCCACTTGTTTCCTAATCCCTTAGTTCCTGTTCCTGTTCCCTTAGTGTCCCTTTCATTGGAAATGGAGCTGATGGTAGAACAAGTGGGAGTATTTTCAGGGTTTTTTTTTCATGTTTAAAAGACAACAATGAATAAAAAAAACTTCGACTATAACCCTTCCAATATTTAACATTAATGATACAACGTATGTCAAAGTGCTTCTCTTGTCGTAGGTATTTAGTAATGTTTTATTAGCCAGCTATTCAGTGACAGCATTAGAGATTCAGCTTTGTTTCTCCTAATAACTTTGCTAGGGCCAATAAATGTAAGCTTGACTTTTAGCAACTGTTTTACTATATACTGCAAATAGAGCTGCTTAAAAAGCATATTAACAAAGCCATTTGTCAAATGGATTTGAAAGGCTTTTTAAAAGTCACCAATGTTAATGTTTTAAAAATTGTGGGGTGGAGAGAAACAGTGTTGGAACAGTTCAGCATTTTGTTTTGAGATTAAGTGCAACTATTGACAAGGGGATTCCTGAGGTCCATGCCTCATAAACACTCAGAGTGCTGTTTACCAGGGTCTCTGGTCCCTGCCAGAATATAATCTCTGACTAGGTTTGATCTAAAAGGAGGATTCTATGCACCTGTGGCAACTGGCACTTAGGCGGTGTCTTGGTGTTAACAGATTTGAATTCACATCTTCTGAGCCTCAAATTGTACTCAGTGGGCGAATACAGGCATGCTTTTGCTTTGGTTCCATAGTATGGTAAGATTAATATTAAGAAAATAGAAGGTATAACTTAATTACCTTTTTTTCTGGGACTGTGAAGAAATCCTTATTGGAGAAGCCCTCAGAGCTCATGTCACATTCATCCTCTTTCCTGTCCCTCACCGGATTCTCTCTCAATCAGGTAGGTGAACAATGAAGAATCCTGCTGTGTGCTTTTAGTGTAGACTGATCATTGTCTTTCTCATACTGTTTCAGTATGTCTGTTTTTTCTTTATTTTCCATGTATTAGTGTATTCCAGATATTTGATTTTATCCCCCTTGTCTCTGATTGGGGCATACTAGTGACTTGTACATCATGAATTAAAACCCTTTAACTTCTCATTAATATTGAAACCCTTAGGGCTCTCTTTTTGAGCCAAATAAATTATTCACATTTTCAACCTGGATAGTTTACACAGAGCAAATTTAAGGGTGAGAGAAAGCAAAGAGGAAAATTAATTTGACTGGAAAATTGAAACAAAAAGAAATAAAAGCCTTCAAAATTTCTCTTCCTAAGAAAAGCTTAAGGTGTACCAAGCATCCATGAACAAGACATTGGATTTTCTCAAATCTCTTTCCTTGGGGTGAGTTTATAACTTCACTGTCATGTCTTTCAGGAAAGATACCCAAATAATAGTATGTTCAATGAGGTATATGGGAAAAACCTGACATCCAGCTCCAAAGCAGAACTCAGTCCCTCAATGGCCCCCCAGGAAACATCTCTGTATTCCCTTTTTGAAGGGACTCCGTGGTCTCCATCACTTCCTGCCAGTTCAGGTATTAACTACTCTTTAAATTATAGACCTTACATTTCCTGTACACTCAGATTGATTAAGGGATAGTGAGATTCTGTAATTACAAATATATCATTTGTTGGGTTATTTTTATTTTTTGTTTGTTTGTTTTTGTAACTTCTGAAAGGAAATAGAAAAAAAAAAAGAAGAAGCCGGTTTATGTAATAAATGCTACTGACAAAACTTTTTACATCCTCAGTAGCCAGCAGAGATGTAAGGGAGAAAATAGAGGTTCTATCTTATGGTTCTCAGCTGCTTTTTAGTTTTATTTGTAGGTGTTCATTCTTTGCAGAAAAATTGCACTTTTTTTTTTGAGACAGTGTCTTGTGGT
Source organism: Homo sapiens (assembly GCF_000001405.40). Classification (NCBI taxonomy): domain Eukaryota; kingdom Metazoa; phylum Chordata; class Mammalia; order Primates; family Hominidae; genus Homo; species Homo sapiens. The sequence goes on from NC_000001.11 coordinate 183,550,272, forward strand.
GTTGCCCACTCTAGACTCAAACTCCTGGGCTCAAGCAGTCCTTCCATCTCAGCCTCCCAAGTAGCTGGGACTACAGGTGCACACCACTGTGCCCAGCTCTGCACTTTTTAAAATTGAGATTTTTAACTTAGAGTCTGACTTAATAGTAATTCTTAAGGTTAGCAAATTCTTTCTGATACATAAGACCAATAAACATGTATCTGAAATAGCCGTGTGAGAATAGGGCATTCATTCAGTTGACAAAAATTGCCTACTATTTTATTTTGCTTTTTTAAGGCGAAGAATATGCCTTAGATATGTGTGGCAGGGCAAATTAGTGCATCTAGCAGATCTCTTTGGAGCCTTTAGTTTCCCTTTCCTTCAAAGCCCTGTGGTTATTGTTAGTAGAATTTTAGTGATCAGATCTACAGGAACCTGTAGTTCTTTGTATGTTTGTGAAACAATGATTTACTATATCCTGTGTTGCTATTATTTAATAGATCATTCAACACCAGCCAGCCAGTCTCCTCATTCCTCTAACCCAAGCAGCCTACCCAGCTCTCCTCCAACACACAACCATAATTCTGTTCCATTCTCCAATTTTGGACCCATTGGGACTCCAGATAACAGGGATAGAAGGACTGCAGATCGGTGGAAAACTGATAAGCCAGGTGAGATCTACATTTCATTGCCAGGCAAAATTGAAAGAATTTACTCTATCCTTCCCTGGGGTCTGGCAATTGGCAGTGATAGAACATCTTCTTGAATTTTTCTTATCTCTTTTCATCCCTTAGCCATGGGTGGGTTTGGCATTGATTATCTCTCAGCAACGTCATCCTCTGAGAGCAGTTGGCATCAGGCCAGCACTCCGAGTGGCACCTGGACAGGCCATGGCCCTTCCATGGAGGATTCCTCTGCTGTCCTCATGGAAAGCCTAAAGGTGAGTAGATTTCAGGAACAAGAACCACAAGATTATTACAGCAAAGGTGTCTCTGCTTTCATTCACATAAATAGCTAGACTTCTCAGGCCCTCGGAGTTGACTGATACATAGCACATATATAACAAAGTCCTAGAAACATGGTCTGCCTTACAAGATTCTTGAGTGATAATTTTTAATTTCTGAATTCACTAGTGGTAAAGCAGTATCTTCAGGAGGACAAAAACAAAGGTTTTAGTTTCATTCTAAGGTTAAGAAAATTCTGATTCATTTTGGAATGTTTGATTTAAGCCTTTTCTGACAAAATAAGAGTATCTAATTTTAGAAATGTTTTATTTGCCTGAAAACTTTATAGTAAATGCCCTGTGTGGTACCACATACAGCTGAGTTTCAGTAAAAAGACTTGACATAAAATGTGATTTCACTTCTTCTGGTTTAAAATAGTCTTAATGGAAACTAACTAGCTTTAAGAGTCTTATAATGACTTTTTCTAATAGCTGGATTTTTATGGGGAGTGGGGTTGGGTTTTGGGGCCATATATATGCCTTTATATTTGGCTGGGATTGAAAAATCCCTTTCAGACAACTTGGCATTTGACCTCTGCTGACAAGATCTGGACTGTTTTTCAGTCTATCTGGTCCAGTTCCATGATGCATCCTGGACCTTCTGCTCTGGAGCAGCTGTTAATGCAGCAGAAGCAGAAACAGCAACGGGGACAAGGCACCATGAACCCTCCACACTGAGGCCAAAGTGGCAACCTGGGAATGAAGGCTCCATAAACCATGGCATGTTGGGTTTGCAGGACTGGCCCACACAGTCCCCTGCAGGTGGCAGCCCTCTTTTCTGTTTCTCGCTGTCAAGAGGGTGTAAGTATTCCACCAGCCCGCTGAGTGTGCACGAAATGTTCGCAGTGCAACAAAAAGAAAAATCCATCAGGAACTCTCCGTCCCCCCGGGGCCCTCCGGAGGGAGAGAGAGAGGAACTGCTGTTTATCTCACTCAGTTACTTGGTATCACCGCCTCTCACCTTCTCCATCGTGCATGTCCCCAGCCACATGGGAAGTGAAAGCTGAGAAGGGAAGGCAGATGGGAGAAGCCAATGGGAACTTCTCAGTCCTTTTTTCCTCTTTGGGGAATAAAATAGGAATCCATTAATGATTGCTTTGCTGACTGAGAATGTAGTTGAAATTATTCTTAAACATCTTTTATTATTATTACTCTCAGTAGTAAAATATCACACTGAATTCTTCCATACACAGGTGTGCTTCTAGTCAGTGTGTAGCAAGGAAAGCCCCGTTCACTGCTCCTGTGAGAGGTTGGTGGTGACAGGATGGGGAACCGACCTCTTCAGCCAGTGGAAATGTTCCATAAGGGAGAGTTCAAGGCCTGTCAGAAGGCTCTGGTAGGCCTTCCTCTGGCCAGGAGACTCCAGCAGGGAATGCCCTTCACTCTGTAGGTGCTCGAGCCCCAATCGAGGATACAGTGTGGGTGGTGGTGCTGGGCTGGACTAGCAGGTAGACTGCTGTAGGATTTCAAATTACGTTTTTGATTCCTGTACATTTTACAGTCGCACAGCAAGCAGTCTCACAGAAGGCAGGCTAGTCCATTCACAGCCTGACACGTTCTAATAGGTAGAAGCTTTCAGTGTGGTTATTTTTTCTTTGGTTGGTTTTTGTGCCCCCATTCTACTTCCCACCCTCCTGCCCCATCTCCATCCCTTCTTTTACCCAATGCTGTATGCTAGTAATTGTTTTTATTCCTAATGTGTGCAACATCACATCTCCCCAAGAAGCAACAGCATGGGGTCCAGCAGTTGGGGCCCAAAAGACAGTCTGAAGAGGAAGGAAGCAGCAGTATCTGCGTAGCCCACAGAGGGCCCAGGCCCCTGCCCAGCTGCAGTCTCCCAGCCTCCACTTTCAGAGTGAAATTCAAGGCAGCACGGACATGTGCCCATCAGGCACAGAAGAAAACACGACGTCGTCCATTTTGGAAGAGACGAAAGAAAGGAAAATAAACTCTTTGTATGATATTTATTAGGAGGAAAGAGGACTGAAAATGTTCTTGTGTAGAAACAGAAGGACAGCATTTCTGTTAGTCATTTCCTGGAAAAGTAATATTTTAAGGGGAAATTATGGAAACAATCTAATTGTTCAATTGCTGTGCTAGTGGTAGGGTTTATTTTCTGGGAGGTCTCTCCTTTGTGTGTCTGTATGTTTGTGTACACACACGTGCCCATCTGCTGTCCCAGAGGGGAGGGGTTGTGTGTGCGAGTGTATGGAGTTAGTGTGGAACTTAAGAGCTGGAAGACAGCTGTAGAGCAAAGCACATCCAGGAGCCCCAGTTGTCACTGCAGTCTGGGCAACCCCAGCAATGAAAAGGGGTGAGATAACGCTCATTGCTCTTCAGAGAGAGTGGTTGGAGCCCCCCCCGCCCCGTATGCTTACATTATTGCTCTTTTAGTTTGACATGGTGTTTGGGTTTTGTTTTTTTGAAAGGTCTGAAAAGGTGAAGCCCCCTACCCAATGGCAATATGAAACCTTTTGTGCTTCTCTTCAGCCCCTTCCCTGTGTCCACCTTTCTCTCCTCTTCCCAAGCCTTTTTCCTACTACCTTTACCCAGTTTGTGTGTTTGAGCTCTGCATTCAGGCAGCTGCAACATTCCAGTGTTTGAACTGTCACTGATTCTTGCGCCCTAGACAAGCTAACCAGGTTTACCATCTCACTCCCAGTAATACCCAGCTCCTATCTAAAGCCCCATTCTGCATGAGAATTTGGTGTTTGGAATGTTTTCTGACTCTTGGGGCGGGATTCCTCGCCTTATCATCCTCACTGTGGAGTAATGAGGGGGAGGAGAATCTTTATCAGAAACTGGTTTTGTGTAGTAAACTTTCTTTTGTGGTTTTTTGTTTTGTTTTCTGGGTTTTGTTTTTTGTTTTTGTCTGTGCAAGACCTGCAGCTGCTGAAAATCAGCTTTGCCTTTAATTAAACCATGTTCTCTCCAACCAGATCTGTGTATCGATTCTTTCTTTTCTATCCTAAAAGATATAAAAGAAGTATTGAAGAAAATCCAACTTAAAAGGCAAGAATTTCAACTACTCACAGGTCATCCAGGGAAAGGCATAAATGGTCAGAACTTGAATATTTTTCAGGGTTAATTTTGCTTTTAGTAGCATTCCAAACCAATGAATTACGGAAATTATAATTAATTGTAATGGAAAGGCATGAGTAGTAAGAAATCGATTATCAAAATTCTTTTATTTAATAAAAGAATGCCTTATGTTAAGGAATTAAGAGCCCATCATTTTTATTTTTATTCCTATTGTAGCTGTTACTGAGGCAGTTCAGAGAGTTTATCCTTTTGGCCTGTAAAAATTCACTGAATCTGATTAGCAGCAACATTAATTAATTCTTCTTCTTAGCTTTGGGGTTTCTTTTCTTTGAGTTGTGTCCAAAGTTTCCAGTGATTGGTAGCTTGCTGGGTCTTCCAACTGTGTGCTGGAAGCCAGTGGTATAGCTAACCTTAATGCCTGTGTGCTCACCCTGACCGGCTATCCTTTCACCTGCATGTTGATTCAGTCTGCAGTTCACTTCCTTATTCTGCTTTTCACAGGCGCCTGCACACTTGAAAAATTGTTAGCAAAGCTCCACATACGCTACAACAAGAAGTGGGTAGGGAGAGGAACTAAGGCCAGGCCTTAAGGTCTAATAGTTTAGTTAGTTACAGAATCCTTCACCCAAGTTAATCCTGAAAAATTGGACAATTGGGTTAGCCAAATCCATAGCATTCTGTTATGTATATTAGTATAGCATAGTATATGCAGTCATTTACCATATAACAATGTTTTGGTCAACAATGGACTGCATATACAATGATGCTCCCATAAGATTATAATACATTTTTGCTGACCTTCTCTATGTTTGTTTACACTGATGATACTTACTTACCATTGTGGTATAGTTGCCTGCAGAATTCAACATAGTAACATGCTGTACAGGTTTGTAGCCTAGGAGTAGTAGGCTATACCTGGTAACCTAGCTGTGTAGTAGGCTATACCATCTAGTCTTGTGTAAGTGCACTCTAGATGAGTTTGCACAACACGTTTCTCAGATCATGTCTCCATTGTGAAGCAGTGCATAACTGTATTACGAAGTGTCAGCTAACAAGATACTACTTACGAACTAGCTTCATGAACACCGCTGCTTTTCATCACTTAAATGTTGGCGATTGATATATATTCAGTATTGAGTTCTTAACACATGTTCCTCTCTGAGAATGTACAAAGGTATGTAATTCTATTAATTCTCTGTGGAATTGAGTGTTGTAGTCCATGAGAACCTAACTCAGTCTAGGTTCTGTTTAAGCAACAAGACATAATGAAAAAAGAAAACAAACAAGTTTATTTGTATATGCCTTATGAGTAACCTATAAGGTTACTTCAAGCCTTAAGAGCCAATTACAGTAATGGTTCAGAAACAGGAATATTTGTACTTACTCCTTGGGCCTGGACTTGGGTGTCTTGTTTTTGTAAGATGCTAGGTTTTTTTTTATTGTGGTATGACACAGAAAAGTGCACCAAATGTACAGCTTGATGAATGTTTACAGTGTGAACACAGCTGGCTAGCTAGCACTCAGAGCAAGAAACAGGATCAGTACCTGGAAGACTCTCTCGTGCCCTTTCCAGACACTTCCATCCACTTTTCCTCTCCCCTAACTCCTCCATTCACCTGTCCCCATCTCCTCACCCACTGTGCCCCAGGAAATCATCCTGGGTACTCACATCATTGTCTAGTAGGTTAAATTTTAACAGGGAATAAATAGTTAACACTTCCAAACTGTAATGTCTCAGTACAGTATACAGCAGAAGGGTGCTAAATCTTACAAACAAGTAATAGGGCTTCATTTTCTTCAGCTTTGTAGTTTGTGAAACATCCTAGACTTCTCTCCGAGTGCTTTCCAAATCTGTAGTTGCGCAGTCTTCAACAAAAACTTTGGGGAAAATGCCCACCTTCCCTTTGCACTCCCCTTCCAGCCATTCTTCATTCACTGATAAAAGGAAAAGTACACATGGATTTCTAAAACCACTGTAGGAAGATTACCCTGTCTGGCTATTCCACACAGAATTTGTTATCTGTCACCCTTCCCCACCCCTAATTGTGATCAACAGGGAAAAGACAGTATTGCAAAGTGGTTTGAGAGTGAACACAGGGTTTAACCATCTTATTGATCTGTCTTAAACATGATAATGAGCAAAATGAAGAAGGATAAATTATGTTTTTCAAAAAGTTACCAGATAGAGAAGAAGGGTCAAAGAAATTGAACAACGAATCCTTAAATAGAATTTCTGTCCTTTCCCCACCCCCAACCTTGACAGGGTCTCACTGTCACCCAGGCTGGAGTGCAGTGGCACAATCTGGGCTTACTGCAACCTCTGCCTCCTGGGCTCAAGTAATCCTCCCACCTCAGACTCCCAAGTAACTGCAACTACAGGCTGTGCCACCACGCTTGGTTAATTTTTGTATTTATTAGAGACAGGATCTCGCCATGTTGCTCAGGCTGGTCTCAAACTCCTGGGCTCAAGTGATCCACCCAACTCAGCCTCCCAAAGTGCTGTGGTGATAGGGGTGAGCCACCGTGCCTGGCCCAATTTTTTAAGAGAGGAGAGAATTTTACCTGCGCTTTGTTGGGAATCTTTGTTTTGACTACAGAAAAGGGACATGCCATTGGTTAAATATATTAAAAATGAAAGTTCTTTAGTAAACTTTCTTCTTTTCACTGAACTCCATTAAACAGGTGAGCTGGAGCTAGTGATGGGTTAGTACATGTTTGTTAAATATAAATATTTTAATAGCTCCTACTCAGAGCCTTTAATAGAGTGCAGGCATTGTACTTAAAAAATATATTCAGACTTCATAATAACTTGTAGGTATCCATATTTTACTAAGGAAAAGGAGACCCAGAGAGATGAATAGTTTGTTCAGAGCCATTCTGCCAGTAAAAATCAGACAACTTAGGTATGATCTCCAAAGCCCACCTACCTGACCACACAGCCAGTTCAGAAGTTTGTCTTTGTACATCTAGATCAGACATTAAGGCACTGGTGCCTGGATCCTGCCCCCAGAAATTTTGCTTTAATGTGTGGTGTGACTGGGCAGCAGTTTTTTCAAAAGTTCCCTTAGGTAATTCTAACTGCAAATCACTGTCTTGATTCTTCTTACAGGGTAGGTCGTGGACTGGAAGCATATTAGAAATGAAAAATCCCAGATCCAAACCAGAGTCAGAATCCATTTAGGAAGATTCGCAGGTGATTCACATGCACATTAAAGTTTGAGAAACACTTTGTAGATGAGACCATCTCATAACTTGAATGCAATTGAACTCCCCTCTGTCCTACCCTGACCGCTAAATTCTGTTTTCTGTTGAAGTGCTACAATATGGGTATTTCCTCAACTTAGACTTGTACAGATAGGTCATAGTAAGACGCATACTGGCTTCTCTCCATATCTACCCAAAAGGTTGTTTTAGTGTGTTCTTTCATTGTATTCCTGCTCCCTCTCCCAAACTCCAGACAATTGAGCTGGTTGGTTGATTTAGGCACCTTTAAAGTGGCACTTGGAGGTGTTCAACCCAGTTCTTCCCACTGAGTTACCATTCTCTCTTGTTGGAACACTCTGCTTCTATATTACTACTACTCATATTTTTTTTTTTGAGACAGAATCTCACTCTGTTGCCCAGACTGGGGTGCAAAGGTGCAATCTTGACTCACTGCAAGCTCCATGTCCCTAGTTCAAGTGATTCTCCTGCCTCAGCCTCCCAAGGAGCTGGAACTACAAGTGCACGCCACCACGCCTGGCTAATTTTTTTATTTTTAGTAGAGATGGGGTTTCACCATGTTGGCCAGGCTGGTCTCAAATCCTGACCCCAAGTGATCCACTCACCTTGGCCTCCCAAAGTGCTGGGGTTACCAGCATGAGCCACCACGCCCAGCCTATACTACTCATATTTTTAATTAATTGCTACACACTTGTTGTATACTCTCTCTACCCCCATTAACTTTTTTTTTAATTTTAATTTTTTTGTTTTTGTTTTTGTTTTTTTTTTGAGACTGAGTCTCACTCTGTAACCCAGGCTGGAGTGCAGTGGCACAATCTCAGCTCACTGCAACCTCCTCCTCCTGGGTTCAAGAGATTGTCCTGCCTCAGCCTCCTGAATAGCTGGGATTACAAGCACCTACCACTATACCCGGCTAATTTTTGTATTTGTAGCAGAGACAGAGTTTCACCATGTTGGCCAGGCTGGTCTTGAACTCCTGACCTCAAGCAGTCAGCCCACATTGACCTCCCAAGGTGCTGGGATTACAGGCATAATCCACTGCACCCGGCCTATTTTTATTTTTTTTAAGACAGAGTCTCGCTCTGTCACCCAGGCTGGAGGGCAGTGGTGCAATCTCGGCTCACTGCAACCTCCACTCCCGGGTTCAAGCGATTCTCTTGCCTCAGCCTCCCTAGCAGCTGGGACTACAGATGTGCATCACCACGCCCAGCTAATTTTTACATTTTTAGTAGAGATGGGGTTTCACCATGTTGGCCAGGTTGGTCTTCAACTCCTGGCCTCAAGTGATCCACCACCTCAGCCTCCCAAAGTGCTGGGATTACAGGTGTGAGCCACCAGGCCCAGCCTACCCTCATTAACTTTAAAATTTCCCCCTCTCTTTGTCTGTTGGATTTTCTGTTATAATTGATGGTAGTTTTTCACTGCTTTGCATTGGTAGTGCACAGACTCAGCGTATGAGCAGGGCTTTTATGATGGGACTTTTTTGTGTCGAGGTAGAGAATTAGGCTGGCAAACCACGAGTTGGAATGGTGCTTCTTAAGAGTGTAGGCAGTAGACCAGCATCACCTGGAAACTTGGTAGAAATGCAAGTTGGTGGGCCCCACCCCAGACCTGAATCAGAATCTCTGGAGGGTGGGCCCAGGAATTGATTTAACAAACTCTTCCAGGGATTCTTAGAACTCTCCACTTTTAAGAGGTGGGTCTTGCTGTGTTGCCCAGGCAACAGCCTTGAACTCCTGGCCTCAAGTGATCCTCCTACCTCAGCCTCCCTAGTGGCTAGGATTACAGGCATGCTGTTTCAATTTTTAGTCTGTTCATTACAAACAGAATCAAGAAAGTCACCAGAGACACAGGATAGTTCTGAATAGCTGGTTTTTAAGGCAAAATTTACCTACTTTTCTCTTTGAAAAGTACATTAATTCAAAGAACTATGGTTTGCAGAAGGTCATACAGCTTGATGCAAAGGCAAAGTGATTCCAGCCCAATTTGTTACCTCTGGGAATGAGAATCCATGGTTTCCAAAGCATACTCCTCTTTAATAATCAAGATGTTTATCGCCGGCCAGGTGCGGTGGCTCATGCCTGTAATCTCAGTACTTTAGGAGGCCGAGGCAGTTGGATCACTTGAGGCCAGGAGTTTGAGACCAGCCTGGTCAACATGGCAAAACCCCATCTCTACTAAATACACAAAAATTAGCTAGGCATGGTGGTGGGCGCCTGTAATCCTAGCTACTCAGGAGGCTGAGGCAGGAGAATTGCTTGAACCCAGGAGGGGGAGGTTGCAGTGAGCCGAGATTGTGCCACTGCACTCCAGCCTGGGCAACAGAGGGGGACTCTGTCTCAAAAACAAAAACAAAAACAAAACAACTCAGCTTCTTGTTGCTTTCCTGGCTACTAGAGCAATAGACAGGGAAAGTCTGAGTGCTCAACTTTGCTCCCTCCAGCTAGATGCTAGGAAGGGGGTTGAAAACACTGGCTAAAGTTTTGTTTGTAGATTATTGATATTTTCTTCTCTCTGCCCTTGACCTTGTTTCTGCTAACATGTAAATTTGTTTCTATAGTCTTGGAGTAGCACTTACCCTTTGATAACACCAGGATTATATCCCCTTCCTGAAACTCCAGGTCCTCTGGTTGGGTAGCCTCATAACTGAAGAGTGCCTCCACTTGGCTGCCTTTCTTAAGCTGAGGTTCTGTTGTCTGGTTATTAGCATCAGCTTTTTCACTTTCCTTGGGTTCATCTGGAAAGCCTTGGTCACCCTGAAATAATAAAGGGCCTGTTAATTTTCCCAATTTCCTGCCAAGTGAACACTGAACATCACTAAAGGAAACAGCGAAATGTCAAAGTAGAACCTGGGATATAAACTCATAAAGTTTGTGATCAGTGCCTTGTGTAGAGCTTATATGCTCTTTATGAATACTGGATGGTTGGGTAAATCAGTCCCCAACCTTTTTGGCACGAGGGACCAGTTTCATGGAAGACAGTTTTTAGATGAATGGTGGTGGGTGGTGGGTTGGGGGGTGGTTTCAGGATAAAATTGTTCCACCTCAGATCGTCAGGCATTAGATTCTCATAAAGAGCATGCGACCTAGATCCCTTGCATGCACAGTTCACAATAGGGTTCACACTCCTATGAGAATCTAATGCTGCTGCTGATCTGACAGGAGGCAGAGCTCAGGCCAGTATACCTGCAGCTCACCTGCTGTGCAGCCCTGTGCTGGCCCGTGGCCTGGAGGTTGGGGACCCCTGGGATAAATGAAACCAAAAGGTCTGCAAAATCATATACAGTCTTAAAATATCTTACTGAAACCTTACAATAATCTTGAGACAGGTAGAATGGGCATTATTATTTCTTTACAGATGGGGACAGAGCCCTAAGTCAAAACTGGCTTTCTTAGCATCAACTCTAACAGCAACACTAGGGACCTTGTTAGAAATGCAGACTTTCAACTCCATCCCAAAACTACTAAATCAGAAACTCCCTGAAGGTGAATCCTGCAATCTGTATTTTAAGTCCTCTAGGGAATTCTGATACTTGCTAAAGTTCAAAAACCACTGCACAATGCCATACTTGTTTTATCTGTAACAACATTTCTTATACATCTTAGACTTATGATCTTAGACTTCTTCCACATTATTGTCACTTTTGCTTCACAAATGAAGGAGAAGGATGCGGTTTCTACAGATGTGAATCATAGAATTTAACAAATCAACATTAGAAATGCTGCTAGGCTTGTATGTACCGAGCATTATAAGTTCTAGCTTCTTAATGTTGTTTGTTGAACGTTGGTATATTTTTATTGAGAGGCAATACAATGAGGTGGAAATGGCCCTAGAGAGTCCACAGAGAAAGGTTTGTATCCCACCTCCACTGCTTACCAGCTCTGTGTCCCTAAGCAAGCAGTGTAACTTCTCAGAACCTCAGTTACCTCACCTGAAATTGAGGCTAGAAGAATTCAATGAGATGACATACAATAATAGTAGTTGACATTTATTGAACACTTACTCTGTGGCAGTACTCTTCTAAATATGTATAAATATTTAGACTTGGTTAATGGTAAGTGTTCCTGCATAGAGTAGATGCTTAATAAATGTTAGTTCATTTTATTTTTCTTTCTTTTCTTTTCTTTTTTTTTTGTATTTTTAGTACAGATGGGGTTTCACCATGTTGGCCAGGCTGGTCTTAAACTCCTGACCTCAGGTGATCTGGCCCATCTCGGCCTCCCAAAGTGCTAGGATTTCAGGCATAAACCATACCAGGCCTCTTTTTTTTTTTTTTTTTTTTTTTTTTTTTTTTTTTTTTGAGGCAGAATCTCTCTGTCACCCAGACTGGAGTGCAGTGGTATGATATCAGCTCACTGTAACCTCCGCCTCCTGGGTTCAAGCAATTCTGCCTCAGCCTCCCAAGTAGCTGGGACTACAGGTGCACACCACCACACCCAGCTAATTTTTGTATTTTCAGTAGAGATGGGGTTTCACCATGTTGCCTCAGCCTCCCAAAGTGTTGGAATTACAGGCATGAGCCACTGCGCCTGGTTTTCTTTCTCCTAGTAAGTGAAAGCCTGCTTTGTTGCCTCCAAAAGTAATGGATAGTGATAAAGAACATTCAACAGTGACTCCTGAGCCTGGATTAAATTGCAAAAGATTGTGGGGAGTTGTAAGAGGGTTGGCTATGTGCAGCCACCAAATAGATTGAAGCTGCTGTCAAAGGAAAAAATTTTAATTAAAAAAAAGTTTAAGTGAAGTAGTTCACATTTAGAGCAGAACTCCTTCTAGGAAGAATCTTTTAAAAAAGATGCTGAAGGGGTTAGTCCAAAGACAGACAGCTGGAAAACCTAGAGTGACTTTTCAGACTTCCAAGAGACCCCTTACACTCACACTCACTCTTACCCCCAGGATCCTGGGGCCTTTTGTCTCAGCCAGAGACACCAGGGAGTCTCATCCCCAGTGGCTGTATTTCCTGAAGGCAATTTTCTGAACGGGGAAGATACCTTAAACAGCTTTATACACTGCCCTTTTCTAGGCTCATTCTCTTTCACTCTTCTTCTCCCAGCTCATGTCTGTAATCCCAGCACTTTGGGAGGCCGAGGCAGGTGGATCACAAGGTCAGGAGTTCAAAACCAGCCTGGCCAAGATGGTGAAACCCCGTCTCTACTAAAAATACAAAAATTAGCTGGGTGCAGTGGCAGGTGCCTGTAATCCCAGCTACTCAGGAGGCTGAGGCAGGAGAATTTCTTGAACCTGGGCGGCAGAGGTTTCAGTGAGCCAAGATCACACCCAGCTTGGGCGACAGAGTGAGACTCCATCTCAAAAAAAAAAAAAAAAGGTGAAGAATGGCTATGAGCTGAGCCTTAAGCTATGATATGACTTCATTCCAACCTTGCTTGACAGTAATGGATGGGATGTTTGACACAGTCAGGCAGGGAGCTGATGGAGGGGCAGGAGGCTTTCTGTGAGCTCCTGCCCTGCTGGGCCTGCTGTTCTCTTGTGGGAAACTCTCTCCCTGCTGCAAATGGGGTGAGGATGCAGGTAAAAGGGAGGCAGAGCTGTGACTTATTACACACCATATCCCCAACACCACATATAGTGCCTAGTACACAGAAGGTGCTTGATAAATTTCAAATTGTTGAGGAAGTGGCTCAGTGGAAATGTAACTTTAGATGCCCCTCATTGCACTCACCACTGTGTTCTCACACCACAGAGTCAGGCAGTAGTTTTTCACCTGGCCCCAGGCATCCTTCATGCTGTCTTCTGAAAGGGGCACCAGCTCATTGCTGTCCCGAGGCCGATAGCTGGGTGGGGATAATGAGTAAGAATCCAGTCAAAGAACATCATCACAAAAACCATCCTCCTCTTCCCTCCTCCAGGCCAGCACAAGGTTCCCACTGTACCCCTCACAGCTGCCTGCATGGAGCTCACCTCAGCTTAGTGTGTTCCAGCCGGAGCTCCAGTTTCTTAGACACCATGTCCCGGACCTGGCTGTAGGGGAGCCCGGGCTGAGTCTTCATGACTACCGTGTACTTGTAGTGCACCTTGAGTGTGTAGGGCATGGGAACACTGAGCTTCACTTCCTGAGTGGGGAGGAAACAAAGGGAACTCCTGAGTGTCTGAGGCTTTCTCTCAACATCCTGGATCACCGCAGTTTCGTGATTTGGCACAGGGGGTACCCAATACAGCAGGGGAGAGGCCAGTAAGTAACTGGTTTCACAGTAGCCTAAAAGGCCTTCAGAGGTCCTTTAGCCCAACCCTTGCTTGGACAGGAATTCCTACTGAGTAAGATCTGGCCCACTAGCTTGGGTAGTAGGAAGTGTGTGCATGATAGTGGAGGAGGCTATTAAGAAGGTCCCTAGCTCATGGACTCTGTAAGGTAGCAACTGGTTCGACCCTCCCTTTGGGGCTCTTCCTATAATCCAGACAGACATGTCTGTGGTTGATAGCCCAAGCTATCCCATCTTCTACCACTTGAAACAGTATGAGGGAAAAATGTTACCTTAGGCTCTTCTTTTTGTTTCTGGCCTGAATGGAAAAAGTAGGGAGTAAAACAAAAGAAGATGGTGAATGAACATCCTTGGCCAGCCCCTGCCACACACAGATGAAACCTCTTCAAATAGGGCCCCCAACCTCTTACCCTTTAATTTGTGGGGCAATTATTAACCTTAGTAAACTGTGGGGAAAATCTCGCCCTGGGGAAGCATGAAGGTCATGAACACATGAACAAACTCAGTCTCTGCTTCTAGGGAGCCTATAGGTAATTACCAAAGGACCAGCATATCCTCACCAACCCACAAGGTTAGCAGGGATCCCAAAGGTCAATTAAGCCCACGGGATCCAAAGCAATGAAAATCGGAGTGCAAGGTGAGCCAGAGGCCACAGGAAGAAGTATTAGAACCACTGATCCTCACCTTATTCTTTATTTTTGTGTATGTTTCCTAAAGTTTATTAATTTAATCTAATCTATTAATCAAGCAATCTAATATTAATCTAATTTATGTAAGAGTAGCATGCATAAAGATATTTACTATAGGGGGTACATGATCAGAGAAGGCCACTGATCTCAAACCTAGCTGATCATTAGAATCACATGGGAAGTTTTTTTCTAAAATACAAATTCCCGAGCCCCATTCCAGTCCTAAAATATCAGAGCCAGTAGCCTAGGACTCTGTATTCACAAAATCATCCTAGGTTTATATGTGATCCTTGATGAGCCTCTAGACAAAAGATAACAACAAAAAACCTGTCAAGGACATTGAGCAGGAGCAACGGGAGAAATTTGAATATGGAATATACATTATATAATACTATCATATGAATGTTTAGTGTCCTAGATACCATGATTCTATTGTGATTATGCAGGAGACTGCGTTTTTGCAGCTGTGTAGGGTGAAGTGTCACGAGTCTGTAACTTTTCAACTGGCTCGGGGGAGAAAAATAGAATGGAGCAGGGCGAGTTCATGGTGCAAAATGTTAACAATTGGTGAGTTTAAGTGAAAGATATTCTGATGTTTATTGTATTCTACTGTCAGCTTTTCTGTAGGTTGGACATTTTTCAAAATAAAAATGGGGGAAGGGACATCCCGAGTGATTCTGATGATCAGGCGCGTGTGGCAATCATTGATCTAGAATCTGGCCAACCACTCACTCTGCGTCTCTACCAAGCGCTTATCCAGAATCTGCTTCAAGTGCACTTCCCAAGACAGCCCTCTCCACACTAGGAAACAGCCTTTCAGAGAGAACATTTCCATTTCACATCTGCCCATTGGTTCTTTGTTCATCCTCAGGGCTCCACAGAGCAATTTCTTTTCCAGATACAGTGCCTCAGACATTTGAAAACAGCCACTCCATGCCCCTCAGAGATAAGCAGGTATAGTTACTTCAACTTTTCTTCCTGAGACATCGTTTCCCTACCTAATGATCAAGGGGTTTGGTGACTACGTGAGTCACTCAGGAACCAGCTGCATTCACCCAAGCCCCGTGAGTGTTCTGCAGAAGGCAGGGAGAGAGGGCACTGATTTCATGTTTGGGGTGGGTGGTGCAGGAAAGGGGGATTCTGGGGCTGCGTGGTCATTAGCTGAGTGACATGTTGGGAGAAGAAGAAACCAGAATTTCCTGGAAGGCAGGGAGAGGAACTCAGGAAGCAGCCTGGCATGCTGCTGCACCCAGACCTAGGCTGTGGCTCCAGGACCACTCACCTGGTGACAGCTGGGGTCTTCCAGGGGCTTTGGAACTAGGAGGAGCTGGGATGTCGGACTGCGGAGAGCTTTCCTCCTGAAGGCAACAGGGAGCGACGGTCAGAACCTTCATTCAAAGTTCCCAGGCAGGGGTGGATGTGGGGAAACACCCCTACAGAGACCCCATGTAAAGGAGCCACATGCAGATAACGTCCTAAAAGTTGGAATGGTAGTGACATTTGGGGAAGACGAAGGAAATGTTGGCCAAAAGAGGAGGTGGAGTTGGCCTGATGAAAATGAAAATCACAGTAGAAAGAAGAATCCTAACCCGCTAAAACGCCCTTGCCGCTTTAGCAACTCTTTCAGCCATATTGGAAATCCACTGGCCGTGGGGCAGGACTGAGCTCTTGTCTCCACTGCAGAGGGCATTGAGAAAGGAAAAATTCCACTTCTCATTTGCAAGGCATTTGAAGCTTTTCAAAGCATTTGGATATGGTGACTGACCAGGGAGGGCTGAGCTCATATACAACTGGTTGCACAGTCTAGAGACAGACAGTCTCCACTGCCATTGAGTCACTTACAGGGATGCTCAGATCTGACAAAGACAGCTCTCTAGGCCTGGCAGAAGGACAGACTTTTGAAGTGTGAGGGAGGGAGTAGCAGCAGTTTAGAAGCAGTGGCTGGCAAGGCCCACTCTGATTCAAAGCTCTAAGGCAGATCTCATTTTATTATTTTTATTTGTATAGAGGTGGCATCTCTCTATTTTGCCCAGGCTGGTCTCGAACTCCTGAGTTCAAGTGATCCTCTCACCTCAGCCTTCCAAAGTGCTAGGATTACAGCCATGAGCAACTGCAGCTGGCCTCATTTTCTTTCTAATGGCATTGTACCAGCCAACACATTGACTACTCTTCCACGTGAAGCAGACACACTTGGGAAGACCTAACCCACTCATATACTGTAGGCTTTGCTTCCCAAGTGACTTCTGACCAGGAAGAGTCACAGAGGTGGGTGGGCCCAATGGGACCTACAGATGCCTCCAACTTAGCACATCTGGGCTTTTTTCCCCTCATTCCCAGGTTCAGCTCTGGGTAGCTGGTGCCATCTCAAGGCGGGCTCAAGACTAGTGAATCTTTCTCCAGGGGTCCTGACAACACCTCTTTTACACTGCTTTTCTCCCCTCCAGGGAGAGATCCCTAAAGGGTGAGAGGAAATGGGTCAGGCCTTGGCATCACATTACCTGGGGCTGCTGCTGAGGGTGGATCCGCAGCTCAACTGGTTCAAGGTAGTTGCAGGGAACAAGCCCCTTCTGCAGTGCAGCACCACAGAATCAGAAAGGAAAAAATAAAGATGTGCTCATCAGTACCCACACCACAGAACAGCCCAGAGTCCTGGGGAAGGGATGACGAACAGACAAAAGAACTTGGCTGGTCTGCAAAGAAGGCAGCAGATACTGCTCCACAGAGACTGCATTTGCTGCCAGGATCCCATGCCCATCGCACCAGCCCCTGATCCTCTGCATACCTGCCCGTTGAACATGACCGTGGCCCAGTTATCATTGCCCTTCTTCAAGACAAAGACAATGTTCCCTGGCATGACCTGGAGCTCTTCTTTTGTCTCAGGCACAAACCCAAATAGCACACGGTGAGCCTCCCCTTCCAGAGCCCTGCAGAGGATAGACACAAGATCCAGCCCCCATCCCCTCACATGATGCCATGGCGCAAATACACTGAACTTGGAGCCAGGGACTTGGCTCCAGCCTGGCTCTAACTCCACATCTAACTGCAACTGCCGAGATGACACTGAGCCTGCCTGGGCTCCCAAGAGGTCTCAGCAAGAAACTGGTGTACACCTGCTCATAACCATATATGCAGAGGGGCAAGAATAAAGCAAAAACCCCACAACACTAGATAGTGAGGACTTACAATCCTTGCCCTCCCTTCTGCTCTGAGGAGGAAGGTCCCTGGCTGTGTCATCTTGGCCAGCACCCAAGGCTGGGCTGGGGTGGGGTGGATCAGGTGACTGTGGTCAGGGGAACAGCACAAAGCAGAAGTCAGGTGAGAGCCAGCTGGGCCAGAAAGATTGGTGGGAGAGGAGGAAGGAGAAACCACCTAGAACCAGTGTTGGGCCAGGATAGAGAGACCGTGAGCAGGGTAGGTGACAGGGAGCGTGAGGGATGCACATAGAGGGCTCTGAGGCTGCCCAGCTGCCGTGGTGCAGTGTCGGTTCCCTTAAGTCTGACTTCATGCTTTTAGGCTTTGAGGCTCTGATTGGCATCACTTTGGAACGTGTGACTGAGAGGCTGGTGTTCAGGTTTCAGGCTTCCCTCCCTTTACTCCCCACTCTGTTACTTTCCCCTCGGCCCATCCTTGTTTCCAGACATCGTGCCTACTCCTGTAGGGAATACAGGCCCTTCCAGCTGACAGGGAGCTTAGGAATGAGCTCATCCAGCCCCCTCATTTTTGTAGTTGCTTTGGTACTTTTGTCACTTTTTTTTTTTTGAGACGGAATCTTGGTCTGTTGCCCAGGCTGGAGTGCAGTGACATGATCTTGGTTCACTGCAACCTCCACCTCCTGAGTGCAAGTGAGCCTCCTGCCTCAGCCTCCCAAGTAGCTGGTATTACAGGCACATGTCAGTCACCACACTCAGCTAATTTTTTCATGTTTAGTAGACATGGGGTTTTGCCACGTTGGCCCGGCTGGTCTCGAACTCCTGATCTCAAGTGATCCGCCCACCTCAGTCTCCCAAAGTGCTGTGATTTCAGGCATGAGCCACACACCTGGCCAATCACTTTTTAAAACCTCCTTTTTGGGTGGGAGGACCAGGCTTGCTTCATCACTTTGAGAGAATTCTTAAGAAAGCTGTAGGTTATGTCACCCTTTGTTTTTCATCTTACAGAAGAAGGACTTCCTTTTCTTCAGTCCTTCCTCTTTACTTCTTCAGAAAGCATGTGCCGATAGGGAGTGGAAAACATCCACACAGGAAAAAGGACGTCATTCTAGATTCCTGACTCCAGAGAGCTCTGGCCTGCCCCCGTCAGAGGGGACTGCAGCCAGTGCGAAACCGATCTCCAACCTGAGGTCAGCATCCTGGTCCCCAGGGTAGCTATGTTCCACAGAACACCACTGCCCCTCAGCAACAACCCCTTGCCATGTGGGTGGCTGTGCACGTGGACAGAGGGCCAATGGGACACCACGTAGCTGCAGCCAAGCCCTGATGGCCAGCCCCACCACAGTCAAGACTCCCATCCCCATCATATCATTCCTTTCTAGCCTGACATTCTAGAAGACATTCTTCTAGGCATTCCTTTCTAGCCTGACATTCTAGAAGAAGCCTGACATTCCAGAAAATTCAACAAGATTTAGACCCTGACCCCACCTTCATCTTCTTCCCTCCCTTTCTTGCCATCAGCTCAGGCTTGGCGCTTGGATATTCTATTTATGGATTTGAATCTAACTTACCTGAAGATCTCTGGGGTTTTCGGTCTGGGTGGAGGCTCAGCTGCCTATTGAACATTCAGGAGAAGTGAAAACGGAAAAGGCAATGAGGGAAAGCAGGGGAGAGACAACAAACGGCTAATGGTAATTTGAGCATTCTTCCAGACCAGAAAATCAAATAACGCATTTCTGACTGATGAGAACACTGTCTAGGAAGAGGGCACAGTCACCCTGACTAAACACTGGGAAATAACACCTCCCACCAGCTCCCCAGGTACAGGTTTCACTAGCACAGCAATTCATTTTGAGCCAGAGCTAGTTTCTGGAGGTTAGCAGTCACACAGCAACATGGTGTCACAAGAATGCTTTGACCTTGAGCTCTGTCCTTTTCCCAGGACAGTTTCCAAAAGCTCTGTTCTGTAATTAATGTCTACTATGTCACATGACACTTCTGAGTATTTTTAAATTAATTTAAAAAAAATTTTTTTTGAGATGGAGTTTCACTCTGTCGCCCAGGCTGGAGTGCAGTGGCGCGATCTTGGCTCACTGCAACCTCTGCCTCCCTCATTGAGGTGATTCTCCTGCCTCAGCCTCCCATGTTGCTAGAATTACAGGCATGTGCCACCACACCCTGCTAATTTTTGTATTTTTAGTAGGGACAGGGGTTTCACCATGTTGGCCAGGCTGGTCTGGAACTCCTGGCCTCAAGTGATCTGCTCACCTCAGCCTCCCAAAATGGTGGGATTATAGGCGTGAGCCACTGTGCCTGGCCACTTCTGAGTATTTAAAATTGACACAGGATCCACTGACTGGGCAAGAATCTCCTCCCCTGTTCTACACTGAATACCATGGAATCCAGTTACCTGGGCTGCATTCCCCTCATGGCCTCTGGCTGAACTGAAGCTCAAGGGACTTCAGCAAGGCTTTCATCAGCTTTATTGTGAAGAAAGAGATCAAGGAATCTAGATCTGGAACATACCTGCCCCTGCTCAGAAAACCGCCCTCTGCTAGTGCTGACCAACACTCTTGCCCATCACAGGTTCATTGCCACAGAGTTCGTATTTTCCTTAATGTGTTTTCCCCTCTTTCCTTCACAAGGAAGCTCTGTGTGCATTTCTAGATCCACTATCATCCAGTTCATCTGAGCTCACCTCTCCAAGCCCAGCTTGGGCAGAAAAAGGGTTCACTCTCAGTGCGCTGCCTGTGTTCCCGAAGGAAACCCCTGCACATGAGCAGATGGGTAGAGCCAGGAGAGCCCAAACCTCAGGCCCAGGCCCCACAGGGTTCCCCACTTGCCCCTGTACTCAAGAAGAGGCTTTGTTAATAAGCCTTCCATAGCTTGTGTTTCAGCTTCCTGAGAGAATAGTTGAGGCTTCAGAGAGAGGATCAGCAGATCTCTTTAGAGATGTGAAGACCGGCATTTGTGGGGAAGCAGGAGAGTTAGCTTCAGAGGACTTGGGGTGAAGCCTGACACTGCCTTATTTCCTCACCAGCCATGGAAACCAGGACTGAGAGAGGGCAGGCAGATCCCTCAGCTGCACTGAGGGCCACTTGAAGGAGCCCTTACAATCAGGCAACTCAGCACACATAGTCTCTCGAATTGAATGCTTCACAGAAAGCTCTCGAGACCTAGGTCCATGGAGAAGGTCAGGACTGCCTTACCTGTGGTTGCAGAGGGGCAAACCCAGAGAAACTGTCTTGATCCACCACAGATGCCACGACCTAAAATCAAGGACAGGAGGGTGTGAGGCTCTGCCAGCACTGTTTCCATTCTTCTGGGTCTCCCTCTTTGCTCATGCCCTAGACCTGTTCTTACGTGAGCCTGGTTTCAGACGTGGACAGTAACTAAGGATTAGATTCCTGAGCCTCTGGATTAGGATTTCAGCAACTGAAGAAACGAGCATTCACCCCACCCCTGCTAACACAGGCTTGCTTTCTTCTCTCTTAAAAAAGAAATGTTTTTAATTGAGGTGCAATTTGTATAACATCAAATTATCTTTTTTTTTTTTTTTTTTTTTGAGACGGAGTCACGCTCTGTTACCCAGACTGGAGTGCAGTGGCGTGATCTCAGCTCACTGCAACCTCTGCCTTCCAGGTTCAAGTGATTCTCCTGCCTCAGCCTCCCGAGTAGCTGATATTACAGGCACCCGCCACTGTGCCCGGCTAATTTTTGTATTTTCAGTAGAGACAGGTTTTCACCATGTTGGCCAGGCTGGTCTCAAACTTCTGACCTCAGGTGATCTACCCATCCAGCCTCCCAAAGTGCTGGGATTATAGGCATGAGCCACCACGCCCAGCCCAAATTAATCATTTTAAAGTGAATGATTCAGTGGCATTTATCACATTCACAATGCTGTGCAACTACTGCCTCTCTCTAATTCCAAAATATTTTCATCACCTCAGAAGAAAATGCTGTACCCATTAAGCAGTGTGTCCACACTCCCCTTTCCCCTAAACTGGCAACAACCGGTTTGCTTTCTGTGACTGACTTGAGCCCTCTTCTCTGAGTTTTAAAAATCAGATGTAAAGCTAGCTTTATTCACAAATATGCTTAAACTATAGATAATTTTCATCATTCATTCATATAATCAAAACATTTTTGCTGAGAGCTGTTATGTGTCTAGCACTGTGCCAGGCTGTGAGGACTCAGTGGAGATCAAGCAGACATGGTCTCTGCTCTCTCAGTGCTTAGAGGCTGCACCAGATATTTCCTATAAACGGAATTGTACAACATGTGGCCTTTCGTATCTGGCTTCCTTCACATAGCATAATGTTTTCAAGGTCCATCCATGTTGTATCATGAATCATACTCCATTCCTTTTTATGGCTACGTAGTATTCTGTTGCATGGATATATCACATTTTGATTACTCATTCATCAGTTGATAGATATTTGGAGGGCTTCCACTCACCCAGGCTTTCTTGACCTCTGCTGCTATGCTAGACCCAGCTACCCGACCACTGGGCAACTTTAGCCCTATGAATGTGTCAAGTCAAATGTGGTTTTGGAAGGGCACTGCTGACTCACTTCAGACCATGTCTGAAAGAATTTAAGACTTGGATTTATTATTATTATTACTATTTTGAGATGGAGTTTCATTCTTGTTGCCCAGGCTGGAGTGCAATGGCATGATCTCAGCTCACTGCAACCTCCACCACCCGGATTCAAGCGATTCTCCTGCCTCAGCCTCCCAGGTAGCTGGGATTACAGGCATGCACCGCAGCACCCAGCTAATTTTGTATTTTTAGTAGAGATGGGGTTTCACCATGTTGGCCAGCCTGGTCTTGAACTCCTGACCTCGTGATCCACCTGCCTCAGCCTCCCAAAGTGCTGGGATTACAGGCATGAGTCACCATGCACAGCCAAGACCTGGATTTAGAAGAAGTCCAATTTAAGACATAGTCTAAACATAGGGCTGTGGAAGTGGGGAAAGACTCCTCAGCCCACTAAAACGTGAACTACAAGGAGCATTAATCCAAGAGGATCCCATGCTGATCTCTTTCCCTAACATGTTCTCTTCATATTTATTTTTATTTTTTAGAAACAGAGTCTCAATCTGTTGCCCAAGCTAGAGTACAGTGGTGCAATCATAGCTCACTGTAGCCTTGAACTCCTGGGCTCAAGTGATCCTCTCACCTCAGCCTCTCCACTAGCTAGGCTGGTCTCAAACTCCTGGCCTCAAGTGATCCTCCCACTTCAGCCTTCCAAAGCACTGGGATTACAGGCATGAGCTACCCTGCCTGGCCCTCTCTTCACATTTAGTGAGCTCCTCATGGCTGTGTTTTCCCTCCATTGGCTCAGTCCCTAAGACTCAGCATCCTGTGAGTAACCCTGTGGCTCTCACCCAGGGTCGAGCTGGAAGGGAGAAATGGGAGCAGCTTGGAGAAAATAAACTAGACATGGTTGCCTATCTTTCAGCCAAACCTCTGTCCTATAAACAAGTCTCTCATTGCCATCCCAGGGACAGAGCCACAAGGAGGCTACCCTCTTCTCAAGAGTCCCTCCCACCTTGCTCCACATGGCCCGGGCCACAGGAGACTCAGGGGAAGCTGAGCAATCCCACCTACCGTCGCCTTGCCTAGGTAATCCTTCTTGGCCAGCTGAGCCACTTGTCTCTCATTTGGTCGAAACAGCTTGCCCACAGGGATCACCACTGGCTCATATAGCTTCTGCTTCTGTAACACAGAAAACGTAGCATTCCCTTATGTGAAAATGGGGGTGACGATGCTTGTCCTGCCTCCCTCAGTGAATAGATGCAAGAATTCATTGAGATAACCACATAGAAGCCCTTTTCCAAATGAGTGTTGTCATTCCTCTAGGGTGTTAAGGTAGGAACCCTTGGTTTCAATACCACCTTCTGCTGCGAGGCCACATGGACATTGCTGCTATTTGTTGCTATTCAGCACCCTCTTTTCCCAGAGGAACTGCTCCTCTCCCACTCTGTGTGCTGTCCGTGGGGTTCTCTCATGGTGTAGAGGGCACCACCACGACAAGGCTGGCCCGGGATCAAGCAAGGCTCATGACAGTGCTCCCTTGGATGGGTGTTTGCTGATGAGGATAGACATATAAAGACTGGCTTGAGTCCTCTTCTCTGTGTTTTAAAAATCAGATTTAAAGCTAGCCTTATTCACAAATATGCTTGAACGATAAATAGTTTTTATCACTCATTCACAAAATCAAAACATATTTTAGGCAGGTGCGGTGGCTCATGCCTGTAATCCCTGCACTTTGGGAGGCCAAGGAGGGCAGATCACCTGAGGTCAGCAGTTCGAGACCTGCCTGGCCAACATGGCAAAACCCCGTCTCTATTAAAAATACAAAAATTAGCCAGGCATGGTGGCATGCACCTGTAATCCCAGCTACTTGGGCGGCTGAGGCAGCAGAATTGCTTGAACCCAGGAGGCAGAGGCTGCAGTGAGCTGAGATCACACCACTGCACTCCAGGCTGGGCAACAGAGCGAGACTCCATCTCAAAACAAAACAAAACATTTTTGCTGAGAGCTGTTATGTGCCTAGCACTGTGCCAGGCTGTGAGGACTCAGTGGTGATCAAGCAGACATGGACTCTGCCCTCTCAGTGCTTAGAGTCTGTGCAGCACTGCTCCAGCATCCAATATCCTGTTCTCCTGCATTGCCAAGGAGCCCCACTCCAAGGGTGGTGTGATGCCAGGGCTCTGCCATCCCATACTCTAGGCCTCAGCTTCTCAGCACAGATTCAAGATCTTAAGTGGAACTATACCCTAAGATCAGTGTTACCCAGACTCACAGAAAGTAAAAGCACCACTTTTATGGCTTCTCAATGGCATGTCCTCTGAGACAAATGAGAATCCAGTGACATCCTCTCAACACCTGCATCACCAATACGCTTACCCAGACACACTCCATCGCCTTGTCGATTTTGGAATGTCTGGGCTCAGACTTCATGCTCGTGGCCAATGCTAACTGTTCTTCAGCTTTTTTCCATTCCTCCTTCTTGGCATACATGAAAGCAATGTTATATAACACCTAGAAAAGTACAGACCGCAACATAAAACTTGAGACTACTCCAAATCAAGGTGCCAGGGAAAGGCTCACACGTATACTCTGAGAATGTTGCCTGGTAGCCTTTCTCCCTTTCTCAGCTCTCCTGGGAATATCTAAAATATAGTGCAATTAGTCTTGCTATTGAGTTATGTCAAACACAAACATGGTGTTAAGAAAACACCATGGAATGCGTAAATGCAACATCATTTGTACTCTTCCAACAACGAAATAGGTCAGGAAGGGACAAGAATTATTGTATACAGTGTGTTCAAACCAGGTTAAAAAAAAGAAGAAGAATTGTTGTGTTGTTTTAGTATGAGTTGCTTTAGTAAAAGAGTGACTTGCTCAAGGCCCCTTCTAGAGGCAGACACAGGGTTGGGAATAAAATACAGGTGTGTGGTCTTCCAGTCCACCTCCTGCCACTGTACCTAGGCTGAAACACTGGACAGGTACAGAGCCGGAAGATGGATCAAGATGCAACCTCCTGTACCAGCACCAGCAGAACCTGGCCCAGACCATGTGAGTAACAAGACTAATGTAGCAACACAGGCCAGGCGCAGTGGCTCATGCCTGTAATCCCAGCACTTTGGGAGGCCAAGGCGGGTGAATCACTTGAGGTCAGGAGTTTGAGATCAGCCTGGCCAACATGGAGAAACCCTGTCTCTACTAAAAATACAAAAATTAGCTGGGCATGGTGGCAGGCACCTGTAATCTCAGCTACTTGGAGGCTGAAGCAGGAGAATTGCTTGAACCCAGAAGACAGAGGTTAGCACAGAAGCCAGGGGCACCTTCACCTCAGGTGGGGGGGGAATGGTAAATGCAACAGTGTCATACTTTTCCAGGTCTTGAGTTGGGCTGTGGTTCTTGAGTGTCTATTTTACTATTGTGCTTCACAATTTACACACAGAATCAAATAATCGTTTGGATGCATTACCAAGATCTAAAAAATGGCCCGACTGAAATAAATTTTTTAAATAGGATATTATGGAAATTAGGGGGTGTGACATTTGAGGCTAGATTATAAAAGACATTGACACTGTCTTGCTCTTGGGTCACTTGCTCTCAGAGACGCCAGCTGCCATGTCATGACAAGACTTAGGCAGCCCTAGAGAGAAGTTCATGTAGCGAAGAACTGAGGCCTCCTGCCAACAATGACGTGAACTTGCCAAACTCAGACAGGTGGAAGGATTGATGTTTCTGTGGCATTAGTGGCTGGTGCTGAATGGTGGGGGCCAGGATCAACCCCGGAAGTGGAAATCTGGACTCCTTTCAGTCCTATTTCTGAGATTCAATGAGCTACTGCCTTCTGAATTCGTTGGCTTCTCCAGCCCACTCCTGACCTTGTGTGCAGAAAGAAAGAACTCAGATCGTTTAAAATTTCCTATTTGGTTCTCAGCCACCTTCTCTTAAGACATTTCTCTACAATCAGTTTTTATGAACTAATGATGAGAAAAACCTTGACACTCTTCAAAAATAATGATGTGATTCTCAGAAGCCAGGGTCATACCACATCAGGAAGAGAAGGATTATAAGTAGGGAAATGACTGGAAGGTCCCATGTGACAAAGAGGGCCTTAGACCCTGAAAAGTTCAGCTTTACTTGCAGAGAGGGCCACTCAGCCAGTATTTTCTGTCCTCTCAGGGCCATTTTAACCCCAACTCCAGGGGAAACATTCCTCCCATGGAACTGTACTTTGATGCTGCTGTGACATAATCCTTTTTCTAGAGCCACTTGTCCCCCAACTTTCTAATCTGTATAAGTGGCTGTCATTGGCTTATTAGCAATGTCTGGAGGGATTTTAGGTTGTCACATTGGGTGGGGAGTGGTGGTGGCAGTGCTAGTAGCATCTAAAAGCTAGAGATGCCGTCAAAGTTCCCACGATGCGCAGGACGCACCACAACCCCTCTCTCGCCTCTGCTACAATACAAGATTGTCTGGTCCAACATATTAACAGAGCTACAGCTGAGAAACCTTACTCGAGAAGTTGGTCGAATGGCAGCCAATTCCAACTGCAAAGCCCCATCTTCTCAGACTGTGAGACGTGAAGTTAGTTGCTAGCCTGCTGCAGGGTTGGGATGGGGCCATATGTCCCCAGGGGCCGAGGGCGGCTACAGACTCTATTATTAGCCCTGAGCGACCCTGGGAACACTTGACTTCTTGTGCCTGAGAAACTAAAGCAAGGGGACTTTTGTCAGTGATTTTTCTAAAGAAAGGTCTTTGACATTTACAGGAATTTTGGTTTTCAAAACTGCTAGTATATATTTGGAAGTGGGAGGGGTGGGAAGGGCCAACCGGAAAAAGTAAATGAACCTGCAAAGTCAAAGCCAGTCATGTCTCTCCCTTTTGATAATAGAGAAAAGAAGTTGTTTTGCAGAAACCTTTACCTAAATATGTGCCTTGAGCTGTTCTTTGAGCAAGAGGGGACAGATTTATGCCAAATTATCCTCAGTCTCTCTTTAGGTATCAATCAAGTACATGGGGTAAGAACCATGGATAGTAAAGAGTGTGGTCTATAAACTTGGGAACTGAGCAAGCTTCTGGCAGGTCCTGCACGGACAATGAACTCATGATTTTGGATTTGCTAGCAAAATGCTGAACAAATAGCTTGTCAATCTGAAGTGCCAATCAAAACATGCAAATTATCATGAATATTTCCACAAGCCAACACACTCGTGTCCAGCCTCCCTTCAGAGAGCCCGGGGGGCTCATTTTTGCATGGTCCTTTGCGCTTCACATTAATAAAATGTATGCCCCCAGGTAACTGATGACAATGCCTTGATGAGCCTGAAATAATCCATCTCAGTCTTTTCTTCAAGGAAAATCTGAGTCTCAAGGCAGAGGAGGCAAAATGGCTTTTCCAAGCTCCTGGAGGTGTCAACAGATCACTGTGCATCTGAACTGTCAGCCATCCATCCAGCCATGATCCCCTCCTGCCCAGGCCAGGCCCTGTTCTCCTTACCTCACAGGCAAACAGCTTGAACTGGAGCCCCAGGATCTTATAGTCTATCAGCTGGTTCCCTCGAAGCTGAATCAAGGCTTCTTTAAGGTCTTTGATAGCCAAATCATATCTGCAGGACAGAGGGAGAAAATACAGCAGTCTAGTGGATGGAGAAATAAATGCAGCATAAAATGTGAGTCTGCTTCTCCCTTCCCCATCTATTTCACTGGGACAAGAAGCCTTTCAGTTCCTTTTGACCTGTTCTAGTTTTCAGCAACCCTGAGTCCAAGTATTCTATACAACTCCTTGGGAATGGTGTTCCCCCCAGGGCTGTGCCTCAAAGCAACCCTGAGTGCCTCGTCTTGGACAGTCACAGGGAGTTTCTTCTCTATTGACTGCATACAACTGTCACCTTTCTGACAACCTGACTTGTCGCTTTCCGATGCAGCTCTCATTCTCTCTTGAGAGCTCCAAGCAGAGCCAGCACCTGCCCCCTGCCTGTGTCCCTGCAGAGTGTTCAGAGCTGATTTGGAATACTGCTCACTCCTGGCTCCCACCATCAGGCCAGGCCAGCCTGGCACAGCTTGGAGGGGCCCCTTCTTATAGCTGCCACCATCACCCTCCTGCCCACTGCCTTCGCCCATGGCTTCTTTTGAGTTCAACTTAGAGCTTGGTTTTGTGGTCTTCTTTGTTTCCTCACCGCCCGCCACTTCTGCCTCCTCCCTACACTTTGGAAAAGAAAAAAAAACAACCACTTATGCTATATAGTATTTCCTCCTTTTTTTTTTCTTTTTTTTTGAGACAGGGTCTCACTGTATTGCCCAGGCTGGAGTGCAGTGGTGGGATTTCAGCTCGCTGCAAGCTCCACCTCCCAGGTTCAAGTGATTCTCCTGCCTCAGCCACCTGAGTGGGACTGAGCTGGGACTACGGGCGAGCGCCACCACGCCCGGCTAATTTTTTATATTTTAAGTAGAGACCAGGTTTCACCATGTTGGCCAGGCTGGTCTCAAACTCCTGACCTCGACTGATCTGCCCGCCTTGGCCTCCCAAAAGTTCTGGAATTACAGGCATGAGCCACCATGCCCAGCCCCAGATAGTTTTTCTAATGCTGCTCCCACTGCCTTGTGCTGCTGGATTGGCGTGGAGCTGACTGGCTCGATGTATACCAGGGCTGCTGTCCTGGGACTTGTAGCAGAGAATGGGAGCTGACCACATCAATAGGGCCCACAGGCATGTAGGTGGGACCTGGACACACACTTCTGAGGATGCTGGCCCAGGCCTTGACCATGGGCTCCACAGAGGCCCTGGTGGGAGGGAGCCATTGCTGGGCTATAGGGGGTGGGAGCAGCAGGCATAAGCTACGCCAGCCTCACTCCACTCAGTCCCCTGACCTGGCAGGAACAAATTTGGCTGCCTGGTTGTGGCTCACACCTGGGCAACTGGACTGTAAGTCTGTAAGTCCCTAGGCCACCATCTGACCCAGAGCTACCAACCCGGCTTCTCTTGGAGATAAGCCTGGAATGTGGACACAGGCTGGCAGGAATCCTCAAGAGGCAGTGTGATGTAGTAAAGGGGCCAGGAGCCAGAGTCCAGATCCAACAGCTCTGCCACTAACTGGGGGACCCTAGCAAGTCACTTTCCTGGCCTGAAGTTCCACACCAATATTATGGCAGCATATTGTATACAGGGACATATTATATGCAAAGAATGTATCATATAGGGAGCTTGCCAGCATATGGATCCCACTTCTGGAGTCAAAACCACCTGGTTTGAGTCTTGGCTCCGTCACTTACTATCTGGTGAGAAACGGCAAGTTACCTAGCTTCCCTAAGTCTGTTTCCCCATCTTTAGAATAAGAGAATAATAAGGCCGGGCGCAGTGGCTCACGCCTGAAATCCCAGCACTTTGGGAGACCGAGGCGGGTGGATCACGAGGTCAGGAGATCGAGACCATCCTGGCTAAAATGGTGAAACCCCATCTCTACTAAAAATAAAAAAATAAAAAAATAAAAATTAGCTGGGCATGGTGGTGGGCGCCTGTAGTCCCAGCTACTCAGGAGGCTGAGGCAGGAGAATGGCATGAACCCAGGAGGCAGAGCTTGCAGTGAGCAGAGATCACACCACTGCACTCCAGCCTGGGTGACAGAGTGAGACTCTGTCTCAAAAAAAAAAAAAAAAAAAAAAAAAAGAGAATAATAACAGCATATACCTCACAGGTTCATTGTGAGAACTAAAGGAGATGAAGCATTTGGGTACTTCAGACAGTGCCTGGCACACACCATAATTTTTTTACTATTGTTTTTGTTGTTTTATTTTCTTTAGCTCTAACACTCTACCAATTAATCCATACATCAGCCACTTATTACGTGTTTACTTAAAGCTCCGTGCCATATAAGCTATTATCAGGATATTTTAAAAATACATGGCATAGAAGCTGGAACTCTGATCTCATGGAAGTTTAGAGCTGAGCACAAGGGCTGGTTGGCCAAGAGAGTCATAAGGAACGGGTGCCAGTGTGGCTGGGGGAGAAGCCATCACCATTAGGGTTGAGGTAAGTCACACATGGTAGCAGTGGCTATGCGGGAAATAAAAGAAGAGAGCTTGGGTTTGAAATAGGAGGATGGCTTTCTCTAGTATCCCTGTTAATAAAGATGGTTGTAAAACCTACTAAATGCATGCAGGCCATTCTTTAAGTAGCAATGGGGCCTTTCATGTCTTTTCCACGCATCTTTCTGGGTTCCTGGAAAGAGGAAGAAGGTACCCAGAAGTACGCCAGAAATCAGGTTCCGCTTTCTAAGCCAGAAGGTGGGGTAACTAGCTTCAATTCACTGAGCCTCTTCCATCGCGAAGAGGACAGGCAGAAGCAGAGGTTTCCTGTTTCCTGGCAGCTGCAATTTCCACTGTGTTCTATTGCCTGTTTGGGAGCTCGCTGAAGGTCTCAGAGGGCACACACTTTAACTGCCGTCAGCATCAACCTACCAACGTGCCTTCCTCCCTGCTGAGTTGGCTAAGCAGATGGATTTCAGCTGGGAAGTGACACCACCTGGGTCTATCTGGCATTGCATGAGCCCAGCAAAATCCTCCTAATAATTCCCTAGCCCATCAAGATGTCTACAGAGGCCCGGTGCAGTGGCTCGTGCCGGTAATCCCAGCATTTTGGGAGGCCAAGGCAGGCGGATCACTTGAGGTCAGGGGTTCGAGACCAGCCTGGCCAACATGGTGAAACCCCGTCTCTACTAAAAATATTTAAAAATTAGCCGGGCGTGGTGGTGCGTGCCTATAGTTCCAGCTACTCAGGAGGGTGAGGCAGGAGAATCACTTGAACCCAGGAGGTGGAGGTTGAAATGAGCCAAAACCATGCCACTGCACTCCAGCCTGGTTGACAGAGCGAGACTCCAACTCAAAAAAAAAAAAAAGGTGTCTACAGATTTGGGCCTGGTAGGAGAGAGAGAGAAAGAACTGACAAATTATTCAGAGGGTTTGCTTTGTTTTAAAGACAGGGTGGACCCGCCTAGGCAATATGGAGAAACCCCACCTCTACTAAAAGTACAAAAAATTAGCCAGGCATAGTGGTACGTGCCTGTAGTCCCAGCTACCCGGGAAGCTGAGGTTGGAGAATCACCTGAGCCCAGGAAGTCAAGACTGCAGTGAGACATGATTGCACCACTCCACTCCAGCCTGGACGACAGAATGAAATCCTGACTCAAAAAAAAAAAAAAAAGAAAGAAAGAAAGAAAGAAAAGAAAGTCCAACAACCAAAAAAACAGGGTGGGGCCAGGGGCTGAGGTTTGAGCCTGCAGTTCCAGCTACTCCGCCAGAGGCTGGGGCAGGAGGATCACTTGAGCCCAGGAGTTTGAGGCCAGCCTGGACAATATAGTGAGACCCCTTCTCTAAAAAAAAAAAGATTACTTATTTTATTTATTAATTTTGTTATAGAGACGGGGGTCTCACTATGTTGCTCAGGCTGGTCTCGAACTCCTGGGTTCAAGCAATCCTCCCACCTCAGCCTCCCAAAGTACAAAGACTGCAACTGTGAGCCACTGCACAGGGCCTAATTAATTAATTTTTAAAACGGGGAAGGGGCATCCTTGCTAAGTGTTTTTTTTTTTTGAGACAGAGTCTCGCTCTGTTGCCCTGGCTGGAGTGCAGTGGCGCGATCTCGGCTCACTGGAAGCTCCGCCTCCCGGTTCACGCCATTCTCCTGCCTCAGCCTCCCGAGTAGCTGGGACTACAGGCGTCCGCCACCGCGCCCGGCTAATTTTTTGTGTTTTTAGTAGAGCCAGGGTTTCACCGTGTTAGCCAGGATGGTCTCGATCTCCTTACCTCGTGATCCGCCCGCCTCGGCCTCCCAAAGTGCTGGGATTACAGGCGTGAGCCACCTCGCCTCGCCAACTAAGTGTCGTTTTTAAACATGTCTCTGAAAGCACCGGCCTGCTTCCCAGCCCCCTCGTTCCCTGCTGCAGGCCTCTTTTCGGCCTCTCCACTTGTTTACCCAGAGCTGCAGCCCTGAAGGGGGTTCCGCTTTGACACACAGCTCTTTTCCCATTACACAGGTTCGCAATAATCTCAGTATGAGAATCCCAAAATAGCATTCAGCGCTGTGTGCCAGTGGGCCGTGCTGCGGCAGCCCCCGCCTCCCTCTAGCCCTTCTTCAGCGGTTCTCTTCGTGGCCATTTGGAAGCATCCCCCAGGAGGCAGCCAAGGTGCTGGCAGCTTCCTGCAGGGCTCTGCTGGGCTGGGCATGGGTGCTTTCTTCACACCCACACTTCAGTGACACCCCTTGGGGCGCCTTGGCTGCACTGGACCCAAAGCCCCTCCCCTCCCAGGCAGGGGATCCACCAGCTGAAGCAGCAACCTTGCCATAGCTTTTCACAAGCTCCAGGCTTGAGAGAGTTTATAATCCCCATTTCTGTAATACTCCTGGGAGGTTTCTTAGTAACCTGCTTGTTCCCATGCTGCCAGTGCCCCATGCGTCCAGAGTCCACAGCTCATACACCTGCACCCAGGACAATGGAATCTCAGCAAGCTGAAAGAAGTCAAAACTTCAGGCATCTTTGGGATGCTGCAGTGGCTGCTGTGACAGAGGTTTGGGCCCACTCCCTTTCCTGTTTCCAAGTCAGCAGGAAGAAGGCTTTGCTATGGAGCCTCTTTAAGCCAGCTCCATGGAATGGGTCTCACCCTTATTGTCATGCCCTAAGATTCATAAGGCACAGGATCTGAAAGACAGCTTCGAGCCCCTGTGCCTTTCAGATGACAACGCTGGGGCTAGAGAGGCGAGACAGCTTGGCTGTTATCCCTGAGACTCTGCTTGCCTTTTCAGAAATGTGCTCTAACTTTGTTCTGTTGGAACTTTATAATGACGGAAGAGCAACACAAAAACATACGAAAGTGGGGAAAATAGAGGGAAATAGAGGGGGAAAAACCTCCATCCATAACATTATCAGCCTTAAACAATTCCCTTTTGTAATCTGAGGGAATTCCTTTTTTTTTTATTCAGACAGAATCTTGCTCTGTTGCCCAGGTTGGAGTGCAGTGGTGTTATCTCGGTTCACTGCAACATCTGCCTCCCAGGTCCAAGCTATTCTCCTGCCTCAGCGTCCCAAGTAGCTGGGATTACAGGCACCCACCACCATGTGCTGCTAATTTTTTGTATTTTTAGTAGAGACAAGGTTTCGCCATGTTGGCCAGGCTGGTTTCAAACTCTTGACCTCAGGTGATCCGCCTACCTTGGCCTCCTAAAGTGCTGGGATTACAGGTGTGAGCCACTGTGCCCAGCCAATCTGAGGGAATTTCTGTCCCACACATTAAGAAGTAATTTCTCTAGCCCCCATCCCGCTTACTTAAAACTACCTCTTACAGCAGTTACCCACTTCTGCCTTGCATTACAGTTACTGGTGTTCTTGACTTGTTTCCCCTTTTTAATTTATAAGTTCCTTGAAACGGAGACTATATTTTGCTCACTTTTATTTAATCCAACACTCATTTATTGAGTAACTACTATGCTAGATACTGAAATACAAGCATGAGTAAGTAAAGATTTCTTACGAAATTCGTAGAGTAGTGGAGAAGACAAATATATACAGGAAGCAAATATCTGTCACGGGCCAGACATATTACAAAAGGAGGCTCAAAAGAGGGAGCAGACGCTGCCTTAGTGGTTGGGCATGGCTGGGGCAAAGGCACGGAGGATGCATGAGTGGGTGGCAGCAGCTGGACCACATAGGAACAGGCAAGGGAATTTGGCCTTTATCTTGCAGTCATGGAAGCC
Organism: Homo sapiens; assembly: GCF_000001405.40. Taxonomy (NCBI): domain Eukaryota; kingdom Metazoa; phylum Chordata; class Mammalia; order Primates; family Hominidae; genus Homo; species Homo sapiens. The sequence continues at coordinate 183,583,845 of NC_000001.11, forward strand.
ACTGGAAGTTCTCACAGAGATTGCTTTTTTTAAATTTTTTTTTATTTTACAAGATCACTCTGGAATATGAATGGAGGGGACAAGAGCAGTGGCTGGAAAATCAGTTTGGAAGTGACTGCAGTAGTCCTGGTGAAAAATGAGGGTCTCAACCAAGGCAGTGCTAGTGGGGATGGAGAGAAATAGGTGGATTTAAGAAATATTTAAGAGGTCAACCTGATGAGGTTTAGGGAAAGAGACATTCCCTGGATGGATCTCAGGTACAGATTCTGTGAGAAATGGAGGCCAGCCATATGGGAGAGGGTGGCCTTGCCCAGGAATGGATCCTCAAGGTTCACATACGGACTTCATATCTATAGCCCCTGAATTGTACATAAACGAATGTGTGTGCTTGAAAGTGTATTTCTGGAAACACATTTTGCCATTTAACAACCACTGCTGCAGTTGTAAAAGGGAAAAGGGTCAAGAACAGAACTTCAAAGGGAATACCAACACCTAGGGAATTGCGCAAGAGGGCCTGCTTGAGGTTGAGATTAGTGCCTCATTTGTATAATTTCCTCATTGTTGAATTACAGATAAAACTCGGTAGATTTTTCTCTCAGGTGTAACTATTAATATTACCAATCACAGATTAATTGAATCCTGGGTCTTACTTTTAGAAGTTTCCAAGATCTTTCTAATCACTCAAAACCGTGGCCTTCCAGATCCTGGGACTCACGGGCATTTTTTGGAGGAAATTCTTTCTGGGAGCCTTCACTCTTTTGCCAGTTGTATCTCTTCTTTATAGACTATTAGAGGTCACTAAGGAATGACCTTAGAGTTTGCGTTTTGAGATTTAAGATCGGCTGAAGGATTTGTTGTTAGGCCTCCCTGCATATTCTATAGTCTGGAGACGGGGTAAGGGGGAGTGAGAAAGAGAAGGATGTTAAGAGCGGGGACAGGCAGTTAGAGGCAAGACGTCGGTCAAGATAAACACCTGCTGTACCAAAATATCTCATGTGTCCCATAAATATATACACCTACTGCATACCCACAAACATTAAAATAAAAAATTAAAATTAAAAAAAGAATTTATAAAGTCACAATAAATATGTCACACTAAATATGGGGGGAAGAGAGAGCTAAATGCCTGGATATCTTCTCCCAATCCCAGGCTCTCTTTCTCCCCAGATTGCCATTGTGTCTGTGGTTTTTCTTTTAGAAAAGACTTCACTTCTACTTTCACTTCTTCAGGTAACTAACTGCATCTACATCTTTAAGGTCCTTTGAGCATCTTGTGGTTGCCCTTAGCAACAGCTGCATACATGGGTTTTACAGGCTCTGTTTCTGACCAAACCATAGGATCAAAGCCTTTCAGGGTGGCACAGGATCAGAGCCCAGCCCTCTCTCTGATGTCTGGACATTGTCTACAACCTCCCTGCTGCTCCATCCACGCCCGGCCTCACCCTCACCCCACCCACACCATGCACAGATCATTTTCACTGTCAGAAAGTTCTTTATTAGGCTGGGCTCAGTGACTCATGCCTGTAATCCCAGTACTTTGGGAGGCCGAGGCGGGTGGATCACAAGGTCAGGAGTTCGAGACCAGCGTGGCCAACATGGTGAAACCCTGTCTCTACTGAAAAATACACAAATTAGCTGGACGTAGTGGCGGGCACCTGTAATCCCAGCTACTTGGGAGGCTGAGGCAAGAGAATTGTTTGAACGTGGAAGGCAGAGGTTGCAGTGAGCCGAGATCGCGCCACTGCACTCCAGCCTGGGTGACAGGGCGAAACTCCGTCTCAAAAAAAAAAAAAATTCTTCATTAGCCTGAGCCAAATTCCTCTTCCCTAGAACTGATGCACACTGGTGGAACAGTTTCTACAAAGGGTCAGTTTCCCATGCCCCAAAACATTTGAAATTATCACTTAGAATTTTTTTCCTTTGTTATTTGTTATGAGGTATTTGTGCAGGATGAGAGGGAGGAGGAATTGAGATTAACTTTCATTTTGAATTTATTAATCTTTGTACTAATTATTCCATGTTGACTATAAACAAACCTAAAAATGCAGACAGGGTGATAGAAGAAAATGGATTTTCCTATAATCCCACCATCCAGAGAGAATTATTGATAACATTTTGATCTATGGCCTTCCAGACTTTATTCTGTGATACAGAAATGGGACTATGCTATATGAACTGTTTTGAAATCTGTTTTTAAATTTAACATCTGGCTGGGCGTGGTGGCACATGCCTGTAATCCCAGCACTTTGGGGGGCTGAGGTGGGCAGATCACCTGAGGTCGGGAGTTCAAGACCAGCCTGACCAACATGGAGAAACCCCATCTCTACTAAAAATACAAAATTAGCTGGGTGTGGTGGCGCATGCCTGTAGTCCCAGCTACTCGGGAGGGTAAGCCAGGAGAATCGCTTGAGCCTGGGAGGCGGAGGCTGCGGTGAGCTGAGATCGAGCCCTTGCACTCCAGCCTGGGCAACAAGAGTGAAACTCTGTCTCGGAAAAAGAAAAAAAATTAACATCTACTGCAAACTTTTTCTGTATAAGTGCATACGCTACTTACTTATCTGTAGTAATTTATTCTTATACATATAATGTTAATTTGTATTATCATTTTTGCAGCTGAAGTATATTTCCTCAAATGGATTAAACCAGGTTTTGGAAATGCATTTTGCTGGGATGAAGCCAGGTTTTGATGCAGTTTCATGATCATCCCCATTCTGTGACAGCTCAGTACCTCATAGGAGACCTACATGGGTGACCCCATCAGGGACACTGGTGGGGTGTCACACCAGCTGAGTATCAGGCCCATGGTGGTTACCTAGGCTCATTGTGCCTATGACACAGCTGATTTATAATCTGGTGGCAGACCTGCCTTGCCTCCCCAGTGAGAGCTTCTGCCTCACCTGCTGATTTATTGCATAACTGTCCCCAGAAGGGCCAGTCACATTTCCCAACAGAGGTTGGGAAGGTACTGCTCAAACACCAAGCCCGCAACACTGAGACCCCTTGGGTTTCTCTCTGAAATCCTCCAGTTGGTGCAACATTGAACCACTTACTTCTCTGTCTGGTAGTAGAGCATCCCTCGTTGGAAGTAAGCCACTGCCAAGTGCTTGTCTCGGTTAATGCTTCTGGTAAAGGCCTGAGGAGAGAAGGGTCCAGACATGGCCATGATGCAAGGCAGTGAGGAGGTGTGAGATGAGCCACGGCTCACAGAGCCCTAGCTCCCTGTGGTGCCCAGCTCTGCTGTCTGCCCTCGTCGGCACCTCGAGGCCCACCCTGTGCTCTCACGGTGCACCCCACTTCGCTCTCACATTTAGAAGCTGAAGTCTGGGACAATGGTGTGCATTCCTTGTATTGTCATTCCAGTTCTGCTGTGGATCTACAAAACATTCCTGGAGCCATACATATACCATCTGATTTCTGCTTTTGTTAGTCATATATGGCCTAGAAAAGCTACACAAGAATCCAATAATTCCCAGGTGCGGTTGCTCACACCTGTAATCCCAGCACTTTGGGAGGCCAAGGCAGGTGGATCACTTGAGCCCAGGAGTTCAAGACCAACCTGGGCAAAATAGTGAGACTCCATCTCTACGAAAAATTTAAAAATTAGTCAGATGTGGTGGCACATGCCTGTGGTCCCAGCTACTTGGGGGACTGAGGTAGGTCAATCGCTCAAGCCCAGGAGGTGGAGACTGCCGTGAGCTGTGACGGCACCACTGCACTCCAGCCTGGGCAACAAAGTAAGGCACCCTGTCTCAAAAAAAAAAAAAAAAAAAAAAAAAAAAAATCCAATGATACAAATAAAGACAAAGTGGACTATAAGGGTGCAGACACTAATGGATTATCACCAACAGAAATCTTAGAAGAAAAGAAACACTAAAGCATTTTCCCAAAGGAGCTCATCATTTTAAAAATGGACTTGACAATATGAAGCGCCTTCTTTGTAACTGTCTCTGACCTTCTCTGAGACTAGAATTCAGAATAGATAATTTAGACATTTACCTGATACTAATAAAAAATACATATCTATATTTAAAATATAGTTAGTTATATTTAATGACCTCATTCCCAAGTTCCTTTTTCATTAGTGTAGCTTTCATTTCTATTATCGCTGTTTTAATAATATGATTTAATATGATTAGATAGAAGCTTTGAGCCAGTAGACACTATGTTACTAAATCAGTACTTTAAAATCTTTGGTCTTCTGTCTTTCATTCATATGAATTTAACTGCTGTTTGCTCTAATTTCTTTGAGTTCTCCTAGTTTGAGTAGAGTACAATTTTACTGTGAAACAATGCAGCGAGACTGTGCTATGAAGTGAAGGTAGAGTTTTTGGAGGTGATAATGATGTCAAACTTAAAGATACAATTCCTATCCAACACAACAGAGCACCTTGTCCAGGAGAGTAGTAATTACTATTTATTGCTCTGTGGAAGATAAAAAAGATAGGGAAATAGGAGAAGCTTCTTTGAAAAATGAAACATCATTAGACGGGCTTGGTGGTGCATGCCTGTAATCCCAGCTACTTGGGAGGCTGAGGCAGGAGAATCACTTGAACCCAGGAGGCAGAGGTTGCAGTGAGCCGAGATTGCACCACTGCACTCCAGCCTGGGTGACAGAGTGAGACTCCATCTCAAAAAAAAAAAAAAAGAAAGAAAAAATGATATCTAATGTAATAATGAAATTTTAACCCTTGTTGCATTTCTTGTATTCCTATGAATGTATTGAACATTCAGTTTAAATAAATAATAAAATTTATTGCAAATGAAAATAATTAAAATATTATATAAATTGTTATATTTGTTTACTATACAAACTTATACATGAATAGTATACAATTAAAATGATAATGAATAAGAATGCATATAAATGCTAGTAGGAAGGGCTCAAGCAGGAAAACAAAGAAAGGCAGAAGGAATGAGAAGGCTAGAAGCAGAGGAATGCCAGGAGAAACAGAGACATGTGGGCCTGAAGGCCTGGGAGCTGAGAAGTGAGTGGTGGCCCACACAACCTTGCCAAGGATCCCATATCCAGGCCAAGGCAGGAGGCTACAGTCCCTGCTGGCATAGCTGTGCCCAGACTAGCTGCCAATCTCTTCTCCTGGACAATGTGCACTTTGTGTCCATCAGCCCTCAGAATGTGTGGTGCTGTTCACTCAGCCCCTCAGCAGGCCCCTGAGAGGAGGTGGGGCCATGTCCTTCCTCCAGCCAGAGGTGGGGGGTCCTGCCATGCTCTGCCTTAGAGCCTGAGATTGACTTGTCAAGCTATGTGAGAACATTTCAGTCACTTCTCTGTCTTCCTGTCAGGAGGGTGTGGCTGAGGCTTGTTTACCTACTGTTGGAGTGTGGAAGGGACTGATTCTTTAAGGGACCTGGGGAGTCAACCACTGCCACACCTTGCAAAGACTGGCAGTAATCGGTAAAAATAATAACTAACTCTTATACAGTGGTGTGAAGTTCCACGAGACATTAATAGTTTGGCATCTCACTTAATTTTCATGATATTTAGAAACTCAGGAAGCTGAAAGCCAGATGTCTACATAGGCTACATAGCTTGCTTAAGACTAAAAGTCCAGAGAGAGACAGAGGCTAGGATTCGATCCTAGATCTTCTCCTTCCAAACTCCATACCCTTTCCACCTTACCACAACCAATCAAAAAAATAATTATCGAGAATGCTTAACTCCATACTATGGTATTTGAGTGAGAAAACATAACGAAAAAGATGCGAGACATCCCACACCATGCCCCCAGCAGACATCACTAGTCAATCACAGTACAATTTCCTCTTGCCAGCCTCAGCATCTTTAAAAGAGTCTCCTTTATAATTGATCAGAATTGTCACTTGGGATAAAAGCTATTTTTTGTAAGTGCCTCCCTTAAATCTCTTGAGCAGGCAAAGTCGACACACATGAAAGTCTTGGAAAGCCAAAAGAGGTGCCTTAGAATCAATAATCAGGTGTAAAGCGCTGGGATAGATAGAGATTCTGTGCCCAGAAGGAGTTCTGTGTAGAAGAAAGTACGACTAGGACAGCCTTCACAAAGGTGTTAAAGACACTTGTAGAATGATTTTAATTTAGAAGATGGAGAAAGAGGCAACCCTGGCTGCCCCTCACCTGCTCTCCACCTGGAGAGCTTTTAAAACTGGCTGCCTGGGGCCCCTCCCAGACCAGTTAAATCAGGCTGTCTAGGGGTGGAGCTTGGGCAACTTTTGTTCTTTTCAATCTCCCCAGAGGTTAGGTTTCCGAAATGCAATGGGGTTGAGAATCATAATAACAAATGCACAGAGGAGGCCCGGAAAGAGGCACCTCCACTCACCTTCTCTGCTTCAGTCATGTTCTTCAGGATAGTGTACATGCAGCCAATGTTGAAGCAAATCCGGGAGTGGGGGTCCTGGACGGCACTGAAGGCATCCAGGGCTCCCTTCCAGTCCTTCTTGTCCGCTGCCAGCACCCCTTCATTCCAGAGGCTGATGGCCTCCACCAGGGACATGATTAGGTAGAAACTAGGAGGCCAAGAGAGCTGCCAGGAGACAGAGAGAAGACAGGTTGGAGCGTCTCCCCTAGCAGGGCTGCCTTAGTGGCCCCCAAGGTGTTCACTTTCTGGGCCAGATGAGTAGAATGGGGCCCAGCCTCCCTTAAGATAACTTCTCAGTGTTGCAAATGCATCAGGAAATGTCCCCACCTTTTGGCAACTGACTCATAACCCTACCATGAGAGAGAAAAGGAAAGAAGCAGAGAGAGAGAGGGCGAGTAGGGGTGGAGTGTGGAGGAGAGAGGAAGTACATCAGCTGCTGCCTGAAGGATCAGTTCCCCAAAATGCTTCTGCTCTGTCACCCAGCTCCTCTTCTCTCTCCCACCCCTGTTCTGTGGCAGCTTCTGGCCAAAGTTCTGCTTCTAGAGCCAGGGTAACCTTGGCAGGTAGAGGCACCTCCCTGGTGATAATGACAGGAGGCAGCCAAATGCCTAGGCAGATAGGGGCAGGTCCCTGGTGAAACCCCACCTTCAAGCCAAAAACAGCCTGAAGGCTGAAAGACTAGGCTACTGGTCCCAAATGAAACCCGTGACCTAGAGTGAGAACTTCTGTTCCTGTTTGTCTGCTCTTTCCCAATTAATTATTTCTGACTAATGCCTTTTAACCAATTGAATGTTGCCTTTTCCAGTACTACCTATGTCCTGCCCCTCCCCTATTCTGAGCCCATAAAAGCCCCAGACTCACCCGCACTGGGGGGACTTTCCTGCCTTTGGGTAGGGGAACCACCCCTGCATCCCCTCTCCACTGAAAGCTGTTTTCATCACTCAATAAAACTCCCCACCCAGGCCGAGTGGGCAGGCCATCTCCTGCAGCAGGTAGTGTGGCCCACTGAGGCCTGGGCAGGGTGTCACCAGCCAGAGGTTCCTGGCTTACAAAGTGATGGAGAAAAAATCCTGTGTCACTGGGCCTTGATTTCCACACCCTTGTTAAATGGGAGTGTCAGATGAGAGGATAATTCTTTCCAGTCTTGAATGAATTCCTTGCTCACTTTTTTGTAATCCCATAGGCTGTATTAATATGTTAGTGTTTATCTTGAGCTGAAATTATCATTAACAAATTTTTGAGACAGGATAATCTTTGGAGATCCATCTGATCTGGGCCTGAAATAACTTTTTTTTTTTTTTTTTTGAGACGGAGTTTCACTCTTGTTGCCCAGGCTGGAATGCAGTGACACGATCTCAGCTCATTGCAACCTCTGCCTCCTGGGTTCAAGCAATTCTCCTGCCTCAGCCTCCTGAGTAGCTGGGATTACAGAAGCCTGCCACCACGCCCTGCTAATTTTTGTATTTTTAGTAGAGATGGGGTTTCACCATGTTGGCCAGGCTGATGGTCTCGAACTCCTGACCTCAGGTGATTCGGCCTCCTCGGCCTCCCCTCAAAGTGCTGGGATTACAGGAGTGAGCCACCGTGCCCAGCCGAAATAACTTTTATGAACATTCATGAAGTTCAGAGGGGACCAATTTCCTGCAAATGTCAAAATTGGGAGCCACATGACAGTGAATTATGACTTCTCCCATCTTCCAGTGAAAAATTGAAGAGATGAAAGTCCTGCACTGATGACTAATGGATTTACTAGTCTCTGAAAAAACAGATTTAAGAGTTCTTTCCTTGCTTTTCCAGAAAAGTAAAAATCAGTAAAACCTCCCAGAGGAATAACTGGGGGTAAAGGGTATAGCCAATTTGGCTTGCTAAAATCCAGGCTTCTTTTTAGGTAAAATGCATGTTTATGGGGGTCAAATACTTAGATGCAAACTCTTGTTTTGTAGCAACTGAAAGAATTCACTCATTATCACCAAGCTTCCCCTAAAAGCCTGAAAATAAAACTTAAAAATGTATACTCCACAGTGCTTGTAGGATTGAAGGTGTGAGAATTAAGAAGACATGTGTGTCTTTGTCCAGATTGTTTTCCTGTGTTTACAAGGCCTTCCCAGCTCTCTTCTTTGCCTGGCAAACTCCTACTCATCTTTCAAAGCCCAGTTTAAATGTCACCAACTGTGCTAAATCTAGCCCTGAACTCTGGGTAGTAGGAGAATTTTCCTCTCCTTTGTACCACCTTTACCCAAAAACTTGCATCATACTTACTGCAATTTATCTCTTTATCTGCTCAATTCATGGGCTCCTTGGAAGTTGGGACCATGCCTTTTCATTCTAGGATCTCTAGCACAGATACTCAATACATGATGAAGGGATACATTCTAAAAGAAATTAGAAATCATTGGTAAATGACCTGCAGGTAGCAGTGATGGCAGAAAGAGGTATTGCTATTCCATCTAGTGAATAAATAATCAGGACTTGAATAGCACATTAATTATTCCTGAGAAAACCAAATGGATTTGTAGCTAAATTAGACTTCATTTTTAAAAAATGTTTTTGCCCTCCTATTATCCCACCCTGACACTCAGAACTCTCCTTAATCTGACTGCCAAGACTTTTCTAGCCTTATCCCCAGAACTTTCCTTCACAATCCCATACAAACTCTGCTGCTTACTCTTCTCCCGCTATGCCTTCATTCCTGCATCTGTGCGACTCGTGCTAGTTCCTCTTTCTAGGCTGCCCTCTCCCATGTCTGCACCTTCAAACCCACCTTGCATAGCCTTCGAAGGCCTGCTAAAATAGCACTCTCCTTAACACACTGCCCTGAAATCAGTCCTGCCTGAAAGCGCTCAAACCCATGATCTCGCCTTCTGAACTCCTGCATCTCCTTCTCCGCACCTCCCATGTGGCCCTTAATCACTCTTCACCAATGTATGTGCATGCAAGTCTTAGCACCTCAAATAGTGTGCCTCAGGAGGAAGTCCTGGGCTAACCCATGTTTGTATCCCCCAGGGCACTAGCAAAGCCATTCATGCTCCATTTCATCCACTTTCCCTCCCCTTCTCCTGTCACCACTCAGGCCAAGCCACTATCAACTCCCAGGTGAACATGATAGTCTTTTAACATTTCTTTGCCTCTCCATCCAGATTGAGCTTTTAAAAACACAAGTCAGATCACTTCATGGCCCCTGTTTTTAAACCTTCCATGGCTTTGCACTGCTCTCAGGATATAACCCGAACTCCTTCCCATGCTGCAGGAAGCCCCCTGCCTGCTGCCCTGTGCTCATTCCAGGTCATTTCCCCTCCTCCTCTCCCAAGAACTCCAGCTACACAGGCCTCCTTTCATGGTTTCATATGAGCCAGCCTCTTCCTCCGCCCATGTAACACTCTTCCCCCAAGCCTGCCTGGCTAGTTCCTACTCATCTTTCACTTCCTCAATGAGTGGCCTTTCTAGATCCATGACCTTGCTATGTGCACGGTTCTCTCTGATCATGTATTTGTTACAGTTTGTAACTGTATGTCATCTGTGACATTGTTTCTGTCCCTCAATGCAGGGGCAGTCTATTTAATCATTACTTGGTGCTGTTAGTAGACGGTCTGTTCAGCCACTGTCCATTCGCCTTCCTCCTTTTGGTAGAACCCCAGTTCTGTTCAAGCCTCCAGTTTCCTGAAGCCATGCGCTTCAGGAGGGAAAGTCTGCTAAGAATTTCTGGGAAAGATTTCTTCCCCAGTGATAAAAAATAAAACACATGAGAAGAAACAGCACTTGTTTCTCTACTAGACAGCATTGTGAGATGTGTCTGGAATATGGCAGCTGTCTTATAATCATGAGGGGAGACAACTAAGAACAAGCCATTGTCTGAAAGAAAAGAGAATGGAAAATTACAAAGAGCTCAGATGCTTAGTTATGCTGATGAGATGTGTTGCATTATCTGTTTTCTGCAAATCTGGCTGGGCACAATGGCTCACATCTGTAATCCCAACACTTAGGTGGGAAGATCCCTTGAGGTCAGGAGTTAGAGACCAGCCTGGGCAATGAAGCCAGACCCCATCTCTACAGAAAAACACTAAAAATTAGCCAGGCATGGTGGCACATGCCTGTAGCCCCAGCTTCTCAGGAGGCTAAGGTGGGAGGATCATTTGAGCTCAGGACTTCAAAGGCTGCAGTGAGTGATGATCACGCCACTGCATTCCAGCCTAGGTGACTGAGCAAGACTCCATCTCTTAAAAGATAAAAATAACGTTTTCTACAAGTCTGAAACTGATCTACCTTGGAATTTCTTGTTTGGTTAGATAATAAGTTTGTTTATTGTTTAAGTCATTCATATCAAGTTTTCTATTAGTTATGGTTTAAAATGTTCTGACACACACACCACTGGATTCTCGGTACCTAGTACAGGGCTTGGCATATAGCAGGTGTTCAATAAACATTACTTGTTAAATAAAATTTGTTGAGGCATTGGTTGGGTAACTCAGTTTCATCTCGATATTTTCAAAATTATTCCAAAATTCCAAATAAGCAAGATTTGCATATGATTGGTTAACACTACAAACTACTGTTGCATGTATTTATTCAGCTGGAAGCCAAGAACACTCCCAAGACCCTCCTTTTTTTTTCTGAGGAAGAAGCCTGTAAAATCAAAATAAAACTCATTATTCCTGGGCACTCAGGAAATACTTTTTCATTCCTACATTTAGATTTTAGTGTTCTATCGCTCTTTAACTTTTTCTGGTACATGAGACTTCTTTCTTAAGCTCCTCAAAGGATAGAGCCAACTCTCCACTGTCCTTCAGTCTTTCGCCATGTTTAGCACGTAGTAGCTGCTCCGTGATCATTGGCTAATTAATTAAATGAACTGAAAAATGAGAAAACTGAATCCTACTTGGAAAAATATAATTTTGTAAAGTTTGTCAGTATCATGTTAGTTGCATAAAGTGAGGTACATTTAGACTAGTAGGGAAAAGAACGCACTTTTTTGCCGTCAACTCTAACATTGAGTAGATAGTTTCATTGAGTACAAGACAGGAAACCCTGAAGGAGGCAGGGAGGAGACCTCATTTATTAGATATAAACTTGGCCTGGATCTCACATGAAGGATACAGAAAAGTCAACAGGGGTCCTGTTGTTCAGCAATGCTATTGAAAGCCTCAGGGCTTGAAATCGTCTTTCTCCAGGAAGGCAAGTTAGTCCTGTCTAATCTGTCGTTGGGTTGGTTTTCCGTTGCTGCATGACAAATTACCACAAACTTAATGGCTTAAAATAACACACATGTACTATGTCACAGTTTTCATGGGTCAGGAGTCTGGGCACGGCTTAGTTGGGCCCTGTGCTCAGGGTCTCACAAGGCTGAGATCGAGGTGTTATCTAGGCTGCTTTCTCATCTGGAGACTTGACGGCATCTGCTGCCAAGCTCCCTTGGTTTGTTGGTGGAATTCATCTGTAGCTATAGAATTCATGAAAGCTTCCTTCTTCAAGGCCAGCAATGGAGGCAGAGAGAATCTCTGCTTCATTAAGTCTCTTACCTCTAGACCTTCTCTTAAAGGAGTCACCTGATTAGGCCAGGCCCACCCAGAATATTCTCCCTTTTGATTAATTTAAAGCCAACTGCTTAGGGATGTTAATCATCTCTGCAAAAATCCCTTCACCTTTGCCATGTTCTATTGATTAAAAGCAAGTTACAGGTCTCTCCCACTCAAGGGGAGGGGATTACACAAAGGCAAGGATCATCAGGGATCATCTTAGAATTCCACCTGCCACACCTCAGCAGCTCCAGTCTTCTTCCCTGACTTACCAGTGAGATTAATTATTCCTGCCATGTGCACTCAAGGAGGTTTCTCTCTACCTCTCCTAATGTGTGTTCAAGCACATGTGATTGTAATTACTTGTTTAAACGACTGTCTCTCAACTAGACTGTAAGCCCCGAAAATACAAGATCTGTGTCTGATTTTTCCACTGTATCTTTTGTGCCCATGATATGGTGGATTTTTAACATATCTGTTAAATAGCGATGCCATGGAAGGTGCTTTTAAAGTCAGTGTGATTACTTAATTTGCTTGGCTAAATATATGTGTCCTAGCATCCTAGATGAAAATGAGGGAATGTATAATGCCTATTCATTTAAAGACACCTCATATTAAGCACTCTTTTTCATATTTGTACCCTTTACACACACAATGTCTAGTACCTGCATAGGTGGTCACTCAGTAAAAGTTTGATGAATAAATGAATGAATGCATAGAGATTAAAGATCTGAATCCTGAATGAAGCAAGTAAATACACTGGATCCTCACTATAAATTGTCCTTTGGGCCAGGCACAGTGGCTCACACCTATAATCCCAGCACTTTGAGAGGCCAAGGTGGGCGGATCACGAGGTGAGGAGTTGGAGACCAGCCTGACCAACATGGTGAAACCCTGTCTCTACTAAAAATAGTACTAAAAATAGTACTCAGGAGGCTGAGGTAGGAGACTCTCTTGGACCTGGCAGGCAGAAGTTGCAGTGAGCCGACATTGCATCACTGCACTCCAGCCTGGGCTACAGAGCGAGACTCCATCTTAAAAAAAAAAAAAAATTGCCCTTTGACATTTCTCTGCAGATCCAAATCCTGTCCATCTGTCCATCTGTAAAAGCTCAGCTTAGACTCACATCCTACGTAAAGTCTTCCCTGATGTAAGTTAGTCTCAGTAATTTTTTTCTCTGAATTCCTATAGCATTTTATGATCAAACCCCAAAACACAAGCACTCTATCACATTATCTGTTTTCTACCTTATCTATCCAGCTAGCTATAAATAGGTTCTTTGAGGGCAGGGAACAGGCTTTCTATTTCTTTACATTTTCCACAGAACTGGCACCTAACATCTTATATCAAAGTCTTAATAAATATGTGCTGATCTGAAAAGTAAAAAAGAAATATGGTTGATGTGGCATGATTCTAGTCCTGCATATCTTAGGAACTTTCCCTTTTTGGATGCAGTTGGCCTTTTCAGTCCTGCATTTTTCGTCTAGAGTACCCATTCACTAAATGCAATCTAGTCATAGAGCCAGGGATCTCTTTTACATGTGTTCAAAACTCCGTGGGTCTTTTTCTTTAGGAAGATTCCTGTCTCAGGATAGTTTTTGTGTGTGTTTCCCAAGCCAGTGAGTATCTAAGGGGAAATGATGCTCTAACAAGACAGTTACTGATGTTGAAGGAGTAGAAACTGATCACGTCATTGTACAAAAAAGCGGAGGGGGCACAGAAGAGTTAGAAATCTACCCCCTATTTAGCAGAACAGAATTTTTTAAAAAAATTTAGATTCAGGAGGTACATGTGTAGGTTTGTCACGTGGTATATTGCAGGATGCTGAGGTCTGGACTTCTATTGATCCTGTCACCCAAATAGTGAACATAGTACCCGATAGGTGGTTTTTCAACTCTTGCCCACCCGTCTCCTTTCCCACTTTTGGAGTCCCCAGTGTCTATTGTTCCCATCTTTGTGTTCATGTATACTCAATGTTTAGCTACCACTTATAAGTGAGAACATGCAAGATTAGATTTTCTGCAAAACAAAATTTTTAAAGATTCCCTTTTGCTTTCCCTGTAGTGTCCCTAACGACCGTGTCTGGACATACAATAACTATTTGCTGAATCACTGAATGAATGAACAAGTGAAGAGTGGACATCTGTTAGGGTATATGCCTGTCTCTTCTCTGGGACCTGCCTGTGTAATCCATAGAAGGATGGTAGGCCCTGTGGCCACATTTGTACTGCCTGAGTCCTGGCTGGTTGGACCCTGGTGGGCATCTGACAAGCTGGCCTCATTAGGTTATGTCTCCTGTGATTCAGGATTTAGGACTGAGAGGTGTATAAACCTAGGAGCTGCAGTTCTATCATGCTGTGCCCTGAGGCCCCGGAAAGCAGAGGAAGCCAGACTACTCAGAGAGAATGGAACAGATGCCCAGCGAGGAGCAGAGACAAGAGACACAGAAACTTTTCAGTCTCCGGTTCCAGCCTTTCCTGAGCCCCATCCAAATTCCTGCCCCAAGCTTAGACCCTTGCAATAAATTTCAGTGTTTGCTTAAGTTTGCTGTAATTAGTTTTGTTGTATGCCAAAAAATAGACTTGACTAATACAAAGTGAAAAATAGATGTAAGCCCCAGGCCCAAGACTCTAAAATAATCAATTGCTAAAGAGAGACAGGAGATTCTCAGAAACAAACATAACCATGTGTTACTCAGGAATACGGAGATGAGGGAAGTGGGGAGGCAATGAGACTCCCCAGAGAACGCTCTGAGGAGGCCAGACATGCACAGATGATGGAAGCCATGGCTTCTGACCAAGGAGAAATCCAAATGCTTGGCAGAGATCAAAGGCAGAGTATAAGGAAAGACAAAGCCCAGAGTGAGCTGAGGCTGCATAAAAAAAAAAAAATTACTAAGGACAGCACAAAGGTCTTTTTAGTATCAGAGAAAGAAGAGCAGGGAGAGGGAGAGTCATGGCTTGGTGGAGATGGTGTCATTTTCACAGATGTCAGAGTGAAAGCAAAACTGCTCAGCTCCTATTTTGCTTCCAGCTATACAGATAATTGAAGACCCAGATAGAGGATGGTGAGAAAGTTGCTAGCTGCTTTAAAGAAATTCATTTTATCAAATGTAGACTCGTTAAAAACCAGGAATCGATAGAATTTGTAAGTGTGATCCCTAAAATCTTATCAGCATTGAGATTCAGGAAGCCAGGATGTATGGGCAAGTATGAGTCCAGTCTTCTAAAAGCTGTGAATTCTAGAAGTGGTATCAAAGACTTATGGGCTGAGCCCTAGAAATAATTATAAAATACAGATTATTAAACAAAGGCACTTACAAACCAAAAGGAAGCTATTACATTTAGGAACTAGCATGAGTTTACTCAAAATAAGTCAGGTCAAAACAAACTCTTGACCAGGTACAGCGGCTCATGCCTGTAATCCCAGCACTTTAGGAGACTGAAGTGGGAGGATTTACTTGAAGTCAGGAGTTTGAGACCACCCTGGGAAACATAGCAAGATCCCATCTCTACTAGAAAAAAAAATTAGCTGGGTGTCAAGGTGAGCACCTGTAGTCCTATCTAATCAGGAGTTTGAGGCAGGAGGATTGCTTGAGCCCAGGAGTTTGAGGCTGCAGTGAACTATGATTGCACCTCTGTACTCCAGCCTGTAGACAGAGACCTTGTCTCTAAAAACAAAACAAAACCAAACCTCTTTTTCTTTCTTTCTTTCTTTCCTTCTTTCTTTCTTTCTTTCTTTCTTTCTTTCTTTCTTTCTTTCTTTCTTTCTTTCTTTCTCTTTTCTTTCTTTCTCTTTTCTTCCTTCCTTCCTTCTTTCTCTCTCTTTCTTTCTTTCTTTCCTTCTTTCTTTCTTTCTTTCTTTTGAGATGGAGTCTCGCTGTGTCACCCAGGCTGGAATGCAGTGGCACTATCTCTGCTCACTGCAACCTCCACCTCCCGGGTTCAAGCAATTCTCCTGCCTCAGCCTCCCAAGTAGCTGGGATTACAGGCGAGCACCACCACGCCTGGCTAATTTTTTGTATTTTTAGTAGAGACAGGGCTTCTCCATGTTGGCCAGGCTGGTCTCAAACTCCTGACCTCAGGTGAAACGCCCACCTCAGCCTCCCAAAATGCTGGGATTACAGGTGTGAGCCACCGTACCCTGCCCTCTTTTTCTTTTTTTGAGAGGATTTTCCTGGTAGGTGAATTGGGAAGGTGCCATCTACCAATATCAGTAAGATATTTGGCCAAGATATTCCTTAGACAATTTACTTGGCTAAATATTATGTTCACTGAATCTTCTTAACATATTAATGTCACCTTGTGCTTTTAACCTTTCTATAAACACCTTGAATCAGATTCACAAATAGCTCAAAGTTTGGAGAGAGAGTATCAACATGTACATCAGAATTAAAATATTTCTTGACTCATATAGATTCACAAAAGCTCCAAATGGAGTTTGATAAAGACAAATGTAAAGATCGGCTCCTAAGTTTAAAAACCCAACTGCCCAAACATCGGAAGATGACAATTCTTGACAATTCTTAAAAGCAGTCCATCAGAAGAAGGCCTAGCCATTTGGATTGACTGCAAGCTCAGTATGAGTCAACAAAATCATGTGGTTGCCAAAACAGCTAATGCAATCTTAGGCTGCATTAACAGAAGTGCACCCAACTCTTGTGTCAGATGGTTCTTGACTCAACAACCTGCCCTAGCCAGAGACATGGGTAATCTCTCTATTGGCCAGAGCAGGAAACTGGCACCATTCCCCAATTCAAAACAAGCTCTCAAAGATTGTCTTCTGTTCATAGCAACTATTATCTGTCATCCAGGGCTCTCGTTCTGAACTGACCAGTGTTCCCATCCATTTCCCCAGAACTCTTGGCTCAGATTAGAAGACATTGTCTAGAAAGTCTTTATTTCAGTCTTTTTTTTTTCATCTGGTCACAGTTCAACTACCAACGCAGACATGGCTTGCACATTCTCCACCAAGAGACACAGGCTCTTCACTCTGGGGCTTAGACTCTTTTCTGGGTTTCAGGACAGTCAGCAACATGGCCTTCATCAGCAGATCATCTGACAGAAGAGCCTCCCAGAATGATGGGTTCCTTCACTTCCTTCTCAGCACTAGGGTTGGGCTTAGCTTGTCCAGGACTTTCACCTACTTGAGAGGTTGACAGCACACACCAGGGCCATCATCCCACTGACCGCATCAGAGCTGTGGTTCCCCATGCAGGGATATATACCATCAAGAGCTTGCGAGATCATTTGAGGCACTACATGGACACACATTTTTATCATAATATTTATTGTTTTACTTTAGTTCCTTAATTTTTTTGGAAAAAGAATATATTCACATGGTTCAAAAATTAACAAATACAAAAAATTTTCCTCCTCTCAGTGTCAAACTCTTCCTGCCCATCAGAAACCACTTTTATTAGTTTCTTGGTATTCTTCCCTCAGAGAAGATTTTAAGCATATGCAAATGCAGACCCTCTGTCCCCTCCTCTTCTACGCACATATCATTAGAGGTAAAGTTCTGCTTCTCACTCTTTAACAACAGTCTCTTATCAGTACATAGAAAGCTTCCTCATTCTTTGTTTATGGCTGTGTAATTTTCTGTCGTATAATGAGTGCCCCATTTTCCAATTCCAATACAGTGTCTCCAATTGTATACTATCATCATATTGTGAGGAATGTTCTTGTATATACATCATTTCACACGTCTGTAAACATATTTATAGGATAAACTTATAGAATTAGAATATCTGAGTCACAGTGTTTATTTATTCTAATGTGCATTTTTTTAAAAGTATAACTAGCACACCAAATCCACAATTTCATTATTAGCATTTTTTATAATGAGGGTAGGTTTTAAAATGGTGAATCAGGCTGAGCACGGTGTGTCATGCCTGTAATCCCAGCACTTTGGGAGGTTGAGGCGGGTGGGTCACGAGGTCAGAAGATCAAGACCATCCTGCCTAACACGGTGAAACCCCGTCTCTACTAAAAATACAAAAAAATTAGCTGGGCATGGCGGCGGGCACCTGTAGTCTCACCTACTCTGGAGGCTGAGGCAGAAGAATGGCGTGAACCCAGGAGGCGGAGCTTGCAGTGAGCCAGGATCGTGCCATTGCACTCCAGACTGGGCGACAGAGAGAGATCTGTCTCAAAAAAAAAAAAAAAAATTATGAATCAGTGAGAGAGAAATATTAAGCAAATCTCAGCATTGGTGGTTTGAAAATATGGCTAAAAATTATGAAAGTAGTAAGTAAAGGGCTGGAGTTTGAGAAACACTGACCTAGAACAGAATTATCACATTCCCTACCAGAAGCTCCTAAAGTCTGTATTTCTTACAGGGTTCAAAGTTGTCATAGGTAGGGTACCGGGAAAGAGAGAGCTTTGAGTTAAGGGATTTGGGTTTGAATCTTGATTTTCCTCTAGCTGGCTGTGAGTCTTGCAGCCTCATTTTTCTTATGTGGAAAGGTGTGTTGCTTGGTGGCTATTATAATTCAGCCAGTCTGAGTGAATTTGGGGAAGAAAGAGAAGTCAGAATCTTTGTTCTGGCTAGCACCTTTCCCTTTCAACATGCCTTCTCCATAAACACATTTATGATGGCAGCCTGAAATTAAGCCAGATACAGTATATAATCATGTGTGTGACCTGTGCAGTCACACAGGGGCCCATGCTTAGAAAGTCCCCACCCTTGCTTTCTTTGCTGTCACCATCTTAAAATTCTTAATAATTCAGAATAAGAGGCCCATATTTTCATTTTGCATGGAGACCCTGCAAATTCTGTAAGCACTCACACATGGCCTCCTCCCTCCTATCATCCACCTCCACCTACCAACTGCCTCCTATTGCTCTTGAAGGTTACTGCTGTGTGAAGCCTCCCACCCTTGGGGCCATCTAAGGAAGCTAAAGCTTGGTCACTTCTGCTGTGGTCTGGAGTCCCCTCTGCTGACACCATCTGTCCCAGTGCTATCTCTCTCATGGCCTTCTCTATAGGATGCTCTCAATGTCACTCAGGAGAGTGGCTTTGGGAGGCTAGTACCAACTTCCCCTGGGTATTCTGGGGGGTCTTCACTGATCAGAGCCTGGGTCTGGAGGCACCTTGGTGATGTTTTTCCCCATTAGGCCCCTGAGCTCTATGGAAGCACTTAACTGCCTGTTCCCCGCTTATTCTGTGTTTAGACCAAGGAAGCAACATGCCTGGGGTCTGAAATCCTGGATTCAAATCCTGACTGTGTTTTGTGCTACCCGAGTGAACTTTCACAAGTCCCTCCAATTCTCAAAAGCTTCAGTTTCCTCATCTGCAAAGTGATTATAGAGCAATGCCTAACTTGCTGGTTTATTGTGAGACTGAAATTTATGACAGAAAAATGAGCATAGCCTTTGTTTGTTTCATGGGGTGTTAGTCCTCTGTCCTGACATTCCCACCTCCTACTCCAGGCTGACTTGAGCGAAGGGTTCATAGAGTGCTGGGTACCACCTCCTCAGCTGGCCTGTGGACACTCAATTCCACCTCTGTCCAAACTCCAAGCAGTTTTCTCTCAGCTGCAGTTTGCTCTGTAGCCATTTCATCCTTAGAATTCCTAGCACGCAAAAGGTTTGCAGAATAGTTCATCACACTGCAGTACTATTAAAGCCATATAGTTCATGACATAGTCCAGGGTCATTAAATGCTGTGGAAGTCCCCTTTCACACAGAACACTGGACTTTCTACTTTAGAATTGATTGTCATTTGTCACTAAACAGTTTCTCATACTTCTCCGCCTCCCTGTTTGGATTGTCTGCTTAGTACAATCTGCTTAGTAAGTGGACATCTCTTTTTTTTTTAATGGAGTTTTGCTCTTGTTGCCCAGGCTCGAGTGCAACAGCATGATCTCGGCTCACTGCAACCTCTGCCTCCCAGGTTCAGGCGATTCTCCTGCCTCAGCCTCCCAAGTAGCTAGGAGTACAGACAGGCACCTGCCACCACGCCCGGCTAATTTTTGTATTTTTAGTAGAGACGGGGTTTTACCACGTTGGCCAGGCTGGTCTCGAACTTCTAACCTCAGGTGATCCGCCCGCCTTGGCCTCCCAAAGGGCTGGGATTACAGGCGTGAGCCAACGCACCCAGCTGTGGACATCTCTTTATTATATCCACTGCTTTTCCAGATTCTCTCTTGCTCTCTCCTTCCACTTCTGTCCGCTGGGACGTAGAATGGTGGAAGGAAGATGGGGGAGAGGTGTCCTGAATTCTAGAGAAGTGGTTTCTAGCAGAGCAAAGAAACATACAAGAAGCTATTGCAATATTTCAGGCAAGAAATAATGCTAAGGCAGCCACAGGAAGAGAGGATGGATGTGGATAAATGCCAAATACAATGTGGCATTTCACATGGAGACAAAGGAGAGTGACTGGGAGGCTGGTGACACCCGTGACTGCCACAGGAAATGGAGTGGTAACCTCATCCACCCCTACACTTTCATACAAGTGACTCTCAAGGCATGCTTCTGGCCATATTGTCTCCCGAGAGCAGAAATCTGAAGACAACTGATATGGCCTTTAATAAATGGGGACTGAACTTTGGGGAGGCCCTAATTAAAGACAGCTGGAGCCCTGGGGAAAAGGAGCCAGTGGAGACTGTGGGAAAATGTCAGAGAGGCAGGAGGAAGGTGAGACCACTGCGGTCAGCCACATCTGACTCAGCTCTTCAAGGAGGGAGGTGGACGGTGCGGAGAGCTGCTGGAGGGGAGGGGAAGCTGAAGACCATGATGACGTCATGGCCGAGCTGGGGCAGTGGGCAGAGGAGGCGGAAGTCAGGTTGTGAAGAGCTGAGGAGATAGTGGGGGCTGAGAGGATAGAAGGGCTGGATGCTCTCCCTGAACTGTGAAAAGGAAGAAATCATGCTGCCCACAGGTGGAGTAGCCCAGGAGAAGGGCAACCCTGGGTCTGCAGCCCCCGCCCCTCTGCCTCTGTGTCTTCCTCACACTGGGCTCCCAAGCCTGTGTAGGCTTGAGTCTTTCTGAAACTTTGGTCAGTCTGTGGTAACACCTTTCCCATGATGAAACATGTTTTTTCTTCCCCTTTCTGCATCTTCATTAGTTGCCTTCCTCCTAAACAGAACTCGGCAGCTAAATTAGGCCAAAACCCCAACTCATTTCCAACAAAGTTCACCAAATAAGCTGAGAAATCTCTACGGCCTCACAGGAGTCAGTGTCAAGTCACAGGGACTCAGGGGCTCTTCAGACCCCAGCTGCACGGAGCCGAGGTCTGAGGTAAAGAAGCAGCCATGTTCCACATGCACTTCCCCTCTTCCGGACACAGAAGTTAGGATGTAGGACGTGCCTCAAAGGCAGTGTGGATGTGGAGAGGAAGTGATGGCTGCAGCCAACCAGCGTTAAGTCCTCCCCAAATAGGTGTGCGGAAGTGGGAAGGGCACACGTCTACCCATGTTCTCTCTTTACTTTAGAGAAGGCTGGGGAACAGAAGGCTGAAACCAACTGTGTGCAGAGTTCTCAGGCCTCTGCCAAAAATGAGCAGGACCTGCCCGACACCTTCTCCGCTACAACCTCTTTTTCTACTGTCACTGCCCATTGTCATGGTGGCTCCCCAAAGGTGAGCCTGAGTCCATATTTGCAAGCTTTGCCCTGAAGACAATTATATATCTGATTGCTGTGGCTGCAGAGGCTTAGAATCCTTCAGGGGCAGGAGAGGTCCTGGCAGTAACAGTTATTCTCTATAAGTTCTTATGTGCCAAGAAAGCTCTGAAGTGCTTGATATGCATCATTTCATTTGTTCCTTACCCAAATCCATTGATAGTAAAAGAAGCTAATTCTTAGGTTAAGTATTAATCACTTGTTTAAGGTTACAGACCTCATAAATGATGAGGATTAAACCCAGGTTTGTCTGACTCTAAAGCCAATCTGTGCTCTGTAGAGAAGAGGGAAAGAGAAATTGCCACCTCCCCAGCATTTCATTGAATCTAAATACATTTTATTTTTTTCTTTCCTGGAATCCAAAGCATGTCAAAGACATTTCAGCCATAAACCTGGTTATTTTTTCCTATTAAGAACAAACATGATGGGCCAGGCACAGTGAGTGGCTGACCCGTGTAATCCCAGCACTTTGGGAGGCCAAGGCAGGCAGATCACTTGGGCTCAGGAGTTCAAGACCAGCCTGGGCAACATGATGAAACCCCGTCTTTACAAAAAAATACAAAAATTAGCCGGATGCAATGGCATGTGCCTGTAGTTACAGCTACTCAGGGGGCTGTGGCAGGAGGATCACCTGAGCCTTGGGAAGTTGAGGCTGCAGTGAGCCGTGGTGATCCTGCCACTGTACTCCACCCTGGGCGACAGAGACCTTGTCTTGAAAAGCAAACAAGCAAACAAACAATAAAAGCAGAGATGCTATTCTGCCTAGGGCAGGGAATGACTTGGCCCTTAGAAGTGTTCTAAAATTCTGATCCATGACCTGATAGACCCAAACCCTTCTACTGACACAAGTACAAAAGCTGTCATTTCTTGAGGGTAGCAGGGACTAAGGCCAGAACTTGGCAACTGGGGAAGAGGTTGGGAGCAGGAGAAGTCAGCATGAGAGCCTGCTAGGGCACATTGTATCTTGAGGGACTTCATACTTGAATTCACAGCCTTGCCTCCTAACATTTAAAAGTTTAAATAAACTAGAAATGTTTCCTTACCATGGGGACCAAAACAAGTTTCTGTAAAGGTAAATACATGTAAAAATAAATACAAAATAGCCATGGATATGAAAGCATGGTTAAGGAAAGCATGGATATGAAAGCCATGAAAGCATGGATAAGGAGGGACTCCTTTTAAAAATGTCCAAGACATTTGGAATTTGGAGTTCCTGGCATGGTGCTGTGTTTTTCCTGTTTGAGCTGTGGTGCTGGCCTCCTAAGAGCTCACCCCATTGCCTCAGCCTCAAAGGTGCTGGCTGAAGGGAGCTGGGCCTGTAGCTCCATCCATGCTGTCAGTGAGCTCCCTGGACCTAACTGCCTTTTCAAATCCCATAGGGCCACCTGCACGTTCCCAGATTTCTTCCCTGGCTTGGGCTGGGACATCTTGACAGAAAGGTAGGCAGCGGGGGGCAGGTGTGCCTAGCACTTTGGGAGGCTGTAATCTCAGCACTTTGGGAGGCTGAGGCAGGAGGATCACTTCAGCCCAGGAGTTCGAGACCAGCCTGAGCAACAAAATGAGACCCTGTCTCTACAAATAAAAAATTAAAAAAATTAGCCCAGTGTGGTGGCACACACCTGTAGTCTCAGTTACTTGGGAGGCTGAGGTAGGAGGATCTTGTAAGCCAGGGAGGTTGACGTTGCAGTGAGCCATGATTGTGGCACTACACTCCAGCCTGGGCTACAGAGTGAGACCCTGTCTAAAACAAACAAATAAAAGACAAAAGAAAATCTAGGCAGAGGATCTGATTGTCCTGCTCTTTAATAGTAGGACTGGAGTTTGGTGCCTTCTAGCTTTCCCGAGATTATTTGTGAAACTACAAATAAAGTCCTGCTAATGTAATTTGCCAAAGCCACATAGAGACACTCAACTACTTAGATTTTCTCTGCCTGAGGAAGAAGCAGATGAATCTTGGCACCCTGGGACTTTCATTTTAACTCTCTGGAAAAAATCTGTGTCATCTGCTGATGTTCCCACTGAGCTGTTTTCAGATTCTAGGTTCTAGAGCAAACTGGGTACCAGCTGGACACCCAGACACACAGTGGGGTTGGCCTACCGGGCCTGAGGAAGAGCACCGCACAGTTCACAAACAGGAAATGTCCTTTTGCAGAGGACTTTGGTTTTTTTTCAAGATAGAGTTCTGAGGAAGAAAAAAATGTGTTTAGTTGACCATGAAGTAGCTTTAAATATCAGATACTACCTACTCAATTCAGGTAACTAATTAACAAATTGGCTCTTTGTTATATCTTTAGGCCAAATGGTCATGCTTTTAAGTTTAGCAATTCAAGGTCTAGCAATTCCTTCATTTTGTTTATGCAAAATTCAAAATGCTGTATCTGTGAATTAATTATTAATATTAATATCTTCTAAACTACATTGTGATCATTTTCTCATCAGTCCTTATTCTCACTGTTGTTTTAACTAAGAAAAGGAAAAGGAGAACTGAAATCTAGGGTTGATGGCAAACTTAGTTAAGTCTTCAAATCATTACAAAGCACCAATTCACATTTGGCAGTGGTCTCTTGAGCAAAGACTAGGATGTGATCCTTGCCCTGAAAAATCTTATATGTAATTCAGGATTATATAGAAGGGCTTGGGTAAAACCTTCAGGGAACAGTGCTAGGCCAAATGAAAATACAGTAGTTGGCTGGGCACGGTGGCTCATGCGTGTAATCTTAGCACTTTGGGAGGCTGAGGCAGGTAGATCACCTGAAGTCAGGAGTTCGAGACCAGCCTGGCCAACATGGTGAAACTCTGTCTCTACTAAAAATACAAAAATTAGCCAGGCTGGTGGTGGGCATCTGTAATCCCAGCTACTTGGGAGGCTGAGGCAGGAGAATTGCTTGAGCCTGGGAGGCAGAGGTTGCAGTGAGCTGAGATCAGGCCACTGCACTCCAGCCTGAGAAACAGAGTGAGACTCTTTCTCAAACAAACAAACAAAAAAAGAAAATACAGTAGTCCCCCCTTATCTGCAGTGGATGCATTCCAAGACCCCCAGTGGATCCCTGAAACCTCAGATAGTACCAAGCCCTATATACACTATGTTTTTTGCTGTATAGTAATGAGTAGGGAGCATATACAGTGTGGATACACTGGACAAAGGGATGATTCACATCCTAGGCAGGGTAGATCCTGATTGTATGAGATTTCATCATGTTACTCAGAATGATGTGCATTTAAAACTATGAATTACTAATTTCTGGAATTTTCCATGGAATATTTTGGGACTGCAGTTGACCAGGGGTAACTGAAACCTCAGGTAAAGGAAACATCAGAAAGTGAAAGCATGGATAAGGAGGGACTCCTATAAGCTCTATGTGGTATGGGCTGGATACCATTTCCAGAAGATGTCACTGCCTTGTGCTTAATTTCCTAGGACTTTGAACACATATATTCAAATGAATTCTGCCTTGTTCCAGAATTAAAGTGTTCCAGAAGATTGGCTGTTCTGATGTGCCACTTCAGTGAACCAAAAGGATGTCTGTTTCTTTTTTCTTTTTTCTTTGGCTATCTTTCAGCCCCTTGGCCTTCAGTAAGATTTTCTGTGCCTTTTATAATGTGTGAAACTAAAGCACCTGTCTAGACCTCAGATGGCTCTTTGGGGTCCAGTTTGCTGCATCTCAAGCCAGCATTTGATTGGTTGTCATTATCGCTGTTGCTTTAGAAGTTATTTCCCAAGCATTTAATCATTCAAGTTGAGGTTTCTGTACTTCTGCTGATTACTCCATGCTTCCGTCCACCCAGCACCCATTTGGGGAGGTAAAATCATAGACTCTTAGGTTCATTTGCTCTTCCTGAACTTGGAGGGAAAACACCTGTTACTTTTGGCCAATTGATCCCCCAATTCAGGTCTCAGAACTAAACCACCCACATCCAGGGTGAAAAAGAGGAGACTTTCTGCTTCTGGGGGAGGCCAAGGATAGGCTAGGGTGTGAGGAGGGCAGAGGAGAAAGGACCCAGGCACGGGTGGTGAGTCCAGGCTTGAGAATTCATAGTGTCTCTTTTGCATGAATCTTATTCATAGTCTCTCTTTTTGCATGCTCCATAGCAGGCCACCAGGCGGCACTTGTGAAATGATAAATGGAGCTCTCTCATCCTCATCCAGTTTCTGGGTGTCTCCTGAGTCACATTCAGAACAGGGAAGTAAAAAGGGCTGTGAAATGAGCCTTAGTGTCATGTGGTTCTTTTTCTCTAATTGGGTCTGGCAGGCCCGGGCACAGGGGCCTGGGAAACATATCTTTTTGGCAAGGGTAGAGGGGAAATCTAGTGCCCTCTATTTTCCCATTCGGTATCTAAGCTGACATTCCGGATGAAAATCTCCAGAGGGCTGGAGCTGAACCATAATTATCCTTTTTTTTTTCTTTTTAAAACTGTACCAGTTAGTATACATGTGATTTCTAGACTTAGAAAACATGTCTTCACGATAAGAGGGATGCAGAACAAAAGCAAAAAACATCCACTTCAGAAAATTGCACTTCTGTGGCAAATATGCATATTCCCACTAATACAAATACTAAAAACAAAAGTCTGTATTTTTTCCAAACTCTCTATTTTTAGTTCTGTTTCTTCTGGCAGAAAATATAATCTCATTCAGTTCCAGGCATTCTTAGGCACTTCACGTTTAAACCTACTCAAGTTTCCCTACTCTGAAATCCCCAAACTTTTCTCAGGGGTCTGTCATATCTCCCTTTGAAGCTAGCTATTTCTGGGAGAGGTGGGCTTCCAGCATCCCTCCTCTGGACTCCAGCATCCCTGTCCAGGGTATAACTTTTGTTTCTCCCCCAGCTGGTCTCTCTCCCTTCTTAATCTTCTGGGGGGTGGAGGGGAGGGCAGGAGCAGGGTGTGGCTGGAAGAGGAAAGGCTGGTGGAGAGTGGAGACTGGTCAGCAAACACTCTTCATCCTGTCTTTCACTGGGACTTGTGGACCATTGCCAACTATTTGTCATTTCTTTTCTCTGGCTCCACCGTGGCTATTCTGTAGGACAAATGGCAGCCTCTTGCTTCTCCACAGGAATGGGGGCAGGTGGAGGAAGTCACAAAATAAAAGGGAGGGTGGGTGGGGGACTCATCCATGAATACTTCACAGTATCACGTCGCAAATTTTGTTTGTGCTGAGATGCTCTCCTGTCTCCTGTTACTCCATCCCTGGAACTGTTCACTATCGACAATGAATGCACCATTGCTGAGCAAAGGGCTCAGGGCCAACACCAGGGGCTTCACTTGGGACAGGCTGGAGCTCAGGGCAGAAGTTCCACAGGTCTTTTGTTCTCTCAGCATCCTGAAGAGAGATGTGTTTGGGGTTGAGCCAGGCAGGATACACTGAGGTCCTTAGTCCAGCAACCTGTGCAAAACTGGCACTGCCTTTGTTGAACCTTGAGATGAGTGCAGCTTCCAGCCCCACCTCTTAATTGTAGCCTGGGGGACACCCTCAGCCAGAGGACCCAGCTTAGCTGTGCTCAAAGTCCCAACCCCCAGCAACTGTGGATAATAAATAAATACATGTTGTTTTAAGCCTCTAAGTTTGATGGTAATTTTTAATGTAGCAGTAGATAAGTGATAGAGTAGGAAAACTAAATTGACCTTCTAGTCATTCGAATGGGGCAGAAACATGTTGTTGGGGGCAATAACATGTAAATTAACTATATCTGTATGGAAGATCACCTCTTATGACCTTCACTGTCTAGGATTTCTGAATTTGGAAACTAAGCCTTCTAGGGAGGGTAGAGAAGCCTCCAAGGAATGGTGCCCTGCCTCTTTTGTATACATATTTTCAACGAGAGGTCTTAATAATCATTGTTGTTCTAAGCTACTATGTTGTAGAGTAATTTGTTATGTAGCAATTGGTAGCAAATACATTCTTTGTCCGTTTTATTGTTCAGCATTTAGGTATTCAACCAATATTTTCTGCATACCTGCTATCTACTGGGCAACTAGACATAGTTACCTTGTCTAGTAACAGACAAGTAATTTGTACTGGGTGCTAGACATGGGAGATCTGAGGTGAGCAGAAACAGACACACTGCCTGTCTGCATGGAGTGGGCCATGTAGTGGTGAGACAGATAATCAAATAATCATATTTGTAAAATACAAATAATAAACATAAATTACAATAATGCCAAGCACTACATGGGAAAAGGGCAATATCTAGTCAAGGCTATGAGGGGAGCTTTATTTATTTATTTATTATACACATTTTTTGAGACAGAGTCTTACTCTGTCACCAAGGCTAGAGTGCAGTGGCATGACCATGGCTCACTGCAGCCTCGATCTCCAGGGCTCAGGTGATCCTCCTGCCTCAGCCTCCCAATTAGCTGGGAGCATGGGTGTGCACTACCACATCTAGCTATTTTTTTTTTTTTTTTTGAGATGGGGTCGCCCTATGTTGCCCAGGCTGGTCTTGAACTCATGGGCTCAAGTGATCCTCCCGCCTCAGCCTCCCAAAGTGATGGGATTATAGGTATGAGCCACTGTGCCTGGTTGAGGAGGATCTAATTTAGATAGATGGGGTTAGGAACAGTTTCTCTGAGAAAGTGAACTGAATGAGGAGTTTGGTGAATGGGAAGGATAGGAGACGAGCATACCAGGCAGAGGAAGTAGCATGTGCAAAGGCCCTGTGCTAGAAGGAGCAGAGTGGCAGAGGGAAAGCCACTGTGACTAGGACTCAGAGATGAAGGATGGGCAGTGAGGCTGAAGACAGAGGTCAGGCCACACAAAATTGTGTGGCCATACTGAAGAGTTTGGATTTGATACTAAAAGCAATGGGAAGCCTTTAAAGCCTTTTAAGAAGTAGAAAAATATAATTTTGATTTTAAATTTTTTGATTAAAAATATCTTGCTGTGTAGAGAATTGGTTGAAGATCACCAGTCAGGAGACCAGTTATGCAGTTAACAGTAATCTTGATATTGTTATCATCAAATAGCATGTTTACAATTCCCAGGCATAGTTAGCCTTTTGCTTGGTATTCTTTAAAAAGAGTAATTTCTATAGACATAGTTTCTGGCCTCCCAGAGTCTACCCCCTAAAAAATAAAAACAAAATTTAAAAAATGGTAGGTTCAAATAGAATAACATGCAGACACATAAGATAGATGAAAATTTGAGAAATGAATCCAGGTAAAACCCAGATCAATCCATCAATTAGCACATAAAGGAAATATAACTTACTTGAAAACCTACTAGATAAGCCAGACATATGGCACGCCTTATTGATTTATGCCTCATAACAACTTCATGTTGTAGATGATATTATGTTTACTTTACAGACGAAGAAACAGGCTCAGAAAGGTTAAGTTACTGGACAGAGGCCACATAGCTTGCTGAATCTGTTTTTCCAAAGTAAAAACTCGTTTTTTATACCACATTGCCCATACTTCTTATAAGACTCTATTTGCAGTCCTTCTTGAAGTGAAAAAAGTCTTGTTAATAATCAGACACCTAAATTCTAGTTGATCACCATAACATGTATTTTTTCTAGGCAATATACTTCTCTAAGTTAACCTCATTAAAATGGGGCAATAATACCTATATTCATTTATTCACCAAAAGCTGCCTAATACTTCAATAAATATAAGGGACCCCAATTATGCACAAGGTTTCATAAAGTGACCAAAGATAAATAATCCATGGACCCTAACCTAGCACAACCTATGTATGAAACACACATTTATTATTTTGTGTAATAAGAATCTCATTTCTGAGACCTTTTGGTCCTTACACTCCATCTACAGAGTTACAGTGAAAGTCACTATATTAGTAAAATGTGATCCAGACTAGGTCTCAGTTGACTGATCTAGAGGTTGAGTCTAGACTCAAGCTGGATCAATCAGAAGCCTTCCCTGGTGTCAGGCCTCTGAGCCCAAGCCAAGCCATCGCATCCCCTGTGACTTGCACATATACGCCCAGATGGCCTGAAGTAACTGAAGAATCACAAAATAAGTGAAAAGGCCCTGCCCCGCCTTAACTGATGACATTCCACCATTGTGATTTGTTCCTGCCCCACCTTAACTGAGTGATTAACCCTGTGAATTTCCTTCTCCTGGCTCAGAAGCTCCCCAACTGAGCACCTTGTGACCCCTGCCCCTGCCCACCAGAGAACAACCCCCTTTGACTGTAATTTTCCATTACCTTCCCAAATCCTATAAAACGGCCCCACCCTTATTTCCCTTCACTGACTCTCTTTTTGGACTCAGCCCACCTGCACCCAGGTGAAATAAACAGCTTTATTGCTCACACAAAGCCTGTTTGGTGGTCTCTTCACACAGACACGTGTGAAATTTGGTGCCGTGACTCGGATCGGGGGACCTCCCTTGGGAGATCAATCCCCCGTCCTCCTGCTCTTTGCTCCATGAGAAAGATCCACCTACGACCTCAGGTCCTCAGACCGACCAGCCCAAGAAACATCTCACCAATTTCAAATCCGGTAAGCGGCCTCTTTTTACTCTCTTCTCCAACCTCCCTCACTATCCCTCAACCTCTTTCTCCTTTCAATCTTGGCGCCACACTTCAATCTCTCCCTTCTCTTAATTTCAATTCCTTTCATTTTCCAGTAGAGACAAAGGAGACATGTTTTATCCGTAGACCCAAAACTCCGGCGCCAGTCACGGACTGGGAAGGCAGCCTTCCCTTGGTGTTTAATCATTGCAGGCACACCTCTCTGATCATTCACCCATGTTTCAAAGGTGTCAGACCACGCAGGGACACCTGCCTTGGTCCTTCACCCTTAGCGGCAAGTCCCGCTTTTCTGAGGAAGGGGCAAGTACCCCAACCCCTTCTTTCCTTGTCTCTATCCCTTCTCTGCTTTTCTGGGGAAGGGGCAAGTACCCCAACCCCTTCTGTCCTTGTCTCTACCCCTTCTCTGCTTTTCTGGGGAAGGGGCAAGTACCCCAACCCCTTCTGTCCTTGTCTCTATCCCTTCTCTGCTTTTCTGGGGAAGGGGCAAGTTCCCCAACCCCTTCTGTCCTTGTCTCTACCCCTTCTCTGCTTTTCTGGGGAAGGGGCAAGTACCCCAACCCCTTCTCTCATTGTCTCTACCCCTTCTCTGCTTTTCTGGGGAAGGGGCAAGTACCCCAACCCCTTCTGTCCTTGTCTCTACCCCTTCTCTGCTTTTCTGGGGGAGGGGCAAGTACCCCAACCTCTTCTGTCCTTGTCTCTACCCCTTCTCTGCTTTTCTGGGGAAGGGGCAAGTTCCCCAACCCCTTCTGTCCTTGTCTCTACCCCTTCTCTGCTTTTCTGGGGAAGGGGCAAGTACCCCAACCCCTTCTCTCCTTGTCTCTACCCCTTCTCTGCTTTTCTGGGAGAGGGGCAAGTTCCCCTCAACCCCTTCTCCTTCACCCTTAGCAACAAGTCCCACTTTTCTAGGGGGCAAGAACCCCCAATCCCTTATTTCCACACCCCAACCTCTTATCTCTGTGCCCCAATCCCTTATTTCCGTGACCCGACCCCCTTCCCACTTTTCGGGAGGGCAAGAACCCCCGAACCCCTTCCCTCCATGTTTCTACGCTCTCTTTCCTCTGGGTTTGTCTCCTTCACTATGGGCAACCTTCCACCCTCCATTCCTCCTTCTTCTCTCCCTTAGCCTGTGTTCTCAAAACTTAAAACCTCTTCAACTCACACCTGACCTAAAACCTAAATGCCTTATTTTCTTCTGCTATGCCGCTTGACCCCAATACAAACTCGACAGTAGTTCCAAATAACCAGAAAATGGCACTTTGAATTTTTCCATCTTGCAAGATCTAAATAATTCTTGTTGTAAAATAGGCAAATGGTCTGAGGTGCCTGACGTCCAGGCATTCTTTTACACATCAGTCCCTTCCTAGTCTCTGTGCCCAGTGCAACTCGTCCCAAATCTTCCTTCTTTCCCTCCCGCCTGTCCCCTCAGTACCAACCCCAAGCATCGCTGAGTCTTTCTAATCTTCCTTTTCTACAGACCCATCTGACCTCTCCCTTCCTCCCCAGGCTGCTCCTCTCCAGGCCGAGCTAGGTCCCAATTCTTCCTCAGCCTCTGCTCCTCCACCCTATAATCTTTTTGTCACCTCCCCTCCTCACACCTGGTCTGGCTTACAGTTTCGTTCCGTGACTAGCCCTCCCCCACCTGCCCAGCAATTTACTCTTAAAAAGGTGGCTGGAGCCAAAGGCATAGTCAAGGTTAATGCTCCTTTTTCTTTATCCCAAATCAGAAGTGTTTAGGCTCTTTTTCATCAAATATAAAAATCCAGCCCAGTTCATGGCTCCTTTGGCAGCAACCCTGAGATGCTTTACAGCCCTAGACCCTAAAAGGTCTAAAGGCCGTCTTATTCTCAATATACATTTTATTACCCAATCTGCTCCCGACATTAAATAAAACTCCAAAAATTGGAATCTGGCCCTCAAACCCCAAAACAGGACTTAATTAACCTCACCTTCAAGGTGTACAATAACAGAAAAAAGTTGCAATTCCTTGCCTCCACTGTGAGACAAACCCCAGCCACATCTCCAGCACACAAGAACTTCCAAACGCCTGAACCGCAGCAGCCAGGCCTTCCTCCAGAACCTCCTCCCCCAGGAGCTTGCTACACGTGCCGGAAATCTGGCCACTGGGCCAAGGAATGCCCTCAGCCCGGGATTCCTCCTAAGCCACGTCCCATCTGTGTAGGACCCCACTGAAAATCGGACTGTTCAACTCACCTGGCAGCCACTCCCAGAGCCCCTGGAACTCTGGCCCAAGGCTCTCTGACTGACTCCTTCCCAGATCTTCTCGGCTTAGCGGCTGAAGACTGATACTGCCCGATCGCCTCAGAAGCCCCCTAGACCATCACGGATGCCGAGCTTCAGGTAACTCTCACAATGGAAGGTAAGCCCGTCCCCTTCTTAATCAATACAGAGGCTACCCGCTCCACATTACATTCTTTTCAAGGGCCTGTTTCCCTTGCCTCCATAACTGTTGTGGGTATTGACAGCCAGGCTTCTAAACCTCTTAAAACTCCCCAACTCTGGTGCCAACTTAGACAATACTCTTTTAAGCACTCCTTTTTAGTTATCCCCACCTGCCCAGTTCCCTTATTAGGCTGAGACACCTTAACTAAATTATCTGCTTCCCTGACTATTCCTGGACTACAGCTATATCTCATTGCCGCCCTTCTTCCCAATCCAAAGCCTCCTTTGCGTCCTCCTCTTGTATCCCCCCACCTTAACCCACAAGTATAAGATACCTCTACTCCCTCCTTGGCGACTGATCATGCACCCCTTACCATCTCATTAAAACCTAATCACCCTTACCCCACTCGACACCAATATCCCATCCCGCAGCACGCTTTAAAAAGATTAAAGCCTGTTATCACTCGCCTGCTACAGCATGGCCTTTTAAAGCCTATAAACTCTCCTTACAATTCCCCCATTTTACCTGTCCTAAAACCAGACAAGCCTTACAAGTTAGTTCAGGATCTGCGCCTTATCAACCAAATTGTTTTGCCTATCCACCCCGTGGTGCCAAACCCATATACTCTCCTATCCTCAATACCTGCCTCTACAACCCATTATTCTGTTCTGGATCTCAAACATGCTTTCTTTACTATTCCTTTGCACCCTTAATCCCAGCCTCTCTTTGCTTTCACTTGGACTGACCCTGACACCCATCAAGCTCAGCAAATGACCCAGGCTGTACTGCCGCAAAGCTTCACAGACAGCCCCCATTACTTTAATCAAGCCCAAATTTCTTCCTCATCTGTTACTTATCTCGGCATAATTCTCATAATAACACACGTGCTCTCCCTGCCAATCGTATCCGACTGATCTCTCAAACCCCAGCACCTTCTACAAAACAACTCCTTTCCCTCCTAGGCATGGTTAGCGCGGTCAGAATTCTTACACAAGAGCCAGGACCACACCCTGTAGCCTTTCTGTCCAAACAACTTGACCTTACTGTTTTAGCCTAGCCCTCATGTCTGCGTGCAGCGGCTGCCACTGCTTTAATACTTTTAGAGGCTCTCAAAATCACAAACTATGCTCAACTAACTCTCTACAGTTCTCATAACTTCCAAAATCTATTTTCTTCCTCATACCTGACGCATATACTTTCTGCTCACCGGCTCCTTCAGCTGTACTCACTCTTTAAGTCCCACAATTACCATTCTTCCTGGCCTGGACTTCAATCTGGCCTCTCACATTATTCCTGATACCACACCTGACCCCCATGACTGTATCTCTCTGATCCACCTGATATTCACCCCATTTCCCCAAATTTCCTTCTTTCCTGTTCCTCACCCTGATCATGCTTGATTTATTAATGGCAGTTCCACCAGGCCTAATCGCCGCACACCAGCAAAGGCAGGTTATGCTATAGTACAAGCCACTAGCCCGCCTCTTAGAACCTCTCATTTCCTTTCCATCGTGGAAATCTATCCTCAAGGAAATAACTTCTCAGTGTTCCATCTGCTATTCTACTACTCCTCAGGGATTATTCAGGCCCCCTCCCTTCCCTACACATCAAGCTCGAGGATTTGCCCCCACCCAGGACTGGCAAATTAGCTTTACTCAACATGCCCGAGTCAAGAGACTAAAATACCTCTTAGTCTAAATAGACACTTTCACTGAATAAGTAAAGGCCTTTCCTACAGGGTCTGAGAAGGCCACCGCAGTCATTTCTTCCCTTCTGTCAGACATAATTCCTCAGTTTAGCCTTCCCACCTCTATACAGCCTGATAACAGACCAGCCTTTATTAGTCAAATCAGCCAAGCAGTTTTTCAGGCTCTTAGTATTCAGTGAAACCTTTATATCCCTTACGGTCCTCCGTCTTCAAGAAAAGTAGAATGGACTAAAGGTCTTTTAAAAACACACCTCACCAAGCTCAGCCACCAACTTAAAAAGGACTGGACAATACTTTTACCACTTTCGCTTCTCAGAATTCAGGCCTGTTCTCGGAATGCTACAGGGTACAGCCCATTTAAGCTCCTGTATAGACGCTCCTTTTTATTAGGCCCCAGTCTCATTCGACACCAGACCAACTTAGACTGTGCCCATAAAAACTTGTCATCCCTACTATATTCTGTCTAGTCATACTCCTATTCACCATTCTCAACTACTCATACATGCCCTGCTCTTGTTTACACTGCCGGTTTACACTGTTTCTCCAAGCCATCACAGCTGATATCTCCTGGTGCTATCCCCAAACTGCCACTCTAAACTCTTGAAGTAAATAAATAATCTTTGCTGGCAGGACTATGCTGAATGTCCTTAGGCACTCTCTAATCAGATGTCCTAGGTCCTCCCAATTCTTAGACCTTTTATACCTGTTTTTCTCCTTCTCTTATTCCATTTAGTTTTTCAATTCATACAAAACCGTATCCAGGCCATCACCAATCATTCTATACGACAAATGTTTCTTCTAACAACCCCACAATATCACCCCTTACCACAAGACCTCCCTTCAGCTTAATCTCTCCCACTCTAGGTTCCCACACCGCCCCTAATCCCGCTTGAAGCAGCCCTGAGAAACATCGCCCATTCTCTCTCCATACCACCCCCCAAAAATTTTCACTGCCCCGACACTTCAACACTATTTTGTTTTATTTTTCTTATTAATATAAGAAGGCAGGAACGTCAGGCCTCTGAGCCCAAGCCAAGCCATCGCATCCCCTGTGACTTGCACATATACACCCAGATGGCCTGAAGTAACTGAAGAATCACAAAAGAAGTGAAAAGGCCCTGCCCCGCCTTAACTGATGACATTCCACCATTGTGATTTGTTCCTGCCCCACCTTAACTGAGTGATTAACCCTGTGAATTTCCTTCTCCTGGCTCAGAAGCTCCCCCACTGCACCTTGTGACCCCCGCCCCTGCCCACCAGAGAACAACCCCCTTTGACTGTAATTTTCCATTACCTTCCCAAATCCTATAAAACGGCCCCACCCTTATTTCCCTTCACTGACTCTCTTTTTGGACTCAGCCCACCTGCACCCAGGTGAAATAAACAGCTTTATTGCTCACACAAAGCCTGTTTGGTGGTCTCTTCACATGGACGCGCATGAAACCTGGGACTCTGGAAGTGGAACTGAGAAAGAAAAGTCAGTTTTGGTCTGGGTGCCTGAACATCATGATGGAAAACTTAGGGGGTTTCTGGTGGAGTGTTTTGTCATGTTACTGGTAAAGCAGAGGAGACTGATTATTGGTGATAAAAGCAAGAATGGAGCAGACCTGCAGAGAAATGTAAGCATGAGTTTTCAGTGGCTGGTATATAAAAGTTAAGCAGAGCTTTATGCAGTATTAAACAATATTATTACAGCTCCCAGAAGCCCGGTTTATACTGATTTCATATGAACGGCACCCCTTACAGCACAACTGTGTGGCATGAATGGTGTCCCCTGGACTTGTGCTATGAGGCAGTCCTACTTTTAGTTGGGGATGGGGCTGTAGATAAAGGCCAGGGCCAAATAATGCAGATATTGTATATCATTTAGAGCAGGAATAAAATATGTGTTGTGATTCTACATGTCTAAAACCCATGGCAGACATCACTAATTCTCATGGTCCACCTACCTGTTGAACTCCAACATGTCCTACTCAATACAGCACCCCAGAGAGTCACTATCAATCAGCATATACTTTGTCTATGTACTTCCTGGCCTGACAACAGCTATAACATGAAACTCATAAGTAGCTGTATCTCAGCAGCAGATGGTTTCCCTCTCGTTAGAATAAACACTGGGTATTATATCAAAGTTAAGGAAATCTTTTGCTTTTGATCTGAGGACCCAGAAAATTTGGAACCAGTCTTCAAACTTAGTGGTAACATGGTATCACTTAATTAACTTGATTTAATACTAATAATGAACAGGATTCTGGAATGTTCACTAATTGTGTGAATTCTGAAATCGTGTTGTTTCCTCGGCTTGGTATTCCCTTCCTGTTTTCTATTTGCCAAACTCTTAGATAGCCTTCAAGGCCCATTGAAATGCTCCCATTTTCACACCTTTTCCTTGACATTCTCTCTTGGAGAAGTAATTGCTCCCCATCTGTTATTGTACATGAATTTACTCTCTTCTCTATTATAGCTTGTTTACTATTGAATTTTATTCATTGCTTGTGTATCTTACCTAGAATCTAGATCCCACAGGATAAGGATTGTATTTTAAATATTTTAAGCAGCCCTTAGCATGTAAATACTTGCCTGAATGACAGTGAAACTGTGCTTTCACGTGCGAAATACTTTGGGTAGTTTGTCTTAAGAAAACACCCTCAAGTCCTGAGAAAACCAACCAAGTCAATATATTAGGATAAGACTTCCATATGGGGACCAACTAATCTCTTCTAGTTTACATTTGAAGCAGCAATTGTTGAAAAGAAAAATATGAATATTTTAAAATAAAAAAACTAAAATTTAAAATCATAAAAACATCCAAGAACACTTCATGAAATTTCTATTTTTAAATTTTGGAGCCAGGAAAATCTAAGTATGACTTGAACTCTAAATGCCATAAGAAAAGATTAATAAACTCAATTAGATAAAAATAAAAATAACCTTTTTATTTATAGTAAAAGCTATTATAAAGCGAAACTCAAAATGCAAGAAATATTTGACATTCCTGTTGAAAAGAGCTCCTACAAATCAGTAAGAAAAAGACCATCAAAAGGGCAAAGAAAATATAGAAATACAAAAATATAGAAAAGAAAATACAACTGGCTATTAGGCATGTGAAAAGATGTGCAATCTCATTTACATTAAGAGAAATGCAAATATATGATACCATTTTTAAAACATCAGATTTGAAAAGATTAAAAAATGTTTTATGACAAACACATAGAATAGGTAAAGGGGTGGGAAAACATGCATTCTTCTACACGGCTGGAGAAAGTATAATTGATAAAACCTTTAAGAAAGGCAATTTAGCAATATCTCCCTTAAATGCCCTCCAACTGACCTTAACTTTCACTTTTAGGAATTGATCTACAAATAGGCTTGAACATATGTAAAATGACTTGTGTATAATGCTATTCACTGTAGCACTGTTTGTAACTGCAAAAGATCAGAAACCACCTAAATCAATAGGGAAATGGTTAAGTAAATTATGGTACATTTATTTATATAATAGAATTATTATGCAGTCATAAAAATAAAATTGTTATCGGAAAGTGGTCCCAATCCAGACCCCAAGTGAGCGTTCTTGGATCTCACACAAGAAAGAATTCAAGGCCAGTCTGTAAAGTTAAAGCAAGTTTATTAAGAAAGTAAAGGAATAAAGAATGGCTACTCCATAGGCAGAGCAGCCCCGAGGGCTGCTGGTTGCCCATTTTAACGGTTATTTCTTGATGATATGCTAAACAAGGGGTGTATTATTCATGCCTCCCCTTTTTAGACCATATAGGATAACTTCCTGATGTTGCCATGGCATTTGTAAACTGTCATGGTGCCGGTGGGAGCGTAGCGGTGAGGATGGCCAGAGGCAGAGGTCACTTTCATTGCCATCTTGGATTTGGTGGGTTTTGGCCAGCTTCTTTACTGCAAACTGTTTTATCAGCAAGGTCTTTATGACCGGTATCTTGTGTTGACCTCCTATCTCATCCTGTGACTTAGAATGCCTTAACCATCTGGGAATGCAGCCCAGTAGGTCTCAGCCTTATTTTACCCAGCTTCTATTCAAGAAGGAATTGCTCTGGTTCAAATGCCTCTGAAGGGAATAAGGAAGTTCTTTATGTATTGATAGGAAATTACCACCAAAATATACTGTTAATGAAAAAAGCAAGGAACAGAACACTATATATAGTATGTTAGTATTTATGTACACAAAGGGGTAAAATCTTATATAGGTATTTGCCTGTAAATGCATACACTGTATCTGGAAGGATGCCTAAGAATTAAGTGACAATAGTTGGTTGTCAAAAGAGGAACTAGGGTGGAATGGAAAATTACCACAGTACATATTTCTTACCTTTTGAATATTGAACAATATGAACAAATTATTTGAAAACGAATAAAAACTAAAATGAATAAAATACAGAACCATTGGCTAATGAATACACTGACCTTTAACTTAGCAAATTGAAGAAAATCTTAGTTGCCCTGGCATCTTGATTCAATTTTTGGAGAAACAAAAGGAAGTATGATGTTATTCAGAGGCATTGGCCATTTAAGTTATTCATTACCCTAAGGGTTGACAGAATTAGAAAAATCTACGTATAAAGTCAAGGACGGTGATATAAATTCATGGATATAATTTAATGGTTATCTTTAAGGAAAACAAGGGGTATTGGGTCACATCTCTGCTCTTAGAAGGTGATGCCACAGAATAATGAACAGATCATATAAACTCCCATAGTGCCACTGTTAGCCAGATATGAGCTGGAATTCTGTTCCTCAGCCACTTTCTCTGGTGACTTCTGGCAAAGCTAAACACTATAGGGGCTGCACGTGGTACTCATGGTGGCTCTGATTTCCACCTAAGGCTGATAAATTCCCTTCTTAACTGTCCACATTGAAGTGAATTGAAATTCTTTGTGACTAAACTTGATTGGCTCTAGGGTATTTGAACCCAAGAATTATTTTACTCTTTGTATAGTTCTCAATTTGTACTTCTGATGTGTTGCCCTATTCAGGTACCCTAAGAACCTGTGTATAAATTAAGGATTTCTTAGGTGACTTGGCTCGTTCAATGTTATGCAACCAAGAGATATTTGTTGAACATCAACTATGCCAAGTGAATGTGGGGATGAGTAAGAGCCAGCTACTATGACTTCAGGGGGCCCATACAGTCTAGCAGCAAGGTCAAGAGGGTGTGTCTTGCAGAGCAGGAGCTAACTGCTAGGCTGGAAAATACGGGAGTTTTAGAATGCTTTGGAATTCAGGTGGGTCATACACTACTCAATTTGTGTTTCATGTGGTGTGGATTCTAGGGAACTGTTTCAGAGAGAAATAAGAGATGTAAACATAGATTATTTATGTTGATTACTCTTACACACTCAAGTAACAGAAATGATAAAGGAAAATAGAAATGTTAAAGTGAATGCTGTGTCCCATGTTGCTTGTGGTTGGATCATCAATGTGGTGAAGTAGCACCACCTTGAGGCAGATGACATGCTGTACCTCTGTGGGCTTCCCGGGCCTCCTCCATATCTGGAATCATACAAGAGGCACCTGCACAGAACGTTTTCACATTGGGGTTTTCACATATTGTACTAGTGACATTGGGGTGAGGGGGAGAGGGAGTGGGGCAGAGGTCCCGCGGCAGGAATATGGACAGAAGCAGCCTTGTTTAAGGGCACTTGGTTCTACAGAGGCCGTTGGTCTGTTCCTTAATTGGGTGTGTTTTTCAATTATTTTGGTGCTTTTAACATATTTTGTCTGTAAGGGGATGTTAGTTGTAAATCTAAAGGAAAAATTGTGTATCTAAAAATTAATCAATCTGGCTGGGCGCGGTGGTCACGCCTGTAATCCCAGTGCTTTGGGAGGCGGAGGAGGGTGGATCACCTGAGGTCAGGAGTTCAAGACCAGCCTGGGCAACATGGTGAAACCCCATCTCTCCTAAAAATACAAAAATTAGCTGGGCACGGTGATGCGTGCCTGTAATCCGAGCTACTCAGGAGGCTGAGGCAGGAGAATCGCTTGAGCCTGGGAGGTGGAGGCTGCAGTGAGCCGAGATTGTGCCATTGCACTCCAGCCTGAGCAACAGAGCAAGACTCCATCTCAAAAAAAAAAAATTAATTAATTAATTTTCTTTTTTACCTTTATACATGGGGTTAAACTAAGTGATCATCAATGTCTATTTCAGCTAATAAAACATTATGATTTCCTATAATTTTACTTTCTTGAATCTATCACGGAGATAGTTTCTGATCCTGTTAATAATTTGCACCATCTAGAATTCTTATGTTAAAAACATTAAAACTGCAGCTGGGCGCGGTGGCTCACGCATGTAATCCCAGCACTTTGGGAGGCCGAGGTGGGCGGATCACGAGGTCAGGAGATCGAGACCATCCTGGCTAACACGGTGAATGAAACCCCGTCTCTACTAAAAATACAAAAAATTAGCCGGGCGTGGTGGCGGGCGCCTGTAGTCCCAGCTACTTGGGAGGCTGAGGCAGGAGAATGGCGTGAACCCAGGAGGCAGAGCTTGCAGTGAGCCGAGATCGCGCCACTGCACTCCCGCCTGGGCCACAGAGCGAGACTCTGTCTCAAAAAAAACAAAACAAAACAAAACAAAACAAAACAAAACAAAAAACATTAAAACTGCAAGAACAGTGACTATTAAACCCACTTTTAACTTTCTCTTTCTACTCTGTTCATTTCACTTGGACCGTTTGTCCTTTCTGCCCCTCCAAAGGATTAGTTCAAATTAATGTCTCACTTTAAATACTCTGATCCACCCTGATTTTGTTGTTCTCCCAACATTGACTAACTGCATTTACAGTCAAATGCTAAATTGTATGACGTTAATTCTCTTTTTTTTTGTATGACATAATTTTCAGGTGCTTAACCTTACTTCCCAATTAGGCTGAGAGCAAACTGGTGAACAAGATTCAGACCTTATTCTTCTGTTATGTCCTCATGATCCTGGGATCCACAGGAAATGCTTTAAAAAGAATTCGGTTAATTTGTACCATCTACACATTGATTTCACCCATGTTCATGTCCTTAAAATATCATCATACTTGTCATCAAGTATGACTGTTACCGAAATGGTGCTGTTACCCAATGACCAAGAAGGGGTATGTTTTCCATTTCTTCCCTTTTGTAAAATGCCAAAAAAGAAACCAAATAGTAAAAGCACTGAGATTAAAGGAGGAGAATGGGAGGTAAACAACTACTTTTGTGCTAAAAGTGTCCTATGGCATTTATATATATTTTTTCCGCAATTAATCCTATTCCCAACTCTTCACCAAGGATAGTACTGTGTCATGGTTACTATACCCTGGGCTGACATTTAGTCAGGAGGCAACAGTTGAACCAGTTGTTTCCAGCTAGTATCCATTTTGACTCGGTCTCTATATTATACTACTTGTTAAATATTTTTAGTATCTCCCCTCAGTAAAGCTGATAGACTGGCAGATTCTAAATACACCCACCCATTCTTGTGAACAAATATGAACTCCAGAATTTTTCCAAACGCTTCAGTTATGAAAGTGATGTTAAGAAGGATTTTATGAAAAAGCATTCAGTATCATTTGATTTTAAAGTTTGTAATTGGTTATGCTATACCTACTTGACTACCTCTAATACCTATTGGCTAAGGCACAGTGGCATGTGCCTGTAGTTCCACCTTTTCGGGAGGCTGAGGCAGGACTGCTTGAAGCCAGGAGTTTGAGGCCTCAGTGCACTATGATCACACCTGTGAACAGCCACTGCACTCCAGCCTGGGCAGCATAGCAAGTCCCCATCTCTAAGTAATATTTAAGAATAATACCTATTGCTTAGCTTATCTTCACCCATAGGACCCTGAATTGCCTGGAAGTGTTTTAAAGTGGGAATCTAGTCAGGTGAAGATCGAAAGCAAACAGAAGTCGCTGTGAGTAGGTAAGTACAAGAAATAGATTTGAGGTGAAAGAAAGAGAATTTTGGAGGCTGGGAGTGAATGACTGCAGCTGCTAAGCTACTTTGCACTTTCTAGTCTAGGTCTTTGGGCAGTGATACTACATATAGGTATTCAGCTGCCATCCAGAAGGCTATGGAATCACTCCAAAGGCTTCAGTAGTGCTCTGACATCATTCATGACTCTCTTCTCTATCATCTTATATCTATATAGTCTTATAAAAACCCTACCAAACTGTTCTTGTTAAGAGTACAGTACTTGGTGGTAGAAGCAGAAAACCTTTCCTCTTAATTAACCATACATTCATAATTGTTAAAGTCAGAGAAAAATAAATTATTCAACACTGACATTTTATTTTCTGAAGTTTTATCATTTTTACAAAACAAAACAAAATGAAACAAAAAGCAGGTATCAAAAACAGCAAAGAGTTTATAGAATTTCTGCACCAGTTTGCACATAAGTCAGTGATTACAAAACTGGCATCCAATGTAAATACTAAGCACAAGCTCACTTCCCTCTTGGTCAGGTGGTTTGTTTTAGAGCTACTCGATATTTATAACTTTTTATAAGCACCGGTCATTTTTTGAGAACTGATTTGGTTTGTCCAACAAAGTAAACAATTTTTTGCTGTGTGGCAGTTTCTTTTTTTAGAAAACACTGAGCTAAAACACAGAATGTGTATTTGTTTGGATCTGAACCAAATCTTTTGAGATCCCAACTACCCTGAAGAACACTGAAGACATTTACGGGGCATATTAAATGGTATCTTAAATACTAGTTGTATACCTCATAATGTCTAAGGCAGCTATTATATTTCTAAAGAAAGTAGCATTTCATTCAGAGGCTGCCCAGAGTTTAAATTACACCATAGTTTTTCTTTCTTTCTGCAAATCATTCTTTCTGATTTGCAGTTTTTTCCAAACAGAGCCATATTAGTGGAACAAAAGTTTGATGTTCATGCCCAACAAGCTCTGATATTTTATGGATACATTTGTATAAAGCAAGACTTCTTGCTCTGAACCCTGGGTGACCACAAATAAATTGAGGGGCCATGATTATTGGATGCTGAGAGAAAGTAGCATACTTAAACCCACAGTACAGATAATCAGGAGGCAAGCAAAAACAAAGCTATAACTTAGCAGTGGTATTCACCCACCACTTATTCCAAAAACATATTTTGCTTATTAAATAAGGGAAATATGGTCCAGTTTTGCAATGTTAATAGCTGCCAGTCTCTCATATTTTTTATAAATATCATTTCCTGACTAGCAATGAGCTAGGAAACTGGCCTCAAATTCTGACCAAATCTCTCAGTATTAGTTAAAAATAATACAAAACAAAACAGAACAAAAAACCAGCCAACAGGGGTTAAAAGTTGCACAATTAAACTTGAATGTAAATTATACTATATACAGATTGGTATAAACATCACTGAAATGGTTTTGAAAGGATGAAACACTTCTATTTTAACACAATTTCTTCTATATTATCCCAATTTTCATTAAAGGACAACTGATATGTAATTTTTTTCTTTACAGATATGAAAAAGCAAGAAGGCAAAGCTGAGAGAAACAGATGCTACCCACAGGGCAGCGGTGGCATTTGGTTGTTTTGGTCTTTGTACCAGCAATTCCCACTCCCGAGGCAGATAATCCACTTCCTGCCAGACTACACAGTTTTTCTTGCAGTCAAGACACGAACAATGGACCCTACTCCTCCAGCAGCAAGTGCCTAAAAACAAACCAAGATGTAAATGTTGACAGAATAATAAAAGGTCAATTCTCATATTTGGTAAAACATTTTTCTTAAAGAAGGAATGGGCACTGCTATAGACCCTGAATTTATTAGTTAACAAATAATAAATTCTTGAGCACCAATTATGCACCAGGTACTGTTCTTGGCACTGAGGTTACAGTAATAAACAAAACCTTGAAAGTCCCTGCCCTCATGAAGTTACATTCTAGTGAGATACTAGTTTACATTTTAGTACATTAAT
Source organism: Homo sapiens (assembly GCF_000001405.40). Taxonomy (NCBI): domain Eukaryota; kingdom Metazoa; phylum Chordata; class Mammalia; order Primates; family Hominidae; genus Homo; species Homo sapiens. The sequence goes on from NC_000001.11 coordinate 183,627,860, forward strand.
TCTAAATAATGTTTTAAAAAATCTGCAGCATAGGCCGGGCGCGGTGGCTCACGCCTGTAATCCCAGCACTTTGGGAGGCCGAGGCCGGCGGATCACGAGGTCAGGAGATCAAGACCATCCTGGCTAACATGGTGAAACCCCGTCTCTACTAAAAATACAAAAAATTAGCCGGGCGTGGTGGCGGGTGCCTGTAGTCCCAGCTACTCGGGAGGCTGAGGCAGGACAATGGTGTGAACCCAGGAGGCGGAGCTTGCAGTGAGCCGAGATTGCGCCACTGCACTCCAGCCTGGGCGACAGAGCAAGACTCCGTCTCAAAAAAAAAAAAAAAAAAAAAAAAAAAAAATCTGCAGCATAGTGTTCCTGCTCAAAACAGGTGGACATTCTGCATTTCTCATTCTCACCACATAGTCAGAAGAAAATTCAAACTGGGATCAACCATCCCAACTTCCACTTCGATTAGTCAGCCTTTGTCAGATTTTTTTTCTCCCAAAGAAAGAAGGTATTGTTTAATAGCTAAGAACTTAGAAACTTTAACTCTGACTCTAATTTGAAAAATAGAGAGTAATGATCAAGTATTAGGAATCTGAGCTCTGGTTTCTTTCTGTTCAAAAAATATTTATGGAATACCTTTGTATACTGAGTACTGTGCTAGATGCTGGGGATACAAAAGTGAACAAATACAGCATTTTCTGGTCTAGCATGAGGAGACAGACATATAAACAGGTAATTTTAATCTAATGTATGAAATGAGAGTTGTGCTGCAGGTGCTATTAAAGCACCAGGGAGAGGCTTATACCCAGATTAACAGTATAGAGGAATGTTTCAGCTAAGGCTTCATGGAGGAAATGACACATTAAAAGAATGAGTAGGTGACAGGCTAACACCAGAAAATCATGAGCAAATGTATGGAGGTGTGAAACAATATGGTGCATTCAGGAAAAAGGCTGGCATTGCTATAGCCTGAGGGGAAGAATGACATGGAAGATGAAGCTAGACTTGGGAACTTTGACTTTATCCTGCAGGTGACTGACAAGGGCAATTTTGATTTTAAAGATATCATTTTGATGGCTGGGTGGAGAACAGATTTGAAGGAGGCAAAACTGTTAACTGGGAAACCAGTCAGGAAGCTATGGCAACAGACTGGGAGAGATGCTGTGAACAGCTGCATTAGATACGCTTGAACAGATAGATTTCAGAAATACTTCGAAGATTGGTAAAAACTGGTGACTGACATTTGGAAGAAATGAAGACTTCACACATGCCTCAGTTTCCTCAGTGACAAAAGAGGAATAATAGCAAGCATTTCCCTCCATTTTTATGAGGATTAAATGAGTTAATATTTATAAAGTCCTTTGAAGAATATGTGGAATATAATAAGTAATCAATGTTCACTGCAATCTTGAGGCTATGCTAGAACTACGCTGCTTGGGTTTTAAAGCTAGCTTTTCATCTGTAAATTGAGGATGATAAAGATATTTATATACTTCACAGGGTTGTTGTAAAGGTTAAATAAAACATTAATAGTATGGTACCTGGCAACAGAAAGTGTTCCATGAATAGGGTGCCATATAAATTACTACCCAAATTGGTGCATTTTAGAGTAAAAGGGGGAACTATTGTTTTACTATGTGCTTTTTTCTTATGTTTGTGTTTTCACTCAGATACACTTCAAACACTCAATATTTTTATGACTGGTTCTATTTACATGTTATCCAGTTTTTTACCCAAAGCTCAAAATCACTTATACTCTTTTGACAGATGATGTACCAGCATCTACTTACATTGCAAAATATACACATGAAAATAGAAAAACATGATTTAAGAATTCTTGATCCTCCAAACTCCTAATTCTTTAAAAAAGTTGTAAAATATCTAACACAAAATTTGCCATTTTAACCATCTTTAAGTGTAAAATCCATTGGCATTAATTATATTCACAATGTACTGTAGCCATCACCACTATCTGTTTCCAAAACTTTTTTACCACTCCAAGGAGGAACTCTGTACCTATTAAGCACTAACTCCCTATTCCTTGCTTTCCCTACTTCCTAGTAACCTCTAAGGACTTTCTGTCCCTTTGTGTTTGCCTATCCTAGATTATTTCATATAAGTAAAATTATAAAATATTAGTTCTTTTGTGTTTGGCTCATTTCACTTGGTATGTTTTCAAGGTTTATTAATGTTATAGCATGTGTCAGAATGTCATTCCTTTTAATGGTTGAATCATATTCCATTGTATGTATGTACCACAATTTAGCTGTTCATCTGTTATGATCCTTGTGTTGTTTTCACCTTTTGGTCACTGTGAAAGAATTCTTGATTTGTATTGCTTATTTTCTTTTACAAAGTTTTGATTTAATTCAGAGTTCAAGATTATGTTTAATTACTAATAATCATTGTTGAATAAACACAAGTGTTGGAATCAGAATCTCTTAAGACCAAGGCTAGTAAACATAAATATGAACTATCCTTTTCATGCATTTTATTTGTAATAACAAAAATGTACAACAAATCAAAATGGTTATTTAGGTGAGAGAGGTTGTCATTGTCATTCCCTATTGTAAAAGAACCAGTCATATAGATTTATAATTCATAACTTACCTTTTCATGCCATTGCAGTAACATAGCACTGCTATTGTCAGACGGGCTCTCAAATCCTTTATAAATATACTTCATTAGGAGATCCACACCATTCTTGTCCAGAGATTGAACTGCCTTTTCTATATCATTAGCTTTAAAAGAGATGAGCACCTTCAAGACAATGCTGCCTGCCCGGTCCTGGTGGGTCAATAAATAACAGAACATTTAGACATATCTGTATGAGGAGGGTTTAGAATTTCAGAAAGTCTACACTATGAATGTGACATTTGAGTAAGGACCTGAAGGACGTGAAAGAAGGCTTGGGATAACTGAGGAAAGTGTTTCAGACAGAGGAAAGAACAGTGCTATTAGTGTGTGTTCAGTGTGTTCCAGGAACAGAAAAAAACCCAATGTGGTTGGAGTGGATTGGTGGGAGAAAAGCACGTGAGTAAGTCAGAGGTTATGGGAGGACAGATCGTGTAAGGCCTACAGGCATTGTAAGGAGTTTGGCTTTTACTGAGAGAAATGAGAAGACATTGGAAGGTTTTAAGAGCAGTGCCATAATCTGACTCACATTTTAACAGGATTGCTTTGGCATCTATGTTACAGAAAATAAGCTGTGGGAGTAGGGGATAAGGTAGAAGCAGGGAGAGCAATTAGGAGGCAATTGCAATAATACAGGCTGGATGTGGTAAGCATAGTAGCAGTGGAGGTGGTAAGAAACTAGACAGACTATTAACATAATTGAAGGCAGAGCTGAGAGGATTTGCTAACAGATCAATGTGATAATTTAACAATTTATTAAAACAACATTTAAATTTATGTCTTGATCTTAAAAAAAAAAAATCCCAACAAAACGGCCGGGTGTGGTGGCCCACAGCTGTAATCCCAGCACTTTGGGAGGCCGAGATGGGCAGATCACCTGAGGTCAGGAGTTCGAGACCAGCCTGGCCAAAATGGTAAAACCCTGTCTCTACTAAAAATACAGAAATTATCCAGGCATGGTGGTGTGTGCCTGTGATCCCAGCTACTCGGGAGGCTGAAGCAGGAGGATTGCTTAAACCCGGGAGGCGGAGGGTGCAGTGAGTTGAGATTGCACCACTGCACTCCAACCTGGGTGATAGAGTGAGACTCCGTCTCAAAAAAAAAAAAAAAAAAAAAAAATTCCCAACAAAACAAGGAGGCAGATTTGCAGTTTCACCTTGAATTATCCTTCAGAAGTAATTTTTTCTTAAAAACTTTTTTATTTAAAAATTTTAATAAACCAAGCTGTCTTAAAAGAAAATTGACTGTAATTTATATGAATTGACTGTAGATATGAAATATAGTGATGTTCATTAATAATGATCTTTTTTCTTTGGCAAAAGCCTGCTTCAAAAGCAGTTATTTTCTTACCCATCCGGCCAAGCAAAGGAAACACTTAACTGACCTTTTCAACAATTCGTTTCTCCTTCCATTCAACACAAAGTGATACCTCCAGCATTCCTACTGGTCAGGATTTCACAGAATGTTTCTACCACCTACTGTTATCTTTGGTTTAAAGACTGCAATTACCAGATTTAGAAAAATATCTTTGCATCCACGGTAAAAATGAAATTTCAACGACAATCTTTACAACTTGTAAAAACCAAAGAAATTTTCCCCAATAAAAAATTATGTTACCTAGATAATTATTATGCATTTACCTAAGTTATTACTTACTACTATTCAATTGAGATTCTTGAAGCTCCTAGGATGTATGAATAGCTATGGACAACGGGGTTGATGCTATGGGCATCATTTTAAATAAATACGTAAATAGGTTAAGAATTAGTAAAAGACTGCAGAGAATGTAAGTTGCACAACTGTTCTGAAGGGCAATTTGGCAATACTGCATACCAAAAGCCTTAAAAAAAAGTGCATTCTTTGATCCAGTAATTCACTGCTAGCAATTTACTCAAAGAGAACAATTAAAAATTTACCAAAAAATATTGATTTCAGTGGTTTACAATAGGAAAAAAAAAGTCAGTCTAAATATATAACAAAAGATTAGTTATGTATACACTGCAGCTTATCCATATACAAGTGTTAAAAATGCTATAAACTTATTGCGAAGGAAAGCTCATGTACATTGCATATAGCTGAAAAAGCACGTTATAAAATTTCATTCTTAAAAAAACAAAAGGGAACTCTGTAACAATACAGCAAGGCCCCAAAGTAGTAACTGTTATCTCTGGGTGCTGGGACCACAAACCACTATCTTTTTAACCTTCTCATATGTCTGAGCTTTCTATAATAAGTATTTAGTATTTGTATGGTTTTAAAAAATCTTTAAAAAGCAATTACAATCTGTTTATTTTTGTAAAGGTTTAACTTATTTTTCAAACCTTTGCTCAAATTCAGCCTGAGTGGTCTCCTCTAAAAACACACACAAATGATTTCACTATCGTTTGAACTTACTGTATCTTACCATGCAGCATTATCATAACTACATTATAGGGCTATTTTTTCACGTGAAATTTTTACCTATCAAACTACATTATAAACTCTTCTATGTCAAAGATAGCAAACAGTTAAAATATTGATTTTTTTTTGCAACTGCAGAGGATTTTACTAAGAATAAGATATCAGCAGAGATCACTGTGTTGTAGTCTGCGACTCACCTTCACTGCCTGACTCTTGGTGTTGATAGGGGGGTTCTTCAGAGCTGCCTGTAGGGCAGCTGTCATGTTTCCTGTGATGGAAGTTAAGGGTGTAACAGCAAAGGATGGCCCCCAGGAAAGCATTATAACCACTGGTTCTTATGACTTGATTTACATATAAAAAGAAAATTACTTTGGTCACTATGTTCAATACTGGAAATTCAATGTGTTGGTTTCCAGGATGTTAATCAAAGGCAAAATATCAAAAGCAAAATAGAACATTAGACTTTTTTTTAATAAAGCAAAGACTGTTTCACCCTTGGTTCTAACTATCAAGTGAACACCTTGATAGTCTTTCATTTCCCAGTGAGATACATATGCAAACATTACCTAGAGTGGTGTTAAAGAAATCCTAAAATATATATCAGAATTATTAGTCCCCCAAATGAAATAACCTATTATCAACCAAAATATGTCTTTTCCTGTGATTCTAATTGAAAAAATAAAGACCAAACTTTTGCTAGAACCATATTCTGTATTATCTGAAATGCTGGTAGAACATGCTGGCAGATTAGCAATCTGAATGATACACATTAGCAATCTCTCAATATTGATGAAAAGAGGCATCACAGAAGATGTAATAATTCATATGTCCCTTAGGTGGCAGCTTAATTTTTTGCTTTAGATATTTTCTCTCATATTTCACAAAGGTTATTCAAACTGTGTTAGACCATACCTATTAAATTCAGGCTCTCTTTGAAAGCACTAGTGAGTTAGCAAGCATGAGAAACAGAAGGCCAATCAGACTGTCAGAATGTACAAACATTCCCCTAAAAGGAAAACCACAGAGTTCACTTGTTCCTCCAACTCTAGTACCCCACCACTAGGGCTGTCTTTCCTGGCTGTATGTAACGGTAAGAAGAGACAGTATCTTTATATTTTAAGATGAACTGATCAAAAAGCAGATCCACTGATATGGATACAGCAGTACCATTTAAAAGTCACCACAAATTACCTAAAATACACTGGGGTTTCATAAAACACCATCTATCCATCACAAATAATGTTTTTAGGAAGCATGTTCACCATTTATTTTCTAAAGAAAAAGTTCTTACACAAAATCTCTGGTTGACAAGCTGTTATTTTCAAGGCTGCAGGGATTTCTAGAGAAGCATGCCTGATGTAGATTAGCTCATTTTTTATAACTCCAAGCACTTAAGTATTTAAATAATGCAAAAGAGCAACAGCTAATTAATTGTGAAAGTTGTGGCAAAGCACTATCTATATATTGATAAATGTCTAATGCTCTATTTAGGTGCCTTTAAAAAAGGATATTGTTGCCATTAAATATTTTCACTCTCATATTTCCCCACTATAACAGGACATTGTTGAGAGTCTTCCTTATGAATACACCCAAGAATTAGAAATGCATACAAATTCAGTGTCTGAGATTTTCTAAAACTACAGCTTCGGTTTTTTTGCAACATTTACATTTTTCTAAAAAAGATGTAATGCAAATGCGAAGCCAAAGTTATGAATATTCAAATATGCAAAAACAGAAACCGGGAACTGACTGCCATATTTTAACTAAAATGGAAACAATTTTAGGATTACAAAAATGATTCTGCTTTATACGAATGACTCATCTTCTATCTTATTCATTGGGGTTTATTTTAAATATTTCCAAGGATTCTCCACACGCATTCCCCGTTGTTTTTTCTATTGTCCTTTTCTTAGCAGGTAAAAGGCTCCAAGCTTCCTTCTAGGAGTTTTGTATTTTTTGTATTCATTCCCCTCCCCCAGTTAACAAATTCTGTACAATGTATATTTTGCCAAATCCCCTTCTTCTTCTTCTTTTTTTTTTTTTTTTAAAAAGGCCAATGGGCTGAAAGCACAGGGACCCTCAATTTTCGAACAGTCCCATCTCCCCCCGCCCCCCGGTAAGGAATAAACTACCTTAACGCTACCAATAACAAAAACACAACAAAAAACAAAACCACTAAGGAAAGATGCAGGTTCCCCACAATCAGAAATTTCTGGAGCTAATGTGACCCCAGGAAATCAGAGTTCTAGGAAGAAAAACTAAGGCGCTCGGCACCAGCCTTCCCCACCAGCCGGGGCCGCCTTCCCCAGCGCCGCGAGGGCGCGGCCGGCGGGACCAGTTCCCGAGGCAGGCAGGCACTCGGGTGCAACCTGAGGAATCTGGGGGCGTGGAAGGCGCGCGGGGGAGGGCAGGCTTCCAAGAGTGGGACCCTCGCGTCTCCTGCCGACTGGGTAGGAAACGGGGGCTTCCCCCTTGCCCTCTCAGAGCGGGCGATCCCAAAGAGACAGGTTAAGCCGCAGGTTGAGAGGGCAGCTCCGCGCCGGTGCCCCGCGGATCCTGCAGGCTCCCGGGTCCCAGGAGAAGGGCGGGCTGGGCTGGGCTGGGGTGGGGAGGGCGGTGAATGCAAGGATATTGCCGCAGGCAGGAGTCCACCTCGCCCTCGTCGGGCCCGGCCTGGCCGTCGCCCCCATCTTCTTCGTCCACGAACTTGTTCTCGTCATATTCATCCACGTCCACCTTCCGGAAGCGGGCCGACGACACTGTGTTCTTCGACATCCCAATCCCGACCAGCGGCAAAGGCCTCTTCTTGGCGCTGCCTCTACCTCAGCAAGCCCAGCCCAGCAACCCACTACCCGGCGCCTGATTCACTTCCCTCTTCCGCTCTGAGGCGTCGCCGACTGCCGCGGCTCGGACCGTTCTGGGCCTGCGCGCTAGCCCCGTTTCTTCCTCCTCAGGTTCGCGCTCCCTTGGCGCCTCCCACGCTGCCCCTGCTCTTCCACGGAGAGCGCGCGCGAGGGAAGGAGCGCGCAGGACACAGCGCGCAGGCGCGGGCTCTCCGCAGGCAAGGGGCGGGGCTGGGCGAAGGAGGCGGGGGCGAGAGGGAGGGCCAAAAGCTGGACCGCGGGCAGAGGTAAGAAGCGATTGGTCGTCCGATTGCGTCACGTGATTCTCGGTGGGGGGGTTCCCATAGAAACGCTTTTCTGCGGTCCAGTCTAGGGGGTCTCAGATTGGCGGGGATGGGCAGCAGCGGCAGGTGGCCTTGGCTTTTGCTGCAGCCGTCAACGACCTATCATCGGGGTCCTGCGTAAGGTCCGGCTGGCTGGGACTTGGCTGTGGGTGGGATGGACTGGCTGCCGGACCGAGTGCCCTGCAGTTGGTAGGAGTATGAGGCAGAGTGATGCACACCCGGGCGCCCAGCATCGTTCTAATTGCCGGAGACATTGCCTCAGACTGTGCGCTGCTAGAGGCTGCGTTCCTGAGCAGGAAGCCCGTTTCCTGGGATTGGAACTACCCTTCTTGGCCAGCGGGAAGTCCCCAAGGACGGAGTCGAAAGGTCAAATCTTATCTGTCAGTGCTGTGTGACAGCATCGCAACGGGATCTGCAGAACCTGAACTCGGTATCAAATCTATTGGGAGGGAGGGGAACGTGTCCGGGCAGGCGCTGGGGTCGGGTGGCAAAACTGGGGTGAATTTGTAGAATTTGGGAAAGGGTCATTGACATCTTAAAATAGGTGGTCGTTTGGAGCAAGAATGCTCGAAAGGGGTGAGGGTAGGTTAGGCTCTCTAGTGCTGGGGGAAAACAAAATGTGGAAGGATTGGTGGAAACCAGACCTTTAAGATTTATATTATGATTTGAGATTTATATGATTCCATCTAGGCCAGATTTAAAAAAATATTTGACATCCCCATTTCTGGAATGTAGGAGATAAAGGCACTAAGACGAAGGAAATGGTAGTTGTGCTGTGTGTATTACACTGAAGAACAAATATTTGCAGGATAAAATTAATTTGGACATTTGGCTGGACACTGCTCGGTATGGGTCCAGTTTAGTTGGACCTCGAGCAGAAGACTGGCTGTTGCCCTGTTGTGTACCACAATCTTTGGTTTCCAGTGCTGTGTTGAAAAGAGCACTAGGCTTAGAATCAGAAAACTCAGGCTTAAGTGTTGACTCTTCCACTCATAATGTTTGAACGAGACATGTCACTTAAAATTCTGTCTCAGATTCCTCATCACTGAAATGGAGCTAATAATGTGCACTTTACAAGATTGTTCTTAGGATTATATATCACGAAAGTGTTTCCAAGCTCTAAAATTCTACATAAATGTAAAATGCATGTTGCTTGTACCATTGGTTTTGGGACTAGTCTTATAAATTTCTTAATGATATATGGTGTTTTATCTCCTTCCTAGAAGAGATGGAAAGATTCTGAAGGGCAGAAACAGTTTTTCTTTTGTATCTTCCTTCCATATGACAAAAAGCTAAGCATGCAGAAGGGACTCGATACATGCTTGATGAATGAATGAAATGTGAAAGACCGTACAGTTTGAGAATCATACTGAGAATAATAAATCAGAAGAGGGAGAGAGATCTCAAAATTAAATATTTGTTGGATATATACATGTAAATACATATGTCCAGTCTTCTTTAAGTTCAAAAAAATACATATATAATGTGTGTATATTTATCTATGCAGTATATTATATATAAATAGAGAGTGGGAGAGAGACCTCGAGAATGGAATACATCCCTTTTTCTTGGGAAGAAGCAATGTGGTGTTTTTCTGTTCCCAATTAAACCACTCTTCTATAAGTATATCATTTAGGTGATAGAAGTAACATTGTTTAAATTAACATTCAAGTTATGAACACACACTGGTAAAAATTCTCTTAGGAATGCCTTAAGACAGCAAAGGAAAAATTTTTACCTGTTGGCAATATTTATTTTAAAAAGCCATATACCAAAGTATAAAATCATTACTATGGTGAATGGCGTTATATAACTTAGAATAAAGATTTTACAATTTTTTTTCAGTTTCAGTCTTTGCTAACTTTAGTAGATGCTAATCAGTATACTTTAGCTGTTAAAGGTGATTGTACTTTTTCTTCTTTTAAATCAAGATTTTTCTTTGAAGAGAAAATCGAACATTAGAGGCACTATTGACAGCAAATGGAAACAGGGATTCAAGAGCTAATATATCTCTTCTCTTACATTTCTATTCTTTTGTATTGCCTTATTTAGGAAATTTTTTATTTTCTTATTTGAGAACTATGAAAGAATCCCAGAGTAGAAATCAGCTTAAGGGAATAGTGAAAGAAATTTAAATAATCGATTGCTCAAGGGTATAATTATTTTGATTGCTCAGAATTTTGCTCTATATGTTTAATGTGTTAAATGTAATTAACTGCCAGCCAAATAATGCTTATTGCATTTAAGATGTGAAAAATGTCCTTTTCTAATGCAGTATTTTTTATTGTCTCACAATGATCTAAGTGCCTAGTACATAATAGGTACTCAACGTGTTTCTAGTCAATGATTTAATGATCTGACAAGTTAATTTTGGACGAACATTCAGAAATTGAGTATTTTTTAGTGGGCACATAAATTACTTCTCTACCTTATTAGGTAGTTAAATCTTTATAAAGCTTTAAGAGAAATTTTTGTGTGTATGTGGAGAAATCTGTCTTTAATTATCTTTTAATTAGAAAACTCATTATTTCACTTCCTTGCAAATTCTAAATTTTTAATGTTAATCATGATACTTAATTCATCTTAGGTAATATTATTTTCCTTATTTTAATTTTTCAAATGAGTGCTTACCCTGATATAAAAGATTTATAAGGTTTTAAGACATTTTACTTGTTGTGCAAATAACCTGGTTTGGTTCAATACTGAAGCAGGACCGAATCTGAATTTTCTCAAGGTTAATGCTGTATATGTAGTTCCTTATTTTCTGTGATGATGCAAACAGCCAAGGATCTTTTCAGTTAGAAGGGACTTTAGTAAGGCTATAATAGGTCTTTCTTTTCAGACATTTTAAACCAAGGATTCTAACATGTGCTTCTCTTCTCCAAACTTGCCACTAAATACTTAAACAACAAAGACATTGAATCCTGGCTGGGCGTGGTGGCTCATGCCTGTAATCCCAGCACTTTGGGAAGCCAAGACGGGCAGATCACTTGAGGTGAGGAGTTCAAGACCAGCCTAGCCAACATGGGGAAACCCTGTCTCTACTAAAAATACAAAAAATTAGCTGGGGGTGGTGGTGCACACCTGTAGTCCCAGTTACTTGGGAGGGTGAGGTGGGAGAATTGCTTGAACCTAGGAGGCGGAGATGGCAGTGAGCTGAGATCGTGCCATTGCACTCCAGCCTGGTTGACAGAGCAAGACACTTCATCTCAAAAAAAAAAAAAAAAGAAAAAAGACGTTGAATCCTGCAACGTGACATTATTTATTTTTATTATTTGAAATAGAAGTGCAAAATCAATGTTAATCAAATATGTAAAATGTATTATAAATATAAATAAGTGAATTTCAGTTCTGGTAAGGATGCTTTAATACCAGGGTTCTCTGGCAACATAATTACTGAAATATAAAAAGATGTTTAGCATGTTGTCCATAGACTATCTTATGATTTAATACTCCTATGAATATCTACATCAACTGGTTCTGTGTTAAACTTTAAAACATGAACCTTCAGAATTTCATTTTTTCTTTGTTTCAAGTTTTTCCTTTACATAATTTTATGATTACACATTAAAGTGGAATAGATAGGGTGAACTCTCTACTGAAACTTATCAACTAAAAACCTGTAAGCCAAAAAAAAAAAAATCAGGGAAAAAAATCTCTAAATACGTTGAATTTATTTGGGAATTAGAAAAGAGGATTATAACCTGAGATGCACAGCTGTGGCAAGCTACATATACATCAAAGAAGGGAGGATAAAGGGAAATGTTTTTCTTTTTTTCTTTTTTTTTTTGAGACAGAGTCTCACTCTGTCGCCAGGCTAGAGTGCAGTGGCACAATCTCAGCTCACTGCAACCTCCGACTCCCTGGTTCAAGCATTCTCCTGCGTCAGCCTCCGAAGTAGCTGGGATTACAGGCGCACACCACCATGCCCAGCTAATTTTTATATTTTTAGTAGAGACGGGGTTTCACCATGTTGGCCAGGATGGTCTTGATCTCCTGACCTTGTCTGCCCGCCTTGGGCTCCCGAAGTGCTGGGATTACAGGTGTGAGCCACTGTGCCTGGCCAAAGGGAAACTTTTATTTGGCAAAAGGAGAAGTTCACATAAACTGCTTGGAAACAGACATTGGTTTTGGATACTCAAAGTCAGAGTTGGCACCATTTTAGAGGAAGAGATGCTGTTACTGGGCAGGTATTGTTTTGAGAGCATTTTATCTGAATTGCTGCAGTCCTACAGAATTTCTTATTTTAGAAAGTCCTTGAGACAGGACTTCCAAAAATGTCTTTTATCTCGTCCATGCAATCATGAACCCTACTCCTTTGTGCTCTCCTGGCTCTAGTTTGTGTTTGACAAACAGTGATTTCATCCTGGTATCTGCAACTTTCATAAACCTTTATTTATATATTAGTACTTCAAAGATTAAAAAAAATTGTAAATCTCTTGCCTCAAGAAAAAGATTTAGTGCCAAAGAATAAGTCTTATTTTTAAAATATTGTGAATGAGACTTGTTTCATTTGATTTTTTTAATGGCTTATGATGATATAAAATGAAAGCTATGGACTTTAAAACATATTTATCCTGTATTCTTTCTTAGCACTGGTGTCTTTTATTAATGCTAACAGTCGTTTTAAGGTTGCATCTCTTATCACACTGTATAATATTTGAGGTAATGATAATTTACATCTTCTTTTCTAATATTTCTGTCACCTATTTTATCTTGTGTTTGCTAGAATTGTGAAAAGAGTGTTGAAAAATTGAGTGCTGGGCTCTTCTGCTTTGTTCCTATTTCAATTTCGTTGGTATTTCACCAGTTGACATTATATTGACTTTCGCTTTATGACTTTTAGAAATGACTGCTAAAATTATCAAATGCCTTTTATGGGGATCTAATGATAAAAATCATATAGTTTCTATCTTTGAATTTATGAGTGTAGTGAATATATATATTTTTCTACACTGAAACATTCCCACATTTCTAGAATAAACTCTATTTGGTTGTGAAATATTACCATTTTAATTACTTGCTGGATTTGATTAGTTTATATTTTGTTTATATGGTTTCAGAATTTTTTTTAAATAATTGCCACAAGATCTCACTCTGTTGCCTAGGCTGGAGGGCAGTGGTATGATCTTGGCTTACTGCAGCCTCGACCTCCCAGGCTCAAGCCATCCTCCCACCTCAGCCTACCAAGTAGCTGAGACCACAGGAGTACGCCACTACCCCTAGCTAATTTTTGTATTTTTTGTAGAGATGGGGTTTTGCTCTATTGCCCAGGCTGGTCTTGAACTCCTGAGCACAAGCAATCTGCCAGCCTCGGCCTCTCACAGTGCTAGGATTATAGGTGTGAGGCACTGTGTGCTGCCTTTACAAACTTTGTTTTGTAGATACAGTGTCTCCCTATGTTGCCCAGGCTGGTCTTCAACTCCTGGCCTCAAGCGATTCTCCCTCCTTGGTCTCCCACATGATGAGATTACAGGCATGAGCCCCCCCCACCATACCTGGCCATAATTTCAGTTTTTAAGTAAGATTGGTCCATAGTTTTATTTATTTGTGCTATCTTTATCCAGTTTTGATATTAGTGTTAGTCTAACTTTGTAAATGAATTTAGATTTCCACCTTTTTTTCTATGCTCTGCAATAGTTTAAATGATGAAAAATTATCATGCTATTTGGTTTTTGAAAGTTAGAGTGTGCTGCAAAACCACCTGGGCTTGCTGATACTTTTAGAGGTAGATCTTTGATTATTCTTTTCTTCTATGATTATTGATTTGTTTGATTGTCTTTCTCTTCTTGAATCAATTTTAGAATTTATGGTTTTTAGAAAATCATGCATCTCATCTACATTGCCAATTTATTGGCAAGAAGTTGCACAAAATATTTTCTTATAATTATTTTAGTATCTTCCATGACCATGGACGTTTTTCTTTTCTCATTACCACTATTAACTCTTTAAGCAAAACATTGAAATCAACTTTTTCTTCCCCAACCTGATTATCACAAATTCTAGTAGCATATCTTAACTTCTTAAAGAAAATAAGAAGTCAACTATCTAAGACTCATAGGTTTGATAAAATTTGAAAGATCCTGCAATCCTTATAATTTCCTACTGTTTGTCCTTATCCTGTTCATATTTTATTAGTAATAGCAACCACTTAATACGTTTATTGTGTGTCAGACACTTGGTAAATAAACCCTTTACTTGCATTATTTAATTCCCAGAGTAGCTCTATAGCCTAGAAATTAGTGTTCCCATTTTATGAATGAGTAAACTAAAGCTCAGAGAGGTTATATAATTTGGCCAATGATATTCAATCAGCAAGTGGCAGAATGATGTGGGAACCGAGTATGTCAGATTCTGGGGTTTGTGCATTTAATCACCACTCTCTACTTTCGGTATCTTTTTCATTATTCCAAATTATAATACTTACTTTTTTCTAAAAATTAGTATATAACCAAGTATCAAAGGCCTAAATAAACCCATATAACAGCTTGAAATGCGCTGTAAATTATGAACCTAAAAAAACCTTGTTATTGTAATGATTTTTTAAAGGATATTTGTTTTTTAGATATTTCTGTGAACTTTCCTTACCTTATCTCTGTATTTTGAGACTAGACATAGAGCCTGATTTCTAATATTTAGTCTAACAGAAAAGATGTCACTTTTTTTGTATTTAGAGAGACCAGTAGGTGTCAACTAGTAATTCAATTTTTAAAAAAGATTATGATAAAATAGACATAATAAAGTCACTATCTTAACCATTTTGAAGTGTACAATTAAGTAGTACTAAGCACATTGTTGTACAACTATTACCAACATCCATCTCCAGACCTCTTTTCATCTTACAAAATTAACTCTGTACCCATTAAACAATAACTCCCTGTTCCCTGCTCCCCAGCCCCTGGCAACCACCATTTTCTACTTACCACATGTAAGTGGAATCATGTGGTGTTTGCCTATTTTTGACTGGTTTATTTAACTTGGCATAATGTCCTCAGGGTTCATCCATGCTGTGGCAGGTGAATGGATTTCCTTCCTTTTTAAAGCCGAATAATATTCCATTGTATGTATATACCACATTGTGGGTATCCATTCATCTGTCAATGGACATTTGGTTTGGTTCTACCTTTTGGCTATTGTGAATAATACTGCTATAAACATGGGTGTAGAACTATCTCTTTGAGGTCCTGTTTTTTTATTTATTTATTTATTTATTTATTTATTTATTTATTTATTTATTTTGAGACGGGGTCTCACTCTGTTGCCAGACTGGAGTGCAGTGGTGCAATCTCGGCTCACTGCAACCTCTGCTTCCTGGGTTCAAGTGATTCTCCTGCCTCAGCCTCCCAAGTAGCTGGGACTACAGGTGCATGCCACCATGCCTGGCTAACTTTTTGTATTTTTAGTAGAGAAGGGGTTTCACCATGTTAGCCAGGATGGTCTTGATCTCCTGACCTCGTGATCCGCCTACCTCGGCCTCCCAAAGTGCTGGGATTACAGGCGTGAGCCACCGCGCCCGGCCCGAGGTCCTGTTTTATAAAAAAAATTACTTTACTTTTTTAAATAGATTCAGGGTCTTGTTATGTTGCCCAGGCTGGTCTTTAACTCCTGGGCTAAAACGATACTCCCACCTCAGCCTCCCAAAGTGCTAGGATTACAGGCATGAACCACCGTGCTTGGCCAAGATCTTGATTTTATACCCAGAAGTGGAATTGCCTGATGATATATTAATTCTCTTTAATTTTTTGAGGAACGATTTGCACTTAATTTTAACTAAACAATGCAATAAAACAATGTTCTATTGCCTTGGGTCCCAGATTTAGTACATCCCTGAAAGTCAGGGACACCTAAGATAAGATAATCTTGGGATTTATGTTTGGCATGAGGTCCTGGGCGACAGGGGAGTGGGGGAGGGCCAAAGTTCTGGGATCTAGAACCTACTAAAGTTTTCCACCCTAGCCCACCCTGCCTACCTGGCTTCCATAGTTTAGAGGATGCCCATTGGTACTGTGGTTTGAGCAGAATGACAGAAAAGCTACAGGACAGGTCCTAAATAAATATGGATTCTTTCAGACTTTGTAGTGAATCTGCATTGTTATTATTTAGAGAAGCATTAAGGCATAATGATTAAGAACATGGATTCTGGAGCTTGACTTCTTGGGTTTAACGCTCAGCTCAGCCTTTTTTTACTACTTGGGCAGTTACTTAAATTATCTGTGCCACAATTTCCTTATATGTAAAGTAGTTATTATAATAATATCTACCTCATAGGATTATTGGGAGGATTAAATGAATTAATACATGTAAGTGCTTAGAAAAATACTTGACATATAGCTCTCACTCAATGTTAGTAATAATGATAATATTATTTTTTAGAAACAGGGTCTTGCTATGTTGCCCAGGCTGGAGTGTAGTGGTGTGATCATGGCTCGCTGCAGCCTCTACTTCCTGGGCTGAAGCAGTCCTCCTGCCTCAGCCTACCAAAGTACTGAGATTACAGGCAGTAGCCACCACGCCTGGCCGAATAATATTATTTTAAATTAGCATAGGTTATGATGTGGCTTTCCTTTTAAAATTTATTTTATTTTATTTTTTTAATTTTTAAATTTATTTATGTGGCTTTCCTTAAAAACCAATACGAAGAGTAAGATTCCATTCTGTGAGTTAAACTTTTTGGATTGCTTATACTATGAATAAAAAAGATGTAACGGCAGTTTAAAGAAATAGGATTTGCTGTCCGATCAGCAGGATTAGATTATAGCTTGATGAATTCTAATCTATTTAGTATTATATAAATTGGATTGTAGCTTGATGAAACATAGAAAACGGATTTCTAGTCACATAGAAAATCGATGCTATGACAGGAGCTGGTCATAGAGGTTTGTGTTGTCTCTTGTTGCCTAGACCCTCCCAAACATTGTCCAGGAATGAGATGCCTTTGTGCATACCCCATCCACCACTTCATTCTAAGCAGATGTCAGTCACCACTACTAAAGCAGAATCTGATAGCACTAAACATTTGAGTCACATAATGGACTCCTCTAATCCATAAGGCAACCTTATGATAATTTGGCTTGCTATGTAGCTTATCTACATGGAGAGGCTATGTAACCTGGATGACTTGAATATATGCTTGCATATCCAGTTATAAGTCTTACTAGAAATCAGTACATTAGTTTTTTGTCTTTACATGTCAATCTCAAGAGGTTTGTTAATCCAAACCTGCTTCTGATGAGTAAATCCATTCTCCCTGTACTTACTAAGTAGGTAGTTGAGCATATAAAGCTAAGACCCCCAAACCCTGGACCTTGGTAGATTCACCAAGATAATGTGTCCGTCTCTTCAGTCTCATTGTTTTCTTGGGATATATCCCAGTGCCTTTTCCAGATCATCATATTACTAGCTACCTTAATTTACTTCTATTTTCTTTATTTCCATTAGTTCTATATGTGTGGTGGCAGAGATATTCTTCCATATCACCATTGCCAGTTGGCTGAAGAGGGGTGGAGCAACCCAATTTCTCTCTCTCAATCCCCGGCCAGCCTGATATGACCAAGAATCACTGCGTAGTGAGCAAGGAAAGCTAATCACTGCACTGCAGGATCTCACTTTGTGGAACTATTGCTTTGCTATATGCCTTCTTATAGCAGACGGAGCTGAAAGGAACCTTAAAGATGAACTAGCCCACATTTCTTGTTTTACAGATGAGGAAACAGATTACTTGCCTTGGACAGTATATCTTTATGCTCTTCTAACAGTCTTTTGTCTAAGGTTGGCCTGGACTTACGACCTGTGAGTAATCTTCTTTGTAGCCCTAGTCTTATCGAACCAGTACAAAAGTTTAACTGCCAAAGGCACTTTCTTTCCTATAGTTCTGACAACTTCTCCTTTTGTTATATACCACTGATATCCAGGTTCAGTTCATCATCTATTTCAGACCATGTTTCTAATTGGATTCTCTGTAGCCTGGTTCATGTTGTAGTCTGCCATTTTCTGGCAACAAATTGGATCTATTTTAATAATGATCAGAGATGCTGGATTTGTCATGTTGGGATCTTTTTAACTCAGTATCCCAAATTGTGGACATAGGATTTCATGAAATAAAAATAAACCTCAACAGTACTTCTTTAAATAATACTCACTATATACCCAGAATAAAACTATATTCCAGTAATTCCATTAAAATTTGTATGCTAACAATAAAACTTTGTTTTAAAATTTTTATTCATGTTTATTTTAACCACAATACTAATTGCTATTCCTAAAATATGTTTTTCTTTCTCCTCCTCCCTTATGGAGTATTAAATGTTTTAATGTCATGGCAAACTCTTTTATTAGCTTAGGATTACTTTATATATATATATAAAGAAAAAAATTAATAGCAAGTTACGAGAAAATGTACATTTTTCTTGTAATGTATCTTTACATATTTCAAAGAGGCAAGTGGCAGCAAATGTGAAATAAGCATAAGCAAAGTGCTTTCATTTAAGTGCTTAGAGGATTAATCAAGGAGCACTTCCTAGAAGTGTGTTTTGAAGATTTTAAGAGAAGGTACAAATATTCACTGGTGACGAGGATGGAGTCAGAAAGAGGGAAGTAAAACACACATTATGCATTGGGAGCTGCATTAGAAAGGGGAATGGATGCTAACAAAAAGAAAAAACATCTCTTGCAGGATGGTGAAGCAGGCTTTCAGCTGGGATGGAGAAGGGATGCTGAGTTACAATCATTGGTGAAGTTATTGAGATGTCATTTCAGCCTTGCTACTCACATTTTGCTGGGTAATGTGCTAGATCCTAAGGGAAAAGCTAAAGAGAAGGGAGAGACAGTGCTTGACCTGTAGGTACTTATGATCTTGCTGATGAGACAAGGCAACAGGAAGTTAAAGGAGGATCCTTGAAAGCCAGTAAGAGGAACTTGGATTTTATACAGTATGTGATGACAGGAGCCATTGGAGGTTCTCATGTATCATCTTACCTCTATCATCTGCTCAGAAGGGAGAGGTCTGAGCTGGGGAAGATCAAACTGAGCAGGTGGCTAGGTTTTAATCTTTATAGCTATATGTAATCAGCAGAAGAGCTTTTTCCCACACAAAACTATTTTGAATCACTTTAGAAAAAAATGAGCTGCCTAAAATCTTCTGTCCATGATTAACAATTAATAGAAAATCACTGGTTTGCTCCTGCAAACAGCACTTAATGTCAGTAGCTTCAGGCTGTTTTTCAATTTTACAGTAAATTTTTTACCGAAACAAATTTAGGTAGCTATTTTGTCCATGGGCTTTTGTAGTGGAAAGATGATGTGAGTAAAATAGAATAATGAGATTCCTTTTCTGCATCAAAATATTAGCAAGCTGCTAATGGTTCCATTTTGATACTGCCACTTTCAAAATAAAGGAGAGAGATCAAGTTGCTTATGGAAACATTTTGGATTATGTTTAAAATAGTGTAACTTTATAATAGTTGATATGGTAAATAATTCAAGGTTTGCTTTTAGTGCATCAGTTTATCTCCATCTTGGCTCAGCCCTGAGAGAGAAAGTTTCCAGATTTTTATTGCCTATCTAATAAGTCCCTTGGTAATTGGTTTCATGCTGTAGGAATGTAGATTTTATTTCTTCCCTTTCTTCTTCTTCTTTTCATCTGCCTCCTTGCTACTTGCAAACTGTTCTGTGATTTCCACTATCTCCACTGACCTTCCAGTGGGAAGCCTTCCAAGGTCCTTGGTTTCCTGGAATGACATTTGAGGCATATTTAAGTGCCTTACGATATTCCTGGGTTTATTTGGGTTTTGGCCCATATGCATTGGTGGTAAGTCCCTGAGAGGCACTAGCACAAAAACAACAGGAGCCCTGAGGTCTGGAGGTAGGTTGGGTTGGAGTTGTCCACTCGGCATTTGAAAAAACTGTCCAGGAAAGGCATTGTTTAAGGGGTAGCTCTCTAAAGCCTCCTGAGCTTTTGTGTTTGGATTCCTTTTTGTCTGGAGAAGAACATCAGTGAAGTAAGGTTTTACGCCTGTTATGGCATTGATTTCATATGCGTTGTGCCTGTCAGCCAGTGCTCTCCCAGTTAAAATGGGCTGAAAAACATGTGATCCTGAGACACCACTTATAAAGCTGTGGAGAACAGAATGCCAGATCCCACCACTTATTGGACTCAAAACAACCCGCGGCCATAAGCTGGCCAGGCTCCGGAGAGCTTCGCGGTTCCATGCTGAGGCAGGAAAGTCCATCTCAGTATGATAGAGCTGAGAAAAATAAATACTAAGAGTGATGCCTGGATACGTAATCAGGAAATTATACATTTTGCTGATGCAGCAGTGGTTAGCTTCATTACAAGGGGAGTTGTTGGAATACAGAATGATATGCCTGATGCTGTCATTATTGTATATGGCTGAGTCAAGATAACCATTCATTTCAAAGAGCATTGATTCTGGATGGATATAATTCCCAGTGCAACTGCTAGCATGGCCCTTTTGCACCAGGCTACCAGAAGAAGTTTTTAGTTCATAAAATGTGAGGTGTTTTGTTTGAGGAAATGTTGTCCCATAAGGGAATCCAAAAATCTGACAAAATTCTGTGAGGGAAACTCTTGCTTCTTCACCTGTTCGAATATGGTAAGGACAATTAGAGCAATCGAGAGAGAAGCTTAGCCAGTAATATGGTTTTACTATTGTTCCATGATTTGCTAGGTACTCCTCATATATGGGCTCCATTGCTAGATTTACTGTCTTCTAGCTGCAAACCTAAACAAGGAAGAGAAATTACATATAAAACCAGCGCAGGAAAAACTGAAGACAGTGCATTAATTTATTAAACCATACTTTCTTTAAAGGAAGTAGCACAATAAAGATAGTGATATATGCATAGATTTAAAAGCTCAGGATTCATTATTCTTTATTGAGACTCCTAGAGCATGGGGAGGAAACAGAAGAGAAAGGCGTTCTTCAACTTTACCTGTTTCATAGATTCCAAGTCAGTAAAGCAAATGAGTTAACAATGCAAGTTCTAGAAACAGACTGTCTGGTTTTAAATTTGGGCTTGGCCAATTATCAGCTTGGTGGCCTTTGACAAGTTATTTAACATTTGGGAGCCACAGATTCCTTGTCTGTAAAATGAAGATATTAATAGTACTTACCTGATAAGATTGTCTTGAGCATTGAATAACAGAATGAATATAAAATGCTTCACTAATGTGCTTGTCACATAGTAAGGACTCAGTAAATATTAACTCTTAGTAGTAAAAGTACAAATCCTAGGGTTATCTAGATTATTCCTAATTATAAAAGTACAAAAAAGTGTTTTGCATTTTGTTCATGATCTTTCTTCTCAGAATATGTTAACATCTAATGTATTGTGCAGAACTATTCAGTGTGCTTGCATTTAACATCAACTTTCTTAAAATCACTGGAAATAATTTGGAGGTTTTTGGGTTTTTTTTGAGACTAGGATCATGGGATCTCTTTTGCTTAATGATAGAGACTTCTTAGGAAAGTGCCACTTGAGTATTCTTTGGATTGTGGACACTCATTCATTGACATGTAAGAGTTTTCTTTCCCGTGAGTGGGTCTTGTTAGAAGACTTTTGAAAAATTACTGTTACAGAAAGCAAATATGGTTCTTTAGAATATTTCAAATTAGTAGTTTCTGGGATGTTAAACTCAAAAAGCTGAGATCTTTAAGTAATGATTTTTTCCTTTAAAAAATATTCCTTCAGTTATCGTTGTTCCTATAATGCTCTAGGAGCTACCTATTTTGTTTGTTTTTGAGACAGTCTTGCTCTGTTGCTCAGATTGCAGTGCAGTGAGATGATCATGGCTCACTGTGGCCCCAACCTTCCGGGCTCAAGTGATCCTCCTGCCTCAGCCTCCCAAATAGCTGAGACCACAGGTATGTACCACCATGCCCAGATAATTTTTTTATTTTTTAGGAGGGATACAGTCTCCCTATGTTGCCCACACTGATCTCGAACTCCTGGGCTCAAGTGATCCTCCTACCTTGGCCTCCCAAAGTGCTGGGATTACAGGTGTGAACCACCATGTCCAGCCTTCCGTCACTATTAACATGTCTATTCCCTCCAGTCTTTTTGCTATATGTGTATGTTACATATAATATAAACAAAGTCATGTTTTATACCCTGCTTTTTCACTTAATATTGTGCCATGAGCATTTTCCCATGTTATTAAAAATAATATTCGGCCAGGCGTGGTGGCTCACGCCTATAATCCCAGCACTTTGGGAGGCCAGGGTGGGCGGATCATGAGGTCAGGAGATGGAGACAATCCTGGCTAACATGGTGAAACCCCGTCTCTACTAAAAATGTAAAAAATTAGCCAGGTGTGGTGGCATGCGCCTGTAGTCCCAGTTACTCGGGAGGCTGAGGCAGGAGAATAGCGTGAACCCAGGAGGCAGAGCTTGCAGTGAGCCAACATCCCACCACTGCACTCCAGCCTGGGTGACAGAGCGAGACTCTGTCTCAAAACGAAAAACAAAAAACACAATATTCATGGCTAATTAGTTTTTTATTATGTAACTGTAACATTCAGTTTCTTGCCTCTTTTAATTATTATAACACTTTGATAAATATTTCTGTGAGAAATTATCTATTGCATATATTATATAATATTTATTATAAAGAATCAGATTTTTTTTTTTTTTTAGAATAGATTACTAGAAATCATAGTATTAGGTCAAACATTGTCAAATCGCTTCCTAGGAAGGTGTACCAATCTTATCACATTCTCTTACAATGTTGTTTATCCCAATTTGAGAAGGGAGCATTGGTATTTTTTTGTTGCTATAATGTGTGCCTTTATTATTTCTAGTGAAGTTGAACACTTTTTGACATGCTTATTGGTCTGTGGTATTTATTCTTCTGTGAAATATATTTGATTTTTTACCTATTTTTTGCGTGAAGTTTTCCTTATTGGTTTGCAAGACATTTTTATGCATCAAGAATATTAAATCTGCCACATTTGCTGCTAATATTTTACCTGGTTTATACAGCCTTTTAATTATGCCAATGTTATTTTAATTGCACCAAATTTTACATTTTTATGTGGTCCAGTCTCTACTCCTGTGATTTTTTTTCTTATTGTATTTAGAAATGCCTTCCTCATCAAAGCATAATTAAGTATTCCCCATATTTTCTTCTAGTATTTATGGTTTCATTTTTTACATTTAACTTTGTCAGATAACAAAACTGATAAGGCAGAAAATTTAAATGAGGTAAACTGACCATTGCAACAGAATATATTTTTCACTTTTCAAAATCTCACTTATCATATCACAAGTATGAATACTTGTGCTAATAAATAAATTATGGCCTCTCATATGGAAGTGCTATGTTCACCTTCTGTCTTCCTCAGCCCACATCAGCTCATTCATTGCTGTATTTGATACAGCTTGATCTCTAGCCTGAAACCTGCAGAGTTCCTATGCTAATCCTATCCTGGGCAGAAAATATGTTAAAAGCCTCAATCCAGCTGTAGGTGGAATGTAGCTTTATTCATGTCACCATTATCTTAGTGGCTAATATCCTGCAGTAACTCTGGCACCACATACCCACCAGATTCTAGATTTCTCCTAGCCTCTGCTGTGTCATCTTAATCCATAGGATTGGACATTAGCTTTGTTTTTTCCTTAGTACTATATTTTCCTGATGTAACTGAATTCCTGCCTTGAGGCTTCCTAGACCTTGTCATAGCTTTCCTTCTAGAGAGCTGGATTTAACCCTTGGCAGTGGACGATCTCTTGGAACCTGACGCCATTTCCTGCTTACTCCCGAGCATTGTTTCCTCTCTGGACCTCCTCCTTGCTTAGCCTTCATCAGGCTGGATGGATCTCTCCATCAGAACTTGCCAAAACCAAGCCCAAACTTTCATGCTTTTTAATATTGTGCCCTTGATGTGGTCGACTTATGGGTGGTACACCGGACATCCAGGTTACTGCTCAGATTACAATTTCAACTCACCCATAGACAATTTACAGATTGATTTGGCTAAATGTTATGGAAACAGAACCAAAAGGCACTTTTCTGTCTTTATTACTATTTCTTAAGGTGATGTGTATGTGGAGTTAACTATATATAATGGTCCCATAATTACCCTTTTGGGAAACAAAAGTCTTTGTGTGTTTTTAGATAAAGGTAGCAAAATGGAAACTCCCTATTGCTTTTCTAAGCACGCCTTCCTTTGCACCCCCATCTTCTGTGGCTGTTTTAGCCAGAAATGATACATCATTACTGTCTTTAAGGAGATGGAGAGGACTGTGGCTTTAACACATAGTGGAGGGAGCTCTGTAGTCTCATTCTTGCTGACAACTTTTCAGTGTCAACCAACTATAGTTTCCTATTGGTGAAGTTTTCACTTTTTCAGAGTCTTTCTGGGCTTGTTCTTTGATCACCCTCATCTGAAGAGGAAGCAGGAAAGAACTGTTGCCCTCTTTGAACTCTTAGAGAATTCATGGTTTATTGTATCAATTTGTTATCGACCACAGATTATCTTGTTAACTTTTGGTATCTGTCATTTTATTCTCCCCAACCAGGTGGAAATGTACCCTGTTTAGGCCCAGGACCTACCTTAGCAACCTTGATTGGCTCACAAGCCAGGTTGCTTAAGACTTGTTTCCCCAGCAGCTGGTGTCCCTACTTCCTGCCTAGCCCTTTTCCTTTTGCTTTGTCTGTGCTTGGGAAATACATGTTATACTCTGTAGAGCAGATTTGCTGGCAGTAAGAACAGAGATGTGTAGAGCCCAGCGTGCTGGAGGGCTCTCTGCATCTGGCTGTGAGTGGCCCCTGGACTGGGACCGTGGGAGGACAGCTTTCCATAGTTTAACATAAATGAACCACACCATAAGGACAATCTGCTCTCATTTCACTCAACTAGGATTTAGTGAGTACTGTTAAAGCACAGTTTGCACTGGAGTAATTGGAGAATGGAGTTTGCCCTTCACAATCTGTGCACAATCTGTTAGCAGCTAAAAACAAATGTTAGCAGTTATAATTACCATCAATTTGTCTCCAGGCTTGGATCACATTCCAGGTGTTAGAAGAGATGGTCCATTTCCTTTTTTTTCTCCTTTAAGTCCCATGCCCTGTTTCAAGTAGCTTCAGAAGGCAATTGTGCTGTAAAGATTCACCTTGTAATGGGTTCAGGACTCTTTCACAGTTTGTGTCTATTCGTTCATTTGAACTTTGCTGTTCCAAGTTAGAAAGCCCTTGCTGAGGTGTGGCTACCTCTAAGAACACTGTTGATTGGGTGCCATGGTAACGTTTGCAAAGTAGCTACTGCTAGGATACAGCTCTGACACTTATTACTTTATTTGCATATCAAGCCACCTGTTCCAAAGATGAAAATATACAGGACTGCATATCCCAGTCTGGGTAAAAGGATAATAGCTGACTGTTGAAGAGAACATGTTGCAGTTTTTCTCCTGCTAGCTGAAGAATCAAGTTCTGAGGGCCTGCTCCTCAGCACCTTTCTCCTGGTCTAGAGTAGGTGCCAGGCCTGGCGGTTCTGTTGCCTGCGTGGGTGCCAGGGCTTCTCCTTGGGAGGCTTGCCCTCTGTGAGAGGGAGCAGAGAGTTGACTTCCTCCAAGAGGCCCATAGTCCCTGAAGGGGGTGTTTTTGATTCTGTCTAAACCTAGGCTATGTGTTAGCGGTTTCCCTCCTCTTAGAAATTGCCTGGAAGACTCTTGCTATTGGTATGTATGTGGTTCCCTCCAGTTTAAGACAAGATTTGTTCCAGGATCGGTTGTAGCCCCTTCTCTGTGGCTAACGGAAGAGCCACTTGTCCTTCTCCATTCTTTTCCTTAGTCTCCCTTGACCCCCACATCATCTCCTAGACACAAGGCACATTGATAGTCACAATTCACTGTCAATCACTCTGGATTATTCCCTCATTCCCCTTTCCCAGGCCACCTGAAGGAGTGAGTGGGGATTGCTATTGTGTACATTCCAGTAATAACTATTGGCTGTAAGCAGA
This sequence comes from Homo sapiens, assembly GCF_000001405.40. Taxonomy (NCBI): domain Eukaryota; kingdom Metazoa; phylum Chordata; class Mammalia; order Primates; family Hominidae; genus Homo; species Homo sapiens. Next base: position 183,654,049 of record NC_000001.11, read on the forward strand.
CATACTCTAAAAATAACTCAGGGATACTGAGCACCCAGAGGGCACCTTCTGTCTTCTCGAAGCTTCGCCACGCCTGTTTCCACTGTCAGACTTCCAGTCTGCACCACAGCACACATCCTTTCTCATCCAGAGTGCTCCTACTAGACGAGATGTTTTTGTCTCCTAAGGGCCTCAGGTGTATTCATGAACTCCTCAGCTGGTTATTTTCAGTTTCATCTTCCTTGGTGCTTGCTCTGGCACATGGTCACTGCTGCATCCTGTCCCTTCCCCACAGTTTGCCATGGGTCATCCCTTTTTTCTCATTGCTTGCATCTTCTAACTGAATGAACTTGTAAATATGGAACTGAAAGTCAATCCTCATAGCTCATCTTTTATTTAATCCTAATAAATGACAATCTATTGCAAACATTACTTTAAAAATATTACTTATCAAAAGCTGGGTGAAAGGATAATAGCTGACTGTTGAAGAGAACATGTTGGGGTTTTTCTCCCGCTAGCTGAAGAATCAAGTTCTGAGGGCCTGCTCAGTTCTGTAAGAAAGTATTAGCTGTCTGACAGGTTCCAGTGAGGGGAGGAAAAGACAAAAAATATAGTCCCCAAATCTGCACCAGCATCCCATGTGCACTGTGCACCTTCCATGGTGGATTAGATGCTCAGCAAATGATATACCTATGGAAGGTTAAGCCTAAAGAAACAGGAAAAATGAGCCTTTGTCCACTAGCACATTTATCAATTGCATTTTAGGGTGATTTTAGGGATAGGCAACCCCAATTAGTCATTATTCTTTAAAGGTAGTTGTCTGTTAGATGTAGGAAGACTCCAAGGAATGTTAAGTTGGCAACATTCCATTTAGGTTGCACAGAATGACTTTTAAGACTAAACTTCATCAGGAGGAAATGAAAGGCCTTTACCATGGTTCCTGTTCACAGTGAAATTGACATGTATTGGAAAGGAGATGCTTGGAAGAAATGTCTAGCTTCCCCAACAGACTCCTTTCTTCTCTTTTCTGTCTTCCTTTGTTAATCTGCCATGTTTCATCTTCATTCAGATGAGTTATGATGTATATTATTTATGTAGAGATATTATGAGATTATAATGAAGAAGATTTACAAAGACTAAACTATCCTGCAATGATCTAAATTTTTAAGAGACATTTACTCAGTTTGGCACTCCAAAAATTATTAATCTATGTTCTGACAACCCAGTTTGGGGTATATCCAAGATGGCTTGTGTGTTGCTAGTTACTGCTTATAAGGCAACTTTCTCTTTGGGTGGCAGGAAGTAAAATATTTATAAGTTATTGCTAAAATGTTAAAGTTTTATTTGAACCTACTGTACCCAAGTAATTATATAATTCATCACTTTAGTAGCAGTTTGGTTGACACTGAACAACAATGCTCAAATTCATGTAGCAGTAACAAACTACGTGATAAAAGGAACTGAATTTAGAAAGCAAGCTTCAAGTAAAGATCAGAAGATTAAGTAGATTTCATGGAGCTCACTAAGGAGTTAGATGGGAAAGATGAGATAAGAAAAGCACTGGAGTTGAGACCAAAAGGAGACGAAAAAGCAGAGGGTGGATCTTCGAGCTCGGGGGGTTATAAACAAGATGGCCACAAGGTGGCAGCACAGTCTTAACAGCAGAGAGCTTTCTGTAGGGCCACCCTTAATTTGCTAACACCACAGACTTTCTCTTAGAATTCCTCCATGTTGATTTTCCTCATTATCCTAGGGGAAACAGCAGCAAATGTTTAGAATTAAAAATGACTCCTAAAACTTAAGCTGAGGAAAAGTATAGGGTAAAGGCAGCATCTTTACTTCCAGAGACTGTTTAGATGCTCTAAAGAAGGCTTCCAACTCTCTGTGGGAAAGGACCAATTGACATTTCCAAACCATATGTTAAACAGTGATGGGAGGCCATTGTTTTGGGCTAAGCTTGTACACTAGGCCCCAGCCGACCAGACCAAACCAAAATGGAGTCACTCATGCTAAATGTGACATAAACTAAAATTTTAAGGAAACAGATAGATCCCAAAGCAGACCAAGTTTTTTTTCTTTTCTTTTCTTTTTTTTTTCTCATGAAAACAGGAGATTCCGGCACAAGGAAGTCCCCTTGGCTCTCTAACTCTTACAAAAAAGTAACCTGAAATCCATGTTCCCACCTTAAAAACCAACTGTTCTGCTCTTTCCCCGTGGGATCTGAGACCAAATAAGTACATTTATGATGGTAACAGAGTGACCTCAATGCCTAAAGTTTTGGTCAGTGTCAAAATTGAGAGGTTGACCAAAAGGTGGGGAATTGTTAAATTAAGTTTAGCCTAAAGCTGCCTCCTTACATATTTTAAGTTCAGCCTAAAGGTTTCTTCGTACTCAGCGAATTGTAACCTAACTGGAATGTAAATAGACTGTAACCTACTCTTGTACCAATCACCAAGTTTTGGCCAAAGGCAGCCAACTGTTCAAACTGTGTTCAAATCAGGGAAATGCCAAGCTGTAACAAATCCAGCTGTTTCTGTACCTCACTTCCATTTTCCTTATGTTGCTTTCCTTTTTTGTCCACAAATCCTCTGTGACCATGCAGCAGCACTGGAGATGCTTTGAACCTATTCTGGTTTGGGGAGCTGCCCAATTTGCCAGTCGTTCCTTGCTCAGTTAAACTCTGTTAAATTTAATTTGTCTAATGTTTTAACACATCATACACTAATACTTTTGTAAAAGTTAATAAAAATGATATTATACAAAGAAGAACAAAAAAGACATACAGAACATAAACCTATTTTTTGGTAATTAGTTAAACTAATTGTGAAAATAGCACATCAAACTTTCTTTTTAAGGTTTTTGAAAACCAGAAAATCTAATTATTATGCTCTAGCCAAACTACCCAATGTTTGCTTTACATTCTTTCCCCACAAAATGAAATTAGTGAACTTAGGCAGACTCAACTAAGTTCACAAAATCGACTCAAAAAAAAAAAAAAAAAGATTGCTTTGCTTATTGGGGTCTTTTGTAGTTCCATATGAATTTTAGAATTTTTTTTATTTCTGTGAAAAATGTCCTTGGAATTTTGATAAGGGATTCTGTTAAATCTGTATAGCACTTTAGGTCATATGGACATTTTAACAATATTAATTCTTCCAGTCCATGAATATGAGACATCTTGAGACATCTTTCCATTTCTTTGTCTTGTTCAGTTTTTCTAATCAATGTTTTACAGTTTTCAGTGTATAAATCTTTCTTTTTTAAAAAATTTTATTATTATACTTTAAGTTTTAGGGTACATGTGCACAACGTGCAGGTTTGTTACATATGTATACATGTGCCATGTTGGTGTGCTGCACCCATTAACTTGTCATTTAGCATTAGGTATATCTCCTAATGCTATCCCTCCCCGCTCCCTCCACCCCACAACAGTCCCCAGTGTGTGATGTTCCCCTTCCTGTGTCCATGTGTTCTCATTGTTCAATTCCCACCTATGAGTGAGAACATGCAGTGTTTGGTTTTTTGTCCTTGCGATAGTTTGCTGAGAATGATGGTTTCCAGTTTCATCCATGTCCCTACAAAGGACATGAACTCATCATTTTTTATGGCTGCATAGTATTCCATGGTGTATATGTGCCACATTTTCTTAATCCAGTCTATCGTTGTTGGACATTTGGGTTGGTTCCAAGTCTTTGCTATTGTGAATAGTGCCGCAATAAACATACGTGTGCATGTGTCTTTATAGCAGCATGATTTATAGTCCTTTGGGTATATACCCAGTAATGGGATGGCTGGGTCAAATGGTATTTCTAGTTCTAGATCCCTGAGGAATCGCCACACTGACTTCCACAATCGTTGAACTAGTTCACAGTCCCACCAACAGTGTAAAAGTGTTTCAATTTCTCCACATCCTCTCCAGCACCTGTTGTTTCCTGACTTTTTAATGATTGCCATTCTAACTGGTGTGAGATTAGATCTTTCAACTCATTGCTTACATTTATTCCTAAGTATTTTATTCTTTTTATAAACGGGAATTTTTCGGGGGTGGAGCCGAGATGGCCGAATAGGAACAGCTCCAGTCTACAGCTCCCAGCGTGAGCGACGCAGAAGATGGCTGATTTCTGCATTTCCATCTGAGGTACTGGGTTCATCTCACTAGGGAGTGCCAGACAGTGGGCGCAGGACAGTGGGTGCAGTGCACCATGCGCCAGCCGAAGCAGGGCGAGGCATTGCCTCACTCGGGAAGCGCAAGGGGTCAGGGAGTTCCCTTTCCTAGTCAAAGAAAGGGCTGACAGAGGGCACCTGGAAAATCAGGTCACTCCCACCCCAATACAGCACTTTTCCAACAGGCTTAAAAAACGGCGCACCAGGAGATTATGTCCCGCACCTGGCTCGGAGGGTCCTACGCCCACGGAGTCTCGCTGATTGCTAGCACAGCAGTCTGAGATCAAACCGCAAGGTGGCAGCGAGGCTGGGGGAGGGGTGCCCGCCATTGCCCAGGCTTGCTTAGGTAAACAAAGCAGCCTGGAAGCTGGAACTGGGTGGAGCCCACCACAGCTCAAGGAGGCCTGCCTGCCTCTGTAGGCTCCACCTCTGGGGGCAGGGCACAGACAAACAAAAAGACAGCAGTAACCTCTGCAGACTTAAGTGTCCCTGTCTGACAGCTTTGAAGAGAGCAGTGGTTCTCCCAGCACACAGCTGGAGATCTGAGAACGGGCAGACTGCCTCCTCAAGTGGGTCCCTGACCCCTGACCCCCGAGTAGCCTAACTGGGAGGCACCCCCCAGTAGGGGCAGACTGACACCTCACAGGGCCGGGTACTCCTCTGAGACAAAACTTCCAGAGGAACAATCAGCAGCATTCACGGTTCACGAAAATCTGCTGTTCTGCAGCCACCGCTGCTGGTACCCAGGCAAACAGGGTCTGGAGTGGACCTCTAGCAAACTCCAACAGACCTGCAGCTGAGGGTCCTGTCTGTTAGAAGGAAAACTAACAAACAGAAAGGACATCCACACCAAAAACCCATCTGTACATCACCATCATCAAAGACCAAAAGTAGATAAAACCACAAAGATGGGGAAAAAACAGAGCAGAAAAACTGGAAACTCTAAAAAGCAGAGCGCCTCTCCTCCTCCAAAGGAATACAGCTCCTCACCGGCAATGGAACAAAGCTGGACGGAGAATGACTTTGACGAATTGAGAGAAGAAGGCTTCAGACGATCAAACTACTCCGAGCTACAGGAGGAAATTCAAACCAAAGGCAAAGAAGTTGAAAACTTTGAAAAAAATTTAGACTAATGTATAACTAGAATAACCAATACAGAGAAGTGCTTAAAGGAGCTGATGGAGCTGAAAGCCAAGGCTCGAGAACTATGGGAAGAATGCAGAAGCCTCAGGAGCCGATGTGATCAACTGAAAGAAAGGGTATCAGTGATGGAAGATGAGATGAATGAAATGAAGCGAGAAGGGAAGTTTAGAGAAAAAAGAATAAAAAGAAACGAACAAAGCCTCCAAGAAATATGGGACTATGTGAAAAGACCAAATCTACGTCTGATTGGTGTACCTGAAAGTGACGGGGAGAATGGAACCAAGTTGGAAAACACTCTGCAGGGTATTATCCAGGAGAACTTCCCCAATCTAGCAAGGCAGGCCAACATTCAGATTCAGGAAATACAGAGAACACCACAAAGATACTCCTCGAGAAGAGCAACTCCAAGACACATAATTGTCAGATTCACCAAAGTTGAAATGAAGGAAAAAATGTTAAGGGCAGCCAGAGAGAAAGGTCGGGTTACCCACAAAGGGAAGCCCATCAGACTAACAGTGGATCTCTCGGCAGAAACTCTAGAAGCCGGAAGAGAGTGGGGGCCAATATTCAACATTCTTAAAGAAAAGAATTTTCAACCCAGAACTTCATATCCAGCCAAACTAAGCTTCATAAGTGAAGGAGAAATAAAATACTTTACAGACAAGCAAATGCTGAGAGATTTTGTCACCACCAGGCCTGCCCTAAAAGAGCTCCTGAAGGAAGCACTAAACATGGAAAGGAACACCCGGTACTAGCCACTGCAAAATCATGCCAAATTGTAAAGACCATCGAGGCTAGGAAGAAACTGCATCAACTAACAAGCAAAATAACCAGCTAACATCATAATGACAGGATCAAATTCACCCATAACAATATTAATTTTAAATGTAAATGGACTAAATGCTCCAATTAAAAGACACAGACTGGCAAATTGGATAAAGAGTCAAGACCCATCAGTGTGCTGTATTCAGGAAACCCATCTCACGTGCAGAGACACACAGAGGCTCAAAATAAAGGGATGGAGAAAGATCTACCAAGCAAATGCAAAACACAAAAAGGCAGAGGTTGCAATCCTAGTCTCTGATAAAACAGACTTTAAACCAACAAAGATCAAAAGAGACAAAGAAGGCCATTACATAATGGTAAAGGGATCAATGCAACAAGAAGAGCTAACTATCCTAAATATATATACACCCAATACAGGACCACCCAGATTCATAAAGCAAGTCCTGAGAGACCTACAAAGAGACTTAGACTCCCACACAATAATAATGGGAGACTTTAACACCCCACTGTCAGCATTAGACAGATCAACGAGACAGAAAGTTAACAAGGATACCCAGGAATTGAACTCAGCTCTGCACCAAGCAGACCTAATAGACATCTACAGAACTCTCCACCCCAAATCAACAGAATATACATTTTTTTCAGCACCACACCACACCTATTCCAAAATTGACCACATAGTTGGAAGTAAGCTCTCCTCAGCAAATGTAAAAGATCAGAAATTATAACAAACTGTCTCTCAGACCACAGTGCAATCAAACTAGAACTCAGGAATAAGAAACTCACTCAAAACCGCTCAACTACATGGAAACCGAACAACCTGCTCTTGAATGACTACTGGGTACGTAACGAAATGAAGGCAGAGATAAAGATGTTCTTTGAAACCAACGAGAACAAAGACAGAACATACCAGAATCTCTGGGACACATTCAAAGCAGTGTGTAGAGGGAAATTTATAGCACTAAATGCCCACAAGAGAAAGCAGGAAAGATCCAAAATTGACACCCTAACATCACAATTAAAAGAACTAGAAAAGCAAGAGCAAAGACATTCAAAAGCTAGCAGAAGGCAAGAAATAACTAAAATCAGAGCAGAGCTGAAGGAAATAGAGACACAAAAAACCCTTCAAAAAATTAATGAATCCAGGAGCTGGTTTTTTGAAAGGATCAACAAAATTGATAGACCGCTAGCAAGACTAGTAAAGAAGAAAAGAGAGAAGAATCAAATAGACGCAATAAAAAATGATAAAGGGGATATCACCACCAATCCCACAGAAATGCAAACTACCATCAGAGAATACTACAAACACCTCTATGCAAATAAACTAGAAAATCTAGAAGAAGTGGATAAATTCCTCAACACATACACCTTCCCAAGACTAAACCAGGAAGAAGTTGACTCTCTGAATAGACCAATAACAGGCTCTGAAATTGTGGCAATAATCAATAGCTTACCAACGAAAAAGAGTCCAGGACCAGATGGATTCACAGCCGAATTCTACCAGAGGTACAAGGAGGAACTGGTACCATTCCTTCTGAAAGTATTCCAATCAATAGAAAAGAGGGAATCCTCCCTAACTCATTTTATGAGGCCAGCATCATCCTGATATCAAAGCCGGGCAGAAGAGACACAACCAAAAAAGAGAATTTTAGACCAATATCCTTGATGAACATTGATGCAAAAATCCTCAATAAAATACTGGCAAACCGAATCCAGCAGCACATCAAAAAGCTTATCCACCATGATCAAGTGGGCTTCATCCCTGGGATGCAAGGCTGGTTCAATATACACAAATCAATAAATGTAATCCAGCATATAAACAGAACCAAAGACAAAAACCACATGATTATCTCAATAGATGCAGAAAAGGCCTTTGACAAAATTCAACAACCTTTCATGCTAAAAACTCTCAATAAATTAGGTATTGATGGGACATATTTCAAGATAATAAGAGCTATCTATGACAAACCCACAGCCAATATCATACTTAATGGGCAAAAACTCGAAGCATTCCCTTTGAAAACTGGCACAAGACAGGGATGCCCTCTCTCACCACTCCTATTCAAGATAGTGTTGGAAGTTCTGGCCAGGGCAATTAGGCAGGAGAAGGAAATAAAGGGTATTCAATTAGGAAAAGATGAAGTCAAATTGTCCCTGTTTGCAGATGACATGATTGTATATCTAGAAAACCCCATTGTCTCAGCCCAAAATCTCCTTAAGCTGATAAGCAACTTCAGCAAAGTCTCAGGATACAAAATCAATGTGCAAAAATCACAAGCATTCTTATACACCAATAACAGACAAACAGAGAGCCAAATCTTGAGTGAACTCCCATTCACAATTGCTTCAAAGAGAATAAAATACCTAGGAATCCAACTTACAAGGGATGTGAAGGACCTCTTCAAGGAGAACTACAAACCACTGCTCACTGAAATAAAAGAGGATACAAACAAATGGAAGAACATTCCATGCTCATGGGTAGGAAGAATCAATATCATAAAAATGGCCATACTGCCCAAGGTAATTTATAGATTCAATGCCATCCCCATCAAGCTACCAATGACCTTCTTCACAGAATTGGAAAAAACTACTTTAAAGTTCATATGGAACCAAAAAAGAGCCCGCATTGCCAAGTCAATCCTAAGCCAAAAGAACAAAGCTGGAGGCATCACGCTACCTGAGTTCAAACTATACTACAAGGCTACAGTAACCAAAACAGCATGGTACTGGTACCAAAACAGAGACATAGATCAATGGAACAGAACAGAGCCCTCACAAATAACGCCGCATATCTACAACTATCTGATCTTTGACAAATCTGAGAAAAATAAGCAATGGGGAAAGGATTCCCTATTTAATAAATGGTGCTGGGAAAACTGGCTAGCCATATGTAGAAAGCTGAAACTGGATCCCTTCCTTACACCTTATACAAAAATTAATTCAAGATGGATTAAAGACTTAAACGTTAGACCTAAAACCATAAAAACCCTAGAAGAAAACCTAGGCATTACCATTCAGGACATAGGCATGGGCAAGGACTTCATGTCTAAAACACCAAAAGCAATGGCAACAAAAGCCAAAATTGACAAATGGGATCTAATTAAACTAAAGAGTTTTTGCACAGCAAAAGAAACTACCATCAGAGTGAACAGGCAACCTACAAAATGGGAGAAAATTTTCGCAACCTACTCATCTGACAAAGGGCTAATATCCAGAATCTACAATGAACTCAAACAAATTTACAAGAAAAAAACAAACAACCCCATCAAAAAGTGGACGAAGGATATGAGCATACACTTCTTAAAAGAAGACATTTATGCAGCCAAAAAACACATGAAAAAATGCTCACCATCACTGGCCATCAGAGAAATGCAAATCAAAATCACAATGAGATACCATCTCACACCAGTTAGAATGGCAATCATTAAAAAGTCAGGAAACAACAGGTGCTGGAGAGGATGTGGAGAAATTGGAACACTTTTACACTGTTGGTGGGACTGTAAACTAGTTCAACCCTTGTGGAAGTCAGTGTGGCGATTCCTCAGGGATCTAGAACTAGAAATACCATTTGACCCAGCCATCCCATTACTGGGTATATACCCAAAGGACTATAAATCATGCTGCTATAAAGACACGTGCACACGTATGTTTATTGCAGCACTATTCACAATAGCAAAGACTTGGAGCCAACCCAAATGTCCAACAACGATAGACTGGATTAAGAAAATGTGGCACATATACACCATGGAATACTATGCAGCCATAAAAAATGATGAGTTCATGTCCTTTGTAGGGACATGGATGAAATTGGAAATCATCATTCTCAGTAAACCATTGCAAGAACAAAAAACCAAGCACCGCATGTTCTCACTCATAGGTGGGAATTGAACAATGAGAACACATGGACACAGGAAGGGGAACATCACACTCTGAGGACTGTTGTGGGGTGGGGGGAGGGGGGAGGGATAGCTTTAGGAGATATACCTAATGCTAAATGACAAGTTAATCGGTGCAGCACACCAGCATGACACATGTATACATATGTAACTAACCTGCCCATTGTGCACATGTACCCTAAAACTTAAAGTATAATAATAATAAAATAAAATAAAAATAAATGGGAATTTTTCTTGATTTCCTTTTCAGATAGATTATGATTGGTGTAAAGAGATGCAACTGTGTTTTGTGTGTTGATTTTTGTATCCTGCAACTTAATTCATTTTGTGTTCTTTACGGTTTTCTTCATATAGGATCATGTCATTTACTGAGTACGTGCTCTGTGGCAACAATTTTACATGCATCATATCTGTACTAGTTTAGAATTATTATAATTTTTATTTGACAAATAAAGGAACTTGGGCTCAGAGTTGTTTGCTCAAGATTATACAGCTAGTAACTGGCAGAGCTGAGATTTAAACCCAGAGCACTCTAACTCTAACTCCAGAGGGCATACTTTTTTTTTTTTTTAATGCCATAATCCTGCTATCGCATCCTACTTTTTGAGCAAAATAAAATAATTTCAAATTTATGAACTAGTCTTAAGATAAATGGGAAAATTGTATTTCAAAAGTGAGACAGTGATAAAGCTAAGGACAAGAAAAAAATGTTAACTTTGTATCCTGTAACCTTGCTGTAATTGCTTATTATAGTTCCAGGAGTTTTTCGGTCAATTCTTTTTGGATTGTCTACATAGATGATCATGTCATCTGCAAACAAAGACAGTTTTATTTCCTCCTTTCCAACCTGTATACTTTTTTTTCCCAATCTTATTGTGTTAGCTAGGATTTCCAGTACAATGTTGAAAAGCAGTGGTAGGAGGGGACATCCTTGCCTTGTTCCTGATCTTAGTGGGAAAGCTTTATTGTTTTTTACCATTAAGTATGATGTTAGTTGTAGATTTTTTAAAAATCAAGGTGAGAAATTTCCTGTCTATTCCTAGTTTGCAGAGAGTTTTTGTATTTAAAATCATTAATGGGTGTTAGATTTTGTCAAATGCCTTTTCCACATTCATTGATATGTGGAAAAATCATATGATTTTTCTTCTTTAGCCTGTTAATGTGATGGATTACATTAACTGATTTTCAAATGTTGAATCAGCTTTACATAGCTGGGACAAATCCCACTTGGTTGTGATGTGTAATTCTTTTTATATATTCTTGAATTCAATTTGCTAATACTTTCGTTGAGAATTTTCACATCTATGTTCATGAGAGATATTGGTCTGTAGTTTTCTTGTAATGTCTTTGTCTGGTTTTGGTATTAGAGTAATGCTGGTCTCATAAAATGAGTTAGTAAGTCTTTCACTTGCTTCTATCTTCTGAAAGACATTATAGATAATTGTGTAATATTTTCCTTAAATTTTTGGTAGAATTCAGTGAACCTATCTGTGCCTGGTGCTATATGTTTTGGAATGTTGTTAATTGTTGATTGAATTTCTTTGATAGATATAGGCCCATTAAGACTGCCTATTTATCTTATGTAAGCTTTGGAAGATTGTGTCTTTCAAGGAGTTCGTCCATTTTATCTAGGTTGTCAAATAGGTGAGCATAGATTGTTCATCATGCTCCTTGATTATCCTTTTAATGTCTGTGAGATCCGTAGTGATGATGTCCCCTCTTTCATTTCTGATATTAGTAATTCGTGTCCTTCTGTTTTTTCTTAGTTAACCTGGCTTGAGGCTTATTGATTTTATTGATCTAAAGAAAACCTATCAGCTTTCGGTTTAATGATTTTCTCCATTGTTTTTCTATTTTTAATTTTATTGATTTCTGCACTGGTTTTTATTATTTCATTTTTTTCTGCTTACTTTGAATTTAATTTGCTGTGCTTTTTCTAGTTTCCTAGAGTGAAAGCCTAGATGATTGACTGAAGGTCTTCTTTTTTTCTTTTTTTTTTTTTTTTTGAGATGGAGTTTCGCTCTTTTTGCCCAGGCTGGAGTGCAATGGCGTGATCTCGGCTCACTGCAACCTCTGCCTCCTGGGTTCAAGTGATTCTCCTGCCTCAGCCTCCAGAGTAGCTGGGATTACAGGCATGCACCACCACACTCGGCTAATTTTGTATTTTTAGTAGAGACAGGGTTTCTCCATGTTGGTCAGGCTGGTCTCGAACTCCCGACCTCCGGTGATCCACCCGCCTCGGCCTCCGAAAGTGCTGGGATTACAGGCGTGAGCCACCGCGCCTGGGCCTAGGTCTTTCTTTTTTTCTAATGTATGCATTTTATATATATTTCCATCTAATTATTGCTTTTGCTGCATCCCCCAAATTTTGAAACATTGTATTTTCATTGAGTTCAAAATAGTTTTAAATTTCTCTTGCAAGTTATTCTTTGACCTATGTATTATTTAGAACTTCGTTGTTTAATTTCCAAGTATTTTGGAATTTTCCAGCTATCTTTCTTTTTTCTTTTTTAAAAAATTGAGATGAGGTTTCACCATGTTTCCCAGGCTGGTCTCGGACTCCTGAACGCAGGCCATCCACCTGATTTCAGCCTTACAAAGTGCTGGGATTACAGGTGTGAGCCACCACGCCTGGCAGGAATTTTCCAGCTATCTTTCTGTTTCTGATTTCTAGTTGTAACTCCACTGTGGTCTGAAAGCAGACACTGTATGATTTCTATTCATTTACATCTGTGAAGGTATGTTTTAGGGTCCAGAATATGGCCAATTTGGTAAGTGTTTCCTGTTAGCTTGAGAAGAATGTATGGTGTTGAATGAAGTAATTTATAAATGTCAATTATATCCAGTTGATTGATGGTGCTATTGAGTTCAGCTATTTCCTTACTGATTTTCTGCAGGCTGTATCTGCCCATTCTGATTGAGGAGTGTTAATGTTTTCAATTTTAATACTGGATTAATCTTTTGCCTTGAAGTTCTATCTGTTTTTGCTTCACATATTTTGATACTCTGTTGTTAGGCACACACACATTAAGCATTGGTATGTTTTCTTGGAGTATTGATCCCTTAACCATTTGGTAATGCTTCTCTTTATTCTTGACAACTGTCTTTGCTCTGAAATTAATGTAGCTACTCTTCTTTCTTTCGATTATTATTAGCATGGTATATCTTTCTTTATCTCTTTCAATCTGTATGTGCCTTTATATTTAAAGTGGGTTTCTTTTAAACAACATATAGCCAGGTTTTGTTTTTTTAGATCATTCTGGCAATCTGTCTTTTCATTGATGTATTTAGATCATTGATTTATTTTTTATTTATTTATTTTTTTGAGACGGAGTTTTGCTCTTGTTGCCTAGGCTGGAGTGCAATGGCGCGATCTCGGCTCACCGCAACCTCTGCCTCCTAGGTTCAAGCGATTCTCTAGCCTCAGCCTCCTGAGTAGCTGGGATTACAGGCATGTGCCACCATGCCTGGCTAATTTTTTGTATTTTTAGTAGAGACGGGGTTTCTTCATGGTGGTCAGGCGTGTCTCTAACTCCCAACCTCAGGTGATCTGCCCTCCTTGGCCTCCCAAAGTGCTGGGATTACAGGTGTGAGCCATTGCGCCCAGCCAGATCATTGATGTTTAAAGAAATTATTGGTATTTGGATTAATATCTACCTTATTTAATACTGTTTTTTATTTGTTGCTCTTATTCTTTGTTTCTATTTTTGCCTTCCACACTTTTTCAACCTTTTATATTTTTTATTGAGCAATCTGTATGATTGTATTTTTCTGTCCTTTCTTAGCACATCAGTTCTACTTCTTTTTAAACATTTTTCAGTGATTGTCTTAGAGTTTGTAATATTCATTTATAACTAATCTAAGTACACTTTCAAATAACACTATACGGCTTCAGGTAGTACAAGTACTATATAATAACAAAATATTTCTACTCTCTCATCTTTTGTATCATTGCTGTGATTTATTTTACTTACATGCTTATATATATGTGTGTGTGTGTGTGTGTGTGTCTGTGTGTAATTAAATGCATTGTTGCTAATATCCTTTTAAACAGTCATCTGTTAGATCAATTACGAATAAAAAAATAAAAGTTTTTATTTTACCCTTTACGTATTCATTCTCAAATGCTCTTCCTTTCTTTATATAAATCCAAGTTTCTGAGCTATATCATTTTCATTCTCTTTGAAGAACTTTTAAAAATATTACTTGCAGGTCAGGCTTACTGACAACAAATTCTCTCAATTTTTGCCTGTCTGAGGAAGTATTTCTCTTTCACTTCTGAACGTTAATTTCACAGGGTGTGGAATTCTAGGTTGATGAGTTTTTTTCTATCAACACTTTAAATTTTTTCTTCCACTCTCTTCTTGCTTGCATTGTTTTTGAGAAATCATGTGTAATTTTTATCTTTACTTCTGTGTTCATAAGGTGTTTAATGATTTATTTTTAATTTAATTTAATTTAATTTTTTAAGAGATAGTGTCTCCCTATATTGCCCAGGCTTGTCTGGAACTCCTGGCCTCAAGCAATTCTACCACCTCAGCCTCCCAAAGTGTTCAGATTACAGGCATGAGCCATGAGCCACCACACCTGGCTGCGATTTTTTCTTTATGTTTAATTTTTTGAAATTTGAATATCTATGCCTAAGCATAGTTTTTTTTGTTTTCTTTTTGTTTTGCATTTATCTTGCTTGGTGTTCTCTGAGCTTCCTAGATCTGTGGATTGGTGTCTAACATTAATTTGGGGGAAATTTTCACTCATTATTGCTTCAAATATTGCTTCTGCTCTTTTCTCTTTTTCCTCTCCTGGGATTTCCATTACATATGTTTACACCCTTTGTAGTTGTCCCCCAGCTTTTGGATATTCTGTTATGAGTTTTTATTTTCAGTCTGTTTTCTTTTTGCTTTTGGTATTGGACTTTCTTTTCTTTTTTTTTTTTTTTGAGATGGAGTCTCACTCTGTCGCCAGGCTGGAGTGCAGTGGCAGTGGTGCAATCTTGGCTCACTGCAACCTCCGCCTCCCGGGTTCAAGTGATTCTCCTGCCTCAGTCTCCCAAGTAGCTGGGATTACAGGCATGTGCCACCATGCCCGGCTAATTTTTTGTATTTTTAGTAGAGATGGGGTTTCACCATGTTGGCCAGGATGGTCTCAATCTCATGACCTCGTGATCCACCTGCCTTGGCCTCCCAAAGTGCTGGGATTACATGGACATTTTTATTGTTATGTCCCCAAGCTTGGAGATTCTTTCTTCATCATGTCCAGTCTACTAATGGGTTCATCAAAGGCATTCTTTGTTTCTCTTACACTATATTTTTTTGTAATCTCTGTGATTTCTTTTTTGCTTTTAGAATTTTCATGTTTCTGTTTACATTATATACCTGTTCTTGCATGCTATCTACTTTTTCCATTAAAGTCCTTAGCATAGTCCATAGTCCATAGAAGCATTAAATTTCTGGTCTGGTAATTCTAGCGTTTCTACCATATGCGATTCTGTCCAGATATGCTTGTTCAGTCTCTTCAGATCTTTAAACTGTGTTTTTTGTCTTTTAGTTTGCCTTATAATTTTTGGTTAAAAGGTACACATGATGTACTGGGTAAAAAGAACTGCAGTAAATAGGCCTTTAGTAATGTAGTGGTAAGGTGTAGGAAGAAGGGGAAGTGTATTAGTTCATTTTCATACTGCTATGAAGAAATACCTGAGACTGCGTAATTTATAAATAAAAAGAGGTTTAATGCACTCACAATTCCACATGGCTGGGGAGGCCTCACAATCATGGCAGAAGGTGAAGGAGAAACAAAGGCACATCTTACATGGCAGCAGGCAAGAGAGAAGTGGCGAGAAAAAGGGGGAAAAACCCCTTATAAAATCATCAGATCTCATGAGAACTCACTCACTGTCATGAGAACAGCAGCATGGGGGTAACCACCCCTATGATTCAAGTACCTCTCACCGGGTCCCTCTTATGACGTAGGGATTATGGGAGCTACAATTCAAGGTGAGATTTGGGTGGGGACACAGCCAAACCATATCAGGGAGCATTCTGTGGTCTTATGAGTAGGTCTCAGTCTTTTGGTGAGCTTATGCCCCTGAATTGTGAACTTCATCACTGTTTCTCTGTCCCTATCTCTCTCCATCTCCCCACTCCCACTCCCACACTTTACATGGGAAGGAATGACTTAGAAGGGGTTGGAATTGGGTATTTCTTTTCTTCCATGTGGAAAGCTAGAGGGAGCTGGGTTGGCTATTTCCCTTTCCCCAGCTTGATCAGGCTCTGATCAAACCCCAGTAGGCTCTGGTAAAATAGTTTCTTCTGAGGCCAGGCTTTCTTAAGAACAGAATGCTCTGGCACATTTCAAAATTGGTTTTATTTTGTGTCCCCCTGCTGGAATCATAAGGGAATTTTTCTCTGATATTTGCTGTCAGGTAGAGCTCCTGGATGTAAAACGCATAAAAGTGTGGAAGCCCCCATATGACTGGGTCTCTCTGGAGTTTTAAACTTACAGTTGTCTTCACTGAGCCTCTAGCAATCCATTAATTACAGTTCAGGTTTTCCTATCCTAGCACTTGTTCCTGTGGAGGTTTTTGCCTGGGAGTTTATGTTCTGATAAGTTGTGATTCTCAGTATCTGCCTGTCTCTCTGATATTTGGGGCAGTGGTTTGTCCTATAACTCTACTTTTCTGATGGTTCTAAGAAGAGTTGTTGATTTTTCAGTCTGTTCCAGTTTTTACGTGATGTTAGGATGGAGTAGCAACTTCCAAGCTCCTTACATGCTGAACCAGTTTATTCCTTTTTAATGCTGAATAATATTCCATCGTATGGATATACTACAATTTGTTTATTCATCTGTTGGTGGACATTTGAATTGTTTCTAGTGTTGGGCTATCGTATTAGTCCATTTTCATACTTCTGTAAGAACTGCCCAAGACTGGTAATTTATAAAGGAAAGAGGTTTAATTGACTCTCAGTTCTGCATGGCTGGGGAGACTTCAGGAAATTTATGATTATGGCAGAAGAGGAAGGGGAAGCAAGGTACCTTCTTCACAAGGTGGCTGGAAGGAGAAGTGCTGAGTGAAGGAGGAAGAGCCCCTTATAAAACCATCAGATCTTGTGAGAATTCACCCACTATCATGAGAACAGCATGGGCAAAACTGCCCCCATGATTCAGTTACCTCCACCTGGTCTCTCCCTTGACATGTAGAAATTATGGGGATTACAATTCAAGATGAGATTTGGGTGGAGACACAAAGCCTAACCATATTATGAAAAAAGCCACTCTGAACATTCATGTTTAAGTCTTTGTGTGAACATATGTTCCACTTTTCTTGCATGTATACCCAATAGTGGAATTGCTAAGTTTTATGATAAATAAATTTCAACTTTCTAAGAACTGCCAAACTGTTTTCCACAGTGATTTACCATTGTACATTCCCACTAGCAATTTATGAGCATTCCAGTTGCTCCACATCCTTGCCAACACTTGGTATTGTCAGTGAAAGGAAGCATTTACTATATCAATTTAGAAAGACTAGTTTCTTCTAAGCTTGCCATTTGACAGAAAGGGAATGAAGAGTGGATGGGACTCTGTAGTTTCTTCATTTGGATAGCTAATGCCCCATAAATCTCCAAAGATACCACATTTATCAAGAAATTTGATATTTAAATTATCACCATTTTCAGCTTCTCTTGTCCCAATTTCTTCCAAATGGAGCTAAACTCAGTTCAATCTGGTTTTCCAATTAGGTAGAGTATATGGAAGCTGAGAGGAAGTATTATGGCTGTAGACTCAGTAGGGCATATGGTGAGCTCTGAAAATCCTCCAAGTGGTTGCTGTTGAGAAATTCATTGTCGGTCTAGTTGTTTCATTATAGATAATTTTTCTTTGTGACATTTAAGAAACATTCCTTACCTTTGATTTTTTTTTTCTTTTTTTTTTTTGAGACAGAGCCTTGCTCTGTCACCCAGGCTGGAGTGCAGTGGCGCGATCTTGGCTCACTGCAACCTCTGCCTCCCAGGTTCAAGCGATTCTCCTACCTCAGCCTCCTGAGTAGCTGGGATTACAGGCACCCACCACCATGCCTGGCTAATTTTTGTATTTTTAGTAGAGATGGGGTTTCGCCATGTTGGCCAGGCTGGTTTCAAACTCCTGACCTTAGGTGATCTACCTGCCTCGGCCTCCCAAAGTGCTGGGATTACAAGCATGAGCCATGGCGCCCAGCCCTTACCTTTGATATTTTAATTTCACTATGATGTGTTTAGGTATGGATTTATCCTGCTTAAAACCCAAATTTCATGATTCTTATTTTTCATTAATTCAGAAAAATAGTCATTATTTTCTGAGTCTTATTTTCTCAACAGAGAAATGTTTCTCTGTTCTCAACAGATAAAAATATTTCTCTCTTTTCCCATCTTTTGGAACATAGATTTGGTATATGTTGAACATTTTCATTTATTCTATGTGATTCTTCATTTCTCTTTTGCAGTGGCTATAAAAATTATCATTCATTTTTCAATGCTGCATTCTAGTTAATTTCTCCGGATCAGTCATCTAGTTCTCCACTTCTTTCTACAGGTCTTTAATCTGCTATTTAACCTACTTAAGGGGTTTTAAAAATCCAGTGCTTATGTTTATCATTTCTACATGCTTTAGGGATTTTGGTCTTTAATTAATTTAAATGTTCTTATAGACTATAACAAACAATTCTATTTTCTAAAGTTCTTGGGAGTCTAACTCTGCTTTTTGTTATTTCTACCTACTCTTGCTTACCTGGATTGCTTTTTGAGTGTGGTAAAATTTTATTTAGTAAGTCATACTTGGTGGGGATCCTGTGTGGCTTACATTCATGGGATGTCTTTCTAGAGCAATGTTTCCATTTTCTTCTTCAACTTTTATTTTAAATTCTGGGGTACGTATGCAGGATGTGCATGTTTGTTACATAGGTAAACATGTGCCATGGTAGTTTGCTGCACAGATCATCCCATCACCTAGGTATTAAGCCCAGCATCCATTAGCTATTCTTCCTGGTGTAGAGCAGTGTTTTTTAATTTTCCTGCATATTAGATTAATCTACTGAGCCTTTAAATATCAAGATGCCAGGTTGAAGCTCAGACCAGTTAACTCAGATACTGTGAGTATGAGACTGAAGCATCAGTGTTTTTAAAACCTCACAGTCAAGATTGAGAACCATTGCTCTAGAGAAAATTTGCCTTTGATTTTTACAGGCACTGTGAGTGTGTTTTCAGACCTGGACCAGTTTAATATCAGTGTCTCAACTTTGGGTTCCTGAACTATATAGGTAGCATAAATTTGAAACTCATGTTTGGGGAACCTTTTTCTTTCTCTCATCAAACATGTAGGCTGAGATAGACAGATTCCTTGTCATCTCTTTGCACTTAGAGAGTAGCCCTTTAGGGGTCATGGGGGCAAGGAAGGGCTCTGTTCTACTTCATCAGGTTGAGCAAACCCAAGGCTTCATTGTTGATTCCGTATGTCTGTGAAATCCTGAACTTCTTGATTACCAATATTAACAAATGCCCTCTGTGTGACTTAAATGTCGATGCCAGTGCAGCAGTTCTATGTTTATGTCTTTTTCTGATTTTGGTTCTAAATTCCTCTTACTTCCGTGAGAGCTCAGCTGTACATTTAGAATCTTTGTTATATTTAACAATTCTCAGTTTTTCTGTGTACTTACATCACACTATTGCTAGAAATAGAAGTCTTGCTATGATGGCATTCTCTACCTTTGTGGCCATGCCCTACCCTTTGGGATCATCCTCTTTTCCAGATGCCTGCCTAAACCAAGTGTGAACTTGCTGTGTCTTTAGACATGGTGCATTGGGTTTGCAAGTGTCTATCTGGCAGGCCCCTGGAGCTTGTATGTGTTCCTTCACCCTGCTTGGCTTGGTCTTGGCTTTGTCTTAATCCATCTGGTCTCTGTTGCCAAGGTCTAGGCATGCTTTGAATTCCAACCTACCTGAATTATGTCAACCTCTATTCTTTTTCTTGTGTTTCCAAGTCTTTGTCTTCACTCACTTGCTAAACTCAGGTCTGGTTTCAGTTTATTTCCTGGACTCATCTTTCCACAAAGGACTCGCTTTCCCTGATTTGAGGGTTTGTAGCACAGTTTATAACACCATGGGAGTGAGTCCAGCTCAGGATTCACATTTCTAGGATGCCAAGATGGTCTGAGCAAATAGCTTCTAACTTTATATGTCATTAAAAAAACACTTGTTACTGAGTATGTAAATTCCAAATACTTTCTATTATATATTGATAACATTTGTACCTATAGTATTAATTGAAGATAAATGCTGTATCACTGATTTTGTCAGGAAGAAGGATACCCTTTACAGTTGAGGATACACTTTTGTTTTTTTTAAATTTGCTTAATTCATGTATAGCCATCTTCCTGTGTATCAAATAAAACCAGCTGTGACTGGATTGTGGCTCTTGTAGTCCATGCAACCTTTTTACTCTGAGACCTTGGAAGGAAGCTGAGTTTGGTGGAAAGCATCCAGAGAACTCTTGGCAGCCTTGATGGATCATTTACCCCAGTTTGGACTTTTCTATCTCTTTTAGGAAGCTCTGCTGAGATCATTACTGAAACATCAGTTTTCCTCAGAGAATAACCCCTGGTCTTCTGCCAGTGGAGTTAGCATTTGGTTATGAAGATGGCTTTGAGAATTAAATAAGATACCTGGAGGCAAGAGTGCATTATGTACCGGTAGTGAGCCCACAGAAATGATAGGTTGCATGATTGTTGGTGGATAGTGGTCTAATATAATCTTTAATCTTTCATCTATCAATTGCATCCTTTAGGATTTGTGTTAATGCCCCCCTTTCAATCATTCTGTCTTTATTTAGATTTCTCTTCATATTTTCTGTCTTTTCTTTCTTGGCAGTATCTTCAAAAGTAATTAGGCGGCTGTCCCAGAAGTTGCCTTTGAAGATTGTTGCAATGTGTATACCTGTCAAAAGGAATTGACCAAACCCTGCTGAAAGCTATTTTACACATCAATTTATGAGCCAATCTCAGCTCTTCTGTTCTGAGCTGATCATCCAGAATGATCCAAAAGGAAACCATCAGAGCCAATCATAGTGCCTGGAGTGATTTTCAGATGCCTTTTTTTCTTCTTTTACTTACACAGGGCACTCGGGAATCTTGCACTCTGGATGAACCCAGTTTACATTTTGGTTGGGATGGGGAAAGTAGAGCTTTAGACTTTATTTTGAAGGCAAAAACCCTTTTATTTACATAGGAAACATTTCAATTCTATATGGTTTTTTTTTTTCTCTTTGTTTTCTTTTCTTCTTTCCCTCTATCCTTCCTTCCTTCCTTCCTTCCATCCTCCCACCCTCCCTCCCTTCTTTCCTTCCTACCTACCAACCTACATTTTTTTTTCTCTCTTTTGGTATCTTGGAACATATCTAAGGCTTTTGGAAAATGGACATTGTTGAAGAAAAAGTGTTATCACTATTACAAAAATATGATTTAGAATAATGGAACCTCAGATTTGGAAAGAACCCAAGGATTCCTTTATTTCAGCCATTTAACTAATGCTTAAATTCTTTCCAATCTAGTCACAGCCCATGATGGGATACCTACATCACCTGCAAGTGTTGGGAAACTTCTGTGTCCTGCAGTATCCCTTACAATTTTGAACAGCTCTGGCTGTTATTTAGTTACTGTTTATGTTGAGCTAAAATATACTCTCCTGTAATGCCTATCCTCTGCTCTTTAGTTTCTTTTTTGGGGACCATAAAGAGCAGTATTTTTAAAATTTCAGGCTGAAATTCAGGGTTGTGAAATAATTTTAATTGGTTATGACCATCATTAAAAGAGAAGAAAAAGGCCAGATGTGGTGGCTCATGCCTGTGATCCCAGTGCTTTGAGAGGCTGAGGCAGGAGGGTCACTTGAGCCCAGGAGTTTGAGACCAGCCTCGGCAACGTAATGAGCACAGGTCTCTACAGAATAATTTAAAAATTAGCTTGGCATGGTGATGTGTATCTGTTGTCCCAACTACTCAGGAGGCTGAGGTGGGAGGATGGCTTGAGCCCAGAAGGTCAAGGTTGCAATAAGCTGTGATTGCACTGCTGCACTCTGGCCTGGGTGACAGAGACTCTGTCTCTAAAAACAAATAATAATAAATAAATAAAAGGAGAAGAAGAACAAATAGAACAGAATGAGAGTAGAACAAAATAGAAAATATCAGAGTATATCACAAGTAGTAAAGTTTTCATGAAACCTTTGTCTTGATTTTATGTTTATTTAATTATATAATTAACTATGTATGTGCACTGTATCTCAATGGTCAAAAGAGTTTGAAAGCTGCTGAATAGAACATGTCTCACTTTTCTTCCCTATGCCACCCACATAGTTGAGCCATTCTCATGCCCCATCAAGTCTTTTCTTCCCTACACGAAGCATTTCCATTTCTTTCCACTCATCCATATGTATCACAGTCTCACATTTCCTTGCCACACTGAACACAGTTCAATGAATCTAGTTTGTATGAAAAATTGGGACCTGGAATCAAAAACAATGTCCCTAGCTATGTTCTAACTGAAACAGGGGCAAGTAGAACTACCCTGTTCTTGGTTAGCAGAATGCACTTCACTGCATTTTAATGCAGCCTGAAGTGATTAGATCGATGAGGATGTGTCACAGAGACTCCAGAGCCAGAGGCCCCTGGGCTGTGTCTCATAGTGATGAAATACACAGCCCAGGGGCCTCTGGCTTTGGAGTCTCTGTTTAGTCAGTGTAAGCCTGCAGATAAGCTGAAGAGTAACCAAGGGCAAGTTACTTCTCTATGCCTCAATTTCCTCATCTGTAATATAAGCATATTTCAAATTTGCAGTATTTTATAATATTTTTGGATTTTTTTTGTGAGTATTAAATGAGTTAATACATGTAAAGGACAGAAAAGGGCATATAATAAGCACTTAGCAATCCCAAATATTTTTAAAGCAATATCAGCAAATTATTGATTCATTGAACATTTCATCAACTCAGACATGTAGAGCTTTCAGCATGTGTATAAATAGTGTGATTATATGTCCCATTGTGCCCAGGGTAGCCCTAGTTTTTACCTATTGTCCTGGCATAATTAATGGTATCCCCTTTCATTCTCAAAGGCTCCAACAGAACCTCAGATTTGCTTATTCCAAATCGTATTTTTGCAGTAGGAATTAATATTTTCCTCAGTTGTGTGCCATCCTAGATAAAAGCCACAACTTCTCTCACTAAATATTTAATCAATTTTGGATTTACTTGGAAGATGGGATCTCTCTCTCTTTTTTTTTCTACTGAAGTTTCACCTGAGCCCGCTGCCCATTGCTATACCTCCTTTCCTTGCCAAGTGGCAGAAGTTAGCTTCAGACTAGAAACTCCAAAGGGGAGGCTGTCCCCCTTGGGCCCAATTACCTGGGTTTAATTTGCCCATCATTCTGTTCTGTGAAGACCTTTTGGATTCTGATTCTGTCATTCAGGATATTTACTAATCCTCAATTTCATGTTATTTTCAAGTCCTTTTTCCTAGGGAGCTGACATCCCTTAAAGGTTGCTTTATGTCTTAATCCAAGTAAGCTGAGGTTACCCAATGGGGTTTTCCAGAGAGGGTTTATATAAAGCCCTGTGGAAGTGTTAATGGTTGCTATGTATTGAACCTTTATTATGTGCAAACAAACTGCACAGTATCCCTCAAATTAGGGGTGTTGTGAACATTTTACACATGTATATTCCCTGGTCAATGTCACATCACCATGAGTTAGGTGTTATCTCCATTTTAGGGGTGAGGGAAGCAAGGTTGTCACGTAGGTAGTGAGGCGGAGAGCTGGGACTTGAATCCAGTCTGTGTGGTGAGGATACCTGGAGAACAGGGCACCCTCAGAATGAAGGTCTGAACAGAGGTTCTTGATAACATAGCCTTTAAACTGGAAGGCTTTTTTTCTGATGTGATAAAATTATACTTCCATATGTAATTCATCATTCTGTTGAGGTCTCATAGTCCTTATTTAAAATATCAATTATTTCCATAAAGATGAAACTATTAAAGCAGATGTGGATGAGGTGGAACTTTGGGGGTTGGAGGATTAATAATTTGAGGGACACTGTGCAGTTTTTTTTCTTGTAAAACATCTATAATGTCTATTTGCTTTTCCTCATACGAATGAAAGAATATGTGCACCTGTGTGTAACCTCCTAGGCAATGAAACAGTTGGCTTTCTGTGGAATAGATTGGTGCACCAAAGACCAAAGTGCCTTCCTTTGAATTATTTTCCCACTTTCCATAGATTTATATTCTTCCCTATCATGATACCATAATCAGTGAGTTTTTTATTGATTTATATCAGACTTACTTCCAAAGAGAACTTGAGTTTATATCACTTTTTGTTGATGTATCAGCAACGTTAAAAATATTACTTCTGTATTACTAACATAGTCTATTACTAAAAAGTAGGCACTATAATGGAATATGTGAATGAATTGGTGAATGGCCAACACATATTAACTTTAAGAATGTTTCTCTCTCACTTGTGTTTTGTTGTTGGTGAGTTGAGCTACTTTGTCTCTTTTTTTTTGACACCAAGATTTTTTTTTTTTCCCTGAGACAGGGTCTTCCTCTGTCGCCAGGCTGGAGTGCAGTGGTGTGATTATGGCTCACTTAAGTGCAAGATTCTTCTAAGCAAGATTTCTTTTTTTAAAAAAGTTGTGATGTTTGAAAGAATGAGTCTATTTCCTAAGGCTTTGGCTTTTGGAGAGGTCTGGTTAGCTTCTTTGAAGATCCAGTCTCACACTGACTGGTTACCTGCATGACAGAAGGGGTAGAAAACAGCCTTTCCAAGGGTGAGACAAAGACCTCTTAACTGTCACTGTTAGTCCCCTTTTACAAGCCCAAAATAGTTACTGAAGCCGCTAGGGCTGGGCATTTGCCATATTAACACCTCCAGCTTTTAAGTGGAAAGACTAGGAGACGTGAGTACCAAAGTGGATGGAAGAGCATTTATATATAGGTCCTAAGCATATCAGAGGGAGGAAAGGCTAAGCCCATCATTTGTTCCTGGCTCCTCCTGCTGATGCCTTTGAGATGTGAGGGTCAGGTTGCTTCAGCAGAGCCTAAAACTTAGTCTTTCCCTTGTAGAACCTTTTAAATTTCTACCTAAGTTATAATTCACATCCGAAAGCACACCAGTCTTTGATTTAAGTATTTTTATATTTACATTTATTATTTATTTTTATTATACTTTAAGTTCCGGGATACATGTGCAGAACATGCAGGTTTGTTACATAGGTATACATGTGCCGTGGTGGTTTCCTGCACCTATCAACCCGTCATCTACATTAGGTATTTCTCCTAATGCTATCCCTCCCCTTGCCCCCCACCCCCGACAGGCCCCCGTGTGTGATGTTCCCCTCCCTGTGTCCATGTGTTCTCATTGTTCAACTGTCACTTATGAGTGAGAACATGCGGCGTTCAGTTTTCTGTTCCTGTGTTAGTTTGCTGAGAATGAGAATGAGAAAAAAAGAATGCTCATCCTTTTTTATGGCTGCATAGTATTCCATGGTATATATGTGCCACATTTTCTTTATCCAGTGTATCACTGATGGGCATTTAGGTTGGTTCCAAGTCTTTGCTATTGTGAACAGTGCTGCAATAAACATATGTGTGCATGTGTCTTTACAGTAGAATAATTTATAATCCTTTGAGTGTATATCCAGTAATGGGATTTCTGGGTCAAATGGTATTTCTGGTTCTAGAGCCTTGAGGAATCGCCACACTGTCTTCCACAATGGTTGAACTAATTTACACTCTCACTAACAGTGTAAAAGTGTTCCTATTTCTCCAGATCCTCTCCAGCATGTGTTGTTTCCTGACTTTTTAATGATTGCCATTCTAACTGGTGTGAGATGGTATCTCATTGTGGTTTTGATTTGCATTTCTCTAATGACCAGTGATGATGAGCTTTTTTTTCATATGTTTGTTGGCCGCATAAATGTATTCTTTTGAGAAGTGTCTGTTCATATCATTTGCCCACTTTTTGATGGGGTTGTTTGTTTTTTTCTTGTAAATTTGTTTACTTCCTTGTACATTCTGGATAGTAGCCCTTTATCAGATGGATAGATTGCAAAAATTTTCTCCCATTCTGTAGGTTGCCTGTTCACTCCAATGATAGTTTTTTTTGCTGTCCAGAAGCTCTTTAGTTTAATTAGATTCCATTTGTCAATTTTGGTTTTTGTTGCCATTGCTTTTGGTGTTTTAGTCATGAAGTCTTTTCCCATGCCTGTGTCCTGAATGGTATTGCCTAGGTTTTCTTCTAGGGTTTTTATGTTTTAGGTCTTATGTTGAAGTCTTTAATCCATCTTGAGTTAATTTTTGTATAAGGTGTAAGGAAGGGGCCCAGTTTCAGTTTTCTACATATGGCTAGCCAGTTTTCCCAACACCATTTATTAAATAGGGAATCCTTTCCCCAATGCTTGTGTGGCGTTATTTCTGAGGCCTCTGTTCTGTTCCATTGGTCTATATATCTGTTTTGGTACCGGTACCATGCTGTTTTGGTTACTATAGCCTTGTAGTACACTTTGAAGTCAGGTAGCGTGATGCCTCCAGCTTTGTTCTTTTTGCTTAGGATTGTCTTGGCTATACAGGCTCTTTTTTGGTTCCATATGGCATTTAAAGTAGTTTTTTTCTGATTCTGTGAAGAAAATCAATGGTAGCTTGTTAGGGATAGCATTGAATCTATAAATTATTTTGGGCAGTATGGCCATTTTCACGATATTGATTCTTCCTATCCCTAAGCATGGAATGTTTTTCCATTTGTTTGTGTCCTCTCTTATTTCCTTGAGCAGTGGTTTGTAGTTCTCCTTGAAGAGGTCCTTCATATCCCTTGTAAGTTGAATTCCTAGGTATTTTATTCTCTTTATAGCAATTGTGAATGGGAGTTCACTCATGATTTGGCTCTTTGCCTATTATTGGTGTATAAGAATGCTTGTGATTTTTGCACATTGATTTTGTATCCTGAGACTTTGCTGAAACTGTTTATCAGCTTAAGGAGATTTTGGGCTGAGACTATGGGGTTTTCTAAATATATAATCATGTCTTCTGCAAACAGAGACAATTTGACTTCCTCTCTTCCTATTTGAATACCCTTTATTTCTTTCTCTTTCCTGATTGCACTGGCCAGAACTTCCAACACTATGTTGAACAGGAGTGGTGAGAGAGGGCATCCTTGTCTTGTGCCTGTTTTCAAAGGGAATGCTTTCAGCTTTTGCCCATTCAGTGTAATATTGGCTGTGGGTTTGTCATAAATGGCTCTTATTATTTTGAGATACATTCAATCAAAGCCTAGTTTATTGAGAGCTTTTAGCATGAAGGTGTGTTGAGTTTTATCAAAGGCCTTTTCTGCATCTATTGAGATAATCATGTGGTTTTTGTCATTGGTTCTGTTTATGTGGTGGCTTACGCTTATTAATTTGCATATGTTGAGCCAGCCTTGCATCCCAGGGATGAAGCTGACTTGATCATGGTGGATAAGCTTTTTGATGTGCTGCTAGGTTCGGTTTGCCAGTATTTTATTGAGGATTTTTGCATCGATGTTCATCAAAGATATTGGCCTGAAATTTTCTTTTTTTGTTGTGTCTCTGCCAGGCGTTGGTATCAGGATGATGCTGGCCTCACAAAATGAGTTACGGAGGAGTTCCTCTCTTTCTATTGTTTGGAATAGTTTCAGACAGAATGATACCACCTCCTCTATGAACCTCTGGTAGAATTTGGCTGTGAATCTCTCTGGTCCTGGGGTTTTTTTGGTTGGTAGACTATTAATTACTGCCTCAATTTAAGAACTTGTTATTGGTCTACTCAGGGATTCGACTTCTTCCTGGTTTAGTCTTGGGAGGGTGTATGTGTCCAGGAATTTATTCTAGATTTTCTAGTTTATTTGTGTAGAGGTGTTTATAGTATTCTCTGATGGTAGTTTGTATTTCTGTGAGATCAGTGGTGATATCCCCTTTATCATTTTCTATTGTGTCTATTTGATTCTTCTCTATTTTATTCTTTAATAGTCTGGCTAGTGGTCTATTTATTTTGTTAATCTTTTCAAAAAACCAGCTCCTGGATTCATTGATTTTTTTGAAGGGTTTTTTGTGTCTCTATCTCCTTGAGTTCTGCTCTGGTCTTAGTTATTTCTTGTTTTCTGCTAGCTTTTGAATTTGTTTGCTCCTGCTTCTCTAGTTCTTTTAATTGTGATGTTAGTGTGTCAATTTTAGATCTTTCCTGGTTTCTCCTGTGGGCATTTAGTGCTATTAATTTCCCTCTACACATTGCTTTAAATGTGTCCCAGAGATTCTGGTACGTTGTCTTGGTTCTCATTGATTTCAAAGAACATCTTTATTTCTGCCTTCATTTTGTTATTTACCCAGTAGTCATTCAGGAGCAGATTGTTCAGTTTCCTTGTAGTTGTGCGCTTTTGAGTGAGTTTCTTAATCCTGAGTTCTAATTTGATTGCACTGTGTTCTGAGAGACTGTTTTTTATGATTTCTGTTCTTTTGCATTTGCTGAGGAGTGTTTTACTTTGAATTATGTGGTCAATTTTGGAATAAGTGCGATGAGGTGCTGAGAAGAATGTATATTCTGTTGATTTGGGGTGGAGAGTTCTGTAGACGTCTATTAGATGTGCTTGGTCCAGAGCTGAGTTCAAGTCCTGAATATACTTGTTAATTTTCTGTCTCATTGATCTGTCTAAGATTGACGGTGGGGTGTTAAGTTCTCCCACTATTATTGTGTGGGAGTCTAAGTTTCTTTTGTAGGTCTCTGGTAACTTTCTTTATAAATCTAGGTGCTCTTGTATTGGGTGCGTATATATTTAGGATAGTTAGCTCTTCTTGTTGCATTGATCCCTTTATTATAATGTAATGCCCTTCTTTGTCTTTGTTGATCTTTGTTGGTTTAAAGTCTGTTTTATCAGAGACGAGGATTGCAACCCCTTCTTTTTTTTTTTGCTTTCCATTTGCTTGGTATATATTTCTCCATCCCTTTATTTTGAGCCTATGTGTGTTTCTGCATGTGAGATGGGTCTCTTGAATACAGCACACTGATGGGTCTTGACTCTATCCAATTTGCCAGTCTGTGTCTTTTAATTGGGGCATTTAGCCCATTTACATTTACGGTTAATATTGTTATGTGTGAATTTGATTCTGTCATAATGATGCTAGGTGGTTATTTTGCCCATTAGTTGATGCAGTTTCTTCATAGTGTTGATGGTCTTTACAATTTGGTATGTTTTTGCAGTGGGAGGTACCAGTTTTTCCATATTTAGTGCTTCCTTCAGGAGCTCTTGTAAGGGAGGCCTGGTGGTGACAAAATCTCTCAGCATTTGATTGTCTGTAAAGGATTTTATTTCTCCTTTGCTTATGAAGCTTAGTTTGGCTGGATATGAAATTCTGGGTTGAAAATTCTTTTCTTTAAGAATGTTGAATATTGGTCCCCACTCTTTTCTGGCTTGTAGAGTTTCACCCAAGAGATCCACTGTTAGTCTGATGGGCTTCCCTTTGTGGGTAACCCGACCTTTCTTTCTGGTTGCCCTTAAAAATTTTTCCTTTGTTTCAACCTTGGTGAATGTGACGATTATGTGTCTTGGGGTTGCTCTTCTCGAGGAGTGTCTTTGTGGTGTTCTCTGTATTTCCTGAGTTTGAATGTTAGCCTGTCTTGCTAGTTTGGGGAAGTTCTCCTGGCTAATATCCTGAAGAGTGTTTTCCAACTTGATTCCATTCTCCCTGTCACTTTCAGGTACACCAATCAAATGTAGGTTTGGTCTTTTCACATAGTCCCATATTTCTTGGAGGCTTTGTCTGTTCCTTTTCATTCTGTTTTCTCTAATCTTGTCTTCACACTTTATTTCATTAAGTTGATCTTCACTCTCTGATATCCTTTCTTCCGCTTGTTCAATTTGGCTATTGATACTTGTGTATGCTTCACAAAGTTCTCGTGCTGTGTTTTTCAGCTCCATCAGGTCATTTATGTTCTTCTCTAAACTGGTTATTCTAGTTAGCAATTCCTCTAACCTTTTTTCAAGGTTCTTAGCTTCCTTGCATTGGATTAGAACATGTTCCTTTAGCTTGGAGGAGTTTGTTATTACCCACCTTCTGAAGCCTACTTCTGTCAATTCATTAAACTCATTCTCCATCCAGTTTTGTTCCCTTGCTGGCGAGGAGTTGTGATCCTCTGGAGGAGAAGAGGCATTCTGGTTTTTGGAACTTTTAGCCTTTTTGTGCTGGTTTTTCCTCATCTTCATGGATTTATCCAGCTTTGGTCTTTGATGCTGGTGACTTTGGATGGGGTTTTTGTGTGGATGACCTTTTTGTTGATGTTTATGCTATTCCTTTCTGTTTGTTAGTTTTCCTTCTAACAGGCCTCTGTGCTGCCCCTCCTTCCACCAAGCTCGAGCGTCCCAGGTCGACTCCAGACTGCTGTGCTGGCAGCAAGAATTTTATGCCAGTGGATCTTAGCTTTCTGGGCTTCATGGGGGTGGGATCCACTGAGCTAGACCATTTGCCTCCCTGGCTTCAGCCCCCTTTCCAGGGGAGTGAACCGTTCTGTCTCACTGGTGTTCCAGGCGCCACTGGGGTATGAAAAAAACTTCTGCAGCTAGCTTGGTGTCTGCTCAAATGGCTGCCCAGTTTTGTGCTTGAAACCCAGGGCCCTGGTGGTGTAGGGACCCGAGGGAATCTCCTGGTCTGTGGGTTCCGAAGACCATGGGAAAAGCGTAGTGTCTGGGCCAGAGTGCACTGTCCCTCATGGCACAGTCCCTCACAGCTTCCCTTGGCTAGGGGAAGGAGTTCCCTGATCACTTGTGCTTCCTGGTTGAGAGGACGCCCCCACCCTGCTTCGGCTCACCCTCCATGGGCTGCACCCACTGTCTAACCAGTCCCAGTGAGATGAGCTAGGTATCTCAGTTGGAAATGCAGAAAATCACCCGCCTTCTGCGTTGATCTTGCTGGAAGCTACAGACCAGAGCTGTTTTTATTTGGCCATCTTCTATTTACATTTATTTTTATATGTAGTTATATATTTAAAACTTTATCTTGACCACTTGATTTAGAGTAATGGAAATTGGAGAAATGTATACAGTACAGAACATTCTACATTGGCTTTTTTTTTCCTATTTAAAATGCTTAAACGTTCTTTAACTCAAGAACTTTAATTTTGCTAATAACAAAGATTCTTAAGCTTAGTGTGAAACATGGAAAGGAAACGCCAGCAGCCTGGTTATGAATAGGATCAGCAGTGCCATCTTGTGGTAAATACCTTGAATTACAATTAGAGGCACCCGCATGGGATCTGGGAGACTAAGAAATTCTACTCTATGCTCAGTGATTTACATAGAATGTAAAAGGTATTTCTCACCATTTTAAGACTTTGGGTTTATATAATCAGAGGAGGTTCTTCCTTTACAAATGTGGCAAAGACTACAGTTTTCTACAAGACCTTTTAATGTTGAGCTTTTAATGTTACATACAATTACATTAAATGTTACTGTATGTAATATTAAAAACTACAGTTATAATTTCAAAAAGATTATAGTACATGAAACATTTTCTCTAGCAGCAGCTCTAATGTGTAATAAAACCTAGTATTATAGGTTAAATTGGATATATCTATAACATAATAAGGTAAGCAGCTATAGATAAGTCAAAGCATGGCAAGTATATGATCAGATAATAATCCTGTTTCCTTCAGACCTAACATGTGGTAATACAGTAATTTTGTGTTCTTTAGCTTGTCTGCTGCTTTTGAAAATTCTTTTCAACAGTTAACAAATATTGATGAATCCAACTGGAAAAAATAATGTTTACCTATTCATTAGTTCCAAGTCTGTGATAGTTAAATACGTGGGACCATTGTAGTTTCTAGAATAATTACATTTAAAATCCCCAGCACCTTGCAAAAATATTTATTCAATTCATATTTTGCTTTTTACGTTATCAACACATATTAGTTTAGAGAGTTTAGCACAAATCACTAACTAGACCAGTATTAGTAATCCATTGGTAATTCCAAGTCTCACACTGGATCATCTTGAAAATAGTTCATGGGTTACTATTTTTTTCATTAGTTATATATGTCATGCCGAATCAACATTATTTTCAGAAGTCATTCCTCTTTATTTTATTGCCCTTTTGTGTCACTTTCTTTTTCAAATTATAAAAGTAATATATGTTCATGATGCAAGTTCAGATATTAAAGTAATCATTCCTGATAAACTTAACCCCTGGAAATAATCACCATTTACAGTCTGGTGTATTATTTTCAGTTGCTGCATTTATTAATAAAAATATTTTCTCTTTTCAGTTGGTCAGAGGTAGGGGCACCCCATCTTCATTTCCCTCAGTGGCACTTTCTTCCAGAAAATTTGCTGACAATATGTTTTTTTTGTCTGCTAAGATAACTGGGAATTTCATTACCCTGATAGGAAATTTTGATTTTTATTCCTAGTTTTGCTGTTTCTCACTTCCTGCAGTGTTGGATTTATTGGGCACTGGATGACAACACTCTGTAGTGCTATACAGATTTCCTAGCATGTTCAGATATACATTAACCATGCATAGAAAGGTTGTAGAAAGCTTAATGACTTTGCCCAAGTTAGCTAACATGTGACTAGCCACGATTTAAATCCCTTCTGATTATACCTGTACCTAGGTGAATTCTTCTGGTCCCATGACTTTAAATACCATCTGTATTTGAGATGACTCTCAAATTTGTATCTTTAGCCCTGCCTTCCCCCCTGAGCATCAGACTTGTATATGCAATTTAAAAAAATACATCTCCGCCTCAGTGCCATCTCAAACCTTGACTTGGCAATAAAGAGAATGCTTGATGTCCTCACCGCTACCTTTTTTCTCCCAAAGACTTCTCCATTTTAGCTATTGGCATCATTAGCTATCCATTTGCCTAAGCACAAACCTTGGAATAACCTTTGGTTTTTCTCTTCTTCAAGCGTGACATCAATCCATCAGCACATGCTGATTCTAACTACGTTTCCCTAACATAAGTTCATCTCTTACCTAGGCTAACATAATCACATCCCAATTGGTTTTCCTGCTTCCCCTCTGTCTGTCATCACCATTATGTGCTATTCTATTACCTTTTTATTTTTTTCATTATATTTAACAATATCTGGTATTATTGGCTTTTGGATCTATTGTCTGTCTTACTTTCCTTCTAGAATGTAAGCTCTGCAAGGCAGAAACTTTTATCTTGTCACCACTGAATCCCCAAGACCTAGAACACTGCTGGCAGGTAGGTTTCGTGTTGAACCTGTAAACAAACAAATTAATTAATAGAAGAAGTCTGGTGCTTGTTCAGTAGTTGGGAATTCAGGAAAATTATTCCTTTGCTGGTTTTCTCAGCGCTGTTTTGTATAGCGTTGAAAGAACTGAAAAACTTTTATTTAATAATGTGTTCTTGAGATTGATATTAGAGTCTTATTATCTTAGATATACAGTATCACTTAGGCCTTGCTGAATGCATTTTATGCTCCCTGAGATCTTTTTGGGAGATTTTCTGTGGAAACCTGAAAAGGAAACCATCACAGTGCTTTCTCAGAGAAGCAAGGCTCAACAAATGACTGGGAAGAAACTTTTGCTGGTTGAGAGAGGTATTCAGTATGTGCTTCAACAATGATGTAAAAGGGAACAAAGAGAAGTGAATGCAAAACATCTTTATTTGCTTTGGACTGCCCTTCTTCCACTAAGGCTAACTTTGAATAAAGAGGAACTCGATACCGGGCCAATGAATAAATTTTTAAAACTGGAAACTTAAAATGAAGGTTTGAGGATCCTGAAATACTATATATTTTAAAAAATCAATGATTCTTTTAAGAAATGGAAAACAAAGTGAGGGAAGAGTGGGTAGAGAGATTGATTGGTCATTCTATATCTAGTGTAATGGAAAAGGTATTTTGTGTCAGCAAGATCTGGGTTTTGATTCTAGTCTTGCCACTAGCTGGCCACATGACCTTGGATGTCTTGCTTCTGAAATCTAGGCTTGTTATTTCTGTTGGTGGTTTAGGATGATCACATGAGATGAATCTTGGGAAATAATTCTTACAATTATAAAGCACAATACAAGTGTAATATATTATCCTGATTATCATTATCTCACCATTCTAGTATGAGGATCCAGGGCTTCATTCTCTTGATGTTTTCAACTTTGTGGTCCCAGAACTCCAATGGCTACAAAGATGCCAAGATCTGAACTCAGAGATTCATGAAACAGCTCTAAATAGTTTTAAATTACTTCCTTGGGAAATTTTTGCTTGCTTATGTGTATCTGAGATTAACAACAGTAAAAACACCTTTTATATAGCACCATCAGTGAGGCTTTATGTCTTTATTATAAATTTTGGAGCATCCTCCAGGCTCTCAAAATGAAATCTCTGGATCTACTGAAGAGAGAGAGAGAGAGAGAGACAGCAAGGACTTTCATGTCTTTAAAAGCAATTACAGGCTCAGGTCTCTGAAAAAGTATTAAGTGCCAAGACTGACGCCTCTGCAACCATTTATTCTTGACATTTTTTCAACTTTTTTTTAAGCCAGACTATTGATGCATTTTAATACCATTAGTATTTGTTAAAATTAGTTCAGCAGTATTATTAATTTGTCTTCTTAAAATAAAAGGCAGGAAAACAGTATTATGCATGTATTTAAATAAGTCCCCTTTCCAGATATTGGAAGGTATGTTTTTAAGTATTCTGGAGAAAAGTCATTTTAAAAAAATTTCCAAGCAGACCATTTTGCTTTAGAAATATTGAAGATGCAATATGTGAATCATATTTGGATTTTAAAGCAGGATATTAAACTTCACAGTAAAAATGATTCCATAGTTGTTAAAGTCCAAAGAGAGGTTTACGAAGCCAGCAGACAGAGAAACTGAAATTCACTTGGAGAGGTAAATGACACAGGAATGGAAACATTGAATAAATAACTTTACAGCAATTTTTCTTGATGTTATTTTATCCCTTAAAGGCAGACAGATCATTAAAATTAAAATTGTATTAAAAATATTCTCTATAAAAATATATAACCCAATAAAATGAATGTTGAGTCAGCCACGTGTATTTCTTTCCAAACCCATAATTTGGATTTGGATTGGATTTCCAAACCCACAATACTAAATTTATTTAGTATTTTGAAATTCATATTTGCTAGGCAGTGCATCTTAGTAAATTAAAAAATATATATTCCCATTACTTAGTTCATGTAAATAATCCTAAAGGTGAACTGAATTGGCCTTACTGAAATGGAGGCTCATGCCAGGGCTGACCAGGGAAGGTGAAGAGAGGATAAGAGACATTTTATCTTCATGCATTTGTGTCTTTGCATTTGCTGTTTCTCTCCTGGATGTGTTTCCCATCCTGGGTCATTTGCTTAAATTCATACCAATTTTTTTTAGCATCTATTTCAAGCACCCTGTTCTCCACTATGACTTCACTAACATTTCTAGATAGATAGTTGCTCCTTTCTATTGCTGCCTTGTATGTAACTCTGTTATTGCATGTAACACATCATCAATAATTTGCTTACATTTCTGTAGCTTTTGTATTTCCAGTACCTACCTTAGTGCTTGACATATAGTAAGAACTTAATAAATGTCTGCTGAGTGAATAAATAAAAAAGTGAGTGATAGCTCCTGATCACTGCATAACATAGATACAACTCATAAAGTTGTGATTCCTGGCCTCATCCTTGTGGGGCAAGTAGGGGTGGTGGGACAGAGGCTACCCAGAAGATGAACAGAGGGATGGGTTGATTATGCAATAAAAAACATTCATTCAGCTTCTGGCACTGTGCCAGGTGCTGTGGGGGAAACTGCAGAGATGTGAGGTACATTGTATCTGCTTTCAGGGGTTTACCAGTTAGGTTTAAGGGCCTAATTTACCTGTATGAATCATCTAGAGGGAAATTGAAGGCTAAGTTGTAAGACTTGACTGTGTGTCTATGAGGAAGTTAGAAAAGTTAGAAACCCACATGAGTTGAAGGAGCTTGGAAAGGCTTCATGAGGAGCCACAAGTTAATTTGGGCTCAGCAGTATTGACTGAAGGAAGGGCTGATGAAGTGGCAAGCCTTGGGCTAGGTGGGAGTTGAATGGGTGGCTGTGTGGGAATTGGCTTGTGGAGCAGTGTTTACTCTGGGAGACCACAGACACTTTCTACACCTATGGATGGATTTTAGAGATGCTTTGAACCCCTGGAATTATTTGCAAAATGTTGTATGTATGTTTATATGAGCAGTTTTCCAGGGAGAATTCTCAGCTTTGAAAGAAGTAGATGCAGATTTTAAAAGAATGTTACGTTTTGTAGTTGTAATCACGAATAGGTAGCATTATCATTATTTATCTTTTCATGAAGTCTTAAAGAAAGGGAAAAAGGAAGAATTCGATGGGGTAGGGAGGTGAAGGGAGGAGGGAGATTCAGGCTAACAATATAGGTATCAATATTTATTAAATGATCTTTCCCTGAAAGTGTATCACTAACATGCTGTATCTTTAGCTGATTGTCAAAAGAGATCATCTAAGCGATGGAGGCTACACTGCCTGTTTGAGAGAAACTACTGAACTAAAAGTGAATGAAAATGTATCCCATTGTTGCCCAAATGAAAATATACTTAATTCAAAGGCAGAAATAATTTTTAAAAATTGTTAGTGCTAGAAAGATGAGGTACTTATAAAAAAAAAAAAGAATGTATTTCAACCAGATCATGTAAAAGTATGCCCATTCTCCCACTGATTTTTCTTCTACTTGTTAATAGTTTTGCTTTTTATACTTAGCACGTTAGCATATTTGAAGTTTATGACATCAAGTAGTGACTCAAGTTATTTTAATGGAAAGCAAGTCATGTTAAGATCACTTCTTGAACAACTTATGCTTTTGTCATTGACATGATATGCCTAATTGAGGTTTATGTTGTATATATCCTGATTGGGGTTCACTGAGATTTTTGGATTTGTAGATTAAAGTATAAATTAAATTTTGGAACTTTAAAAAATAAAAATAAAAAATAAAAATAAAAATTGTTAGTGCTTTAACCAGCAAACATTATTTTTTAAGGATTATTCTATTTAGGTTTTTGAATGTAGGGATTTGCCTCATAATGAAAAATCTGCATTTCATCATAAAAACTGAATAAAATGAACATGACTTGGTTATTTGCCATAGATGCGGATTCTTTTAATATTGGATGCTCAGTTTGTATAGAAAACATTTGGATTGGAGCCCCTCTTTGGGCCATTGCCAACTAGAGGTTAACATACTAATATATCAGAGATAGGAGTGATGGATTTCTACTTCTGGGTGAGTGTTACGCTATCACATGCCCTGAAGTGATAGCTCTATCATGTTGCAATTGTGAGTTAAGGAGGAAGGAAAGAGATCTATGAAAAAATAAGCTGTTCCTTTGTTTCCTGGCTTGTTCCAAAAAGGATTGCAATAAAAAAGAGTTTCATATTATTGGTTTATGTAATTGATAAGAGCCCAGTAATTGAGGAACAAAAAAGTTGTTAAGTTTATGCAAACGAATAATACAAAAGGGATTTTCCCATAATTCTATCTTTAGGAGAGTAATTAATTGGATAATAGTTAAAGAAGATAGTAATGTTGAGAGAATGAATAGGTATATAAACCTCAATTATATCTTAAACATTAGTAAGCCATATTTTTACATAGAATTCAGTTTAATTGGAGGACCTGAGAAATTTGTTGACACTGGAAACTTGTGCATTTTTGATTTATAAACCTGAAATATGCATAACTAATGTTAATTTAATAATGTTGAATTTTAATAGCCTTAAAGTCAAGCATTAAGAAAAATGCTCAGATCATACAATTTTATGAAAAATAGACTATTCAACTCTTAATGATTCAACATAAAGGGCCACTTCAGTGAATGTTCAAAATGTATTATCACTTCTGTGGTGATCTAATCTTATTTATTGAATCTGGTAACATATATTTATGTATATATGAATATGAGAATCTTAATATATATTTTAATATATATATTATTACATTATTCTGTGTAATATACTTTTTGAGTTCTTAATATCTTATATTTTCTATAAAGTCATATATGTGGCAGATACATATATGGAGATATTTCAGATTATTGTATTGCAAGCTGAGGAATGTAGTATCTTCAGAACTTGCCACTTGCTAGGGACGAGGTTGGAATGAGAAAGTGTATTGGCCTCATGGCCATTCCTAAGTCTTGGGGCCGAAGGCTGGAGGTTGGCCCTAGTGAACAAATTACTTGGAGGATCCAGAAGTGGCTAGTGCACAGGAGACAGTGCAATCCATTCCCAATGGGGAGCAGTGGGTCATGACTGGATGAACCATATACATCATCAGTTCTGAAAATGAGGCTGATTAAAGGGCATTCAGGAGCAGGGTGAATGAAGCTTCTCTGGGGAAGGAGAGAAGGTCCAGGCCTTTGTAAACAGGATTGAGTTTTCTAGGTTGCCCAGTCCCAGGTTGACTTTGGCTGGAATTAAAAGTCATGGTTCAGGTAGTTCACCTTTTATAGTTTCGTGCTTATTAACATAAATTTACTTTTATTTTGAATACATTTTGCTATAATTAGTTAAAACAATTATAGTAACAAGATGCTTAACTCTCACTCTATAAACAATAGCATTATGAAGGGAATATGGAACAAACAACAATCTATTTATGAAGAACAGATCAGTGGTTGCAGCTAGGGTGGGAGCAGTGACTATAAAGGGGTAGCAACAGGAAGTTTCTTGGGGTCATGGAACTGTTCTGGATCCTGATAGCGGTGGTGTTTACACACATCTATATGCATTAAAATTCATAGAATCATCTGCCCCAAAAGTCCATTTAACTATACGATAATTGTTTTTAAAAAGCAAAAAATGCTAGCAGGGAGATAAAAAAAATTTTTTTTTTTTTTTGAGATGGAGTCTCGCTCTGTCACCCAGGCTGGAGTGCAGTGGCACGATCTCAGCTCACTGCAACCTCTGCCTCCGAGGTTCAAGCAATTCTTCTGCCCCAGCCTACTGAGTAGCTGGGACTGCAGGCGTGTGCCACCACACCCGGCTAATTTTTTGTGTTTTTAGTAGAGACGGGATTTCACTGTGTTAGCCAGGATGGTCTCAGTCTCCTGACCTTGTGATCTGCCCACCTCGGCCTCCCAAAGTGCTGGGATTACAGGCATGAGCCACCGTGCCCAGCCAGAAATGTTTAATATATCAAATATACACAACAGAACAAAGTAAATCCTAACAGTCCTAGAAGGCTATAGGAAAGCCAGAGTCCTAAAAGTATGCCATTTGCCTGTTTCTGAATGTCTTAGGTTGGTGGAAGGCACATTTTACCTGGAAGCTGAAAATGATTTGGTCCCCTAGTTCTTCTTTTATCTTGCTTTCAAAAATAGACCTGTCTTCCTTCCTTTCTTCTTTCCTCCCTCTCTTCTCTTTCTTTCGATCATTCCTCCCCTCCTTACTCTCTTTCTTTCTTAAGTTCATGCTATCTGACATGGTGAAGTGGCATTCTAGATTACTTTTTTTTTTTTTGGTCACAAGTGCCTACTGGTGGAAGGGACATGAAGGGAGGATGAGAAGCTGGTCTAGCTCTGCTCCAATCCTGAGGGTGGACAGTTGAGCCAGAATAAAACCAAAAGTGAAGCCTCACTGCTTACCAGAATACACTTGTGTAGTGCCTACACTACCTGTAGGCCTTCCTGTTTCAGGCAGTAAAGTGTTGTTCTGGAGCTGAGCACCTGCTTTGAGTTAGAATTGAGACAGGCACCAGAAGTTGGATGCAGTCCAGACTGATCAGAGGACCCTTGGAATAGACTTTAAGTTGACCTTGACCCTTTAGTCTTCTTTGGATTGGACTTCCCAGGATTACTCTGTCCCTTTGAAAAAATATATTTGTGTCTTGGGCCTGAACCAAATTTTAATCAGTCTCCTAGAAATTGTGAAGGGCTGCTATGGCATGGCACAACATGGCCTGTTTTCTCAATATTGTCTCTTTAACTTCTCATTTACTTGGCAACCTGATTTCTGATTTTCTGAATGGGTGTTGCTGTGGACATTTGCCCAGAAAACAGCTCTGAGTGAGGGACTATCAGAGAGAATTTTATGTCTCTTGGGAAGGGAAAGGTTAACTTTTATTTCCAAGAGGACTGGCTGCATGAGTTCTTGGATGCAGCAGTCCCCAGGAGAGTGCGGTGTGTTGAGCTGTGGCTAGTGTGTGTAGTTCCACACAGGCAGGAGTGGGCTGTGCAGAGCTACTTGTTTACAACAGCTTCCTGAATCTGCTAATGCCAGACTGAGTGAATGAAAGATTAGTTTGAAGTTCTTGACCCATATTCTTTACATTAAACATTGATGACCATTTTTTCTTTCAGTCCTTCCTCTATGTTATTCTGGATTTGAAATCTCTAGCTATGAGATAATATTAACTGAAATTCTTGACATTTGCCAACCCTAGTCACAACCCTTGCTATAGATCATTTCAACATAAAGCATTTGTCTTTTAGCTTGTCTGAAAATATACTGCAGTATGTTGCTGGTGGTAATGGATTTCTTGGAGTTGAACCATTGGGTAGAGGATTTGTGATTGGAGTTTACCATCTGATTTATATGTTCTATGGTCATGATAACTCAGATTTGCAGATCTGGGTACTACTGGGACTGTGGGGCTATTGTGCCTGACTTAATTGCATATTTAAATGTAAGGCTAGAAGTAAAGCTGAAAAAGCAGATGGATTTGGAAAATGAGATTGTCCTGTTTTGAGGTCATATGGAAAGCCAAGAAATTGCTGGAGCAGCTCTGACAGGGATTTCAGGAAAACAGGCTGGTAATATTTCCACTTCTCTCAGCTTGCAGTCTGGCTGAAAATGTAGTAAGATCAGCCTTTTCCAAAGGTCTTGGTATTTCTGCAGCTGTTTTCAGAAAGCCTTGAAAGTGAAAAGCAAAGGAGTCCACAGAATCTCAAGTATCCATGCTCCAATCACTAAAGCTCTTGGATGATCTAAGTGGAAAAGAGCTGAAGCCATGTAAGTGAAGGTGTGTATGACACAGTTCATGTGTGGAGTCTGCTCTTTCAGATATGACATCATGTCTGTGGCCCCCAAAAGCTTCCAGGAAAGCATCGGCTTGACAGCGAGGATGCCAAAAAGTCCTTGATAGGAGCTCTGCACATTATATTTCCACCTTCTATTATTTTAGATTCTTTTTTGTTCCATTCACCTAAGTCAGCTGGGCCATCTGCCTAAGCCAGCCAACATCTCACATTTTCTAATTGGTCTAGTTAGTCCAGGGTTAATATGTCACTTACTATCACTAATGAGAGACTGTACTTGCTAGACTCGTAAAGCATTTTTAATGAATGCTTCCAGTATTATGATTCCTGTTCTACAGAAAAAGAAACCAGGTTTCAGAGAATTTATGTGATTTGTACAAATTATTTGAACAGATTAGTGGATCATGAGGGCTATGGAATGTATATTTTATACTGTCAGCCACCAACTTTCAAGTGGTTGAAGCTCTCCACATATGTAATGTGTTTAAAAGGAAGTTTAAAATAATAGAAATGACTAGATTGTGTCAGTGATTTTTAAATATTCTGCAAATGAAACTTAAGTAAAAGTTCAATATGTTAAAGCTACAAGTTCTATTTTAGCATGAATTTATTTCACAAGTTCAGGTTTCTAATAACTACTTATCTTCAAATTAACCAGTAACATTAACGAAGCTATTTATGAACACAAGTATTTGAAATCTAGATTTGTAGATGTGAGTTGGAGCCTTAATATCTAATATATTTTAAAGTTTTGTTCGGTTGTCCCCCACTGAAAAAAAAAACTGATTTACAGATAAATTCTTGAAAATAGGTATAATTTTCTTAAAAGCTAAGCCTACTGAAAATATTATTCAATCTGATTGAATCAGACACTTGAGAAATTATTAACAGGTAGTTTTGGACCCACTTTGAATCACTATCTAACTATACCTGAAAATATTCATTTTTCCTCTTCTCTCCTAAGCCCAGTCCAATTACCATCCTCTGAAACAGCATTTGTCAAGGTCCCTAGACCTCTGTGTAGCCAAATCTGTCCATAAATTCTCAGTTCTCACTTCATGGGACCCATCATCAGCATTTGACACTCTTGATCACTCCACTTACTCTCCAAGGCTCGCGCTCTCCTGGCTTTCTTCCCATCTCAAAGGCCACTTCTCAGCTTCCTTTCTGTGCCCCCGTCATTGTCCTG
Source organism: Homo sapiens (assembly GCF_000001405.40). Lineage (NCBI taxonomy): Eukaryota > Metazoa > Chordata > Mammalia > Primates > Hominidae > Homo > Homo sapiens. The sequence continues at coordinate 183,696,300 of NC_000001.11, forward strand.
ACTATCTCAAACTCCCTATCAGTCCTTTTCAACCATGGTTTCTCATCTGAACCAAGGACACAAAAAATGATTCCAGAGAATATTTTCTCAACTTTTTCCAAGGAAAATAACTAGTTCTAGGTGCATAGGAAGGAAGTTAATCCATCACATACAATGGGTGCCTTAGGGCTTTGTCTTAATGTTTCTTCACATAACCTCAGTTGACAAAGGTTGCCAGCCTCAATCCACAAACATTAGGCATCTGATGCATTTTCATGACCTTAACTCCATCTATATATTGACAACTCCCAAATTTATATCTCCAGCCCAGGCCTCTATCTGAACACAAGATAATGTTCTCTCCAATTTGATGCAACCTCTTGTAAATATCTGACATCTCAAACTTCTCATGTTCAAAAACAAAACCCGATCTTTCCCCCAAAAACTGTTCCACTCAGAGTTGTCATCTCTCAGGCCCCAAATTTTAGTCATCCCTGAACTTCTGGTCTTTCTCTCACATCTTTCATCCAATCCTTTGGCAAATCCTACTGTACCTATGTTTCAAATACATCCAGAATCTGACCAATTCTTGCCACCTTTACTTCTACCACCCTGACCTAAGCCACATCATTCTCTAGAGCTTGAACTATTCTAGTTGCCTCCTAATTGGCCTCCCTGCTTTCATTGTTGGACCTCTACAGTCTATTTCAAACACAGCAGCCAAATTGATCCAGTCCTTTGCTCAAAATTCTCCAGTAGCTCCCAATTACAATATGTATGGTAAAAGCTGGAAACCTTACAATGGCCTACGTGATCTGTAGTGCCTCTTTCCTGACTGCTGCAGTCTTTTTGCTGTTCTTACAATACATTGAGCAACTTCCACCCAGGGCACTTTCCCCTGCTCCCGCCCCAAACCCCCATGGCTTACTGCTCATTTCTTTCAAGTCTTTGCTTAGATGATACCTTATCAGTGAGGCCTTTCCCTCCCAACCTTTTAAAAATTGTAACGGCCCTAATCACTCACTATCCCCATTCCATTGCTTATTTCTCCCTATTGTGTTTATTATTTTCTAATATTTTACATGGTTTGCTTATTTATTTTTATTGTCTTCCTTTTCTACTAGTGTGCAGTTTCCTCAAGGGCAGAGATTTTGTCCATCTTGTCCACTACTATATGCCAAGTGTTTGGAACAGTTTGCACGGAGGAATGGTTCCTGAATGAATTGAATGCATGGTGAGCGTTTAATTTGAAATTTGAAATGTGATTAATGGAATTTTAATCATTTTAAATTCTCCTTGTATTGCACAAAATGCTTCTTAAATGCACGTTGTAACATCATGAGATAGTCAATCCAGATACCTCAGTGCCCACTCCTGCTAAATATTTACTCAAAGGTTAAAAACTGTCATTGGTTTTGTATGCTGAGGCCAAATTTGAATTTTTAGTTGCGTGCTGGTACTTCATCTGCAGATGTAGGTATCATGCATTTCAACCCTACATTGCTAGGTTAATCTAATTGAGTATATTGAAAATATCAGTAGGATTCCAAGTATCTCAGTTCTCTCCCTTCCCCACTGTACTCTGTGTGAGTTGTAGCGGGGCTGGTCCCTGCAGGTTGCATTTCTCTTGGTTGGGCATCTTTCTGTCTGTGTTGACCTAATTGCAGGCAGTAATGCATGATGAGAAGCAGCTTGGAGAAGCCAGGGTATTTTCCCCTCCTTGTCTGCTGCTGTCAGCTTCCTGCCATGGCCACAGCTTCTGTCAAATGATTCCATCCTAGTGTGTGAGCCAGCTCACACCAGTTCATGAGGGACAATTTTGTTTATTTTTTTCAACTCCACGTTTATGTTTTTCCAACTCCATCAATATCACATTGATGACTTAAAATAGGCCAAATCCTGGCTTTCCACTGACAGAGAACCAATTTGTTAAACATTGACCAGCACACCCTGGTGGGCTCAGCCCTTGCGTTCTGTAACACCCCTTTTTCCTTTTCTCTCTGGTCTAGGAGTGGTAGTGGCTTCCAACTGTTGCTAGTCCCTGGCTTATTCACTCTTCCCTGTTTAGGACTCAATTCCTTGGTCACCTTTGTAAAGAATTTCCTGCATTAATTCTCTTCCCTTTTAGAAACAGGAAATGATTTCTGTTTTCCTATACTTTGATACAATGCCTAAAATAGAACAACCATGCTATGTTTGAGTGAACTTGAGAGAACCTTTAGCAGCAATACAAAACAAAAATCTTTGTCTCATCTGAAATATTTGCACCAGTGCCTTGCCTTGGAACACATAAAAATACTTTGATACAAAAAGTAAATTTCTGATCTCATTGCCAAAATTATTACACATTATTTTGAAATGCTACAACTTAAAGACAGCACTCTAATATAGTTAACACTTAACATGACATTATCCAATATAGTTTTAAGAGATGCTGCCATTTTGTTACCTCCTAATACTTGTTTCTGAAGCTTATAGGAACTACTTGAATACTTTTTTTCAATTGCTTTTCTTATAAGTCATTTTCAGTTGCTTTCCTATGGCTTACTCATCATTTGTAGACTTGGTCACGTTGTGAATGAGTTACTTCATGGTATGTTCAAAGTCATTTAAATATCTCCCTCTGTTTTGATGTATGTATTGAGTGTTTTTCAAGGCTATAAACTCCCTTAGGTTTGGCCACAGGAACAAAGTGTACAAAAATGGAGAATAGGAAGAACTATAACATCCATACTCTCATTTAGTTGAATTATAAAGATTTTAGCTGTCTTATTCATCACATATGTTGGATGCCCAGTCTTGGGTGCTGTGAGCTGTGATATCTGACAATGGTACCAATATTTCAGAGGCAGGGAAGCCTGGTCATTTAACACATTCACTGTGGGGTCAGTAGCTCAGGAGGTAATAGGGTTCACCCAGTGTGTTTCCTTCACATGTGTTGATGTAACTTACCCTGAACAATGTTTTTAAATTCATTTTTACCATTTAAATACTACTGGTCCAGACTGAGTAAGCATCCTTGAAACTATATTGTAGTCCCATCTACAGTCCTACATCAAGGCTTGTTCCAAAATTGCTCCAGGTCGTAGACTTGGACTTTAACTCCATCTTTATCTCTATGCCCACCTTACAGAGTCCTCTAAGGAATGTTCTAGAGAGCCCATCTTTCTGTATAATCAGTCTATTTAGAGTGGAGCAAGTGATGAAATTTAATGTGAAAGATTCCTTGATTTTCATATTATCCTATTGTCTGAAGATTCTGATCAATCTAATAAATATGCAGGTTAGGCCTAGTCTGGTTTTCTTTATCCAGGATCCCTTCTATCCCCAGCTAGAGCCACTAGATCACTAAATCAATCGTATGTGCAGGCTGCCTCTGATTTATTTCCCTCGCTGCTGCTGGCCTGCCCCTGCCTTTTAGCCCTGATTGGAATGTTTCAATGTTTGCTTTGTTCTAATACTCTGTCCCTTGTACTCTCTTTTAAATAACCAGCCTCTGACTGTCTTGGTTCTTGTTTACCCACCTTTTCATCAGCCCCTTCCTCATTCTTCAAGCCCAAATTCCAGCTTGAAGTCTGGGTTCTACAATCTGTTGACAGACTTCCTCGAAGCTTATGATCTGCATTCCTGACCTTCCTAGGAGTGTCTACCTCACAATTTTCTGATGTTATGTTGTGCAATGACACCTCATTTTGTTTGTTTTTGCTGTTGCTGACTGGACCATTGTATATCAGATGTGGTGTTTTGCCTGCCAGACCAAGCCTTCCCGTATTGCATGGGAGTATACTAGTGGCTGTGACCAGACTGATTTTAAGTTCTAATCCCTCTTCCCACTCCTACCCTCAACCTGCTCAGACCTGACAAAGTAATAGGGAATTGCCCACCCATTTAAGTCCCATAAAAAGCCATACTGCACCACTAGCCACTTCAATTATGATGAGTGGTTTTATGGGAAGAAAGGAATTGTAGGCTGATGATAGTAGCTTTGTTGAGTTGGTAGCACTGGATCCAGTCTCTGAGGGAAACATAATGGTTGGATTTCAACTTTGTAGTATTATTCCAGGAGCATCTGTATAGTATCATAAATATGGGATCTCACATGACGTCTTCCTGTGTCTCAGAAAAATGGACAGAAAGCAGGTTTCAATAATCTTTTTTTTTTTTTTAATTTGACTTTAAGTTCTGGGATACATGTGCAGAATGTGCAGTTTTGTTACATAGGTATACGTGTTCCATGGTGGTTTGCTGCATCTATCAACCTGTCATCTAGGTTTGTTTTTTTTTTTTGGCAGAGTCTCACTCTGTCACCCATGCTGGAGTGCAGTGGTGTGATCTCGGCTCACTGCAACCTCTGCCTCCCGGGTTCAAGTGATTCTCCTGCCTCAGCCTCCTGAGTTGCTGGGATTACAGGTGCACACCACCACACTTGGCTAATTTTTGTATTTTTAGAAGAGACGGGGTTTCACCATGTTGGTCAGACTGGTCTTGAACTCCTGACCTTGTGATCCGCCCACCTCGGCCTTCCAAAGTGCTGGGATTACAGGCTTGAGCCACCGTGCCTGGCCTGTCATCTAGGTTTTAAGCCCCACATACATTAGATATTTGTCCTAATGCTCTCCCTTTCCTTCCCCCTGAGCCCCTGACAGGCCCCGGTGTGTGATGTTCCGCTCCCTGTGTCCATGTGTTTTCATTGATCAACTCCCACTTATGAGTGAGAACATGTGGTGTTTCGTTTTCTGTTCCTATGTTAGTTTGCTGAGAATGATGGCTTCCAGCTTCATCCATGTCCCTGCAAAGGACATGAATTCATTCTTTTTTATGGCTGCAAGATTAAAGAATCTTTTGCAACAGATGGGGAAATTGAGATTTAGATTGATCAATTGTTGCCCTTGAGATCACACACAGATTTGTTGATAGGATAGATCCTAGGTTTTGGTTTTGGGGAATAACAATCCACTGTCCCAGGGACTTCCAACCATTTGATGAAAGAATGGTTTTTAGTTCTCTGAAGCCTTAAGGTAATTTAATTTCAGAGCTGGTCTGGAACTGACCTTGGAGATTGCCTGGTTATTAGTCTAAACCCTCATTTTCAAGGTACTGATGACAGAGAATAGGAGGTGTGTTCCATTTCCCTACCCCGGATTGTATGACTGATGGGAATGGAGAGGTAGAGTAGGACAGAGGTGTATGGTCTATCAAGAAAGGCTTGAAGTCCTCTCTCAATCTTTTGTGCAACCAGTTTTATTAAATGGATGGAATTCAATGGGAAGTGAAATAGGGAACAACCTCTACCCAAAATCCCACCCCACCCTCCACTGCCTTCAATAATGTTAGGCTCTTAATTTTTCCATTTTTCTTTTTTAAAATAATATTTTATTGGCCGGGTGCAGTGGCTCATGCCTGTAATCCCAGCAGTTTGGGAGGCCAAGACAGGCAGATCACAAGGTCAGGAGTTCGAGACTAGCCTGGCCAATGTGGTGAAACCCCATCTCCACTAAAAATAGAAAAATTAGCCGGGCATAGTGGCAGCCACCTGTAATCCCAGCTACTCGGGAGGCTGAGGCAAGAGAATTGCTTGAACCTGGGAGGCAGAGGATGCAGTGAGCTGAGATTGCACCATTGCACTCCAGCCTGGGTGACAGACCAAGACTCCATCTCGAAAAAAATAAAATAAAATAATATTTTATTGTTTTTTGCATAATGTCTTTATTTTGCAGAAAATGCTTTCTGCTTATTGTCTTTGGCTACTTTGTCAAAACTCTAGGTATGTCAACTCTAGCTATGATACCTGACACAAAAGAAGCCTGAACATTACTTGAAAGCAACAAGGAAGAGAATGAAAGTTTGTTTTTTATCTCACTAAAGTAGGACCATTGTTTACAAATTCTGGTATGCCAAAGTCATCTATATGCTATATGAGAAACAAACAAGAAGTTTCTGGACCCTAGTGAACAGTTTTTTTTTTCTGTGAGTCATGGTGAATTACGCCCAACTGCATTGCTTCCAGCCTTGAATTCACCTAGATGACTCAGGACAACACTGCCACTGCAGATTACCAGCAAAGTGGGAGGTGGTGATGGGACTTTTTGATAAATAGTAGAATATGTATTCCTTCTTCTATTTTAAAATGAAGTTAATAAGGCTTTATTTCCTTCCTTTGACCCATGCGACTGCCATTTTATACCTAGTAGATCCATCAGATGAACGCTGGTTGCAAAGTCATTGCATATTTCAAGACATAGGTCTTGATTCACATGGAAGGTGGTGACATGGCTGTCTATGAGGCTACCAGTAAGGTTGGGCTGAGGCATTGTACTGGCTGTCAGGCGTGTCTGTGTCTGTGACAGTCCCTTCATACAGTGGGGATCCTAGAGCTAGTAGATGGATTGGTGTTATGACTCATGGGGCACATACTGATGTGGGCAGGCATTCGAGGCTGGACCAACTGACAGGGGATTGGAGCATGGATAAACACACAGATGAATTGTCAGAATTGTAAGGCTCTTGTATCGGTTTGAACCCTGAAAGCGCACCAACGAACAACACAAGGCGGTGTGGAGCAACACGCTGTTTTAATGTGTGCCTGGGTGCAGACGGGCTGAGGCTTAAAAGGGCATCAGCACCAAATGCGGACAGGGTAGCAGTTTTATAGTCTCCTGTAAACAGGAAGTATCTCAGTCTGATGTAACTGCTATGCAGTACCTGGACAGCAGTACCTCTCTCGGTCTTCAGGGGGTACATGTCTTCCGGCCAGTTCTCTTCCTGCTTCTGCCATCTTGCTGACAAACACTGTTGGCACAAGTGGTCTTGTGCCTTGGGACTAGGCCTCAGAAGTGAGGAGTTATTCACCACCACCTCCCCCCGCCGGCTTCCAGGCCCTGGGGAAAGTCTTTCATTCTTGTCTATTTGGTTATAGAAAAAGGGAAAAGCGACGACTTTCTCAATAACTACTTCAAGCGTGACATAGGGGGTGGTGTGGCCACCTTGGAAACAAAAACTTAATTTTGGGGGTATTTTTGAGAGATGGGTTGGTATTCATCATGTCGTTGCAGCAGGAGCATCGTCTGGATTGTCTGGTGGTTAACTATGGTTTCAACAAGACTTTTATTAGCTTTTATTATTAGTGGGATAATACAGGGGAGAAACAGGAGGAGCCCAGTGATGAAGATTACTGTCCCTACCAGCATTTTAAATCCTCTTAAATTAGAGAACCACCCTCCTAGAATGTTTGTTGGGTCCCATCCCTTCCAGGTTTGGACTGGTACATGGGCTACTTTTCTGATGTTTGAAGCGATTTATAGTACTGTTTTTCCATTATCGTCTATGTTAAGACAACAATTGGAGATATTAAACTTACCACAAACCTCACCTTCTGAAGTTGTTTGGAACTACCCACCTGGAGAAAGTACAGACAAAGACTAGAAGATAGTGGAGCTGTTTATCGGGTGGGATGTGAGTGAAGTCTACTTGCCAATCTTGCCCAGGTACCTGTCTCTGGGCTTGGTGGGTAGGAAAAGGCAGTGGCTGGAGGGAGCCCTGGGGTGACACTGAGTGGCAGATAGAGCAGGACTGGGTGATTTCTTGAACACAGCTGGAAAGGTGAGGACAAGTGAGAATAGGGCGGAGAAGTTGTAAGAGAGGTTTGGAACTGACATGGAAAAGTTGTGGAGACTTTGGGGGATAGGGATTGTTTGAGAGTGAGGAAGAACGAAGCGCCCTTCCTTGACCTACCATGGTCCTTGCTTTTGAAGGTTTTGGGCTCAGAAGTCCTCCTTTTCTTCCGAGGATTAAAGAGGAGAGAACAAGGACAGGGACAAAAACTGGCCTTGCACAGGTTGTAGGTGTACTTGTTTGGCTACCTAATCTGCTAGTGCATTTCCAGCTGCTATAGGATCGTATGGAGTTTGGTGGCCTCTGCAATGAATGATGGCAACTTTCTGTGGGAGCCTGGCAGCTTGAAGGAGTTTGTTGATGAGAGAGCCATGTATGACAGGAGTGTTTTTTGCAGTTAGGAAACGCTGTTCTTTCCAGATGGAAGAGTGTGAGTGCACTATGTGGAATGCATAATGAGAATTTGAATATATGTTGATCTGTTGTCTGGCTGCTAGAGTGAGAGCTTGAGTGAGGGCAATGAGTTCAGCTTTTTGGGAGGTGGTTCTTAGAGGGAGCATATTGGCTTCAATAGTGTGTGGGGGGTGACACTATAAAATAGCCAGCATGTTGGTGTCCTTGATGTAGGAAGGAGCTGCCATCTACAAACCAAGTAAAGGAGGCATCTGGAAGGTGTTGGTCTGTTAGGTTTGGAAAATGTATAAGAAATGTTTGAACAGTGTTCACACAGGAGTGCGTAGGGTCTTGGGTGGTTGTAGCTTCAGGTAAGAGTGTAGCCAGGTTTAGACAGGAGCTGGTTAGCATGGTGATGTGGGGAGTTTCTATGAATAGAGCATAGAGTTGGAGGAGCTGTTGGGCAGAGATGAGACTTAGTACACTGCAGTGAGCTAGCATGTCTTTGATGTTATGGGTTGAATAAACTGTTAGGTTGGCATGAAGAGATAGTTTTAAGCTTTCAAGGGTGAGGATAGCAGCTGCCGCCAATGCTTGGAGGCAGGCAGGCCATCCAAGAACTGTGGCTTCAAGCTGTTTAGGCAACAACCTGGAAGGTGGGTCCCTTAGACTGGGTTAGAACACTTATTGCAACTCCACATCATTCATTGGTGTAGAAGGAGAAAGGTTTGGTGAGGTCTAGGTCTGGGAGAGTGAGGACGGGGGCTGAGGCGAGAGCCTTCTGGAGTAGACGGAAAGGTTAGGTAATAGGCAGTGCAGGGTTTAAAGGCTCATGGAGAGGGCCTTTAGTGGCTTGGTATAACGGTTTGGTGAGTAGAGTGAAGGAGGGAACTCAGAGCCTAAAATATCCTGCTAGTCCTAGAAAAGAGATAATTTCTTGCTTAGTTTGTGGAGGTGGGAGGGACTGGAGGAGGGATATGCCATCGGTTGTGAGCCCTCGGGTTTGCGGGGTAAGAGCTAGGCCTAGATAGGTGACTGGGGGGGTGCTTATTTGTGCTTTCTTAGGGGAGACCTGATGCCCCCATTCTGCCAAGAAGTTTAAAAGAGAGATGGTATGGACATTGCAGTCTCTTTGAGAGGGTCTACATAGGTGTAGATCATCAACATACTGAAGGAGAGTGGATGGTTTTAGGGATAAGGTACAGAGGTCACGAGCCAGGGCCTGCCCAAAAAGGTGGGGGCTGTCTCTGAAACCTTGAGTTAGTATGCACCAGGTAAGCTGATGTGAAAGGTGGGTGTCGGGGTTTTCCCATGTAAAGACAAAGAGGTTTTGGGAATCAGGGTGTAAAGGAATTGTGAAAACAGCATCCTGTAGGTCTAGAACAGAAAAACAGGTGGTGTTGGAGGGAATTGCAGAAAGTAAAGTATATGGTTTAGGAACTACTGGACATACTAGGGGTATGGCTTGGTTAATGAGCCTGAGGTCCTGGACTAAGCAATAAGTTCCATCTGGCTTTTTGACAGGTAGAATTGATGTGTTAAAAGGGGAGTCTGTTGGGCAGAGTAGGTGACTGACAAGGAGGTGAGAAATGATAGGCTTTAGGCCTATGAGAGCTGCTTGGGGGATGGGATACTGCTTCTGTGATAGGAACTGGGTGGGGACTTTAAGAGTAACGTGGACAGGGGTGTGGTGTTTTGTGATTGAGGGTGTGGAAGTATCCCAAACAGTGGGGTTAACTATGGATGGGGGATAAGGAAAGGTTGCATGTTTTAAGGTGGGAGGTTGGAGGAGTAGAAGAAAGTTAGAAGCCCCAGAGGGGTCTGGGTTGATGCGTTGGGTACTATGGGGAATGTGGAAGTGGAGAGTAGTGTGGAGTTTTGAAAGGATGTCTCTACTTAGGAGCAGAGTTGGGCATGAGGGCAGGACTAAGAAAGAGTGAGTGAAGGAAAAGGTGTGCAGGGAGCAGAAAAGTGGAGAGGTGGCTCGGGGTTTGGAGACTTGTCCATCAATTCCCACAACAGAGACTTGGGAGGACTGGGTGGGTCCTGAAAAATTAGGTAAAGCAGAGTAGGTTGCCCTGGTATTAATTAAAAAACATACTGGCCTACCTGCCACCATCAGGGTTACCCTTGGATCACATGAAGAGATGGTAGTTGCCGGGGTGTCTGTTCCAGGGCACTGTCAGTCTTCAGCAGCAAGGCTGATGAGATACGAGTAGGAGGTTTTGACTGGCTCAGGAAGGGATGGGGGCAGTCCTTGTGGGGGCTGCTCACAGTCTGACTTCCAGTTGGGTCCTCCACAGAGGGGGCACAGCCTGGTGGGCTTACCTGGGTTTGGGCATTGTCTGGACCAGTGGCCTTCATTGCCACACTTGAAACAGGCACCAGGTGGAGGTGGATTGCTAGGAGGCTTCTGTGTGGAGCTGCGGCCCCCGTGGGCCCACAGAGCCCCTGATGGCAGAGGCAAGCATTTGAAACTCTGCCTGTTTTTTGCCTTTTACTTTTCTCATCACGATTGTTAAGGACTTTGAAGGCTAAATTAAGAAGGTCTCGTGTGGTTTGAAGGCTGTCGTCAAGCTTCTGAAGCTTGCGCCAAATACTGGGGGTGGATTGGGAGATGAACTGAAGGTTTAAGATAGTGGTTCCTTCTGGGCTGTCTGGGTCTAGGTTGGTATACTTTCTCATGGCTTCAGTTAAACGAGACAGAAAAGGGCTGGGTTTTTGTCGGGACCTTGGGTGATTTCTGAAAGCTTTTCATGGTTGACTGCTTTATGAGCACCCTTTTTGAGTCCTGTAAGGAGACACACAATCATGTGGTCTTGATGGCGGCGTCCAGGGGCCCTGTCTTGATAATCCCAGTGGGGGGCCTGGTTGGGGACTGCCTCTGTGTCACTAGGCTGGGCAGGAGCTTGGTGATGAATTGTATCAGCATGCGCCTGAGCTAGGGTCCAGATACGGTCCCAGTCTTCTGGGGTGAGGGTGGAAGAGAGGATAACATAGAGGTCATGCCAGGTTAGTTCATAAGACTGGGTGAGGTACTGAAACTCTCTAATATAAGAGGTAGGATCTTCTGGAAATGAACCGAGTCTTTTGTTAATTTGAGAGAGATCAGTGAGGGGGAAGGGAACATGAACTCTAACAATATCTTTAGTTCCTGCTACTTCCCAAAGTGGGCACTCTAGCACAGGCGCTGAAGTAAGCGTGGGGCATGGGCCAAAGATGGCACCTGAGCGAGTATGGGAAGGAGAGAAGGAAGAGCCTGGAAGTGGTTCCTGCTGAGGGTTTGAATGGGGAAAGGGGGGTTGAGTTAACAGGCAGTGGAAGATAGGGGCGTAAGGTGGCGGGATGAATTTGCAAGCCTCAGGAGAGGGCGCTGGGGGAGGACAATGGGTACAGGCAATTCTAGAATTGTCCTGAGGAGGGGACGGTGTAGAAAAAGAAGTGAATACAGCTGACTGGGAAGATGGCAGCTGGGAAGATGGCGGCTGAGAAGCTAAAGAGGAGGCTTGGGGGTTAAAGAAGATGGTTGAGAGGGGAGAGGTAGGGGCTGGGAGAGGTAGACAGCAGACTGCTGGATCAAACAAGGAAAAAGAGGTGGGGTGGGGAGGAGGAAGGCGATCTGGGTGGTGAGAATGGAGGAGAATGATTTGAACAGGTGAGCAAGAATTGCAGAGGTCAGGTTGTGATCTGAGTGCAAAAAGGCCTGGACATAAGGAATTTCTCCCCATTTCTCCAGTTGTCGGCAATAATTGCTTAAATTAGTTAAAATTATAAAGTCGAATGTTCCATTTGTGGGCCATTTGGACCTGTTATGTAATTCGTACTGTGGCCAGATTGAATTGCAAAAAAAGACAAGGCGCTTAGGGCGGATATCTTGCATGAGGCCTAAGGTCTGCAGGTTTTTTATGAGGCAGTCTAGAGGCTGCCTTTTGGAATGGAAGACTGGGAATTTCCCATAACGGAGGGTAGGCTCGGGAGAACAGGGAAAAGGAGACCATCCTGGACGGCCGGAGGGAGATGATAAAAGGAGCGATCGTCACTGCTGCCTTTTTCAAGGCCTTGTTCATGTTCCCTTCCCCCTCACTGATCTCTCCCAAATTAACAAGACTTGGTTCATTTCCAGAAGACCCTACCTCTTATATTAGAGAGTTTCAGTGCCTCACCCAGTCTTATGAACTAACCTGGCATGACCTCTATGTTATCCTCTCTTCCACCCTCACCCCAGAAGACTGGGACCGTATCTGGACCCTAGCTCAGGCGCATGCTGATACAATTCATCACCAAGCTCCTGCCCAGCCTAGTGACACAGAGGCAGTCCCCAACCAGGCTTAGAGGCATCCCCCTAAGACCAGATGATCAGTGAGTGCCTGGCACATGCCAGAGCCTTCTTGGACCAACATTGGATCTTTGGATTGGAGAAACCAAGAGAGGCCACGTGGATTTTTCTCTGTTAACCCGGCTCCTGGGAAATTTATCAGTAGATGAGATCAGTGACTGGTGTGCATGCACAGAGAGGTGACTGGAGGCTGAGGAGCTTCCTTTGTCCGGTTGCTGTGGACTACCGTCCAGGGTGGAAGGACACAAGGGACGCGGACCGGGGCCCCTTCCAGATTTCGGCACCAGATGTAAGGCTCTTGTATCAGTTTGAACCCCGAGAGCGCGCCAATGAACACCACAAGGCGGTGTGGAGCAACGCGCTGTTTTAATGTGTGCCTGGGTGCAGATGGGCTGAGACCTAAAATGGCATCAGCACCAAATGAGACCGGGCAGGGGTTTTATAGTCTCCTGTAAACAGGAAGTGCCTCAGTCTGATGTAACTGCTACAGGGTACCCGGACGGCCTCTCTCTCAGCCTTCAGGGGGTACGTGTCTTCTGCCGGCCGTCTCTCTTCCTGCTTCTGCTGTCTTGCTGATGCACGCTGCTGGCGCAAGTGTTCTTGCGCCTTGGGACTGGGCCTGAGAAGGGATGAGTTATTCACCCCCTCACCCTCTTCCCGCCCAGCTTCCAGGCCTCAGGGAAAGTCTTTCAAGAATGTGTTGGAGAACTGTTCCAGTGAGCACAGGGCTAGGGTAGGAGGATGAATGTTGGTTCCTCAGGGCAGGGTACCTTTCACAGCTGTATGTGGAAGGAAGTGAGGGAGGCCTCCAAACTGAGGATGGGGGTTGGCAGGTGGACAGAAGGTACTGGTTCTAGGAATAAGCTACCCACTGAATGGGAGTTCCTAGATTGGGGTTCTTCCTGGCTGCCTTGGAGTTCTTCCATCATATCTTTGTAATTGCTTCTTTCCTTTGCATCCAGGGAAGCTTTTGCAAATGGATTGTGTTTAATTTTCAGCTGTGAGCTCTTCATTCTGATAAGCTGTCACAGTTATTTATGAACTAGGTCTCGGAAAGCAATGGCTAGTGATCATGTGTTGTGGACACCCCACTCTCACTATGTGAATTCGAGGCTGGTGCTTATTAAGGAGTTTGACATAATCAGGCCCCCTCTGTGTAGCTAGTTGTTGATCTTGACTTTGCTGAGGGAGATGGACACCTTCATCTAGTAGGGCCCTGAGTTGGGGGAATTGGGCTGGATGGGCACACACCTGAGCACCTGCAGCTCAGGCTTGCCCTCTGGCACCCATTCCTGGTTCCCACTCCTGGTTTTCTTCCAGCGCTTACTGTGGGCCTCCATGAAGTCCAGCAAGAAGGAGTACATGGCTCTTAAAGCCAGGCCAGACATGCTTGGCACTGGAAACAACTTCCTGGCATTCCTGGTGGTGATCATGTCATTGGTGAGCTCCTTGAAGCATAGCCACAACTTGCTCTCCTCCAGGCCTATGTGCCACTTTCACTCTACATGGTCACCCTTCTCAATGCCTGGCTTGTTGCTCACGCTTCATGGCTCTCAGCAGGTGGTCCACTCGGTACTGCAGGCTCTTCGATGCACACTCTTACCAGTGCTGTGGGAGCTCATTCTCCTGCCTGCCTCCCCCGCACCCCCACTTTCTTCTAAGCCCCAACTTGCTACTTGAGAACCATCTTTACCTCTCCAAGACCTATGAAGGTGCCTGGGTCCCTGTATAGACTTGGAGGAGGGTAAGGACGGAGATCTGGTCAGGAAAGGCACTGGTGGTAAGGGGGAAGGTTATCATACTTGAACTCCTGAAAGGCATGACTAGGGCAGACCTCTTGCTCTTTTGTTTTTGCATCCCCTGTTTTTTGGCAGGTGTTTCCCAGGTGTATTAGTCCATTTTCACACTGCTGTAAAGATACTACCTGTGGCTGGGTGATTCATAAACAAAAGAGGTTTAATTGACTCATAGTTCTGCCTGGCTAGAGAGGCCTCAGGAAACTTACAATCATGGCAGAAGGTAAAAGGGAAGCAAGGACATTCTTCACATGGTGGCAGGAGAGGGAGAGAGCACACAGGGGAAACTGCCACTTTTGAAGTATCAGATCTCATGAGAACTCCCTCACTATCAAGAGAACAGCATGGGAAAACTGCCCCCACGATCCAGTCACCTCCCACCAGGTACAATTTGAGATGAGATTTGGGTGAGAACACAGAGTCAAACCATATCACCAGGATCACAGAAGTAGTGGAAGTGGATAACTAGAAGGAAAAGGGCAAAAATCCCTTGCTTATCTGGGTGCCATCTTTCTCTTGGCCCTTGATGCTTTCCAGATGTGACATGCTTACATATGTCTTCTCTCTCCTGAGCTACACTTCTGCATCTTTGGAGGCCTCTCACTTGGGATGTCTCTGCTTTACCCTTCTTTGAATTTATCCTGAGCTCCTGCTCCTGGAGGTTGACCCCACAACCTGTTATTGAGTCAGCCCTTTTAGGCCGGGTCACACACGATGTCTCAAGGCTGGGTTACCCTTTGCAGTGTGCACTCAGATCCTGGGCAACTCACATCGTTATGCAAAGGGTAGCCTGCTGCACACCCTCTGCACTCTACTTTTGCACACTGGTTCCAACCAACTCTTCAGTGAGAAGCAGAACCCAAGCTCTGTGTTCATAGGCACCCAGATTCCAGAGGACATCTGTCATTTTCTCTCATGAACTGTCCCTGGATGTAGTTCAATGACATTCAGCCCATGGAGCCTGCAGTCTCTCCCAGCCTCAGTGAGCAGTTTTCTGGGAGCCCTCCAACTCTCCCACCCACCACTGCACTTAATGAGTATGTAGGAGGTGTTGGGGGGTGAGGTGACAGAGAAGCACTCTAGAGAGGAGTGAAATACTATAGCCCACTCTTACTGGGTCTTTCCAACCGCCTCTTAAGATTAGTAAGGTTGAATGGGGTACAAAGGTGAGAGTCTAGGGGCCTTTAGTTTTCCCCTTGGAAAGCCTTGGAGGGGAATTCATTCCATGTCCTGTTATAATTATCTGGAGAGGTCAGCTCTACATTCAATTGAACCTGTGAGTGGATTTGGCAACTGTCTTGAGCTTAGCCCTGGTTGCCATAACTCATTAAGTTTCTCACAAGCATTTACTATGTTAACAGAACGCTGGGAATGGGGTGTGGGGGCGGGCGGAGAAGAAGAAGACATTCACAGTTAACACCTCTGATGACATCTCTGATAGCAAATAGATACTATTACAAGACTCTATCCACCCAAGAGCTAAATCGTTAGTCACAGATGCAAAGTGCTGTGTGGTCTTGAGTAAGCCTCTCAGTTTTCCCATCTATAAATCTAGAGTAGCAGTGCAGATTTACTTGGCAAGGTTTTTCTGAGGATTAAAGTACCCTAAATCATGTAATTAAAATGAACATAAAGTATTTTCCAAATTTGAAGAGCCATGGAAATGAGAAAAATAATTACTAAGAGACCCAGTGAGGGGCTATGTTTGAACTGTTGGCCATTCCTTGGGCAGTAGTAATTTCCTGGCAGGAACTGGCCTGGGAGGGCCCTTGACAGATGTTGCACAGAACTAGTTTAAGAAGGGCTGACTGGCATGTGGTTTTTATTTTATCTTTGTAAAGCTACAGTGTGAGGCCTGTGACAGCAGGAGGAGGCCGTGAGGTATTCACTTGACAGCCTGCCATTGTCAACTCTAATGGGAGAGAAACTTCAGTGGCTAGAAGGGCAGCCTCAGGTTGTAAGCGATTCATTTTTAGTTCAGCTGCAATAACTCCTGCTGGTGATTTAATCCTGTGACTTAGGAACTCTTCGTGTGTGCTTGAGTGAATGAATAAAAGAGAGACAGAGTGAGAGAGAGAGAGAGTGTGTGTGTGTGCACGTGTGCACACATGCACACACATTCATGTGAACAATTTCTATTCACTCACTTGTGATTACCAATGGGCCACATTCTATTTAGGTTTTGGAGGCTTGGCATGAAGCATGTTTTGCTAGGATGATTTGTTTTTTGGACAAGGAAGCTAACATGGTAAGTCATATGATAATTTAGTTTATGTCTTCATTGTTGCAGAGTTTGGCTGATAGCAAGGGCAGTCGAGAATGATAGTCTCATATAGACCTTAATCCCAGCTCCTAAAGTAGAATGGAATTGTGGAAATCAAGTTTTCTGGTCTAAAATAAATGTTTTGTGGCATTCTTATAAAAGGAACAGGTTGAAAAGTCCCTGTGGAATCTTAATTTTGCCACTGCAGATTATTGAAGACCCCAGGTGAGCAAATCAACTGTGAGGAGGTGATTTTTATCAGTTGGCATTGAACAGACCACAGCATAGCTATCACCTGCATGGCCTTCCTTTGCCTTTGATGATCGTGTGTGTCAGTGGGATGGAGGATTTTTTTTGTTTTGTTTTGAGACAGAGTCTCCCTCTCTCGCCCAGGCTGGAGTACAGTGGCATGATCTCGGCTAACTGCAACTTCCACCTCCCAGGTTCACGTGATTCTCCTGCCTCAGCCTCCCGAGTAGCTGAGATTACAGGCGTGTACCACAATGCATGGCTAATTTTTCTATTTTTAGTAGAGAAGGGGTTTTGCCATGTTGGCCGGGCTGGTCTCGAACTCCTGACCTCAGGTGATCCTTGGCCTCCTGAAGTGCTGGGATTACAGGCATGAGCCACTGCACCTGGCTGGGATGGAGGATTTTAAAAGGAGTTGTATTGCCTTTTTGAAAAAAAAATCTAGAGGCACCCCCCCCCCCCGCTTTTATAATGACCCTTTTGACTGAAACTTTATCTTAAAAATTCCAGGATAAGGGATAAATTAGCCAGTTGAATGTGATTTCCATGTGCTATAAATTTTCATATTCTCCCAAAATTCCTTTCTCAATGCGATGGCATTTGGGAGTGGGGCCTTTTGGAGGTAATTAGGTCATGAGGGCAGAACTCTGATGAATGTGATTAAAGGCCTTATAAAAGAGGTTCCACAGAGATCCCTCATCCCTTCTACCATGTGAGGTCACAGGGAGAAAGCACTGTCTGTGAACCAGAAGATGGGTTTTCACTAGACACCAAATCTACCAGAGCTTTGATCTTGGACTTTCCAGCCTCTAGAACTGTGAGAAATCATTTCTGTTGTTTATAAACCATTCAGTTTATAATATTTTGTTATAGAAGCCCTGTTGGACTAAGATACCATGAATCTAGAGATATTTTGCATATTTTATTCACCGCTGTATCCCTAGGCCCTAGATATGACCTGACATTTATTTAAGGTGCTCAATAAATATTTGTTTGATGAATGAATCAATCGAAAAAGGGCTATAACCTCCTATTAGGAGTGATCTCTGGGTATTGGCTCATGCTTGCCTTTTGGGATCATTTGCATGGATGTCATAAGTGCTAAAATCTTAAGCCACGAGAAATATGGAGCTTGTTTCCACCGCAGTGATTTTCTGTGAAATCACTACCCAAAGATTTTTCACGCTTTCCAAAAATATTTTTTGAATGAACACATGTCATGGGTGGGGAAGTTTTCCTCTTATTGGGCAGATATTTATTTTCTTATTTCATGCAGATGCCCCTGTGATGTTAACTTAACCCTACTACTGGGTTTTCCATTTTTTTGCATTTGAATCATACTCAAACCCATGCCAGAGAACAATGCAGTTCAGCTTTCTGATGACCATGTACAGTTTTTGCAAGGTGGTCTATCTTGTCCCTTTTTAAACTGAGGACTAATTTAGTATAAAAGATCATTTAGAGAACCTATTCCATCTATTCTAGCTTTGCCAGCATGCACAGAAACACCCAATGCCACAAAATCACTGAAATGAGACTCACACACCAGGATTAAGGGAAGATGATGCTTTTGATGAAACATTAGTGAACAAATAGAATTTTAGAATCAATGATAATCTCTGCCTCATTATGTAATTTAAGCCCCTTGATTTGTACCTGAGGAAACCAAAGCCCTGTGGAGCACAGACTAAGGACGTATAAGAACTGGAGTTAAGACTTATGCCCTCTGACTGACAGTAAATTCTTTCCATAGTACTGTCACAGCATGCCACAGGGAACAAGTGTCTTTTTATCTTTTAATAACTGTATCGAATGCTTAAGGCCAGAAAGAAGAGTATAGATGTTAACAGATATTTGCACTGTACCAGCTCCCAGCCACCTGAAAGAGCTTGATGGGTCGGCATCAGTGAGTCTTGGAGAGTACATGAAGACCCGTTGCTCACAGGGTGTGAACTGGGAGTTGGAGGCAGTCTGGTGCAGGTGGAAAGGCATTGAACTGGGGTGGAGTGAGGAAGCTTAGGTTCTGATTCTGATCGAGCCATTGCCATGCTATATATATTTTACCTTGTTTAGTCCTAATTACCATCCTACTAGGTAGGGATGGTTATTCTTATTTTAGGAATGAGGAAACCGGGGCTTAGAAAGGTTAGGAAACTTTTTTAAATTAAGGTTATACAGGCTAATAAGTGGCAGAGCTTCATTTGAACCCCAGCCTATATAATACTACCCAAAAGTTACTGCCCAGTTTCCCTCTCTGAGCCTCATTGAAAAGAAAATGTTTGGATGATCTCTGACATTCCTTCCAGGTCACAAATTCTACATTTGATCTTGTTTTTTTTGTTTTTTTTAGTGATGTTTGGCTTTGAAGATTTAGTCCACCCCCTTTCCTCCCTCGTTGTTGGTGAACTGATTGTTACACAACCAACCTCACCTCATTGTTGGTGAACTGATTGTTGGTGAACTGATTGTTATATATGGTGAACTGATTGTTATATAGATTTTCACACGTCTGTCTCCCAGGATAGTGTGCTAAGAGGACCATTGGAGACTGTAGAAGTTTGTTTCTTTTAGGTGTAAGCCTTGTTTCTCAGGGTACTATGCTTTCACTAGCATCTTAAATAATTAGGTGACAGAGACTATTAACACTTTATTTTCACATAACACCAAGTAACTAAGAATTGCTATTATTTTGCCAATTAGCCCATGCAATCCTTAGCTCATAAACCAAACTATTATCTTCAGATACATATTAGTCTCGATTACCCAGAGAAACAGAACCAATTGGAGACCTATATCTATATCTATACCTGTATCTTTCTATAACTATACATGTAGAAAGGGAGGGAGGGAGGGAGGGAACGATGGAGAAAGAAACTATAAGGAATTGGCTCATGTGGTTATGGAGGCTGAGAAGTCCTAGAATCTGCAGTTGGCAAGCTGGAGACTCAGGAGAGCTGATGTTGTAGTTCTAGTGCAACTCTGAAGGTCTGAGAACCAGTAGAGCTGATAGTGTAAGTTCTAGTCTGAGGAGAGGACTGAAGACAGAAGACTAATGTTCCAGCTCAAAGACAATGAATGAATTGGATGAGGCTCACCCACATTGGGGTGGGCAATCTGCTTTACTCATTCTGCCAATTCAAATGTTAATCTTATCTAGAAACACTCTCACAGACATACTCAGAACAATGTTAAACCAACTATCCGGATACCACATTGCCCAGCCAAGTTGACAAATAAGTTAACCATTACAATATACTAGAACTATTATGTTTTTACACTTCAAGAGGTGTTGAAGTGACTCAGTCGATCTAAGGGGAAAAGGTGATATGCTATTAAAAATATAAACACAGATAAAAACTGTATGTTTTAGTTAGGGTAAGCTAACTGTTATAACAAATAGACTCCAAAATTTCTACTGGCTTAATCATAAAAGAAGTTTATTTCTTGCTTGTTACAAAGTACTGATCAAGTTACCAGGTCAGCAGAGTCCCTGCTAAAAGAGGCCTCTTCATCTTTAATATGTAGCTTCTGAAGTCAGCCCAAATGTTGTCTTCATCTCAACCAGCTGGGAGGAGAAAAGAGCATGGAGAAGTGCCACATGGGAGGATTTTATGAGCTAGGCCAGGAATGGCCCAAGTCTTTTCTGTCACATTCTTTTGCATGGAACTCAGTCACATGGCTGCACCTAACTGTTTGGGGGCGGCTGAAAAATGTAGTCCCTGGCTGGGCAGCCCATATCCCAGCATGTCCACTGTACCCTGTATAAAGAATCAGAAGATCTGAATTCTGGAATTGGCTTTCCTATTAACTGGCTGGTGATCTTTTCTTGTCTGTAAAATGTAAAAGCTTGTTGATATCCCAAATACCTTCTTGCTCTAGAATTCTGTGTCTCTGTTTTGCTCTTTAAAAGAAAATGTTCTGTGTGAAGACAGCTAGTTCTTTGCCTGGATGCAGTGAAGGTCCTGGTTCATGCAGCAAACTTTGTCTCATGTAGGACTTAATACTGGCAAATCAGGGAGCCAAGTCTGGGGGCTCTTTTGATCCTGTACTGGATAAATTATTATTCACTGGGCATAGTAAGCATTGATTCATGGGTGGCAGTTTACTGTATTTTAGGGGTCTTCTAAGTGGTGTGTGCCCCTGGCCCACATGAAGATTTTTCCAAAGGGTTAGGTGTTACAGCCAGCATTTTTAGAGGATCAGTTATCTTTAATTTTTATATGTACCTACTCCTAAACTGATCAAAGAACATCTGCAATGAAAGAATTTTGTTAGTTCTTCTTTCCCACCTCTTTCACAGTTGCCCTTCTCTACCTTTACAAATGAAAGTCTACTGCTTACTCAGCCTGCATCTTGCATAGTTCATTGTTCCAAGTGTAGAAACCTCTAGGGCACCAAAGTGATTTTTTAAAATATGTGTCACTTATATTCAAGATATTAAACATACTTTCTCCATCTGGCACATTAAAGAGTATATTTATAATAAAAGTTTTGCTTTTTATGTTTAGTAATAATTTATGAAAAGTATATGTATTTATGTTGTTTTGATCAATTATGTACCACTCATAATTGAGAATACAGCTCAGTAAAACATTATTTAACTTATAGCCTGATAGTGACAGAAACTTAAAAAATATTTTTTATTTATATTTGGTACTTTTAAATTTAAAACTATTTTGCCCTAAGAGAAAATTCTATAGCAAAGGTGAAACAGAAATACAATTTCAAGAAGCTAAAGGAGTGACTGTGTGTACTCGGGTGATGATTGAGATAGATTCCGCCCTTGTGGCTGATAAACTAGTGGAGGAGGCATAAACAAGTAAATTAGCAAAAGTGCAAGATAATTTTAGACCATGATAAATGCTATGAAGAAGGTAAGCAGGAGGGTGGTCAAAGAAAGCCTCTCAGAGGAAGTGGCATTTGGTATGAGCACAGAAGAAGTCTTCTCTCCTCTTGAGCAAATACATCCTCTCAGGTTGGGGCATGGATATGGTGGAAGGGAAGCAGAGCTTATTTCTGTTAAAAAGAGCTTGTTCATGGCTGGGTGCGGTGGCTCACGCCTGTAATTCCAGCACTTTGGGAGGCTGAGACAGGTGGATCACGAGGTCAGGAGATGGAGACCATCCTGGCTAACACGGTGAAACCCTATCTCTACTAAAAATACAAAAAATCAGCTGGGCATGGTGGCACACGTCTGTAGTCCCAGCTACTTGGGAGGCTGAGGCAGGAGAATCGCTTGAACCTGGAAGGTGAAGGTTGCTAGTGCCACTCTACTCCATCCTGGGCGACAGAGGGAGACTTGGTCTCAAAAAAAAAAAAAAAAGAGAGAGAGAGAGAGCTTGTTTATGTATATTTTAAATGGATGCTGATGGAGATCAAATTGCTTTGGTATTTATATTCCCACTGGATACATTTAAAGGAATGACATAAGTTTGTGATATTTAAACTATTTCAATAGTCACCATACACTAGAAATTATATCATTTGCAAATATTTAAACTTACAATGAAAACTTTTTCATATCAACCTAAAATGAACAAGTGGTAAATAGTTTATTAAAATGTTTTTGGGGATACATGAGCAAAGGACTTTCAAAACCACTGGCATAGTAGCTTAGAATATGGGCTTTGAGTTTAGGCTGCTTAAGTTGGAATCCTGGATCCACTACTACTGGTCGTGTGATGAAGAGTCAGTTCTGTGAGCAACAGCATCTGAATCTGTAAAACAGAACTGTAATCCCAGCACTTTGGGAGGCTGAGGTGGGTGGATCACAAGGTCAGGAGTTCGAGACCAGCCTGACCAACATGGTGAAACCCCCGTCTCTACTAAAAAAAAAACTACCCGGGCATGGTGGCACATTACTGTAATCCCAGCTACACAGGAGGCTGAGGCAGGAGAATCGCTTGAACCTGGGAGGTGGAGGTTGCAGTGAGCCGAGATCTTGCCACTTCACTCCAGCCTGGGCAACAGAGTGAGACTCTGTCTAAAAAAAACAAAACAAAACAAAAAAACGAAAACGAACAAACACAAAAAGCACCTAAGAAGGAGGAAATTTGAAGTTTACATGAGATAATGCATGTCAAGTGCTAATCTCACAATAAGGGCTGAACAATGTTTTCTATATTATCAACATTATAACTTTGCTCTCAACTGTATAGTGCTGATTGAACTCTATTATCTTTCATATGGTTGCAGAGCAGGCTGAAAGGTAAATTGTGAAATCTAGCCCTTTGCTGAACTGGAGTAGCACTTAGGGGCAAACTACACTATTCATTTCATTCTTTCCTACTTGCTTTATGTGTTATTGATTGATATTCATTCATTCATTGATAGTCCAAGTTGAGTATGTTTTGAGACACTTACTGAGCAGTCCTGCACCTTGACTACAGTGTGGTCTCTTCTCCTCCTTGTAGTTCATTGAAGTCATTCCAAGGAAATTACAGATTTTCCTTCTCTCCCTGTGCACGTGTACCTCTAGAGTGTAGGGAGATGCAATCTTGAGAAGAGTACTTGGTTTCTCCCTGAGGACAAGCTGATGGCACTGGCTCTGTCTCCTGATGTCCTTGCTGTGGCTTCCTCCTTTGTTCTGCTAAGGCCTTAGGGCCTTTGTGTGACACAGCTGGGGATTACTAGGAAGAAGTAAATATTTGCAAAGGGTGTTCTGTAGAATGTTAAAAAAAAATAGAAAAAAATTAAAGGCCAGGTGCAGTGGCTCCTGCCTACAATCCCAGCACTTTGGGAGGCCGAGGCAGATGGATCACCTGAGGTCAGGAGTTTGAGACCAGCCTGGCCAACATGGGTGAAACCCCGTCCCTATAAAAATACAAAAATTAGCTGGGCATGGTGGCGCATGCCTGTAATTCCAGCTACTCAGGGGGCTGAGGCAGGAGAATTGCTTGAACCCTGGAGGCAGAGGTTGCAGTGAGCCGGGATTGTGCCACTGCACTCCAGCCTAGGCAACAAAGTGAGACTCCATCTCAAAAAAAATGAAAAAAAAATTGCAAAGGAAAGGGGACCTTGGGAGCAAGTTAACATGGTCTGGTGAGGTGAAGAGAAAAGCTGAATGAAGGTGGCATTAGAAGGAGAGAGGATTTAAAATTATTGAGGGAAGTATGATTAAAGAAACTGGAAGATGAAGGTAAAGGATGGTAGAAAAATTAGCGTTAAAAAAATAGAGTCTGCCAAAAGCAAAAGTAAGGATTCATTAAGATACATAGCAGAAGGAAAATTGTGAAATGAAGTAAAGGAAAAATACAACTGATGAATCACCAGGGAGTTATAGCAAGGCCTTAAAAATCATTAATGGAAAGTTTAATGCCAAAATATTAGAGTAAAAAGATAGCTTGAAAGTACACAGCTTGTCTGTGCCTGGCTCCTAAAAAACACCACAGAACGGCCAATCCTTTGCCTCTGGCACCCACACAGCATGCATGCCCTGAAGTGAAATCTTTCATACCGTCCCTATACTCCCTCTTCACACACAAGCTTTGTTACCATTCTTTTTATTTCATTCCCACTGGTCCAAAACTGTATATGCAACCTATAAGAACTGACCCAGCGGTGCTGCCAATGTGCAAAGACCTGCATCCATGGGCTGCCTACTTCTGGCAAAGGATCAGTTTGCTTAAGTTGTCCACTTCCCTTGTCATACTACTGACTTGTCAATATTACAAGTGTTTATTGACAGTCTTCCTTCTTTCAGCTGAAGGCCTTTCAAGTTAGGGACTGTGGCTCTTTTGCTTATTGTAGTAGTCCTGGAACCTAATGTGTGGAGAATGGATTAGATGGGGAGAGAGTAGGAGTTTACCTACTACCAGGGTAAGAAGTAGTTTTGGTGAGTTAAGGGTGACTTGGTTTAGGGAGTTGGAAGCTGCGGCATAGGAAAATGTCTGTTTGAGACTTTTAGGAGATATGTTTTGATGAAAGAAAAGGACTTGGTAATTGATTGGATGTGGGTACTGAGCAAGGGAAAGTGTCAAGGATGACTTGGAGAGAGCTCTGATTGGGTGGTGGTATAATTGAGTATAACAGAGAACACTGGACGAGGATCAAGTTTGCGAGGGAAATAAAAAACCCCTGAGATATCCTGGTGGAAATGTTGAGTTGGCAGTTGGATGTATGGAGCTGAAAGTGATGTCCTTTCACTCCCATTTCTCTAGACTTGACTTACTTCCTGATCCCAGATCTCTGTTTCCAACCAATTATTGAACATATTATCTGGAAAAACCACAGGCTGCTCATTCTCAGCATGACTAAAACTCACCTAATCATATTCCTCTGTGTAGCCTGGTTTCCTTCTTAAAATCTTAGTCATTCAGTGGGAATTTTATTTTCCTGTTTCCTCTGTCTCTACCTGACCTGCAAATCCATTCCACCCTTGTCATGTAAGTCTTTTTGATCTATACGTCTAACTCTTATTTTCATTTCCACTGCCATTGTTCCACTCCCACTGCCTGATGCTCATTTTACCCCTGCCTATTATAATAGCTTCCAAATTTGTCTCCCTGAAACTGTGATTTCTTAACTTCAAGCACACGTCCTTATTCACACTGGGTGCAATCTTTCAAAGGCTCAATAGTAAGTATGAGTTTTAACCCCACAGTATGTTAGAAAACGCCTTTCCCCTTCTGTCCTCTGCATACCTCACCAATCTTGTCTTCTTTGCTCAACCAATCTGTAATCAGATCTTTGGATAACCTGCTATTATACAAATGCGCACTCTAATTTAGGCACCCTTGTGCCTGTTGTTTCCTCTCTTCAGGATGAAGTTTCTTCACCTTTGGCCACCTTGGATACTGTTTTCTTAGCTTGGAATGTGTTTTCCTCACTTCATTCAAAGGACCAGCTTAAACATCACCTCCTCATAGAGACCTACACTGTGCCTGTGTCTTGGTTTAGCTCCCTTGCCTACTTTTACTTTAAGACACTTATCACAATGATGATGGTATTATTTATGTGATCATTTATGTAATGACTATCTCTGTCACTAGATTAAAGACCTCATAGGGTCAGGGTCTGTGACTATTTCATTCACCATTGTGATTCAGCATCTGTGGATTGCAGTTGCAAGCATGGATAGGGATGAAATTAGTCAAAGAGAAAATTTGGAGTGAGGAAAGAAAGTCAAGACAGAACACTAGGGAATACCAATATTTATGGAGCTGGACATGAAGGCAGATCCCACAGAGAAGTCTGTGGAGGAGCACTGGAGAAGGTAAGAGAACAGGGCAGAACAGTGTCATGGAAGTCAATGATGGAGAGGATTCCAAGAAGAAGGAGAGAACACTTAATAGTCTGGGACCAAAAAAAAAAAAAAAGATAAATGAACTTGAAGGCATAGCAATAGAACCTATCCAAAATGAAGCTTACACACAGAGATAAAAAAGACCAAGAAAAATAAGAGAGACCTGGAGGCAATAACATGTTGACTGACATATGTAAATGGGAGGCTTCAGAAGAGAAGAGAGTAAAAGAGAACAGAGATAATATTTAAAGAAATAATGACCAAACATCTTTCATATTTTATGAAAGGTATAAACTCACAGAGCTAAGAAACTCGGAACATGAAGCAAGATACCTACTAGGGAAACCACACCAAGAACTTCATTATCAAATTACAGCAAGTTACTAATTCTGACAAAAATCTTAAAATTAGAGAAAAAAGGGCACATTCCATACAGGGAACAACATAAAAATAATTACAACAGAGTTTTCGGAAACTATGCATGTCAGAAGACAATGGAGTAACATCTTTAAAATGCTGGAACAAATTTTGTCAATCTAAAATTCTAGACCCAGAGAAAACACCTTTCAAACATGAAACATGTCTTTCCTTAGACAAAGAAAAGTTGTGAGAGTTGGCCAGCACACCTGCAGTACAAGGCTTGTTAAAGGAAGTTCTTCAGGCAGAAGGAAAATGATACCTGATGATAATGTGGATCTACACAAAAGAATAAAGAGCTCTGAAAGTGATAAATATGTGGGTAAACTAATTTCATCATTTAAAAAATTTTAAAAAGGCAACAGTAGACTGCTTAAAACAACAAACAGCAGCAACAATATATTGGGGGAATTCATGACATGAGAAAGTAAAATACATGACAACAATAGCACAAAGGGCATTGGGGGGGAAATGGAAGCACACCAATGCAAAATTCTTGTATTTTATGTAAAATATTGTAATGTTTTTCCAAGGTAGACAAATAAGATAAAGATGCGTATTAAAAGCCCTAGATGAATCATTAAAAAATAAAGTATAGCCAATAAACCAATAGTATTGAGAAAATGGAATTTAAAAATACTCAGCTAGCAGGAGGCAGAGCAAGATGGCTGAATAGAAGCCTTCAACCAATTGTCCTCCTTGCAGGAACACCAAATTTAACAACTATCTACCCACATAAAAAAACACCTTCGTAAGGACTGAAAATCAGTTGAGTGACCACTGTACCTGGTTTTAACTTCATGTCACTGAAAGAGGCACTGAAGAGGATAGGAAAAACAGTCTTGATTTGTCAGTGCCATCCCTCTCTGGTTCCCTGGCAGTGGCCGCATAGCAAAGAGAATCTGTGCTCTTGCGGGAGGGAGAGTACAGTGACTGTGGGACCTTGCATTGGAACTCAGTGCTGCTCTGTCACAGTGGAAACAATACTGGGCAGAACTCAGCCAGTGCACGTGGAGGAAGCATTTAGACCAGCCCTAGCCAGCAGGGCTTTATCCATCCTAGCAGTGGGAACTTGAGTTCTGGCAAGCCTCCCCACCACAGGCTAAAGTGCTCTGGGGTTCTAAATAAACTTGAAAGGCAATCTAGGCCATAAGGACTGCAACTCCTAGGCAATCCTAGTGCTGGGCTCAGAGCCAGTGGATTTTGAGGGCATGCAACCTAGAGAGACACCAGCTGGAATGGCCAAGAGAGTGCTTATGCCACTCCTTCCCCAAACCCACGCAGTGCAGCTCACAGCTCCAAAAAAGACTCCTTCTTTCTGCTTGAAGAAAGGAGAGGGAAGAGTAAAGAGGACTTTGTCTTGCAACTTGGATACCAGCTCAGTCACAGTAGGATAGGGCATTAGGCAGAGTTATGAAGCCCCTATCCCAGGCCCTAGCTCCCAGATAACATTACTAGACACACCCTGGGCCAGAAGCAAACTCATTGCCTTGAAGGGAAGAGCCCAGTCCTGGCAAGATTCATCATTTGCTAGCAAAAGAGCTCTTGAACCCAAAATAATCAGCAGTGGTAGGTGGGTAGTACATGCCATGGGTCTTGGGTGAGACTCTGAGATGTGCTGGCTTCAGGTGTGACACAGCACATTCCCAGCTGTGGTGGCTATGAGGAGAGACTGTTTCTGCTTGAGAAAAGCAGAGGGAAGAGTAAAGGAGACTTCATCTTGCAGCTTAGGTACCAGCTCAGCCACAGCAGGGTAGAGCACTAAGTGGGCTCTTGGGGTCCCCAGTTCCAAGCCCTGGCTCTTGGACAGCATTTCTGGACGTCCCCTAGGCCAGAGGGGAGCCCACTTCCCTGACATATGAGTCCTAAGCCTGGCAACATTCACCACAAGCTGACTGGAGATCCCTTGGGCCTTAAGTGAACATCAGCAGTAGCCTGGCAGTACTCCTCACAGGCCTGTAGCAGTGGTCACCATGAAGAGAGACTCCTCTGCTTGTGGAAGGGGGAGGGAGGAGTATGAGGGACTTTATATTGTAGTTTGGGTGTCAGCACAGCAGCAGTAGAATAGAGCACCAGGGAGATTCCTAAGATTTCCAACTCTAGGCCCTGGCTCCTGGATGGTATCTCTGGACCTGCCTGGGGCCTGGGGGGAGCTTGCCATCCTTAAGCGAAGGACATGAGCATGGCTGTTTTCACCACCTGCTAATTATAGAACCTTAGGGCCTTGAGTGAACACAGGCAGTAGGCAGATAGTGGTTATAGCAGGCTTTGAGCGAGGCCCAGAGCTCTGCTGGCTTCAGGTCTAACCTAGCACAGTCCCAGTGGTAGTGGCCACAGGGGTGGTTGTGTCATCTCTCCCCCAGCTCTAGGCACCACAACACACACACACACACACGGAGGGAAGAGGAGGAGGAGGAGAGAGAAAGAAACGGACTCTGTTTCTTTGGGAGAAAGTAAGGGAAGAGAATAAGAGTCTCTACCTGGTAATCTGGAGAATTCTTCCAAATCTTATCCAAGATCATCAAGGCGGTACCTCTATAAGTCTGCAAGAGCCACAGCGTTACTGAGCTCGAGGTGTCCCCCTAATGCAGATACAGCTGCAGTGACCAAAAACTCAGATGACAATATCCAAGTTCCTTTGAATACCTGGTAAGCTTTCCCAGGAAGGATGGTGTATTAGTCTGTTCTCACACTGCTATAAAGAACTGCCCAAGACTCAGTAATTTATAAAGGAAAGAGGTTTAATTGACGGTTCTGCATGTCTTGGGAGGCCTCAGGAAACTTACAATCATGGCAGAAGGGGAGGCAAATGCATCCTTCACATGATGGCAGGAAGAATTGCTGAGCCAAGGCTGAACTTTTAAAAACCCAATTATGTGTAGTCTATAAAAATTTATTTAAATAAAAATACACAAAAGAGAAAAGCTGGGAAAAGATAAAGCTGTTTTAGTTATATTAATAGCCAAAAAAAATAAGAACTATTACCAGGGATAAAGAGGAATATTTCACAATGATGGAGTCAATGAATCAATAAGGCATAACATTCCTAAATGTGTATTCACCTTATAACTAAACCTCAAAATTCATTAAGCACTTGACAGATCTGGAAAGATAAAAAGATAAATCTACAATTATAATTGCAAATTTCACCACTCCTTTTAGTAATTAATAGAACAAGTCAACAAATAGAAATATGGAAGAATTAAACTAATCATCAACTTGAACTAATTGACATTTTTAAGAACATGTCACTTAACAAATGCAAAATATACATTCTTTTCTAGTGCAGTGGAGCATTTACCAAGATAGACCACATGCTTAGCCATTAAACAAGTCTCCAGAAATTTAAAAGGATTGATATGATATAGAGTATGTTTTCTGACTACAAGGGAATAAATTAGAAATAAGCAATAGAAAGATACATAGAAAATCTCAAAATACTTGGAAATTAAATAGCATACATTGAAGTAATTAATGGTTTAAAGATGAAATAAAAAGGAAAGTAGAAAATATTTGGGGGTAAATGAAAAGAAGACACACATATCAAAATTTGTGAAATGCAGCCTAAAGGGAAATTTATAGGCTTAAAAGCTTAATTAGAAAAGAAGAAAACTCTATAAGCAACAGGCCAAGCTTCCATCATAAGCTAGAAATATAAGAGCAAATTAAACCCCAAACTAGTAGGAAACAAATAGTAAAGAAGAGAAATAAATGAAATAGAGAAACAGTGAAGAACAATGAAATCAAAATCTGATTCTTTGAAAGATCAGTATAATAGATAAACTGCTGGCTATATTGATCAAAAAAACAAAAAGGATGACAAATATTACCAATATAGATAATGAAAAAGGGGACATCTCTAAGATTCTTTATATACTAAATGTCTATAATTAAGGGAATATTATAAAAAAACTTGATGTTAATAAATTAAACAACCTTGATGAAATGGACAAATTCCTTGAAAGACACAATCAAAACTAACTCAAGAATCAACAGAAAACCTGAATATCAATTAAGCACATTAATTTGTAATTAGAAATCTTTCCATAAAAAAATGTATAGGCCCAGATTTATTACCTGGTCAATTCTATTACCGGGTCAGTTTATTACCTAGTCAATTCTATCAGACATTCAAGGTAGAAATATAAGTGACAATCCCTTATCCAAAACGCTTGGGACCAGAAGGACTTTAGATTTTTGATTTTGGAATGCTTCCATTATACTTACCAGTGGAGCATCCCAAATCCAAAAATTTGAAGTCTGAAATGCTCCAATGAGCATGTTCTGTGAGCACCATGTTGTTACTCAAAAAGTTTTAGATTTTGAAGCATTTCCTATTGCTGATTTTTGGATTTGGAATGTTCAACCTATACCACTATATGAATTTGTTTTGAAAATATAGGAGAAATACTTTTATTTTATATGGTCAGCACTTTTCTGATCTCAAAACCAGACCAAAAATATTGCAAATAAAGACAACTACAGAATAAAATTACTTATGAACATGGACCAACAATCTTCAACAAAAGATGTGCAAACTGAAAATGAAATATATAAAAAACGTAATACATGATAATCAAATAATGTTTATCCTAGGAATACAAGGTTGCTTAACATTACAAAATTAATGAATGTAGTTCATCTTATTGTCATAATGGGACAAAAACCATATCATCATTTCAATAAATGCAGAAAAGCCACTTGATAAAATTAACATCCATTACATATTATCATATTGTACCATAATCATCTTCCAGTAAACTAAGAATAGAAAGGAACCTCCTCAATCTCATAAAAGGCTGATGATGACACATTTCTATGAATATACTAAAAACTACCAAATTTTACACTTTAAGTGTTTGAATTTTATGGTATGTGAATTATTAAACTGTTTTTTTTAAAAAACCTGTTGCTGACTTAGTATTTAACCTGAGTGCTTTTGCCCTAAGATCAAGTAGACAAGGATGGTCACTCTCTCCACTTTTCAACATTCTATTGAAGACTCTTGCCAGTGCAGTAAGACGAGGAAGAAAAATAAGAGGCACATAGGTTAGAGAGCTACAAGTAAAACTGTCTTTATTCACAGATGACATGATCAAGCATGCAGCAAACAGCAAATCTTCATGAATCTACCAAAAACTAGTAGAACTAATAAGTGATTTTAGTAAGATTTCAGGATGCAAAATTAATTGCATTTCTATATATTAGCAATAAACAGATGGAAATTTTAAAAAGGACAATATTATTTGCAATAGCATCTCAAAGCATGAAATACGTGAGTATGATGATTAATTTTGTGTATTAGCTTGACTGGGCTATAGGGGGCCCAGGTGTTTGGTTAAACATTACTTTTGGGTATGTCTATGAAAGTATTTCTAGATGAGATTAACATTTGAATGGGTAGACTGAGTAAAACAGGTTGCCTTCCCCAGTGTATATGGGCCTCATCTAATCCAATTCATTGGGAGCCTGAATAGAACAAAAAGCAGGGAAAGGGAGAATTTCCTCTCTCTGTTTTTAAGCTGGGACATTGGTCTCCTGCAGTCAGACTGGAACTTATACCATTGGCTCCTAGGTCTTTGGACTTGAACTGGAACGTATATCATCAGTTCTACTGATTCTCAAGCCTTTGGACTTGGAGTAGAATTTACATTGTTGGTTCTTCTGGTTCTTAGGTGTAAGGACTTGAACTGGAAGTTCACCATCAGCTCTCCTGTGTTTCCAGCTTGCAGATGGCAGATGGTCTGACTTCTCAGCCTCCATAATTACATTAGCCAATTCCATACATATATAGCCAATTTATATACATATATAGTTGGTTCTGCTCCTCTGGAGAACCCTGACCACTCCAAAGGGGTTAAATTAAATAAAGTATATGTTAAAACCCCTACCCTGAAAACTGGAAACATTTCTATGTGAAATTTAAGAATATGTAAATGTATTGATTTATGATGTTTATAGATTGGAAGACCTGAAATTGTGATTTCAGTTCCTCGAATTGATTTATAGATTTGATGACATTCCAATAAAAATCCAGATTTTCTTATAGAAATGTTCAAGCCATTTCTAAAACCTAAATGCTTAGAATAACCAAAACAATTTTGAGAAAGAACAAAGTTAGAACACTTAAACTTACTGGCTTTAACACTTACTGTAAAGATACAGCAATCAAGTTGGTGTGTTATTGGCATAGTTTTGACACATAGATCAATTAAACACAATCGAGAACCCAGAAATAGACGAGCATGTGTATGGCCAATTGATTTCTGACAAAGATGCCAAGGTAATTCAATATGGAAAGGAATACCTTTTCAACAAATGGTCTTGAACAACTTGTTATCCACATTTAAATAAATTAACATCAACCCTTACTTTATGGTACACAACTGGATAATCTTAAATGTAAATGCTAAAACTATACAACTTCTGGAAGAAACTTTATAACCTTCACGTAGGCAAAGATTTCTTAAACAGGACACAAAATAGCATAAACATAAAAAGTATAAAAAATTTATAAATTGGGCTACATCAAAATTTAAAACCCGTTTATAAGAAAATGCAAATGCAAAGGTAGACCTCAGACAGATAAAATATATATGTGTGTGTGTGTGTGTGTGTGTATACTATTTTATATTATAAGGACTGATATCTAGAATATATAAAGAAGTCTTTCAACTCACTGATAGAACCAATTATAAAGTCAATAAAATGGACACATTTGAACAAACTTTACCAAAGAAGATACACAGATAGCCAATATATCCATGACTAGATGCTCAATATCATTCATCATTAGGGAAATGAAAATTACAACCACAATGTGATATCACTACACATCCGTTAGAACATTAGAGTGGCTAAAATTAAAAGGACCCCAAATACTAACTGTTGATGAGGATATGAAACCACTGAGATTTTCCTGCATACACCGCTTATGGGAATATAAAATTGTACAACCACTTTGGAAAACAGTTTTGGCAGTTTCTTATAAAGTTAAACATAGATTTACCATAAGATTCAGCAATTCTACTCTTAGGTGTTTATCCAAGAGAAATGAAAGCATGTGTCCACAAAAAGAGTTGTACACAAGTGTTCTTTCACTTTATTTAAAGTAACCCAAACTGGAAACAACACAAATGTCCATCAGCAGGTGAATGTATAAATAAAATGTTTAACAATGGAATACTACTTAGTACTGAAAAGGACAAACTATTTAAACATGTACCAACATAGATGAATCTCAAAATAAATGTGGTAAGTGAAAGAAGACCGAAAAAAAAGTAGGTATTGTATGATATTCAATATAAACCTCTAGAAAAGAAAAACTTAACATATATTTACAGAAAGCAGGTTCATGGTTGCCCGGGGCCAGTGATAGGGTGAGATCGGCTGGGAAGGGGCTTAAGAGAATGATCTTTTGAAGTAATGGAAATGTTCTAATCTTGACTTTAGCAGTGGTAACATGGGTGTATACTATTTGTCAAAAGTCATAGAATATACCCTTAACATGAGATATGTAAACTATCCCTCATTAAAATTGTGCTTGTATGTAGTAGTTGCTGTTTTTGAGGGGCAACATCTTGGAGTCAGTAAAGGGAAACATTATAAAGGTGTTGACAATTTCTCCATAGTATAAAGCCTGTTCCATATTGGGCACTGTGTCAGGCATTCCTGTGACTCTTGGCTGTAATACAAAGCAACTTCCCACTTAAATACTGGCTAAGACCAAGAGCCAGGGTTCCCTCCTAGAAGTCCCAAGCTGGACCCAGAGGAAGGTGCTAACATGGTGTGTTTCGGCCACAGGTCTCTTTCAGAGGACCACAAAACTCACTACCTCCCCTCTCTGAGATAATGGAGTGAGTGTGTTAGGTTGGCTCAGTGGCTCAGACTAAAGCGTCAGGGACTCTTATATTTAAAATTGATGTCACTGCTAATGTACTGCTTGAATGTATCTAAGCCCCTGCCTTTCTATTTCAATTTCCTCTGTGGTTACAGGAAACCAACTATGACAGTCCATTATACATGGAAGGCTAGTGTTGCCAGATTTTAATTTGGAGAGTACAGAACATAATTTTGACTAATTGGTCCAGTAGGAACTAGAGTAGAATCTAAACAACTCTGGAGGTCTGTGGCAATGAAACAGGGAAGGAGGGAGAGATTTAATCAACCTTCACCCAGGCAGGCTGTTGACAGATTTCTAGGCTGACTTAATCAATGTACTTATTTCTCAGGTAAGACCTCAAAACTATTTGGATCTAATTTCACTATACTTCATCCTGTTCATGATATTATGCTTTCAAAGTAACAAGCCTCGAATTCCTTTTAAGGGCACACAAAAGAGTAAAACACACTTTCTTTTTGTCCCGTCTGAAGTGGACAAATGGAGTGGGTGCATAGAAGTTGTAACTCTGAGTCCACTTAAGTTTTGCAAGTGTATAAGTCATTTTTCAGTACACAATGAAGTTAACAATTAATATCTTTGTGGTATCCAGAAACAATGTCAACCAAAATTGGAGCAATGAACCTGAGAATTGAATTCACTTGAGCTATAAATCATAAACCCATCAATCTCTAGAGCAGAAGCAAAAGTGAAGTCATTGAATATTATAATAGATTCCATATGTTGTTTTAAAGAAGGCTTAAAAATAACTAGACTTACAGGTTACCATATTTCTGTGGCAAAAATTTACATATGTGAATAAGAAGTGAAATAACTGACTGTCCAATTTTTGCTTCTGTTTTCTGCCACTTCTTTTTAGTAGTGGAATAATTATTTAGCTCTTGAAGGGCAGGGCAGAGGAAGTGTGATAGGCACTAGAGAATGTGGAGGAGCTGATAAAATAGAATATGAAGGGAGGTAGAAGAAACTGACTCTCAGCTTTGGTAGAAAAGGTAGCACAGATAAGGAAGCACAATTTCAGATAACCCTCTTGGCCTTTCCCCTGCTACCTTATTACAGAGAGTTAGTGTTTCTCCTTAAGCATTAAAGTTACAAAGCCAAATAGTAACATGGCCACAATTCTGTGAAAATTTTGAAAGGCCATGACAAAATGAAAATGAAAGCTTTGTTCTAAGTCAGACAGATCTGTTTTCAAATTTGGACCCTGCTCTGTGACCTTGGGCAATTCACTTAATTTCTCTGAGCTTCAGTTTCATCTGGATGGGGAATTAATACTTACCTCAAAGAGCTCTCAGTGTAATACACTTGTGTATTTCTCTCTTCTAACACCTATCCTGTCAGTTTGAAATATAATCTATCATTTTGAAATGTATCTCTTTCTTCTCATACGATTGTAGACTTCCCAGGAATTGAGATTAAGAACTCCCAGCTCAAGGGCCAATTAGTGGAGAACACAGGCTTAACTTATCTTTGTTTCGCCCTGCCCCATACACACCTCGCACAATAATTAGGCTATAGCTACGTAAAACTTTAGGGACTTCTTCCTTCCTGTGACAGCATGGTGCTAGGTGAGATTTAAGGAAACTACACGTCATGTCCCTGCAAATTTGCCATCTTGTTATAGTCAGTCAGATTGGCCCACTAACCCTCCAGCTAGAAAGTCAGGAATGCTAAATCTTATATTTGCATGATTGCTGTTGTGCTAAGGTGTCAGAACGCAAGATACAATCTTAGTTCAAGTTTACACTTTGGTTTATGGGAAATAGCAAGGTCAATCTGTGGCAATGAAAAAAATGGAAAGTCCTGTAAAAGTTTAAGGAGGGAAGAATAAAAGGAAGAGAAAAGAAACTGTAACCCAGTTGGAATGAAATGGTAACATGGAATGAAATGATCCTCTTTCCCCCCAGACAGATGTTGGCATGGATTTCATATGGACTCTGAAACTAAAGCCGACACCCAACCGAGTGCTCAAGCCCTACATTCCATCCACCCCTCATTTGTTAGTATCAAAATTGAGGCATTTCACAAACTTGGCTATCGAATACTGTATGTGTGTGGAAAAGGGCCAGATAAAATGGGCCAATTAGAACACAGCCACATCTGTCAAAACTCTAACCCTTAACCTTAGTGAAAATATAATCTAGGATCAAACACAGAAGCCCCGCAGATGTACACAAGTCATTTAATGCAGCCCTTGGAAAGACTGTGATGAACAGCTGGTGCTATTGTGAAGGCCTGATGAGAAAGCCAGGCTTGGTTTTGCTACGAATATTTGCAATTTTAAAGAAAAAAAATAGGTTCTAATTGAGTAACCATTGAATGTATCCCAGTAAGGTCCTTCCCATAGGCTGAGTTGAAAATACTCTGACTCCGTTGCTATGCAAAGCAGTTTCTAAACATGTTTTGAAAATCCGTTTGAAATTTGAGAGTAGAATTTGGTTCTCAAAGGCTTCATTTAGGCTTAAAACCTTTTGGTTCACTCTAAAATAATGCGAGGGTTTCATCCTTAATGGACTATCGAGGTTAAATTCAACAGCTGCTTCTCCTCTGATATATATTTATGAATGCAGGATGCATTCTATATGGTACAGTACACCCTCACAGAGCTCTGAGTAAGAGGAAAAAAACATGGAAACAAATTTTTTTTTAATGTTGGAGTGTCCTTACGGGGTTTGCTAAAGGACAAATGGGGCTCTCATTAAAAATAGGGATTGTATCTTCTTGAGTATACATGGATCGTGACCAACACAACAGTTTTTACTGAATTTACTGATAAAAATGTCACTATGTTATGTCAAGCTCAAGTCTTTGGGAGGGTTTTTCAGGATTCTGTAAGATATGGCTTTGACTTTGTATTCGCTTTTGGGCACCAGGTCATCAGGGAAAAGTCACAAGATCTATGCAAAAGGCAGCGTCAGGAAGCAGCATCTCTAGTGGTTTCCCCTTGGTTTCATTGTCCCTGTGTTCCTGTGTTCATCTGGGTTATTGAGTCTTTGATCCCACATGGGAAAGGTTTGCCATGTTGAGCCAGTAGTAGTATAACTCATTCTAACTAAGGCACATAGCTTCTGCCCTCTCCCCTGCTGGATGAGTATTGGACCAATTCCTTTGTCCTTAGCACCACTTACAAGGATTTATTTCCATTCCAGAGGATTTATTCCCATTCAGAGAAGGAACAACATAGTTAGATAGGAATAAAAATGCTACTCTGTGTATAAAGCTTCTTGCACCTAGCTAATCTAGCAAACTGGTGTTTTGGTCTTCAACACTAACTAGATCATTATTATGTGACACTAATTAAAGGGTCTTCTGTAATGGGATAAGGTGTTATCTGATCAAATGAAGGAGGAATGATATTTGGCAGTATATGGTATATGTGAAAATCATGGTGTTCTTGCTACTTAGAGACTGTGAGAAGGGATAAGGATTGGCTTAGAGCCAGCTCACTCTACATGCTCTCCCAGAAGTGTTTTCTTGAAAGAGTTTTTCCCCATTGGGACCTTCCATTTTCCTCTGGCTTAGTAAAGTGACTGTAATTAAATAGATTCAATTTCTGTTTATGGTGAAGTAAAAGATTGAGAACAGATTGCTCTTTAACCTGAAATGTGGAAGGGCTAGTCGATTCGGAAGCTAGTTAAAATGATTTTGTGTATTAACTGGTAAACTCAACAGATTTTTTCCCCTGTGAATCTAACATTTCTAGATCTTTGCATTCCTCCCGTGAGAAGTCCACCTCTGAATCCTTTCGAGAGCTCAGATTCCTAGGAACTCAGATTTTTGAACATCTACATGATGTTATTTTGTAAGTGGAACACTGACTATTAAAGGATAGCAGTGGAGTGGAGTGGTGAGGGCACAGCTCTGGGTCAGGATAACTGGAGAGAAACCCTAAGGCTTATTCCATAATCTCTCTTGATTTGAGCTTCTGAGGATAAACTGAGGCTTGTAACATGCTAGCCCAGTATCTGGTGTAGTAAATATTGAATGCACTGTGGTGGAGAGGGTTGTGTTGTCAATGTTGCTGTTGTTATTGTTGAGACCTAAAGGATTGCTATGATCTAAATCAGCTTAATTTCCTTCAACTTGATAAAAATTAGCCTGTGACTATTGAACTGGATGATGCTCTCCTAATGGTTTTTGCATTTTGCCTTCATTCAGCCAGTTAAAGCTGGTGTTTACAGAATTGTGAAACATTTGAGCCTGGGACAGTCATGTGATTTACAGTTTTGTCTTGTTTCATGCTTTCCAGCAACATAATTACTGAACTTTTTATCGTAATAAAAATATAGGCAATAAAAAAGGCAGTCCCCTGGAATTCCCTCTATCTCTCTTAGAATGCTAAAGGATATTTTTTTGTGATCTCAGCTCTGTTCTGTTAAGTATCCTCTCCCTTCCCCACGTCTGTCTTTGCAGATTTGTGACCAGACGGCTGCACTGAATGGAGACTAGGAAGGGAGCCCAACTGTTTTCCTTGTGTTGGCCCTCTGTGCCGAGCAGGGATTGTTGAGCAAAGCAGGGATTGCTGAGCAGCGTTTCTCCAGGGAGGGTCACAGGGTAGTACAAACCCACTCTGGATTTTTCTTTTTTTTTTAATTATTAAAAACTTTGGCCAAATACTATCAGTAAGGGGGAGAAAGTATGTGGTTTGAAGACCAGTTGGACCAGTCTTTTAAAATATCAACTGGAATAAAGCAAGAATGCCTTACACTTCTTTAATTTTCTACATTTAACAGGAGACAGTTGCTCCCAGAGTCACTTCTAACTCCACAGACAGTATTGTGCAACCTTGCTCAGCATTTGGAGACACTATATAATTAAAATTCCTTTGAAAATGGTTGCCCAATGATTGACATTTATTCCAAAATACATTATCATGTTGAATGCTTAATTCCTTCTTCCAGTACATTTTCTTTAATAAAAAAGTAAAAATCTATTTTTTAAAAGGGTGATGGAGTTTTGTAAAAAATTGAAGCAGTGTAACAAACTTATGTCTAATCTTGCTCTTAAAGAGCTGGCAGGCTAGCAGGGGAGACCAGAGTAAGTTATGGAAAGCAAAAAAAGCAATACTCAGGATATAACTGAGTTGCCTTATATAGATAGACTTGAAATGCTGCTGAGATTCCAAAGAGGAAGAGATAATAGGAATCTGTTGCTCTCTTACCTCCTAGTACATTGACTCATACCTCCACTTCAAACACAAGCAACATTTAGTATTACTACGAAATTATCTAATGGGCTTCCTTTCTCAGGGCAGTAGGAATCTGTCTCTCTGCTGTGGCTTTCTGGAGTCCTTCCCTTCTGATGTCTGTCTGTGCCCCAGTTTCCATTTTCATATGGTCATCTTTGATTCTGGATAGCTGCTTCTCTCTGTGTTCTCAGAAGAAATAGACTAGTGAGATCACTGTCATGCCCCCTCCACAATTAGGAGGCTGTATCTTGAGACCTTCTTGGATCCCACAATTTGTAGATATCACAATAGCAATCATGGTTAGAGAAGTCTACCACCAAACCAGGAGTTAGATGCTAAGGATGGGTGAGCATGTCCAAATAGCAGCTTTAAAAAGCCTCAGCACACTTACAATAGACTACATGTCAGAGTTTTGGGTTATCTCTGAATAGTCAAAACCCCGATATTATATACATGTATGTAAAGAGGCTATTTTAATATCATACTGTTTGTTTGACTTTTGAGTAGTGAATGCATAATATGGGAATAAGTACAATACGTGAGTGAAACACCGAAATCACCTTTCACTGTTTTGTTTAGTAGTTTGGAGCCTTCAGTTCTTCTGGAAAAATAATTCAATGCACATTAGTTTTGCTTTCTACATTTGAGGGAGGTGAATGCTTTACTTTTGTAACTGTAAGAGGTCTCAGCAGTCTTGTAGCCTATTCATATTAAAGATAAGGACACTGAGGCCAAGAAAGGTGAAATGGCTTGCTTAATGGTTACACAGAGAATTAACTGTAGCTTCATGATTTTAACTCAGGTCTTGTGACTAGAATTTCAGTGCACTTTGCATTAGGCAATTCTGAACCTTTGAGTAAAACTAAAATGCAAAGACTGCTCTTGATAGCATTCTAGGTGGAAGAGTTGAAGATAGTAGGATATAAAGATAAACAAACCTATCTTATCTGGACAGGACCTCAGCTCATTAGGAAGAGGAATGAGGAAGAGAGAATGTAGGAGGAAAGAAATGGCAGAAAGACAAATAATCATGGGAAGGGACTGGAACAGGGTAAATGCCAGACATTTTCAAGATTAGAAGAAATCTGAGTTGAGTTTGAAAAATTGAAAGATTTCTTCAGGTAGAAGCAAAAGGAAAATAAGCAGAAATATTATCACATATAAGGGAGTCTGCAGAGGAAGAAGAAAAGCATGACCCTAATAGATAAAGATAAGAAGCACCAAATCATTTC
Source organism: Homo sapiens (assembly GCF_000001405.40). Taxonomy (NCBI): domain Eukaryota; kingdom Metazoa; phylum Chordata; class Mammalia; order Primates; family Hominidae; genus Homo; species Homo sapiens. Next base: position 183,736,908 of record NC_000001.11, read on the forward strand.
AATAAGTTTCTGAATTTTAAACACTTTCTTTTCCTTCCAAACCATTTAAAGAGGAGGAGGAGGAGAAAAAAATAACGATTTGTGAGGGATGTCTCATATGCTATTTATTATAAGAAGGAAAGTAAAATTCAATAAATTACAAAATGATGTATCAAACAAAGTTCAGCATGGAGGTTAATAAAATAAATACAGACTTGAGTGGAGTTGTGTCCTAGCACTTACTTTTAAAGCCATGTTTCAAAAAAAGGGCATCCATGGAAGTGATGGATAATTTTTATCTGATAGCAAGAACAGACACTAATAATGGCAAGTTATTGTGTTCTTAGATTGTTATTTTAATACTTAACGTTTTCAAGATTAGCCTCTGAGAAGCTGCTCATTTACTTTTGGTGCATAATGATCACTTAGGGTATGAAGCCATCAGCTGCGCCCTTTGTTATGACCATGGAAAATGTTATGACCTCCTGTCAATGATTATTTTGGAAGGAATAGAAGAAATAAGTTATGATTACATATTATAGATATTATAAGCATAGTGTTAGTAAATATTTTAAAAAGAAGACTAGGCACAGTGGCTCATGCCTGTAATCTTAGTACTTTGGGAGACTGAGGCAGGAGGATCACTTGAGCCCAGGTGAGACCAGCCTGGGCAACATAGTGAGATTCTATCTCTACAAAAAAAAAAAAAAAAATCTTTCCATGGCTTTCTCATCTGCAGATTGTTTCTCAGTGTCAAGCAAGCACATCTTTCTTCCATCCCACCTGTCTTCCCTGTTTTAATTTTATTTCTGTGCTTCATAAGGTTGAGGCAGTATGCAATCACAATCCTTTTACAATTACAAAAAAATTCCCAAACAATTTTCTTTTTTAATTTTTGAGAAAAATTTTGCTTTTATGCTCTCTGATCAGATTTGCCTTTATATACATACAGGTTCCTTTTTTCACCCCACTCCCAACTTAAGGCTGATTTTACCATCCAGTTGTTTAAACAAAATTCTGTTTTGGGTATCAGGTGTTTTAAATTAAAAATTCTTCAAAATTGATTTCCAAAGGAGTCCGTAAGGCTTACGATATTTTAGACCAATTCTTAACTAGAACAGAAAATTTTGCCTTTTAGGTTTACAGTGATTTCATATTATCTGATGATTCTGTTGAAGGGGCCCATTATTTATGGTATTTGCCTGGAGGTTGTCTTGTAAGCCTTGACTATGTGTTTTAAGAAAGAAGGCAGGCTGAGTGCGGTGGCTCATGCCTGTAATTTCAGCACTTTGGGAGGCCGAGGCAGGCAGATCACCTGAGGTCAGGAGTTCCAGACCAGCCTGGCCAACATGGCGAAACCCCGTCTCTACTAAAAAATACAAAAATTAGCTGGAGGTGGTGGCAGATGCCTGTAATCCCAGCTACTCGGGAGGCTGAGGCATGAGAATCGCTTGAACCCTGGAGGCAGAGGTTGCAGTAAGCTGAGATCACGCCACTGCATTCCAGCCTGGGCGACAGAGCAAGACTCCGTCTAAAAAAAAAAAGAAAGAAAAAGAAAGAAGTCAGCAGTTCAACTATAAGATGCACAGTATATCAGAGGTAGTGGAAAGTCTACATATGCCTCCTATTTTAATTTTAACAAAAAAATGACTCTGTCACATAGACTTCTAGCTCTTTTTAGCGGAATAGGTAGGAAACCTATAATGCATGAATTGTTTAAAGAAAGTATCGAGGCTGGGTGAGATGGCTCATGCCTGTAATCCCAGCACTGTGGGAGGCTGAGGCAGGTGGATAATTTGAGGCCAAGAGTTCAAGACCAGCCTGGCCAACATGGTAAAATCTCGTCTCTGTTAAAAATACAAAAATTAGCTGGGCGTGGTGGCAGGCATCTGTAATCCCAGTTACTCGGGAAGCTGAGGCAGGAGAATTGCATGAACCCGGGAGGCAGAGGTTGCAGTGAGCCAAGACTGCACCACTGCACTCCAGCCTGGGTGATAGCACGAGACCCTGTCTCAAAAGAAAAAAAGAAAAGAATAAAGAGAGTATGGAATAAAATGCTAGATTTGAAGAGGAAAAGGACAGGTTGGTAGCAGGACTGGCTATATAATTTGTGGGGCTCAGTGCAAAATGAAAATAGAAGTCCCCTTGTTCAAAAATTAAGAAGTTTAAGGTAGCAACAGCAAAGCATTAAACCAAGCATGAGGCTCTTCTGAGCATGGGGCCCTGTGTGACTTCATAGGTCACACACTCATAAAGCTCACCCTGGTCAGAAGTTGAGATGTCAGTAAAAAGGAAAAGGAATGATCCATTCCCTGTGATGTTTTCCTACCTCTATGCCATCCTTACCTATGTACTCATCAGGTGTGACCATCTCTCAAGGGGGCACCATTGTGCCAGTGAGCTGAGGCACAGACACTGGCTCTAGTCTATGGAGGAAGGAGCATGAGAAGGAGGTTGCATTCTACCAGCGGCGGGAGAGTAGGATGGAGCTGAAGGCTTTCTGAACTGATCTAGGAGAGAGAGCATGAACTTGGGAACTCTGCAACTTTCTAGCAGTGTAGTAAAGTTATTTAACCTCTCTGAATCTTATTTTTTCATTGCCGTAAAATGGTGATATCTACCTCTCAGGGTTACTGTGTGGATTACAGATAATGTGGAAAATGCCTAGCACTGTGGCTGGTATGCAGTGGAAGCTCAAGATATATTGTACATATGGTCATTTTTGTAAGTGCGGAGATACACTGAGGATGAGTGAAAAAGACTTCAAGTCTCAGATAGGGTGGAGGATCTCAGAATGCTTGAAGAGCCTTGTAAGAACTGGCTGCCTCTCTTGAGTCCCTCCTTAGTTCCTGAGTGCTTTGGAATCGTTTAAAACTCACAATTGCATCTTCTTCCCAAATAGGGTGAGGAGCAATCTGTGGGAAGTCAGTGCACAGTAGAGTTCAGTCTTCCAACGCTGAAAATTTGCCAACTTTCACCCACACTGTGGAGATGAGAAAGCAGCTGTGGGCAGACAGTAGAGTAAGCTGTGGGGTCTCTGGAACATGTTACGCTTACGGATGTTCCATTGTTCCCATGAGATTTTGTACTTTGTCTGTTTTATCCAGGTTTGTTTCCATAATATACGAAGGAGACAGCCAAAACCATTTTATGTAGTTTTCCTACTTTGTTTTGATTTATTTGTTATTATTTACAGTATTATCTCCAATAACAACAATGGAATTTCCTTTCCTACTAATCTGGCCTGTTTCCATTTTGCCTGTTTATTTTAATTTCCTTTTTTTGGACTGAAATCTCTACATGACTCTGATTTGTTTATTTCCTTGCGTGTATGTGTCAGCATCATTTATTAGTGTGTCCACTCAGAGGAACTTTGTTCATTAATTATGTAGGTTTTGTTTCCTGGTTCCTAATGGGAGGGTATTAAGTGCTCTATGTTTCTAAGTACTTCACGATGGTTTTGGTTATCAGTTTCTTCATCACTGCTCTCTGCAAGTAGATGGGCTTACTCTCCATGGCTTACAGATGGAGCATGGGAAGCCCCAGAGCAGAGAAGTAACTCCTCTGCAGATGATGATTTTCTTAAATCCGCTGACCCGTCACGCCTGCCACTCGTATAGATTTCAATTTCCACTTACTTTTATTTGGGTAGTGGGTTAAGTGAGCATAACACCTGTGTTTTGCAGACGTGATTCCTTGAAGACATTTCCATGAAAACCAGCCTGTTGTTAACGAATGAGCAATATCGTCTTGCATTATAAGCTGCTTGGGGGGTGTGTGATGAATGTTAGACTTATCCCTTTTTTGTGAAGAACTTACAGCCCACTAAGTCAATAAAAAAGTTAAAAGGAAGAGGTAACCTGACTTTTACATCTGTTACTTGAATATATAAGATCTGCTGCCTCCTTTTCAATGGATTGTCATGATTTACTAAATGATTGAATTAATGATTCATAAAACATTTATTTAGTACTTACTCTGTGTGTGATACTATCTCTAGTCTCAAGATGCTTATAAGACTAGAAGGCGAAAATAGAATTGAAAGCAAATAAATATAATAAAATGTTACAGGTGACATGATAGAAGTTTGTCTAGAGTACATAGAATAACAAAGGAGGGAGGCCTGTATTCTCTTGGGATGGGGATTGGAGAGAAGGTGTCACAAACAAAGGCTATAGGCACCAGATGTATCTGGGGTCCATAGATACTTTCAAATGGCTGAAACAGTGGCTGAGGAGGCAGCAGTGCATGCATGAGGTGGGAGAAGGGAGGTGGAGAAAGCCAGACACAAAGATCCTTGGATGCTGTGTGAAGGAATTTGGGTTTTATTCTTTAGGAAAAGTTTTAGGTAGATGGAACATCAGTAACAGTTTTGCTTTTTAGAAAAATTACACCAAGAATAGACTCAAGGAGACTTGAATGGAGGCAAGGAGACTCTTCTGATAATATGGGGCTGAGCCAGGCAAGATATGATGAGATTCTGAGCAAGCCAGTGGTGGATGGAAAGATGTCAAAGAAGTAGACCTTGTAAAATTGGTATCAATTTTTAAATAATATCTTACAGTAACTGTTAGCGAAACCAAGGCCCAAGAAAGTGCATAGCCAGTGAATATCAAAGGGATCTTCCTCTGCCTTCATTGCAGTTTAGAAACACAATTATTGTGGCATTTCAGACACTACGTTGTAATACATCATATTGTTAATACTTGTTTACAATCTTTCTGTCCTGAGGCTCTAAGCTTCTTAAGGTTAACAGCCAAACTACTGAATTATTTGTGTATGCCTAGCATGGAGCCTCATATACACAAGTGCATAATAGATGTTTGAAGAGTAAAACTCTTGACATCATAGCCAGTGCTTCTTCCACATGGAGCACTTGGCATGAAAATATGAAAACATCACTCAGGTTTGCCTGACAGCCACCCATTTCCATCACTCCCCCTGAGAGCACCAAAGCCAAGTGATGAGCAGGTATAACAGGCAGATGATGGCTTGCACTTTGCTTTAAAATTTGTATCAGTTTGCCATTATCAGAATGCATTCTTACCTCCCAAAGCCTGCATTAAAATACCAATAATGAATATTTAGAATATAAAAGTGGCCATAAAAGTTGATGCCTATTATGATACTGTCTTTAATGGTCTCACTAGTCAGAAGTCAAGCATGATAATTTGCTTCGATGTCTCTTTTAATGTTACCCATTGTTTTAACCTGGATCACACTTTATTCTTCCACACAGATCCGTAATGCCTCCTGCCTGCCTCTTTCAAGATGGAGGTGAAACCTGTGGGAGAACCTACTCAAGAGGTGTCTAAATTCAAACTTTCCACCAAGGTAGAAAGCACGGGACACTGGCTGGTGGAAGATCATGTTCGAATATGGGAAGTTTTAAAGACAGAGGAGGTAAGATGACTCTAAATGACACAGTTGGTGAAATGTTGGATTTGTTTATACCTGAGACCATAATTCTTCGTGTAGCCAGCACCACAGGCCAGCTTGGCAAATCTTTATTCAGGGGCTGTAGGCACAGCCATGACTGGAGAACAAGTAAGTCAGGAGCATGTCCTTTGCACATTAATGACTACACAGTGATTCAGGCCAAGGAGGCTGCACTGAAAGCCAGCGCTTAAAAAATGATGATCTAAGGCTCATATGCATATAATCTGCACTTTAGCCTCAGGTATCAGCAGTGTAGCTGTGGGTATCCCGCTAGCTACATTCTTTCTCAAGGCTGCCCTTCTGTGACTTCCCTCTCTCAAGCCTATTGTTGTTGAAGTTTCATTTGACTTATATAAAATGCTGATATTTGTGTGCATATTTGTGGGGGGTGTGTGTGTGAGAGAGAGAAAGAGAGAGAGGGGACGGGGAGAGAGAGAGAGAGAGATGCTATTATTCTTTCAATGGAAATTATAAATTAAAGCTTTTATTTTTATTATGCGTTTGAGGTAAAATACATATTGGCAAGATATTGAAAACCATTTCCATATAGGCATGAAGAGGTATAAAAGGAAGATTGGAAAAGAGAATGGAGTTATTAACCAGATCATGGAAAGGCCTAATTTCCCTGAGCTTGGGTTGTGACCATCTTTTCAGCTCAGCAAATAAAATTAAAGCTAGAGGTTTTTATGTTTTTGTTTTTTTTGGAGACAGGATCTTGCTCTTCTGTCCAGGCTAGAGTGCAGTGGCACAGTCATAGCTTACTGCTGCCTGGAACTCCTGGGCTCAAGTGATCCTCCTGTCTCAGGCTCCCAAGTAACTAGGACTACAGGTCACACAACACCACACCTGGATAATTTTTAAATTTTTTGTAAAGATGAGACTCTCGCTATGTTGCCCAGGCTGGTCTTGAAGTCCTAGCCTCAAGCAATCCTCCTGCCTCTGCCTTCCAAAGCACTGGGATTACAGGTGTGAGTGACTGTGCCCAGCCCCAAAAGCTAGAGGTTTTAATACATGGGAAAGAGCATCTCAGAGAGAGGTAGCAAAGCAACAACTAAGATAGCATAGAAACGTAATAGGGAAAACAGAGAACACTTTGTCAATGGTATTTTGGCTACCAGAAAGACCAGCAGCTGTTTTCTGAGAGGCTTACCTGGGTGATATTCATTATCTTGGGTAGTTGTCTAGGGTCTGGTCCTTAGCTTACATGCTTGGAAATTTTATTTTCTCATGTATCCAACAGAACTTTCTGGGGCAAACTCACATGAATTAAGTTTATGCAACTAATATATAAAAAGAAAATGGCAATTCCTTAATTGATAAAGACAAATAGAAGAGTTTTATCTTCTGGAATACTCAATTTAAAATGTTTAGCACACATTCTCCTTGTAGGCAAACCTAATGGGAAATCAAATAATGCTGAGAAAGTTGATTCCTAAGGATGGAATCATAACAAGTGGAAATATATAAATTCCTTGTTTGACAGCATGAGGCTAAGTATATTGGTATGGCTCTTTGGTTCCAAGTAACAGAAATTGACTAAATTAAGGAGAATGAGAAATTGCTGGAGGATGTTGAGAAGCTTACAGAATTGGTGAGAAGTTTGGAGGACTAGGCTTGGAAATAAGACAGGAACCAAGTCAGTAGAAACTGCTCAGGGTGCCAATCCTGGCACAAATTCTAAACTGGTCCCTTCCCCTCCATATTCTCATATTCTGCTCAGGATGCAAAGCTGTGGGAGAGAGGAGCTCATTGCCAAGTTTAGTTGCATGCCTTTCTTTTGGTTATTCTGTGAAGAGAAAGAGGAATCTTCCATGGGAAATTATTATACCAACTCCTCACTACAGTTGTGTTTAAAATTCAAATTCCTAATATTGACACATTATGACAATTCCAATCCAAGGAAGTAACCTAACAACTAGTTTTGAACATGTAAAATCCAGCAGAAGCAAATACAAGCCTTCTCTATAGGGATATACTTGCACAACAGACTTTTTTTTTTTTTTAAAGAAATAAACTCCACAGGTGGTAGATGAAGTCTTTGTGTATCTTACCTAACAGGTCCAAGATAAGATGAGATGAGTGTTGTGCTGAGGGCACAAAATTTAAGGAAGCACTCACTCTTAGGTTTATGCCCTGTACTTGCACAAAATTGAGAGTGAGTGTATCCTTAAATTTTGCACCCTAGGCTTGATGCTTGTCTCACTCCAGTCCTGGCCCTGTCATAAATCTGAATTTGGTGTTTATCATTTTTATGCATATTTCAGTATTTATACTACATGCATGTGGATCTATATATTCAATATACAGTATTGATTTACATCTTGTAAATTTTATATAAGCCTTGTACTGTACATCTACTTCTACAGCTTGTTTTTTTGTTTCTATTTTTATGCTGACATATGTAGTTTCACTTTATTCATGTTTAACTGCTGTTTATATTATTTTAATATAGTCAAATTTATTTCTTCATTCTCTTGTTGATTAACTTTTAGTTTTCTTTCAATACAATTGGCAGTATAATACATTTTTCCTCGTGAACATATGCTAGAGTTTTTTCTAGCATAGACACCTGGAAGTGGCATGCTGAGTTGTAAAGTATGAATACCTTTAGTTTTGCTAGATATTACTAGATCAGCTCTGAAATGAGGCCATGAGTTTGTATCTCTGTTAGCAGCATATGAAAGTTCAACCATTCTATATCCTCACCTGTTATTGGTATTGACAGACCTTTAAATATTGGCCAGTCTGTTTGTTTTGAAATGGGACCTTGTTGTAACACAAATTTCCCTGAATTCTTGTGGCATTGAGCATCTGTTCACATGGATATTGGCCATTTAGTTTTCTGTGAATTATCTGTTCTTATCCTTTGCTTGTTTCTTTTCATTGGGTCATTTGTCTTTCCTTGTTGATTTCTGGAAACTAATGTTTTGTTTACTAAACAATCCTTTTTATTGATTTCATGCACTAAAACAATATTTTCCCACTCCTAAATTTTTGTTTTAAATTTTAATTTGGTAAAATTTATGTCTTCTTTTCTCCTTATGGTTTGTGTTTTTTCTGCTTTAAGAAATTATTTCTGACCTCATGATGATAAAGATACTCTCCTGTGTTTCCTAAAAGTTCTAAAAGTTCTAAATGTTTGCTTTTATTTGCTTAGTATTTATTTCACAATCTGAAATAGGGATATGTGTTTTTTCCATATGGATAATTAATTATCTAGTGTCACTTTTGAATGTTATTGTTTCTTCTTCAGTTTATAATGCTATTTTTCATGTATCATGTTTCTATAGATATCCTGTCTGTGGATATGATACTCATTTAACTATTCTAGCTCTAAAAAAAAGCCCCGAGTATCCAGTAGGGAATGTTTCTCTGCTGAGCTATTGATCTTCAAGATTATCTTGGTTGTTTTTGGAAACTGCATTTTCCATATGGATTTAGGATGAGCTTGTTCAGTTCTGAAGATATGAAGAAAAATTAAGCAGAAACTTGTTGGGAATTTGATTTGGATTTCAGTAAATTTGTTGACTGATTTGGAGAGTATCAACATTTTTATATTCAATGGCTATCTTGTCTTCTTTTTGACTTTAAAGGTTATGCTTTAATATTTCATCCTTAATGTCTCACCAATATTTGATCCCACATTCTTTTGCTGTAGGATTTTGATAACTAAGGCTAAAGAAGTTCCTTCAATTCATTTTTTTTTTTTTGCTAAGTGCTTATTTTTTAACATTATAGTATTTGATACCTACAAAATAATACACATGCAAGTTATGGATTATAATATTGTGGAATCACAAATACTTGTGAGTCCACAACCAACTTAAGAAATAGTTTGTTGAGTCTATATGTGAACTGTTTCACCTACTATCTCTTTGATTTCTTTCCCTGCAAAGGTACCCATCTTCCTGAAAGTTGTGTTTAATCATCCTTTTGCTTTTTAAAAAGTCTTTACTGCATATGTGTATCCTCAAACAATACTGTTGAGTTATACACACACACACATGCACACACATATATACACCTACATATGTATGTATATATAAACACATATATATTTATATGTATGGTGTCTTTGGTGACTCACTTCTTTTACTCAACATTATGTTTATAAAATTTTTAAGATTCAGCCACAAAAATATATATAGTAGTACTTCATTAATTTTCACTATTGTACAATATGCCATTGTGTGGTTATATCATGATTAATTATTCATCGTTATGTGGATGAACATTTAAGTTATTTATAGTTTTTTGCCATGATGAACAATGCTGATATGAACATAGTATACATGTATTTTTTTTTTTTTTTTAGTTTTCTTATATATTTTTTTAATATACTTTAAGTTCTGGGATACATGTACAGAACATGCAGGTTTGTTATACAGGTATACATATGCCATGGTGGTTAGCTGCACCCATCAACCTGTCACCTACATTAGGTAGTTCTCCTAATGTTATCTCTCCCCTTGCCCCCCATCCCCCAACAGGCCTAGGTGTGTGATGTTCCCCTCCCTGTGTCCATGTGTTCTCAAGTTCTCATTGTTCAACTCCCACTTATGAGTGAGAACATGCAGTGTTTGGTTTTCTGTTCCTGTGTTAGTTTGCTGAGAATGATGGTTTCCAGCTTCATCCATGTCCCTGCAAAGGACATGAACTCATCTTTTTTTTATGGCTGCATTGTATTCCATGGTGTATATGTGCCACATTTTCTTTTTCCAGTCTACCATTGATGGGCATTTGGGTTGGTTCCAAGTCTTTGCTATTGTGAATAGTGCTGCAATAAACATACATGTGCATGTGTCTTTATAGTATAATGATTTATGATCCTTTGGGTATATACCAAGTAATGGGATTGCTGGGTCAAATGGTATTTCTGGTTCTAGATCCTTGAGGAATCACCACGCTGTCTTCCACAATGGTTGAACTAATTTACACTTCCACCAACAGTGTAAAAGCATTCCTGTTTCTCCACATCCTCTCCAGAATCTGTTGTTTCCTGACTTTTTATTGATGGCCATTCTAACTGGTGTGAGATGGTATCTCATTGTATACAATGACCCCTGATGATGAGCGTTTTTTCATGTTTTTTGGCCGCATAAATGTCTTCTTTTGAGAAGTATCTGTTTATGTCCTTTGCTCAATTTTTGATGGGGTTGTTTGTTTTTCCTTGTAAATTTATTTAGGTTCCTTGTAGATTCTGGATATTAGACCTTTGTCAGACGGAGAGATTGCAAAACTTTCCTCCCACTTTGTAGGTTGCCTGTTCACTCTGATGATAGATTCTTTTGCTGTGCAGAAGCTCTACATTTATTGATTTGCATATGTTGAACCAGTCTTGCATTCCAGGGATGAAGCCAACTTGATTGTGATGGATAAGCTTTTTGATGTGTTGCTGGATTCGGTTTGCCAGTATTTTATTGAGGATTTTCACATCGATGTTCATCAGGGATATTGGCCTGAAGTTTTCTTTTTTTGTTGTGTCTCTGCCAGGTGTTGGTATCAGGGTAAGGCTGGCCTCATAAAATGAGTTAGGGAGGAGTCCCTCTTTTTCTATGATTTGGAATAGTTTCAGAAGGAATGGTGCCAGCTCCTCTTTGTACCTCTGGTGGAATTAGGTTGTGAATCCATCTGGATCTGGGCTTTTTTTGATTGGTAGGTTATTAATTACTGCCTCAATTTCAGAACTTGTTATTGGTCTATTCAAGGAGTTGACTTCTTCTGATTTAGTCTTGAGAGGGTGTATGTGTCCAGGAATTTCTTCTAGATTTTCTAGTTTATTTGTGTAGAGGTTTTTATAATATTCTCTGATGGTAGTTTGTATTTCTGTGGGATCAGTGGTGATATCCCCTTTATCATTTTTTATTGTGTCTATTTGATCCTTTTCTCTTTTCGTCTTTATTAGTCTGGCTAGTGGTCTATCTATTTTGCTAATCTTTTCAAAAAACCAGCTCCTGGATTCATTGAGTTTTTGTGTCTCTAACTCCTTGAGTTCTGCTCTGATCTTAGTTATTTCTTGTCTTCTACTAGTCTTCTACGAGCTTTTGAATTTGTTTGCTTCTCTAGTTCTTTTTTTTTTTTTTTTTTTTTTTTTTTTTGAGACGGAGTCTCGCTCTGTTGCCCCAGCTGGAGTGCAGTGGCACGATCTCGGCTCACTGCAAGCTCTGCCTCCTGGGTTCACACCATTCTCCTGCCTCAGCCTCTGGAGTAGCTGGGACTACAGGTGCCCGCCACCACGTCCAGCTAATTTTTTATATTTTTAGTAGAGTTGGGGGTCTCACTGTGTTAGCCAGGATGGTCTCGATCTCCTGACCTCGTGATCTGCCTGCCTCGGCCTGCCAAAGTGCTGGGATTACAGGCGTGAGCCACCTTTTATTTGTAATGTTAGTATGTTGATTTTAGATCTTTCCTGCTTTCTCCCGTGGGCATTTAGTGCTATAAATTTCCCTCTAAACACTGCTTTAAATGTGTCCCAGAGATTCTGATACATTGTATCTTTGTTCTCACTGGTTTCAAAGGACTTATTTATTTCTGCCTTTATTTGGTTATTTACCCAGTAATCATTCAGAAGCAAGTTGTTCAGTTTCCATGTAGTTGTGTGGTTTTTAGTGAGTTTCTTAATCTTGAGTTCTAATTTGATTGCACTGTGGTCTAAGAGACCATTTGTTATGATTTCAATTCTTTTACATTTGCTGAGGAATGTTTTACTTCCAATTATGTCGTCAATTTTAGAATAAGTGCTATGTGGTACTGAGAAGAATGTATATTTTGTTTATTTGGGGTGGAGAGTTCTGCAGATGTCTATTAGGTCCGCTTGGTCCAGAGCTGAGTTCAAGTCCTGAATATCCTTGTTAATTTTCTGTCTCATTGATCTGTCTAATACTGACAGTGGGTTGTTAAATCTCCCACTGTTATTTTGTGGGAGTCTAAGTCTCATTGTAGGTCTCTAAGAACTTGCTTTATGAATCTGGGTGCTCCTACATTGGTTGCATATATATTTAGGATAGCCATCTCTTCTTGTTGCATCGATCCCTTTACCATTATGTAATGCCCTTCTTTGTGTTTTTTGTTCTTTGTTGGTTTAAAGTCTGTTTTATTAGAGACTAGGATTGCAACCCCTATGTGTGTCTTTACATGTGAGATGGGTCTCCTGAATACAGCACACCTATAGGTCCTGACTCTTTATCCAATTTTCCAGTCTGTGTCTTTTAATTGGGGCATTTAGTCCATTTACATTTAAGGTTAATATTGTTATGTGTCAATTTGATCCTGTCGTCATGATGCTAGCTGGTAATTTTGCACGTTAGTTGATGCGGTTTCTCCATAGTGTCGTTGGTCTTTATATTTTGGTATGTTTTTGCAGTGGCTGGTACAGGTTTTTCCTTTCCATATTTACTGCTTCCTTCAGGAGCTCTTGTAAGGGAGGCCTGGTGGTGACAAAATCCCTCAGCATTTGCTTGTCTGTAAAGGACTGTATTTCTCTTTCACTGATGAGCTTAGTTTGGCTGGATATGAAATTCTGGGTTGAAAATTCTTTTCCTTAAAAATGTTGAATATTGGTCCCCACTCTCTTCTGGATTCTAGTGTTTCTACAGAGAGATCCACTGTCAGTCTGATGGGCTTCCCTTTGAGGGTAACCTGACCTTTCTCTCTGGCTGCCCTTAAATTTTTTTCTTCATTTCAACCTTGGTGAATCTGATGATTATGTGTCTTGGGGTTGCTCCTCTTGAGGAGCATCTTAGTGGTGCTCTCTGCATTTCCTGAATTTGAATGTTGGCCTGTCTTGCTAGGTTGGGGAAATTCTCCTGGATAATATCCTGAAGTGTGTTTTCCAACTTGGTTCCATTCTCCCCATCGCTTTCAGGTACACCAATCAAACGTAGGTTTGGTCTTTTCACATAGTTCCATATTCTTTGGAGGCTTTGTTCATTCCTTTTCATTCTTTTTTCTCTAATCTTGTCTTCACTCTTTATTTCATTAAGTTGATCTTCAATCTCTAATATCCTTTCTTCTGCTTTATTGATTCAGCTATTGATACTTGTGTATGCTTCATGAAATTCTTGTGCTGTGTTTTTCAGCTCTATCAGGTCATTTATGTTCTTCTCTAAATTGGTTATTCTAGTTAGCAGTTCCTGTAACCTTTTTGAAGGTTCTTAGCTTCCTTGCATTGGGTTAGAACATGCCCCTTTAGCTGGAGGAATTTGTTATTACCCACCTTCTGAAGTCTACTTCTGTCAATTCATTAAACTCATTCTCCATCCAGTTTTGTTCCCTTGCTGGTGAGGAGTTGTGATCTTTTGGAGGAGAAGAGGCATTCTGGTTTTTGGAATTTCAGCATTTTTGGGCTGGCTTCTCCTTATCTTCTTGGATTTATCTACCTTTGATCTTTGATGCTGATGACCTTTGGATGGGGTTTTTGCGTGGGCATCCTATTTGTTGATGTTGATGTTATTTCTTTCTCTTTGTTAATTTTCCTTCTAACAGTCAGGTCCCTCTTCTGCAGGTCTTCTGGAGTTTGCTGGAGGTTCACTCTAGACTCTGTTTGTCTGGGTATCACCAGTGGAGGCTGCAAAATAGCAAAAGTTGCTGCCTGCTCCTTGCTCTGGAAGCTTCGTCCCAGAGGGGCACCTGCCAGGTGCCAGCCAGAGCTCTCCTGTATGAGGTGTCTGTCATCCCCTGCTGGGAGGTGTCTCCCAGTTAGGAGGCATGGGGGACAGGGACCCACTTGAGGAGGCAGGCTGTCCCTTAGTGGAGCTTGAGCATTGTGCTGGGAGATCTGCTGCTCTCTTCAGAGCTGGCAGGCAGGAATGTTTAAGTCTGCCGAAGCTGCACCCACAGCTGCCCCTTCCCCCAGGTGCTCTGTCCCAGGGAGATGGGAGTTTTTTCTATACACCCCTGACTGGGGCTGCTGCCTTTCTTTCAGAGATACCCTGCCCAGAGAGGAGGAATCTGGAGAGGCAGTCTGGCTACAGCAGCTTTCCTGAGTTGCGGTGGTTTCCACCCAGTCCGAACTTCCCAATGGCTTTGTTTACACTGCGAGGGGAAAAGTGCCTATTCAAGCCTCAGTAATGGTGGATGCAAGCTCGAGGGTCCCAGGTTGACTTCAGACTGCTGTGCTGGCAGTGATAATTTCAAGCCAGTGGATCTTAGCTTGCTGGGGTCTGTAGGGGTTTGACCTGCTGAGTGAGACCACTTGGCTTCCTGGCTTCAGCTTGCTTTAAAGGGGAGTGAATGGTTCTGTCTCGCTGGGGTTCCAGGCACCACTAGGGTATGAAAAAAAACTCCTGCAGCTAGCTCAGTGTCTGCCCAAATGGCTGCCCAGTTTTGTGCTTGAAACCCAGGGCCCTGGTGGTGTAGGCACCTAAGGGAATTTCCTGGCCTGTGGGTTGCAAAAACTGTGGGAAAAGCTTAGTATCTGGGCCAGAGAGCACCATCCCTCATGGCACAGTCCTTCACAGCTTTCCTTGGCTAGGGGAGGGAGTTCCCTGACCCCTTGCACTTCCCAGGTGAGCTGACGCCCCACCCTGCTTATGCTTGCTCTCCATGGGCTGTATTCACTGCCTGACCAGTCCCAGTGAGATGAACTGGGTACCTCAGTTGGAAATGCAGAACTCACCCACCTTCTGCATTGGTCTTGTTGGGAGCTGCAGACTGGAGCTGTTCCTATTCGGCCATCTTGCCAGATCCCCACATACTATACATATCTTATTTTTGCCCATATGTAAGAGTTTTTCCAGGTTAATAGCTATTAGATGAATTTTGAGTTGATATGTGCAAGTTCTCTTCTTCAAGTTATTGCCAAACTGTTTTCCAAAATGGTGGTACCAATTTATGCTCTCATCCACAGTGCATAAGAGTTTCCCCTATTCCCTATCCTTGTCAATTCTTGGAATTGTCAGATTTCTTAATTTTTTTTTTTTGAGATGGAGTCTCACTCTGTCACCAGGCTGGAGTGCAGTGGCACAATTTGGGCTCACTGCAACTTCCGCCTCCTGGTTTCAAGCGATTCTCCTGCCTCAGCCTCCTGAGTAGCTGGGACTACAGGTGCACGCCACCACGCCCAGCTAATTTTTGTATTTTTAGTACAGACGGGGTCTCACCATGTTGGCCAGGATGGTCTCGATCTCTTGACCTTGTGATCCGCCCACCTCGGCCTCCCAAAGTGCTGGGATTACAGGTGTGAGCCACTGTGCCCAGCCCAGATTTCTTAATTTTTTAAATCTAGATGATATAAAATAGAATCTCATTCTTTGCTCATCAATTCTTTATGCATCTCAGCTCGAGAACACTTTTTTTTTTCCTTTGTACTTATTCTGAGGGTCTAACAGTAACACATCTCTTTCTCTCTTTCTCTCTCTCTCTCTCTCTCTCTCTCTCTCTTTCCCCTTTCCTCTCTTTGGCCTTAAGATGTCTTTATTTTGTGTGCTTCTCAGAGTGATAGTTTAGATGACTATAGAATTATAGTTCTTTGAGTACATTGGAAATTTTCCATTGTCCTCTGCCTTCCATTGCACTGGAAGGGGAGCTAGCATAAAGTTTAACTTGTATTATTTTGAATGTAACATCTTTTCTCTATAACTGTTTAGATCATCTCTACATTTTTTGCTGTCCTGAAGTTTCATTCTTCTGTTTTTCCATGTGGGTTTCCTTTTATTTAACATTTTGGGGTACGAGGGCTTCTCAAATAGATGAATTGATGTCTTTCATCCGTCTGGAAATATCTCCAATTTTTTTCTTTTGAAATTTTACCTCATTCTCCTTTTGTAACTCTAGCAAGATTTATGTTTGCTTCTCTCACTCTCTGCTTATGTCCCTTAACCTCTCTTTTAGAGTTACTATCTTTTTCCTCTCTGAGTTGCATTCTTATTAATCTTAGGTCTGCCTTCCAATTCCGTAATTCTCTCTTCAGCTTTAATCTGTCCTTTAACTCAATCATTGATTTTTAAATTTCACTTATTGTATTATTTACTTCTAGAAGTTTTGTTTTGTTCTTTAAAAATCTTCTAGTCATTTTTTCAATGTCTTGCTTCCTATTTATATTTTTATTTTTTCAAGACATATTTGTCAAGAACTGTGAAGGCTATGAGATTTTAATTTTTTAAAATCCACAGTTTTGTGGATGTTGAAAGAAGACATGAGACTCTTGGCTAAGAGCAAAAGACTTTATTACTCACAGCAAGAGCAGCAGCCAGAGTGTCAACATGTTTGTTTTGGTTTTCTATGTTCCAATTCCTAGAAATGGGCCTAGATAGATACCTGCACAGGAAGGGAACATTGACCTTGGGAAACTTGCCATTTTATAGTAGGTAATAAACAAGCTGGCATTTTGTTTAAGGGGGAAGTATTAGCTCATCTCTCAAGTTTTCTTGCTACAAGCCCAATCCTGAAAAATAATCTGGGTAAAGATCAGCCAGGGCCTTGAATTTTTGGCATATATAGCAAGACATGTAGGAACAAGAGAGATCCATGAAGTAGTGTTGCCTAACAATATTAAATATAGTGATTTTGTATTCTGAGTGTGGTAATTCTAAAAACTGTGGGTCTCAGTGTACTATCTGTTGTTTCTTTTGGCTCTTGAACATGGTGTTTTGTTTCTTTGTGAGTTTTGTGATTTTTGACAGTGGGTTCATTTTTTTTTTTTCTTGGAAAGAAGGAAATTTTCTCCAGAGAGAATTTGCATTTGTTTCTGGGAGCACTACCAACGGGAAACTACTTGAAAATAAATTCTTATCTTGATGTTTTTCAGACCACTTAATGTGTCTACAGGCTAGAAATCTACAGATGGGCGTGCTTGTGGTAGTAAATTCTAAGGAGAAAATGACTCCCCCTCTCTACCCCTCCTCAGCATCATATATAAAGATAGTCAACTTTCCTTGTATTGTCACAGAAGATATAGTATTACTAGCTCACCTTGATGCTGAGGGAATCACATTTTAGGGTCTCAGTTTTATGCAGTGGGGATTTCCTGTTAGATTCTCTCCCATAAGCTAACCTTGGGCTTTGTATATTGTTCCCTACTTGCTTTAAGGTAACAAGTCCTATGTTGGTTAGAGTAACATTAATGCTGTAACAAATACAGTATAAAATTTAAGTAGCTTAACATAATAAAAGTTTATTTCTCAATCATATAATAGTCCAATTTAGGTGTTTCTGGTGGGAGTGCCCCTTTTCTCCATGTGATAATTTAGGGACCAAGGCTACTTTCTTCTTGAAGCTCCACCATCCTCTGGGACCTGGGAATCTTTTGTATTCACCTGGCAATTCACAAAAAAAGAGGTTGAAGAAGACACACCCAATTCTTAACTCTCTTTGACCAGACATGCATTGTATTAGTTTACCTTCTATGACTGAGAATTAGTCCTGTTGTTCCATACAGATGTGAGGGATGTGTGATGGGGAGATGTAATCTCTGGCTGAGCTGCTACTTACCAGTGATGACTCAATACTATGGAAAGTGAAATACAAATTGAATTTTGGTGGGCAGTTAAGTGTCACAGAAAACAAAGTTTAAATTTACCTGGTTTGGCCAATGACGTCTGAATGGAAGCTGACTTCAATGCCTATCTGTGGGTTCTGCTTTCATTTACCTTTTGGCTTTTAAGAGTTCTTAATTTTTTGCCAGCCTGTCATGTATTAAAAAAGATATTTTAGTTTTATTTTATCAAGTTTTTGTTTGTTTGTTTGTTTGTTTTAGTTATTTGTAGTGGGAGAGTGAACTAGGGTATTTAGTCCACTGTACTGCTGGAACTGAGTCCTACACACTCCTGTGAGTTATTTAGAAATGTGATCTTAAAAGTTGAAAGTCTATTTTTTTAAACTTACCTTTTGAAAATTACTTCACTTGGTCAGAAAGTGGCATCTAGATAATGTTGAATTTCTATTTTTTGGCCATATTTAGTTAATTTTTTGGCCATATTTAGTTAAGTACCTGCTTGCACATGAATATTCGTAACTGACATCTTGCAATCATTTAAAAGTTTTATGTAGTCACAAATCAGTTTGTCAAGTATATTTAAAATGAAAATATTATTTTCATTTTCAATGTAGTGATTAACTGTAACTATTCTATGCCTTTAAAATTCAAATATTTAAAATTTAAATGATAAATAATACCTATATGTAGTAGAAAATAATGAAATCTTTATTAAAGGGTTAAGTATGACAAATATCTTTATATAATTTCAGTACCTTTTTAAAAAAAAAGAGCAAGGAAGCAATGGGAGAATTGGACATGTTTTGTGGTGATGTGTTCAATTTTTTGATTGGTGATTACATGGGTGTACGTATTTGTCAAAACTCATTCAACTATACATTTAAAATGGACATATTTTATTATATGTAAATGATACCTCAACAAAGTTGATCTTAAAAAACGGACAATGGGATGAGGGAATAGAATTAAATAAATAAATCAGTCATTGCCATACAGTGTGCTGTAATAAGTGTCCACAGGTATTTCGAGAGCTTAGAGCATGTAATCCAGCATGAGTATGGGCACTCATAGGTGTGCATGTCAAGGAAAGGAAGCTTCTCACTGAGCTGATAGTTGAGTTCATTCTTTTTTTTTTTTTTTTTGACACAGAGTTTTGCTCTTGTTGCCCAGGCTGGAGTGCAATGGCGCAATCTCGGCTCACTGCAACCTCTGCCTCCCGGGTTCAAGCGAGTCTCCTGCCTCAGTCTCCTGAGTAGCTGGGATTACAGGTGCCTGCCACCATGCCCAGCTAGTTTTTTGTATTTTTAGTAAAGACGGGGTTTCACCATGTTGGCCAGGCTGGTCTTGAACTCCTGCCCTCAGGTGAACCACCCGTCTCGGCCTCCCAAAGTGCTGGGAATAAAGGTGTGAGCCACTGCGCCTGGCCTGAGTTCATTTTTTTTTTTTTCTTTGAGATGGAGTCTTGCTCTGTCGTCCAGGCTGGAGTGCAACTTTGACCTCCCTGGTTCGCTTAAAGGAAAGGTAGAAACTAGCCTGGCAAATGGAATTTTTGAAGGGGAATTGGATCAAATATTTCTGGATCAGGGAAAACTGTAAAGGGGAGTGTTAGAGAGAATGTCCTACCATTTAGAGCATCTGTAGCAGAAGAGGAATGGCAAGAGATGAAGCCAAGAGGAAACAAATAATGAAAGTCTTCACGTCTCTTACTTAGAAACTTAGGAAGTATCCTGTGGGCACTGTGCAGTCAATGAAAGGTTTTTGGCAGGCTAGTGACATGTTCAGATTTGTTTTTAGAAATGCTAGTCTGTCAGACATGTTTAGGATGGCCGAAAATACTTCAAAACCTCTCTAGCCCAGATTGCTGTCTCTCTTCTCTGTCCACACTATGCTAGCCAGTGCTCAAGTAGTGATTATTTGGGGTTGTTCTTTTTTTCATGATAGTAATTCTTCCTCTCCAACTAGACTGTCTGTCCTTCAGACCAGGCCTCTTAGTCTTCTTCTTTTTAAAAAATTTATATTCCCATATTGATAGGTCACCCCCTTAGTCTTAATTCTACTTCACTTATGACTCCCAAAGCACTGGTACTACTAGACACAGGTTGAAATAAATATTTGATGATTGACTGATGAATTATTTTCATTATTTAATGGTAATACCCTGTTTCTCTAAATTGTAACATCAAGCAGAATGTTGTCATCTTTGGGTACTAAGGTGATTCATTTGACTCACCATTGGATAACACTTAGTTGGGTGGTTTGTTTGTTTTTTTTTTTTTGTATTGCTGATTGAATTTGCACGGAGTCATCCACTATGCACTGGACTTATCTATGTTCAATGTTTTACAAGAATACCACAACGATATGCAATGTTCTCTATGGCTATCGAACAGAGATGTTCTCTACGTGAAATTAAACTGGCGAATGTCTGTATGGAGACTGGACATATGACCTCTTCTCTATCCAGCTCAGGAATGGGGCTTCACATTGTAAAATCACATTCTTGGAGGAGGAAATAGTAAGTGTTCATCATGCATGCTTTGGAGATTAAATCATACACATCTGAGAGACAGGAAGAGAGAAGTTTTTAAAAACTGGATGGCAATTTAGGCAAGCAGTGGGAGTGTATTGTATTAAACTGTGAAAAGCCAGCTATTTGCTGAATTGTGGTTTGATGACAGAGCTAGGGTCCTTCTTTATGATTCTGAATGAATTTCTATTTCACTCTGCCACAAATTTTCATATGAGGCAAAGGGATAGAAATTTACTTTCTAGGAAGTTATTAATATATAAAAATGCTTTGATATATGAATCTCTGAGATGGGTAAAATAGACATATCAGTAGTGAGAAATGGAATATTGAGACTGAATAATATTCTGTTGGGTTTACAAGAAAAAGAAAATATCATTTATTGAGCATCTATTCTGTGTCAGGAACTGCACTTGGTGCTTTCATATTTATTAATATATTTGTCACAGCCATAGGTACATTTTCATTTTACTCATAAGGATTATGAAGATTAGAGGTTAAGGCACATGCTCAAATATACATAGCTGTTTGGTGGCAGAGTAAGATTGAAATTCATTTGTCTCTCATTTGTCTTTGTTCTATAATCTCCTCATGAAGCAAACTACCAAAATTGTTAAATCACTCTAATTTTACATTTAGTTTTCTTGTCCAGACCATAACCATTCCTGGCCAGGGCATCAACTTCAGCTCAATAACTGGTACCAATCTTGCTCTGTTAGACCTTGGCTCTGCAATGCCCATGTGAACAAATACCAGTGTGCCCATTGAGTCATAATCTTCTTCCATTCCTCAAAGTGCTGGCTCAGTTGGTGTGGCTAGGCTTCTATCTCAGTTCTCCTATATATCATCTGTCTTAGCCAGTTGGACTGCCACAATGAAATAGCACAGACTGGGTGGCTTATAAACGATAGAATTTTTTTTTTTTTTTTGAGACGGAGTCTCGCTCTGTCGCCCAGGCTGGAGTGCAGTGGCACGATCTTGGTTCACTGCAAGCTCTGCCTCCTGGGTTCACACCATTCTCCTGCCTCAGCCTCCAGAGTAGCTGGGACTACGGGCGCCTGCCACCATGCCTGGCTAACTTTATATATATTTTAGTAGAGACGGGGTTTCACCGTGTTAGCCAGGATGGTCTCGATCTCCTGACCTTGTGATCCACCCGCCTTGGCCTCCCAAAGTGCTAGGATTACAGGCATGAGCCACCGTGCCCAGCCAACAATAGAAATTTCTCTCTCACAGCTCTGGAGGCTGGGAGTCTGACATCAGGATGCCAGCATGTTTGGGTTCTGGTGAGGTTCCTTCTCTGAGTTACAGATGGTGTCTTCTCAATGGGTCCTCATGTGGCAGAAAAAGTTGGAGAGCTCTTTGGGGTCCCTTTTATAAGGGCATGAATCCCATTCATGAAGACTCTACCCTCATGACCTTATTGCCTCCCCAAAGCTCTGCCTCCTAATATCATCACACTGAGGGGGTTCTGTTTTCAACCTAACAAAGTTTGGGAACACAAACATTCAGTCCATAGTAGGACCCAGTTTCTCAGAGAGACTGTACCTATTTAAATGGTGCCCTTAACTCCATCCTATTTAAATAGAACTTAGAACTCTGTTAGGCTCCATGTAGCTCTGTCTTCTGCATAATTGAGCTCTGTTCCACTTACCCCAAGCTATTAATTGGGGTCTAATTGTAAACAGTCTGTTTGGAACCTGGCTATTTTTACCCAATCCCTGAACTCCTGTTGCTTTCTTGGATATGAAAGCTTGCCAGAATCACATCAGAGTTTTCCTATGCCCTTGTTTTGTGTTCCTTCTGAGCTTGGTTAGTCACGTGCAGCCATAAGAGATACAAGAGAGGCTCAGGAAAAAACAAAGGTTATTACACTTGCAGGTCCTAGAGAGAGGAGATATTCTGCATGGGAAGACACGATTGTGGTCATGAGGCAGAAGACAAGAGTGAGTGGGAAGCTTAGATTACTTCTGTATTGGGGTTTTTGAGGAAAAGGCATGCCACGGCAGGGAGAATGTTTGGGATTGGTTAGTTTGAACACTTTTGGTGGGTTTTCTGCTATAGGAGTAGTTTCTAGTTGCCTAGTACCTGGCCCTGGGATGATTAAGGCAGATAAATACTGTCTCCTGAAGTATCCAGGCCAAACAGAGGAGATAAGGCTTTTGCTTGGTTAATTTGCACATCAAAGGTATGCTCTCTGACTTTTGTTATCTTTAAGAATTAGCTAGCCCAGGGAAGGCAGTCTCTCCCAGTTGTAAAGTTTTTAAAGACATCAAAACATCATAATATACAGAAAATTAAAAAATATTTACAATACAGTCCTTGGGACACATCTTACCAAACAGCCTGCTACTACCATGGGACACATACCTCTAGTCAGGGAAGTCTCTCCAGCTCCAGTTTGTCAACTGTCTTATTCTTTTCCATTGGCCCTTGTTGCCAGTCTCAAGATTCCTTGTGATTAAGACCACCTGAATATGACATGATGCATTTAATAAGTTTCTTAGTCTAAACTAAAGGTGGATACTGAGGATATTAAAGCTTTCATTATGGTTAAATTTCACTGTTGGTATTAGAATGTGCTCAAGTATCACCTCTTCCAGGAAGACATCCTTGATTTTTCTGGTCAGGGTTAGTGACCCTCCTGTGTGGTACTGTAATATCTCTGCATATCTATCTTATAAGACTCATCACATTAATGGTACACACATACCTCGTGGATACCTGGTTTGTTTCCAGACCACCTCAGTAAAGCAAATATTGCACAAAGTAAGTCACATAAATTTTTTTTTGTTTTCCCAGTGCATATAAAAGTGATGTCTACATTATACTGTAGGCTATTAAGTGTGCAAGAGCATTATATCTAAAAAGTACATATCTTAATTTAAAAATACTGTATTTCTAAAAAATGCTAATGATCATTTGAGCCTTCAGCAAGTCATAATCTTTTTGCTGGCAGAGGGTCTTGCCTCAATGTTGATGGCTGCTGGCTGATCAGAGTGGTTGGCTGCTGAAGGTTGCAGTGGCTGTGTTTCTTAAAATAAGACATTAATGAAGTTTGTCATATCCATTGACTCTTCTTTTCTTGAAAGATTTCTCTGTAGCATGCAATGTTGTTTGATAGCATTTTACTCACAGTAGAACTTCTTTCAAAACCAAAGTCAGGCTGAGCATGGTGGCTCCCACCAGTCATCCCAGCGCTGTGGGAGGCTGAGGTAGGAGGATTGCTTGAGGCCAGGAATTTGAGACTAGCCTGGGCCATATAGCAAGATCCAGTCTCTGCAAAAAAAAAAAAAAAAAAAAAAAAACAAACCTGGGTGTGGTGGTGTGTGCATGTAGTCCCAGCTACTCAGGAGGCTGAGGTGAGAGGCTTGCATGAACCTCAGCAATCCTCACTCAGGAGGCTGTAGTGAGGTATGATTGCACCACTGCACTCCAGCCTGAGCAAGAGAGCAAGACCCTATCTTTAAAAAACAAACAAAAAATGAAGTCAGTGCTCCCAAACCCTGCTGCTACTTTATCAACTAAGTTTATGTAATATCTAAATCCTTTGTTGTCATTTCACCACATTCGCAGCCCATTCCTCAGGAGTAGATTCCATCTCATCTCAAGAAACCACAGTCTTTGCTTATCTATAAGAAGTCACTCGTTGTCCATTCAAGCTTACTGTGAGATTGCAGCAATTTAGCCTATCTTTGGGCTCCACTTCTAATTCTAGTTCTCTTGCTATTTCCATTGCACTGGCAGTTGCTTCATCCATTGAAGTCTTGCACCCCTCAAAGTCATTCATGAGGGTTGAAATCAACCTCTTTTAAACTTCTGTTAATGTTGATATTTTGACCTTCTCTCATGAATTATGAATGTTCTTAATGACATCTAGAATGGTGAATCCTTTCCAAAAGATTTTCAATTTACTTTCCTAGATCCATCAGAGGAATCATTATCTATGGCAGCTATAGCCTTATGAAATATATTTCTTAACTAATCAAACTTGAAAGACAAAATTACTCTCTGACCTATGAAATGATATTGTGTTATGAAATGCTGTGAAATGGATATTGTGTTAGCAGGCATGAAAACAACAATCTCCTTGCACATCTCTGGCTCTTGGGTGACCAGCCACATTGTCAATGAGCAGTAATATTTTGAAAGGAATATCTTTTTTTCTAAGCAGTAGTCTCAATAGTGGGCTTAAAATATTCAGTAAGCTGTATATGCTGTAAATAGATGTGCTATCATCTAGGCTTTATTGCTCCATTTATAGAGCACAGCCAGAATAGATGTAGCATAATTCCTAAGGGCTCTAGGATTTTCAGAATGGTGAGTATTTGCTTTAACTTAAAGTAAGCAGCTGCATTAGCCCCTAGCAAGAGAATCAACCTCTTCTTTGAAGCTTTGAAGTCAGGCATTGACTTTTCCTCTCTAGCTATGATAGTCCAAAACGGCATCTTCTTCCAATATAAGACTATTTTGTCTACATTGAAAATCTGTTGTTTAGTGTAGACACCTTCATCAATGATCTTAACTAGATCTTCTGGATAACTTTCTCTTGCTGTAGCTTCTGTATCAGCATTTACTGCTTCACCTTGCACTTTTAAGTTATGGAGATGTCTTCTTCTCTTAAACATCATGAACCAACCGCTGCAAGCTTCAAACTTTTCTTCTGTAGCTTCTTCACCTCTCACAGCCTTCATAGAACTGAAGAAAGTTAGGGCTTTGCTCTGGATTAGGCCTTGTTAAAGGGAATTTTGTGGCTAGTTTGATCTTCTGCCAGACCACTAAAACTTTCTGCATATCAGCATTAAGGCTGTTTTGCTTTATCATTCATCTACTCACTGGAGTAGCATTTTAAATTTCCTTCAAGAACTTTTCCTTTGCATTAACAGCTTGGCTAACCATTTGGCACAAGAGGCTTAGCTTTTGGCCTGTCTCAGCTTTTGACATGCCTTCCTCACTAAGTGTAATCATTTCTAGGTTTTGATTTAAAGCAAGAGATGTGTAACTCTTCCTTTCATTTGAACACTTAGAGGCCATTGTAGGGTTATTAATTGGCCTGATTTCAATATTGTCATGTCTCAGGGAATAGAAAGGCATGAGGAGAGGGAGAGAGACAAGGGAACAGCCAGTCAGTGGAGCAGTGAGAACACACACAGCTTTGATCAATTTTTTTCCAGCCTACATCATGCTTTGAATACATAATAGTAATTTAAAAGTTTGAAATATTGCGAGAAAATTACCAAAATGTCCAGAGACATGAAGTGATCACATACTGTTGAAAAAATGGCAAGACCTGCTTGATGCGGGGTTGCCACAAACCTTCAATTTATTATGCAGCCAACAAACATATGAAAAGAAGCTCATCATCACTGGTCATTAGAGAAATACAAATCAAAACCACAATGAGATGCCTTCTCACACCAGTTAGAATGACCATCATTAAAAAGTCAAGAAACAACAGATGCTGGAGAGGGTGTGGAGAAATAGGAATGCTTTTACACTGTTGGTGGGAGTGTAAATTAGTTCAACCATTGTGGAAGACAGTATGGCAATTCCTCAAGGATCTAGAACCAGAAATGCCATTTGACCCAGAAATCCCATTACTGGGTATAAACCCAAAGGATCATAAATCATTCTACTATAAAGATACATGCACATGTATGTTTATCATGGCACTGTTCACAATAGCAAAGACCTGAAACCAATCCAAATGCCCATCAATGATAGACTGGATAAAGAAAATGTGTCACACATATACCATGGAATACTATGCAGCCATAAAAAAGATGAGTTCATGTCCTTTGCAGGGACATGGATGAAGCTGGAAGCCATCATTCTAAGCAAACTAACACAAGAACAGAAAACCAGACACCACATATTCTCACTCATAAGTGGGAGCTGAACAATGAGAACACAGGGACACAGGGAGGGGAACATCACACACTGGGACCTGTCAGGACATGGGGACTAGGGGAGAAATAGCATTAGGAGAAATACCTAATGTAGATGACGGGTTGATGGGTGCAGTAAACCACTATGGCACATGTATACCTATATAACAAACCTGCACGTTCTGCACATGTACCCCAGAACTTAAAATATATATATATAAAAAAACACAGTATCTACTAAGTGCTATAAAGTGAAGCACAAGAAAACAAGCTGCCTATACTTTTATATTTACATATTGTTGTCTCTCAAACTAAAATGTAAGCTCCTCAAGGGCAGGGCCTCTGTCATAATCCATCTTTATGTGCCCAATATTATTCACAGTATCTGGCACATAGTGAGAACCTAACAAGTACTTATTAAATAGAGAAAATGTGTAGAGGGACTAAGAGGTTGGTCTCCAGAGACAGACTGGCCATGATGTGCAAATTCCTTAATCTGTATTTCCGTTTCTTTATCTATAAAGTGGGTACACTAATAGGATTGTTATGAGAATTAATTGAGTTATAATATGTAAATTGCTTAGAATATAGCTTGGTACATAATAAGCAATAGATGTAGACTTTTATTGTTATTGAGTGAATCAGTGGGGAAAGAGTACAAAATGTTACACCACATGGGCCCACCAATTGTACAATAGTTGCTTTTGACTCCTGCTGCCTGAATTCAAGATTTCCCTCACATTCTGGAAAGCCCCACACTCCAGGATCCTTTGTTTTTAAGTGCCTGCAGAATTTGTACTGGGTGACACAGTTGTTTGGCTCCAATGAGACTACCCTGCTAATATTTGTAAAGGGTGACCTTTCACAAAGGAAGACAATTGGCCTGAACTAAATAGCATTGTGTTGAGATACAAAAATTATTTGCAGGGGAGACCAGATATGGGTGTATTATTACCACAACACCAGGACTTCAGTCCAGGGTTCTCCTGCTCACCACACAGAAAGCCAATCACTGAGATAATGAGCATTGCCAGGGAAGAAGGGTTTGAGTGCTTCAGCCAAGGAGATGAGAGACCAGTCTCAAATCTGTCTCCTCAACTGCCTAAAATTAGGGGCTCATGTGGCAGGGAAGAAATGTAACCATGTATGGGAAAACAGGAATCAGGGAGGAGTAAGGAAGAGGAACTGATCAATAGGAAGTAGATGGTCAGTGGGCAGTTATTATGGGTGAGGGGTCTGGCATCCCATTGTCCAGATGTGGTGATCTGGTAAGTTTCAGTTCCTTGATACTATCTGGGAGCCCTAATGGTTTCCTGAGAAAGGAACTCAGATAATACAAATATAAGTTTTTCAAGTTTTAATACTGAGAGGGTCAATTTCTATATTTATTCAAAAGAAACCATAAACATCACTTCTATGGGACAATTGGGCTGGTTCCAGTCCTGATCTTTCTATTTATCAGTTCCTCAATCATGGAGAATATGGTTGTCGATCTTTCGGGCTGCTTCATGCTAAAAAGGGGGCATTGTGAGCAGCTCCATACCATGGGTAACCACGTGGCCACCCAGGAATCAAACGTTAATTTAATACCATAGTTTTCTTCTGTGATACAATCTTTATGTCTCCAATCCACTACTTCCACCAAAGACAAATCATAGCAGGACTAACCTACCTGAAAAATAAGCATCAGTCCCACTATACTTGGCCTGATTACCCATATAAAGTGCAGCAAGAATCATTGTCCATATAGGCTCTTCTACATTGGCTTTGCTGGAACCTCTCACAAGGAATCAGATTCAACCTCCAAAGGCCTCTCAAGCCTAGCCAAGGATCCATCTGTGTCTACAGATATTTACATGAATTGGGTGAACTCCTCTCTTTCCAAGGCCCCAAAAGAACTTGTGGTTCCTGGGCCTGCCAGGAAGGTGACTCTCTACTTACCACAGGCCAGGAACCCTGCAAAGGAACTGCATAGACAAGGTATGAGGCATCTTTCTAAGGGGTTCTCATTGGCTCTATAAAATCAATGTGAATTCCTCAAAGCTGTGTGCTCATATCCCAAAACATGCCATTTTAGTCCAAGTCCTAGAAAATAACCAGTGCCTCCAATTGTTTCCAAATATAAGAGAAAACAGATTCTTACTGATCTTGCAAACAACCACATTGCAATGAATTAAGAACATTCACAAAGTTTCTGAATTCTGGATAAATCTGGCAGAGAGGGAGAAATATGCCTCATTTCTGTATACTCAATTGTTAAAGGCT
Source organism: Homo sapiens (assembly GCF_000001405.40). Lineage (NCBI taxonomy): Eukaryota > Metazoa > Chordata > Mammalia > Primates > Hominidae > Homo > Homo sapiens. The sequence goes on from NC_000001.11 coordinate 183,765,439, forward strand.
ATAAACAGCTCAAAAGAAAAAAATTCTGAAGACTCTGAGAAACAAAACAAAAAGAATCAGTAATGTTTCAAACAAAAAAGAGCCATGAAAATTATTTCAATCCTCCTGTAGTTCAATCCATGCAATCAGCTCTTGTTCTGCTTTATATTAGGTTAGCAGTCTTTATGAACACATCAGCCTTTCAATTAGTGTTCTGGAAGTTTTCTCTCTGGTCCAATGGCACAATCTCCAAAGTTATCAGAAACCTGCAATCAGGAGTCCTTTTCATGAACTCTCCCAAGGAAGCCCTGGGTTGTAGCTGATTATAAGCTGCTTTTTGAGAAGAATCAAAGCAAAACAACAATTGTGGATGATAAAAATCTTAGGATAGCTATAGTCAAAGACACAATTGACAAGAAAGTTTGATTATTTCTGTGGCATCCAACAATTTAACATAAAAATCATAATTTTTACTAATAACATATTGAGACATATCAGAATTTCAGGAATCTCATACAATCCTAGAACATGTCTATATAAATATAACCCAAAGAAATAATGCTAAATGATGAGTTAATGGGTGCAGCACACCAACATGGCACATGTATACATATGTAACAAACCTGCACGTTGTGCATATGTACCCTAAAACTTAAAGTATAATAATAATAAAATTAAAAAAAAAAAAGAAAGTTAAACACCATCTTGGCCAGGTGTGGTGGCTCACACCTGTAATCCCAGCACTTTGGTAGGCCGAGGCGGGCGGATCATGAGGTCAGGAGTTCGAGACCAGCCTGGCTAACATGGTTACCACTAGAATCTTCAAACCAGTACAACACTTGTACATACTTTGTTTTCAAGTACACACATGAAGGCCCAACAATGATAAGGTTTGGGATCAAAAATCACTAGAATGTCTCACTTTTTTTTTTTACTACTACTTAATTCAAGTGACTGTCACTTAATATGAATAATGGTAAACACAGCTAAAGTAATTTGAGAGAAACTCCAGTCAATATAATTTTCTAAAGGACAAGGTCAATCTTTCCTGAACATTAAAACTTTGTACCCATATCAAGTTTTTCCTCATTTTCTAAAGGAAAAGATCTGAAACCAACTCAAATTATTGACTAAATTGAATTACCTTGGAAATAAACACCATTTAAACATATCCACTCCCATCTACTTTTCCAAATAACAAAATATTGTACTATTTCTGTTCAGAACTTATAAAAGTAAGTCTTTTAATTTTGTCCAAGAGCTTTATAAACTCTTATAGATCATTAAAGGAAAGCATAACCAATGCTAATGATCCTATAGATCATTAGAGGAGAGCAAAACCAATCCAAGTTTAAAAGGCTGGTGTGCTCTATCATTTTTTTTTTTGAGGCTTGACAAAGGTAGCTTAGGAATTTTAGATAGATAGAGCAAATGATGAATGTTGGAAAAACATGGGAAACCAAATGGCTATCCATAGAACCAAATGCAAGCTTTTCATTAGGAACTGAAAACTCATGGCTGGGTATAGTGGCTCACCCCTGTAATCCTAGCACTTTGGAAAGCCAAGGTGGGAGGATTGCTTGAGACCAGGAGTTTGAGACCAGCCTGGGCAATATAATGAGAACTTGTGTCTACTAAAAATTAAAAAAAAAATTAGCCAGATGTGGTAGCATGCATTTATAGTCCCAGCTACTCGGGAGGCTGCAGTGGGAAGATAGCTTGAGCCCAGGAGTTTGAAGTTGCAGTGAGCTATGATCATGGCATTGCCCTCCAGTCTATTCAGCCTGGGCAGCAGAGCAAGACCCTGTCTCAAAAAAAAAAAAAAAAAAGAAACTAAAGAACATCAATGTATATATAAGTAATATGTATATATAAGTAAAACCCAAAGGAGAACAAACAGCAAATAAATGAAAATTAAAAGCAAAAACAGATAAATAGGAAGCCCCAAATTTTTCTCTTACTCAGATAACCTTGGAGGCTACAGTGTTACCCACAGCCTAAAATACAAAAGCACGTGACGGATATTTTGCTCCTGATATGCAAATGAATGTTCTTAAGTCCACCAACGCCCCTATACATTTTGTGCAATTAAGAAATTCACTTCAGGGATGTGACCAGTTAAGTACTTTAGTGCTAGTACTATCTATGCAGAATAGAAAATATAGTGTGAAACAAATCAGTGCAAGCATTTAGTGAAATTTGGCTCCATGCTAAATCTGGCTTCGTGCTCAACAATATTAAAAAAGAATTGCTGGCCGGGTATGGTGGCTCACACCTGTAATCCCAGCACTTTGTGAGGCCGAGGTGGGCAGATCACCTGAGGTCAGAAGTTGGAGACCAGCCTGGCCAACATAGTGAAACCCCATCTCTACTAAAAATACAAAAATTAGCTGGGTGTGGTGGTGTACACCTGGAATCCCAGCTACTCAGGAGGCCAAGGCAGGAGAATCGCTTGAACCCAGGAGGCAGAAGTTGCAGTGAGCTGAGACAGTGCCACTGCACTGCAGCCTGGATGGCAGAGTGAGACTCCGTCTCAAAGAAAAAAAAAATTGCCCAACTGCCATGTATTTCTTTAAAATATTTCTTGTTTTACTTTATCAAGACTAAGAGCTTTAACTATGAGCAATGTTAATTAGCCCAATATCTCAAATTTTCTCTCAGGTTTTAAAGAATATTTTACTGTCTAAACTTCCGTCTTCTCTGTATGTGCATGAAGGTAGACACACAGAGAAACAGAAAAAAAAAAAACTACATATGACTTACACAGAACAACAGAAGGACCATGCATGGACTTTCTGTTTTGTCTTAAATTCTCTTTATTTTTAAATAGCCAGTTATTTTATTTTAGGACAAAAATTTACCGTTCCAAGATTCTTTCTCATACAAAATTCTTTTTTACTTTATAACCTTTTTTAAAAAACCGAAAATACATCTTCATATCCATAACTTTCTTCACATCTCTCTCCCCTACTTACCAGTTCTATTCTACCTTATTTCATAAATAACCTTTTCAAGCCCATAATTTGAACTAACCTTTAGATAACTTTTTTTTTTTTTTTTTTTTTTTGGAGACAGGGCCTTTGCTCTGTTGTGCAGTCTGAAGTGCAGTGGTGTGATCACAGCTCACTGCAGCCTTGACCTCCTGGACTCAAGCAATCCTCCCAACTTAGCCTCCCGAGTAGCTGGGACTACAGGCATGTGCCACCACACCTGGCTAATTAGGAAAAAAAAAATTGTAGAGATGAGGTCTTACTATGGTGCCCAGGCTGGTCTCAAACCCATGGGTTCAACTTATCCTCCTGCCTTGGCCTCCCAAAGTGCTGGGATTATAGGCATGAGCCAGCCAGTAACTTCTGAATTAAACAAAATTATTCTTTTTCTCAGCAATTTTATATACGGAATTACATATTACATATTAACTACAATTCTTATTCTTAGTATCCTTAAGTTTTAGTGAAAACCTAGGAAGCAAGAATCCTGAACTGTCATATAAGATATTAGCATTTTATAGATAAGGACCATTCCACAATTTTTGGAAATATGTTTCCCTGTATCATAACCTTTTCTTAATTGGGAATTACCTAGACATCTAATGAACATCAAAAATGATTTTAAGATTTTAAATTACATCATGCCATTTCTATTTCATTCAGTTTTTTCATTTTTAACAGTTTTACCTAGATTACTTATGAGAACTGAGATATTAGACAAAGCTAGTTGTCATTTCCTTGTTAACAATTTTGTAACCTGTGAATAGCAGTAAGGTCCTTAAAGTTAACTACATGGGTATTTTCACCAATACTCAGAAGACTCAGCTATATTCATTAAACCAACAACATTAAATTAGTCTTATTTGGCAAAAATTGCACAAAGATCATTTTGTTTTGGCTGAGTTTATAGCTTTATAATCTTCTGTGCCAAACCCTGACACCTCAAAATATCTACAGAGACAAATACAAAACCCAGACAAAAATGTATGCTGACAATTCCAAAGTCACATCTACTTTTATCTTACCAATAATTTTAAAGCTAGATTGCTTATTAAAGATTTACATAAGTCACATGAACTTGAAACATGCTTGGATAGATTTAATTATGAGCTTTCTTTTATTTATAAGCCAATTTGGTAGACACAACATATAACATAATAAATGTTACACAATACATAAACATGTAAACATGATACACAAACATAAAGCTCCAATAGCTTTTACTTTGGAACTCTGTAGCCATGAGATAGTAATACAAACTCACCAGTTTACAAACACGTTCACGTGGCTACACTTTGTTTACCCTGATAGGTAATCTAATGAAGGCTGAGACCCAAAATTTTGGGTAAGGTCGTTTCCATGGCAGTTTGATTTTTAAAGGCCAAACCTCCTCATACTCCAAAGAACACTGAGGTCAAACAGCACCATAAAACATCATGTATTAACCAGGCCCGACCCAGCTTAGAACAGCAGCATAAAAGTCTGGATACATGAAATTCCATCCCACTTTTTCTTTAAACATCAAAATGAGGCCCATGGAAAGGCCACACTTCTCTAGATTGCAAAGAATATTGGGGCAAAATAGTATTACAAAAGATCAGTTTATAAAATTCTGATTTCCCATGACTTTATTAACACACATATGTAGACAATCATCAAAACACCATCCAACTGCTGCAGCAACAAGCCCCAAGCATGTCCAGACTGAAACAGTCCAGGTGCTTTTCTCTCTCAATTGGTTGGGCTTGTTTAACCTGCAAAAGGAAACTCCTTCAGAATTCCCCTAATTGAGAGGAGCAGATCCTGCTGTCTGTTACCCACGAAAGACATCATCTGTCCAGATGCAGATGACAAATTTCAAAGGCTGTTCTTCCTAGGTGATCAGGAATGAAGTTGGAGCCAGCAGTGATAGTACCAGAGAGACAGAGAGAGAGAGACTGAAACCCATCTCTGGCCAAAAAAGGGGTTAGGCAGCTGCCTAGGAGGGCTTCTGAAACTCCTGGCCCATGCATTCCCAATAAGGGAACCAAAATCTGTTACCAAAACACCAGGGGTTCAGTCTAGGTCATGCTGCTCACCACACAGAAAGCCAATTACTGAAATATTGCCAGGGAAGAAGGCTTTAATTGGGTGCTTCGCTTGAGGGGAGAGGAGACCAGTCTCAAATCCGTCTCCTCAACTAAAATTAGGGGTTTATGTGGCAAGGAAGAAATGTAACCATATGTGGGAAAACAGGAATTAGGGAGGGAAAAGGAGTAGTTGGGCAACAGGAAATAGGAAGTCAGGCGATCATGACGGGTGAGGGGTGTGGCATCTCATTGTCCAGATGTGTTGATCTGGTAAGTTTCAGTTCCTTGATACTTTCTGGGAGGTCTTATGGTTGGTTTCCTGAGAAAGGAACCCAGATCAGACAAACTTTTTCAAATTTTAAGCCTGGAAGCTTCAATTCTATGCTTAGTCAAAAGAAACCATAAAGATCAGTTCTATGAGACAATTGGGCTGGTTTCAGTGTTAGAACCACTCATCTCTACTCCCTCCCTCCCCTGTGGATGAGGTGGTACCATACTGCAGTAAGCATTGTGCTTCTCAGAGGAAGTGTTCCTGAACCCAAGTGGAAGGCTGGGTTATAAACCTTACCTTATCCTGGCTGCTCAGCTGATGGTTATTTGAATGGGAAAAGGCAAAACTTCTCCAAGAGGATAAAATGAGATAGGACTTATTTCTAGAGTGCTTGGTCCTGTAAAAATCTACTGGACATTTGCAGCCAATTTAGCCCTCTCTGTTTGGCTCCGAGGCCTAGAATGAGTCCTGCTTTCACTATACCAGACATGAACATTTCTTTACATTTTAGTGTAGAGAGCTAAGGAAACTCCAGTGGAATTTAGTAAACAAAGAAAAAAAAAAAACAAGAAAAAAAATGACCAGTTTTTTCAGGGCCTGGAAATTATTCATTCTTGGGGCCTTAGGTCTCTAAGAAAAAGTTTGCAAAGCAGTTGTTTTAGCCTATTGTTTCCCAAAATATGTTCACTGTCTCCTTTTTATTCCTTTGAAAACTTGGGAGTCTCCTTTTTATTCCTTTGAAAACTCCGTATGTCAAGAGAAGCTTGACATCAGGCAATAAACAGGTAGGGGATGGGGTAAGAACTTAAACGCTGAAATGTTTCCCATGAAAGGGAATAGAAGCATCTTCTGTTCTTTAAACTCATCCTTCCTTTTGATACGTGAGTGCTGGGAAGGGAAGAGCGTGGTTCCTTTAAATGATATGGAAGCGGGAAGGGAAGTGTTGGATAGCGGAGGACATGGTCCCTGGCTAGGGCTCCACCCCCACGGACCTAGGTGAGGACAGGCACTTGTGCCTTCACTCCTAAATGTTGCGTTTCCCAACACCACCCTGGCCTGCCATGCCCCCATCCTGGGCCTATAAAAACCCGAGACCCTAGCAAGGCAGAGACAGAAGTGGCTGGACGTGGAGCAGAGCAGATAGGCGGAGGAAGACACAAGTGGCTGGACGGTGAGAGGACACGGAGGGGAACACGCCGGCGGAAGAGCATTTTGACAGACACAGGCACTCAAGCAGGCTATTGACCAGCAGGTTTAGGCGGAGTTTGGCCAGGGCAGTCGGAGGAGAGCGCCCGCTGCCCAGCGGCCCAACTCCAGGGATAAACCATCTCCCTTCTGGCTCCCCCATCGGTGGACAGCTGCTTCCACTCAATAAAACTTTGCACTTATTCTCCAAGCCCACGATTCTTCCAAGGCAGGAACCTGGGATACAGAAAGCCGTCTGTTCTTGTGACAAGGTGGAGGGTCTGATTGAGCTGGTTAACACAAGCCGCCTATAGATGGCAAACTAAGAGAGCACCTTGTAACACACGCCCACTGGGGCTTCAGGAACTGTAAACTCTGCTGTGGGGTGCCCAAGTCTGTATGCTCCCCTAGAGGTTTGAGCAGCAGGACACTGAAGAAGCGAGCCACACCTCCGTCACGTCCTGGGAGGGGGACAAGGGAACCTTTCCTATTTCACTTTAAGCGGGCAGAAATGAGAAAGAAATGACATTTTTTAAATTTTTCCTTAGCTAACAAATGTAGGGTGTCTGGGAAAGTTAGTAGTTCTTCCTACAGTAGTAGAAATTGAAAAACCTTCACTGGAAACTCTACTCCCATGTCCTGGCATCTGAGAAAGTTACCTGCTTTACTTGATGGGAAACCTTGGTCTACAGGAAAGTTTGCTGATGAAGAAAATTTCAGAAAGGGGGAGATTTTGGGGTTGGCAGGCTCCTGTGTAGGAAACAGTTAACATTCTTTAAAAAAAATTTCACTCTGGGCCGGGCGCGGTGGCTCACGCCTGTAATCCCAGCACTTTGGGAGGCCGAGGCGGGTGGATCATGAGGTCAGGAGATCGAGACCATCCTGGCTAACAAGGTGAAACCCCGTCTCTACTAAAAATACAAAAAATTAGCCGGGCGCGGTGGCGGGCGCCTGTAGTCCCAGCTACTGGGGAGGCTGAGGCAGGAGAATGGCGTGAACCCGGGAAGCGGAGCTTGCAGTGAGCCGAGATTGTGCCACTGCAGTCCGCAGTCCGGCCTGGGCGACAGAGCAAGACTCCGTCTCAAAAAAAAAAAAAAAAAAAAAAAAAAAAAAAAAATTTCACTCTGATATCTATAATCCCAATGCCTTTGTACATTATATTGTTCTCTCACAACACCTAGCTCTTACTCATCCTTCAGACTCTGGAAATTTTCCCTGATCTCTCTGCAGACCACATTATGTGCCCTTATCATTTTTTTCCTTCCTCCCTCCCTTCTTTCCTTCTTTCTCTCCTTTATTTTTTCCTTTCTTTCTGCATTTCCTTTATGTACACTTATCACATTATATGGCAGTTATTTGTTTTATATTCTTTTCTAGTAGACTATGAGCTTCTAACACAAGGAACTGCACCTATCCTGTTCAATTTATACCACTGCAATGTTGAGATGTTTGTTGAATGAATGGATTAATTAATGAACAAATAAAGGAATGGACATATAACCATCTTTGCCTGTTTGTGTTTCGCCCTGAGATGAGCATGTGAGTGACAGGATTTCTGGGAATTAGTGGTGTTTTCTCTGATGTAATAGAAGAGCAGACCCAAGGCTCAGAATGGCACGTTTTATTCTGTGACTTGTACTTGCCAACAATAGGAACCATTATAATTTTACTGGATTTCTGAGAATCAGCAACATATGTGTGTAGTAAAAATAATGACAACAAAAGCAAATAGCCTGATGAAAAGAGTCCTTAGCATGCAGGAGTCTTCCCACTCTGATTTACCCTTGTGGTCAGGTCACGCTTCCAAACTAACTCATTGTTGCCTCAAAACATTCATCTTAAGTAGTATGGATACAATGCAAGAACAAATCTGAATTTCTTCAAAGTAAAAATGTTGATCAAGGAATAAAAAAATGGCAAACAAAGAGACTTGAAACATTGTGATGGAAGAATCATACTGTATCAAGGTGGGAGGGGAAGTTATTTTTAAGGAATAATTGAGGGTGGTAGAGACTTGGGAAAGAAAAAAAAAAAGCCAGGATTTCACATGGGAGTGCAGACAAATTATAATTTACTAAGAGAAGTTCAAACTGCTGACAGTATTGTCACAACAAAAGTGAGTGATTGCCATATGCACAGAACTTACCGGAAGAAGTGTAGCAAGCCCCTTGATACAAAGTATGCATATGAGGACAAGTAATCCTTTTGGACAGGGAACATGGTGTCTTCCATTTTCTGAAGGGATGCAGGGACCACAGGGAAGAAAGTGCAGAGGCTTCACTGTCCCAGACCTGAACTACAGAACCAAGCAGGTGCTGGCCACTAAGCAGACATAAGAATGTGAACTGAGAACTGAGAAGACATATAAATAAATGTTTCCTAATTTTTTGTTTGTTTTGTTATGAAAGCAAAAAGGGCACTGCAGAAATGATAAGGGACAGATGATTTTTAAACATCTAGTCTCGTTATAAAATCTTGTCACACCACAATCACAATGACTGTGGGACTGGGAGAAACTTGTCATTTGCCATCTTTAACTGAAAGCGATCCAATAGTCCCATAGACAGTTCTTATGGATAAACATAGAAATTAACCCTTCTGGTCTTAAAGCTTGAAACTTACATTTGTTATTTCTTTTTTCCTTTTTTTTTTTTTTTTTTTTGAGATGGAGTCTTGCTGTGTTTCCCAGGCTGGAGTGCACTGGCATGATCTCGGTTCACACAACCTCTGCCTCCTGGGTTTAAGTGATTCTTCTGCTTCAGCCTCCCGAGTAGCTGGGAGTACAGGCGCATGCCACCATGCCCGGCTAATTTTTGTATCTTTAGTAGAGACGGGGTGTCACCAAATTGGCCAGGCTGGTCTCAAACTCCTGACCTCGTAATCCGCCCGCCTCAGGCTCCCAAAGTACTGGGATTACAGATGTGAGCCACCACGCCTGGCCTACATTTGTTATTTCTGAGTTCCTCAGGAGAGGACCTCCAGTCTTCTCAGAAGGTATCAAATAACTGAAACTCACCAGATCACAGCATCCAGACAATGAGACGTCAGGCCCTTCATTCATTATGATTGCTTCCTTACCCCTCCTGACTTTGTTTTCTCATACATTATTACATTTTTTCCTTGCTATATAAACCCCTAATTTTAGTCCCTCAGGTAGATGGATTTAAGACTGATTTCCCATCTCCTCAGCTGCAGCACCCGATTAAAGCCTTCTTCCTTGGCAATACTCACTGTCTCAGTGATTGACTTTCTGTGCTGTGAGCAACAGAATCTAGACTGAACCCCTGGTGTTTCGGTAACATATTCCATCTTCTAATGCTATTTCTTCTATATGCCTTAATGGTTACATGTTTCTTGTACAGTAGAGAAACTTCTATGGTGTATATCACCACTTAACTTCTTATTTTTTCAGCTAAATTAACCAGAATGCTTGTGAATGCAGTGCACTGATTTAATTTTCTGCACACTTATGAGATAGTAGCACACAGCCCATAGGAAGCACTTAATTGATGTTTGTTAAATGAATGGATGAGTAACTTATGTGAAAGCACATTCTCTGGCTCAAGTAGTTCAAGTTACTTCCAAATATAGGCAGAATTTGAGGATATAGGCAATGAAGAGAAAAGCCCATGGATTTTGGATGTAAACAATTTAGTTTGAACATGGGTCTGACATTTACTGGCTATATTACCTTGGGCAAGAGTTAATTCTCTAAGTCTCAGTCTTTTCATCTATAAAATGTGTATAATAATATCCTTATGGGAAGATTGAATATACAATTTATATGAACCATTTAGCACAATGATTGGCATATAGCAAGGACTTGATATTATTTCCGTTTTTCTTCACTTTAGTTAACTCAGGATTGTCAAAACCACTTGAGATTTGGCTCTTTGAAAATAGTCTTGAATAGACTGGAAGTAATATGGAAAATTGTTAACATATGTTAATTCCAGGTGGTAGTAATAGTACCATGATTATATATATTTGTGCTTTTCTATGTCTTTAACAGTTCTAAAAATTAAACACATAAAAAACAAAGCATTAAATAAAATGACAGATATTATTAAATAAAACATCAAAAATAAATTGATTCCTACCTTTATAAATATAGAATAGGGAATTGAGTCATTCAGTTGAGTTACATTTGTTGAGTAACTACTATAAACAAGACTGATGTGGAGCTTACAGTTCAGTGGGGAATACAGATTTTTTTTTTTTTTTTTTTTTTTTTGAGACGGAGTCTCGCTCTGTCGCCCAGGCTGGAGTGCAGTGGCGCGATCTCGGCTCACTGCAAGCTCCGCCTCCCGGGTTCACGCCATTCTCCTGCCTCAGCCTCCCGAGTAGCTGGGACTACAGGCGCCCGCTACCACGCCCGGCTAATTTTTTGTATTTTTAGTAGAGACGGGGTTTCACCGTGTTAGCCAGGATGGTCTCGATCTCCTGACCTCGTGATCCGCCCGCCTCGGCCTCCCAAAGTGCTGGGATTACAGGCGTGAGCCACCGCGCCCGGCCAGATTTTTTTTTTAAAACATGTGATCAGAGCAATTGAAAGGAAATACAAGGTTGTAACAGCACATTATGCGGCACATTTTACCTGGATTTAGGAGATTCGGAAAAGCTAAGAGGAATTAATGATGTGTAGGAGTAAGTGATGTATAAACTGGCAGGCAGAGAATGAACAGGAGTGAGGGATGGAGGCGGGGAGTGTCCCATGGACAAGAAAAAGCACATACTAGAGACTACAGGGAATGGAGAATGAAGAATAGTTCAATATGGATGGAGCATAGGGTTCAAGATAGAAGGTGGGGGACAGACAAGGCTTGCGAAGAGGGCAGGGGTCTGATCATGAAAGGCCATGAAGCTTTGTACCTCCTGGGGAGAGTTCATCCACAAAAACATGACCCCCATCTGTCACTGTTAGCGAGGTCTCCATTTTTTGTACTAATGTTGTGGTGCTTAGGAAGCAATAATTCAGTGCTTGAAGTCTGATGGAATGCTGTGGTTTCTGGGGAGCCCAGAATCATGGTGCTGCTATTTTTAATGGACAGAAACTTACTGTATTTCAAGTGAATAAAATGAGCATAGAGGTTTTGTCTCCTACACATTTTCAACCTAAGGACTTTTATAGATGGATCGAAGCTGTCCTGAGCCAAAGTGTATCAGTTCTGCCTACCATCAGCAGAAGATATTAGCAGTGGTTTGTTTAATTTCTTTTTGGACTTTCAGAGAAACAGACTTGAAGATAGCCTTTGGGAAGCTAACTTGTAAGTACATAAGCTTTGTAATACAAAGTTAACTTTATCTTAATTTTCGTATACTGCTGACATTTTCTTGCATCAGATGGATTATGTTTGTGTCCCGGATCTTGAGGTTAGCCAGAGTTTGTAAAACTAATAAATAATTTTACAATCTGGAAGATTTTTCTTTTAACAAAACCAATGGCATGTGTCCATTATCCTATGGAGCTAGGACAACTTGAGTTTGGTTTGGAGAATCTAGAACACAGTTGCTCTGGGGCAGGGATGAAGGAGGATTACATTCTAATGACAGTCATTTGCAATGTCTCATCGTGTTCAAACATAGGACGATTACACAAGGTTTCATAATGGAAAATAAGCGGTCCAGATAATTCAGAATACACAAACCATTTGGTGACCTTGCCTGTGACTCCTCAGGGAGGGAGCTCATAGGAAAACTGATGATCTGAGATTGTGATTTGCCCAAAGTTGCAGAATAACATTATACTCTAATTCCCAACTGTTGCTCTATGGACTTGGTTTTTACAATTATCTAAGATTTTCAAAGACTCTAAGCTTTGCAAACTCTAATTACATGACAAAGTTCCTGGCCATTAGCTTTTAATTTTAGAGTATACTTTTTATTGTCGTTTGAGTTTTATGTACTTTTTATTGTCATTTGAATTCTGCATGATGATAGTCTTCCTTTCCTTCACTCCCTACCCTGATCTTCCTTTCTCCCCAACCCTATTGATACTGAGAAAATTAACATCTCATTTGGAAGTGGGATGTTTGAAGGGATAGATTATCTTTACAGTTTGTTTCATGTGTCCAAGAAAATTTTTAAGCTGCAGCTCGGGGTAGCATTTTTCTTTCCTCCAGCTCTGTATTTTTTTCTTATTTAATGTGATCAGTAGTTCAAAGCAGGATCTATTTATTTTTGGCTCACTTTCCACCTCACTGGTTGTGACTTTTAGATGTGTATGTGGATTTTGTTCTCACAGGAAGATCTAAGGAGACCCTGTTATAAGCATGGGTTAACCGCCATAAGGCACAGCTGGTGCAAATCAGCATGATGCAGCATAGCTTAGGGTTATTGGCAGCGCTTGTGTTTAGAATTATACAGTAAAGAAGAAAAGGGGCTCTGTACTATAGGATAGGAAAGAAGGAAAAATCTAGCGGGGGAGAAGGGAGGATATCAAACATAAACAGGAGAGGGAAGACATAAAAGAGTAGGGGTTTTCCTAGTGACCTCATAAACAAGTAGTATGGGGAAAACTGTATACTATGTAAAGTTTTACTAAATAAAATGATGTTTATATATAATCCTTTATGGTTTCAGGGATTTGGGACACCTTATTTTATATGATATGTTTCTGTCCTTTATGGGGGTAAACAGAGAAACTGTGGGGAGGCTTGATAGCCCATGGAGAACTGGGAGGGTTCTTTAAAGAAGTTGGGGAGAATGGAAAATCTAGGATGGGAAAAAGGGTCTGGATTCTATATTCCAAATTCTCTGTCCTCAGTCTGATTTGATGTATGTCATCTATGGTTCAGCTACATGTCTCAGGTTTTGGATCAAAATATACATGGTCAGCATAAGTCTCTCTGAGCAGATTGACATATTTTCCCAGATCATTACAAAAGAGGGCTCATCCTTTAGGGAATTGTCTGCATCTTTCCTGAGGCCTGGATTCAGTGCTCCTTTGAAGACAAATGGGCCGTGATAGGTGGAGCAGTTTCTGTAAGAGATGGTCCTGTGCCAACCCCCTGGCAGAATTGTACACCTGGCACTGGTACAACTGGTGCTCCGCTTAGACTTTTCTCTCAGTCTTTCATGGACACCTATTAGGTGGCTGGGAGGAAGAAAGAAGGGGAAACTTCCTCCTCCCCTGGAGGACAGACTGCTATCAGTAAGGAAGCTGTGTAGCTGTTCATTAGAAGTGGTGATTCTTATTTGGAGCATTGCAAAATTTCAAAATTTTCCCTTCCTTCCTTCCTTCCTTCCTTCCTTCCTTCCTTCCTTCCTTCCTTCCTTCCTTCCTTCCTTCCTTCCCTCCCTCCCACCTTCCTTCCTCTTCTTTCTTTCTTATAGTCTTGCTTTGTCGTCCAGGCTGGAATGCAATGTCACCCAGGCTGGATCTTGGCTCACTGCAACCTCTGCCTCCTGGGTTCAAGAAATTCTCCTGCCTCAGCCTCCTTAGTAGCTGGGATTTCAGGCATGTGCCACCTCGCCCAGCTAATTTTTGTATATTTAGTAAAGATGAAGTTTCACCATGTTGGCCAGGCTGGTCTTGAACTCCTGACCTCAAGTGATCTACCCACCTCAGCCTCCCAAAGTTGCTGGGATTACAGGCATGAGCCACCGTGCCTGGCCAAAATTTCTTTTTATTATCTTGAGATCAAGACGTGCTCAGGTTTCACGATGAGTGTGTAAGATGACTCTCGATGCTAATTCTAGGACAGTGTGTGAGGTAGCCCCCACAGTTAATTCTGGGTCAAGGTGAGTGTGTGAGATAGCCCCAAAGTTTGCTCTAGGTCTGGGTTTGTGGATTGTGTTGGAAACTTTAAAAAACAAGGACTTGTGTAGAAGTTTGAGGAAAGATAGTTTGTAAATTTGTATCTTTTTTTTTTTGAATGATAGGAAAGCATCAGTGTTGAGTTCTGCAAGCCAATTGAAAACAGAAGGTATTTTATGCATAGTGTGTGGGTGAAGAATGTATTTGTGAAGGAGGAAATGGGTCAATTGAAATAACTATCAATTCATAAAAGAGAAAATCAGTATCTAATTAGCATGAAGAATGCTCAGATCAAATAGTGTCTAAAATGTTGATTCAGTTTAGTTTTATATAAAATACTTAGTGAGATATAAAGGATATAGAATTTGATAAAACTCACCTTGATTCCAGTTTCCTCCCTGGGAGAATACCTGTGAATGGGTGCAACATTCTTAATGTGCTGGGTGACTTGATTTTTTGCAAATAATTATTTTGGTGGAAATGTGGGTTCATAATGTTTCTAATATGCTTTGCGTCATTTTTCAGGAGCATGATAAATTTGAACTGTTACATCTATTTTACTTTGGAGCAGTCCTCCTTGTCGTCAAGGGCATCCATTTTTGAAACAGCTGTTTGGATTGAGGGATACAGGATGTGGCCATAAAGTAGATCAAAGTTAATTGGCCCTCAGGGTAAACAAGCTCATGACCTTGGCCTCATTAGCCCTGTGCTGTAACTAGCTGAAGTAACCTGCCCTGGGCAGGAAGTTTGCTTCCCTGAAGAAGCTTCAGCATTTAGAAATTATCCAATAAGTCTTCTCATTTTGCCAACCTGCCCTCTTCTGCCCCAGCACTGAATGCTTGGATGGTGAGTGAGAAGAGGGGGAGATTCAGTGCTTTATGGGATTACCATCAGGTAGGAAAAAAAATGTTAAAGTCATGCTTATTTTATAGGATTTGTATACAGGCTTGAGGATAGGTTTTGGCCAATAGAAAGCCTCTACATGTGTCACAACAAAAGGTGTATGATAGGTGATACTTTCAGCGCGGTGGACTCTTTTGAGTCTCAGTTTTGCCTTACCTCTTCATACTGTCTGGATAAATAATGAAATATGCCACAATAGCCCTGACCATGAAATGGATTAATGAAGCTGCAGTTCAAGACTGTACACAAGAGTAAAAGACATTTTTCCTTTCCCAGGCCCAAGAAAACAAAGGAGTCATGCTGTTCCGTGGCAATGGAGCCACCAGCAGCTCCTGAAGGCCAGTTCTCTGCAGCTGGTTTATATTCCTCACACTTCAGGGCCTATTGCTAAGTAGGTTTGTCAACATTTCCTCCAAGCACCTCTTTTCTAGCCTTTCCATTGGCCAGAGGGATGGGGCAGGGATAAGAGTGATCCTTCCGACTTTATGGATAGCTAGGACATTTTGGTTCTTCATACTCTCAGGCATGGACTAGTTCCTCTTATCAAAATCTCTTTTCTGAAGTAAAATAAGTAGAAAAAAATCAAATTCAATTGAAAACCCAGATGAAGCAATTATTACTCTTCTTTTTTCCACTTCCTTCTCCTTCCTAACACACACAGTAAACATTTTTTTGGAGAGATCAATTTCTTCTATGTAGACTGGAATACTTCCCCCTTACCTTAGCTGGCTGAAAGTATTATGGATTGCTCTGCTAAGAACTCTCTTTTTCTTCCCTCTTTGGCCACATACCCAGTTGCTATTGAAAACACTAACTTAGAAACCCATTAAAATAGTTATGGAATATTTATTAAGTTTTTTAATACTGTGGAGTATAAGAAACCTAAACTAGGCCCCGGTTTTTCTCCCAAATGCCACTCCACTCTGTTAAGCTATTTCTCCACCCCATCTGATCCATTTACTGAAAGTTAACCACTGTTAACCATTTCTCGAGATTCTTTACAGAAGAAAAAAATCATGCATGTACCTGAATGTATATATGTACCCATCTCTACATATATGTGTGTGTTTTAACATATAAGGTATCATAGTGTACATGTCATTCTATACCTGGCATTTTTCCTTTAATGATGTGTCTTAGAAATCTTTTCATGTTGGCACACACAGATCCATCTCATTCTAACTACACAGTAATCCATTACATGGATGTGCCATTTTCATTTAACAGTCTCTATACTGATGGACATATTGATGTATTTTTAAAACCACAACAAACTGTGCTCTAAAAAGGTTATGCCCATTTGCACTCTCAAGAGTATAAAAATCCATTTTGAATAGATAGAAAAATAATATTTTCCCAGACTCATGTAGCTGGTTTCTGATTTTATTCCTAAAGTGTTTTCTGTGTTCTAGTTTATGAACACCTGATACATAAATAAGTGATGTTCCTATCTAGCTCTTAAGCTAATCAATAGAATAAATCTTCTTTCACACCTTACAAGTTAATGTTCACCCTGTGCTTGGCCAGAAAAGGATGTGGGTTCTATGAGGATTGTCCACCGATGGCACTCTGTCCCCAGATACCTGCCACAAAGATACCAGGGCTCCAATTCCAGAAAACATAGCCCAGGAAACAGGACTTTACTATTCCATCTCCACCCAGACACGTGGTATTTTGAGAGGTTATTGCCAACTCTGCTGCCTTTACACAGACCCATCAAATTTGTGAGGCAAGATAGAATCTTTTTTGCTACTTCTAAAGGAAACTCAGTGCGTTCATCAGGGAAATGGAGCTCATTACATGGACAGGGAAGCTGGGAGGAATAACCACTTAAAAGCACTTTGAAGCGTGTTCAATCACAGTTAAATGCTTCTTCATAAAACTTGATTTTTGAGGTCTGTTTGGCATCATAGAACTTGCAACTATTGTGTCTTCATAACTCATGGCCTGGGATTTGGCACTACATATTTTTATGGCTGAACAGGAATAGTATAATACACATGAGAGCTACTCAGATATCTAATATTACAGAATAATGCAGAAGACAGAATAGATATTGTGGTGGGTGGATTATAATTATTTTATTTTTGTTGGTAATGTGCTCTAGGTACCATGCAGGGATTTGGTGAGATTGCTGTCATATTTTCTAAAGTATCTGGAATTCCTAAGAGGAAAGCTGGAAAATGAGTGCAAAGTAATGATGCACAGTCTCCTTAACTCTCCTAGTGCCATGGGGGTGTAGACAATGGCAAAATGAGAGGGTAGTCAGACGTCCATGTGTAGATCTCACTGCTTTACAGGGAACAAGAGGCTGAGTATTGTACTGGATGCAAGAATCAACTTTGCCCACCTTAATCATAAACAGAAATATCTAGTTCTCCGGCCTGAACCTTTTCCACTGGTACTGAATTTCTAAAGATAACTGAATTTCTAAAAGATAACCGGGGGAGGGTAGAGCTGCATTCCCAGGATCCTTGAGTTTCCTATCAATGAGGAAAGCTGCTGCTTATTTGTGGACCCAGTGGGTGCCAAAAGGAAGAACTGAAGGGATTTCTACTGGGTTACTGAATTTATTCCAGCTCCGTTTTGGGGAACTCTCAAACCTTGGGGTGAGGAGTGGGGGTTCCCAGATGAATTCAACAAGAGAGAGAGGGAGGGGGAGATGGGAAGAGATAAGTTCAAATAGACAGGCAAAGGGAAGAAAATAAGGAACACACACACATACATATATATAATGATACTTAGATTGGCACAAAAGTAACTGTGGTTTTGCATTGAAAGTATAGCAAAAACCACAATTACTTTTGCACCAATCCAATATTATTACCTAAGGACTCACAGAGATTTCCTTAAGTCCATAGGGACAGGAGCCCTTGCCCTCCATGCTTCAGGAATGATTTGATTAAGGATACTAAACAGGCATGTGACAATGTGAGCTTGCTCAATAATAATCCTTGATGGACTATTACTCATTTTGTGAAATTGAGCCAAGTCTCTCTTTCCTGCTCCCCCTTTCTCCTTATTTCCCTTTCCCCCAGCTACTTTGCTTTGCTAAGTAATCAGACATGGATCTTATTCCCAAGATATTTATATTCTTAGGGAAATAAGACATTTAAAATAAGGAAGAATGCAATAAAATCTATAATGGAAACCCAGCTAATGAGCCACAGGAGTTCAGAGGAGGGAGATGTAACCAGTTGGAGTGGGGAGGAGATTATGGATTGTCATATTTTTGAATTTAATATTTATTGTGAATGCCTAAGTTAAATAGGAATGGAATGGGAAAAAGACTTTTCCAGGGTGTGGAGTTGTCAGGAATAAATCAGGGAGGTCTGCAGTCTTGGGGCATGAATAGCATACAATGATGAGATTATTCTGAGTGGAGTGAAGGGTACACAAGCATATTAAGGAAGAAGTTTCAATGGTGTGGTGGGGCTCTAATCTGCAGGGCCTTGAATGTTCATTGTCATAGCTACAGATAATTGTTAGAAATAGCCTGGTTTGCTGCAAAAGACAGGGCAAACTGGGAGGGACCAGATCTGCCCTCGAGGATTGATCAGGAACTGTGAGGAAGTCTAGGCTGGCAGACAAGGCATTAGAAGAGATGTGCAGAAGAATATGGCGATAGATGACAAGCGGTCACCCAGACAAGTTGGTACTGAGAGGTAGGAGACAAGTCTCAAGGAGGGAAGGTGCCTGATACTGGGAAATACAGGAACAGGTGGCACTTAGAAGTGTAATCAAGACTGAGGGAATAAGAAAGTCTGTCAGCAGTTAGCAGGCTCCAGCCGCTATGCTCAGGTTCATGGGCAGACTTCCAAGCTCTGGGAGGAAACAGCAGAATGGAAAGCAAGAAGCTGGGCCCCAGCCCCAGAGGGACCAGGCAGATTTCCAAGCCAGGAGTCAGACCTGGAACATGGGCCTGACTAGCAGTAAGAATGGTTCAATACTCCATTCCAGAGTGCTGAGCCAAAGTCTTTTAATGCCTTCTGCTTAAGGTTATGACTGACCTTCGACGCTGGGTTTACAGGTGGGAGCAGAGCGGTCCAGCTGTTTGGAGGGGAGGATGCAGATACTGGAGAAACAGTCAGGGTTCACTGCTGGCTAAAGAGTCTAGGCCTTATTTAGTGGGCAAAAGGAGAACAATGGAAAAATTAAAACAGAGGAATATCTTAATTGGAGCTGTATTTCAGGAAGATCAATTTGATCCTAGTGTGTAAAAGGAACCAGAGTTAAGTGAGTCCTCACCTGTAACAAATTTCGGCCATTCTCCTTCCTAAGCACTTCTCCAGTGTGTTCACTTCTCTGCAGGCCCCCTTCTAATACTGTGGCATAAACTATATGAGTAAAATTCATACAATTAATAAACTAATAAAACATTAATTTCACGTGTTTCTTTTCATTCTTTTCATGTGGCTTCTGGAAAAAGTTAAAATTTATAAGCGGCTCACATTATTTTTCAGTGGGGCAGTGCTGCTCTAATCCTTTCTCCATATTGCGGTTAGAACTTTTTAAAATGCAAGTCTTCTCATGTAGCTCTACTGCATGAAATCTCCCCATAATCTCCATTGCCCCAGGATAAAGTCTAAATTCCTTAGCATGGCCCCCACCCTCTTTGTCATCTGGCCTTAGCCCATCTCCCATTGCACTAATCCTTCAGGTGTATCAAACTATTTTCGGTCCACCCGTGAAATTACTTTGTATTCTTTGGCATCCATGCCTTTGCTCCTGCCATTCCTTCGCTTGAACTGAATATTTCTCCCCTTTTTCATGTGTTAACTTTTGCCTCCTATTAAGGTCTCAGCTGTAGGCATACCTGACTCCTTGACTGTGGATTAGGTGCTTCTCCTTGATGCTAAGGGCCACATCCTGTGCCTGCTCTACTATAGCATTTCTCGCATTATTTTTGAGGTCCTATTATCTTTATCCTCTACCTAGACTGCATGTTCTTTGAAAATAGGAACTCTGTATTGATCTTTATGTCATGTCCAGCACCCAGCACAGTACCTGGAGCATAATAGCTGCTTGCATGATTGTATGAATGAATGAATGGGGCAGATGTGCTAGGTGAAATGAACCTGAACCAGCATAGTGGCATTGGGAATGAAAAGGATAAGACACTCATCAAGAACGTAATTTGTGAGTGCTGGCAACCATGTAAATTGACCTCTAATTACTGGTTGGGTATCCTTTATTCAAAATGCTTTTGGCCAGGTACAGTGGCTTACACCTGTAATCCTAACACTTTGGGAGGATAAGGCTAGAGGATCTCTGGAGGCCAGGAGTTTGAGACCAGCCTGGGCAACAGAGTGTGACCCCATCTCTACAGAAAACTTAGCTGGGGATGGTGGTGTGTGCCTGTAGACACAGCTACTTGGGAGGTTAAGGCAGGAGGATCGCTTGAGCCCAGGAGTTTGATGCTGCAGCGAGCTGTGATTGCACTACTCTACTCCAGCCTGGGCAACAGAGCCAGACCCTTTCAATCAATCAATCAATCAATGAAACAAAATATGGAAAATGCTTTTGTCTAGGCACAGTGGCTCACACCTGTAATCCCAGCACTTTGAGAGGCCAAGGCAGGAGGATTACTTGAGCCCAGAAGTTTGAGACCAGCCTGGGCAACATAGCAAGATCCCATCTCTAAAAAAATATTTTAAAAATTAACTGAGCATCGGGATGTATGCCTGTAATTCTAGTTATTCAGGAGACTGAGGTGGGAAGGTCTTTTGAGTCCAGGAATTTGAGGATACAGTGAACTATGCCACTGAACTCCAACCTGGGTGACAGACTAAAATCCTGTCTCTAAACAAACAAACAACACACAAAAAAACTGCTTGAGACCAGAAATGTTTCAGATTTCAGATTTTTAAAATATTTTGGAATATTTGCATTATACCAGTTGAACATCCCTAATCCTAAAATCTGAAATCTAAAATGTTCCAATGAGCATTCCCTTTGAGTGTCACATTGGCACTCAAAAAGTTTCAGATTTTGTAGCAATTTGGGTGCCAGAATAGGGATGCTCAATCTCTACTAATGAGTATGAAGAACTAATGCAATTCATAAAATGCCCTAAGTCCTAAATAATATTAAAAATAGCAATGATGTGGACAAATGTTCTAAGGAAAAAAGAAACATTCTTTTTAAAGTATTCTGATACTTGGAGTCAAAAGACAGGTTTAAGACTTTGGTCCAGCATTTATGTTGTCTGTAGTCTTGATATTTCAGTTTTTTAGGTCATAAAATGGAGACAGTAATACCTCTACATTTGGGGCTCATTGTGAGTATTAGGGGAATATATGTAGAAGCATCTTGCAAATTGAAAAGTGACAGAAAACACTAGTTATTGCCAATACAAAAATATTTATACCTGCAAGTAGGTGATAAACATGCTGTAGTGATTAAATTGTACATAATCGGGACCTGCTCAAATAATGTAAATCTCAAACAAACCATCCTAGCACAGAGGAACGTGGACAATTTACACTTTGTCACATGACATTCCATCAATACAACTCATGGAATGAGCTAATGAGAGAGTGAGCAAGAGGTGGCTTGATTGGGCGCCCTCCTTCCCAGTGCCCGGTCTGTGATGGCCTCACATTTGACCTCTAACTGTGGCTCACACTATTCACTCTGCTTGCATTGCTCTCTTCTTCACTCCTGCATTGCTTCACTAAACCCCAGCCCTACCACCTTAAAACTCTACTCACATTTTAAGTCTCCTTCAGGATGCCTTAATGGGGTACGAGTTCTTTGTCTGAAGGCTCACAGCATTCAGTACTTCTAAAGTTGTCTTTTTTCCTCTCTCAAGAGAGATCCCAATATCGTCTTCTCTTCCATTTCCTGGTCAAGGATAGCACTAACACCTAAGTATTTCCAAGGTGGGAATTGAAAGAGGCCTTTCCATCCAGCCTGTATTCCTGTCCCCAGACATGTGCCAGACCTGTGCTAGGATGGCTGAATTAAATGGAACAAATGATAACATTAGCATTTGAATTTGGAATTTAGGGTCAGGATGGTTCCATAGAAGCTGCTATAGTTTGGATGTTTGTCCCCTCCAAACTTCATGTTGAAATTTGATCCCTAGTGTTGGAGGTGAGGCTTAACAGGGGGTGTTTGGGTCATGGGGGCAGATCTCTTGTGAATGGCTTAGTGTCATCCTTGCTGTAGTGAGTGAGTTCTTGCTTTATTAGTTCCCACAAGAGCTGATTGTTAAAAAAAACAAAAACAAAAAAAAAAGAGCCTGGCACCTCCCCGCTGTCTCTCTTGCTTCCTCTCTCACCACGTGATCTCTTACAGCTCCCCTTCACCTTCCACTATGAGTGGAAGTAGCCTGAAGCCCTCAGCAGATGCAGATGCTGGTGGTGCATCTGCAGAGCCATGAGTCAAATAAGCCTTTTCTTCATAAATTACCCAGTCTCAGGTATTCCTTTATAGCAACACAAAATGGACTAGGAAAGAAGCCCACACTCACTTGCTTCCCTTTTACCTGCTTACTTTGTTCATTCCCTTGTTTGTCTCCTGTACTAGTCAGGGTTCACTACAGATACAGAAATAATAGGAATATATTTAATTGGGAATTGGCTTACATGATCATGGAGGCTGAGAAGTCACATATCTGCTGTCTGCAACCAGCAGCGAAATTCAGTCTAAGGGCCTGTGAATCAGGAGAGCCAATGATGTAAATCCCAGTCCAAGCACATTAAAAGATGAGATGAGATGTCCCAGCTCAAGCAGTGAGGCAGGGAAAAATGGGACAAATTCCTCCCTCCTCTCTTCTGTTCTATTCAGTCTCTCAATGGATTAGATGATATCCACTTCCATTGGGGAGAGCAATCTATTTTACAGAATTTACTGATTCAAATGCTGACCTAAATCCAGAGACATACCTAGAAACAATGCTTAATCTGGACACTCATTGGCTCAGTCAAGTTGACACATAAAATTAACCATCACACCTCCCTTACTTTAGATCCAGGAGCAGTATGTATCATTTAGTACTTTATGCACAGTACATGTTCTGTTGAGGTCACTAAAATAGTTATTTATTTACCTGGCCCTTGACAGAGGATTATTTGAAGGATTATGGGATTACATAAAATAAAACAAAAACAAGGGACATACACACAGTATATTATACTATTAAAACAAATTAGTGCTCAAGAAGAGAAGATGTAGTGCTATTCTTATTTAGGAAAAATATACAGTATTAGCCTATTTGACATGTGTGTGAACTAGGGGGGCACGTCCAGGATTCTTTTTAATCTGTGCTCCCTCTAACTCTCCAATTCTGTCTTCTCTGCCTAGATTGCTCTCTTCCCCTACCCACCCCTTCCACTACAACTTCTGATTAATTCTGCCTCATCTTTTGGATGTCACCTAAGAGATTGTTTTCTTTGGGAAGTCTTTCTTGAATTCTATGGGCTTAGCCTGTATACTGTAATAGGAGGTTTTCTCTCAACATTTATCATATGGTAGTGTAAGTGCTTTGTCTGTTTCTCCCTCTAATCCATTAGCACCATGAGGCAGGTACCATGTCTGTCATGTAGAAAGTTAGTTCTACCAGCTGGGCATGGTGGCTCATGCCTATAATCCCAGCACTTTGGGAGGCCGAGGCGGGTGGATCACCTGAGATCAGGAGTTCGAGAGCAGCCTGGCCAACATAGTGAAATCCTGTCTCTACTAAAAATACAAAAAAAAAAGTTAGCTGGGCATGGTGGCAGGTGCCTGTAATCCCAGCTACTTGGGAGGCTAAGGCAGGAGAATTGCTCGAACCCGGGAGGTGGAGGTTGTAGTGAGCCGAGATTGTGCCATTGCACTCCAGCCTGGGCAACGAGTGAAACTCTGTCTCAAAAAACAAAAAACAAAAAAACAAAAAACAATAACAAAAACAAAAAGGAAGCTCTACCATGTGTAGCACAGTGTCTGGTATATAGTGGTCACAAAATAAATATTCATTACATAATAAGTAGGCAAAAGCCAGAGCAATTTGGAATCAGAGTATATCAGAGTAAGTCTTAGTATATTATTATAAGCAAGGCTTTGGCTAAATGGCTCCTTTACCTCTACTGATTTCTGCTCTATTTAACCAGGTATATTAATTGGAATATAGGTTTGGCTGCTTGTCACAGATCTATGCCAGTTTAAACAAGAAGGAATTTTCTTTGTCACAAAACAATCCAGAGATAGGCAGTCATGGACAGGTATGGCAGCTTTGTTCTTTAGGATATTAGGTTGGTGCAAATGTAATTGTGGTTTTTGCCATTAAAAGTGATAGCAAAAACCGCAATTACATTTGCACCAACCTAATAGTCAGAAGCAGGCTTTTACTTATTTTTTTTTTGAGACGGAGTCTCACTCTTGCCCAGGCTGGAGTGCAGTGGCATGATCTTGGCTCACTGCAGCCTCCACCTCCCGGGTTCAAGCGATTCTCCTGCCTCAGCCTCCCGAGTAGCTGGGATTACAGGCACCCGCCACCACACCCAGCTAATTTTTTTTTTAATTTTTTGGTAGAGGTGGGGTTTCACCATGTTGGTCATAGCTGGTCTCGAACTCCTGACATCAAGTGATGCACCTGCCTCAGCCTCCCAAAGTGTTGGGATTAGAGGCGTGAGCCACTGTGCCTGGGCTCCAGGCTTTTTCTATCTTGATGCTCCAATATCCTATGATGATGCCCTCGTTCCCATGGTTCACAGCCATGACACAATCCCAGTAGGTCCACTTTTGTCCTGGAATCCTTGGAACCTACACCCAAAGCCAGTTTAATTTCTTTTGGGTACCTGAACTGATTTGAGGACCTTCTGGACCATGTAAGGCAGCTTGAGTCTGGTATGGATTTATAGAATTAATCAAGTTGAACAATTTCTCACTGCTTGTCTAATCCATGCCTTACCCTCAAGCCTTCTCAAGTGGGAAAGACTAATAACTTAGCCTTAGTTGGGTATGTATGACAAGAATGCCAGCTGGTTCTTATGCCAAGGTCAAGCAGCCTTCAAACAGGGTGGTATGGTTTCCTGAGGCACAGGATACAATAAGTTAACAGAAGGGCATTCTAACAAGTTATAAAAGAGAAATTGCTTGGAACAATGTTAACTATATTATCTAGTTAGCTATCAGGAAAAGTATAGTACTTATTTGGCTATAAGGTTGCCACAAAATACCATTGCACCATTATTTCTTTACAATGCCTTTCTGTTGGGTTTATGTTATTCTGGAAATAAGTCATTAATTCTTATTACAGAAGTTTGAAATGAAGGCCAGCCCACTCTATCAGTTCTCCCCTCCCACGATATATACACACATAGCACAGATAGCACATGTATGTGTACACACACACACACACACACAATCTCTGGAGGGAAGGAGAGAAGAGAGAGGAAAATGGGAGAAGAATCAGGGTAGGGGTGAGAGCTGGGTGCAGCTTTCTAGAGCATTAGCTATTCACTCATCTAGAAGACGCTGAATAAACAAAAGTAACTACTCCTTCCCTTCCCCCTCCCCAAACTAAACATTTTCATTCTGTAGACCTCACTTTGTGTCCTAGACAAAACAGGATCAGTGTGGGTCATTATGAGATGATTCTGCCAGTTTAATAGGAAAATAACAAAAAGCAAAGATCTGTCTAAATTTGTTCTTGGCAAAGGCAACATATGAGATATTATCTGATTTTTAAAAAGACGTTATCTAATTGATATACAATCCACAGTTGATTTTCTAAAGTGGTAAAATTCACTTTTCTTTGTGTTTTGGTGTGTCTCTGTGTGAGTAGTTATATTTGTAGAATTTTGGTTAATTTTTGTTACAATTATATTTCCATTATATATGTTTTTCTTTTCTTTCCACCTTCTCAAAAGTTCTCCTTTAAAGCAGAAACTTTCCATTCTTGGTTTCATCCAAAAGACAAATATTTCTGGGAAAACACTGTGTTTAAGCTATTCAGCAATTCTAGTGTTATGTAACTGACCACACTAAGACTTCCAATTAACTTTGGTTGTGTTTTATTGAAGAGTGTCATAGAACAGAATAACTGGTGATAATTTTTTAAAACTTTTCTATGTTTTTAAACAGGGAAAGCTCTCTTAAAATATATGCAGCATCTTTTGATAAGTGTGGAAGGTAAATCTCCTGTCTGAAGTATTCTAAAGTCCATTGACTGTATTCCAAGACTGATGCTAATCTGTCTGACATTGAGGCATTAATTTTCATAACTCAAGTTCTTCTTGCTCTTCTTTCCCTCTTGCTCGTTTCCCTGATTATTTTTGTTTTTCCTTCTTCAATGATGAGTGCATCTTGAGACTCTTTTTAGACTGCTTCTCTTCAAAATAAGAATCATGTGAATTCATGGTTTCAAATAATTTCCCATGTATATGTATGTACTAACTTAGAAGTCGCTTTCTTCATTTTTAATCTTTATCTCTCCTTTCTACCACTCTTCAATATATCCAATTTCTTTATCCCCAGAACTGAGCTGATATTTTTTCCAAAAGCCTCATACCTTCCCATTTTCTCTTTATTTTTATGTCCTCACCACAATCCCAGTGGTCTAGTCTTAAAACCTTGCAGTTTTGTGGGGTTTTTTTTTTGTTTGTTTTGCTTTACTCTGTCATTTACTTGCAACATGCTGCCTATTATCAAGTTGTGATGTTTATTTTTCCTAAATATCACTCGGATTCATTTCTTTATTTCAAAACCCTGATATTGCCTCACTCAGCCTAGGTGATAATTATTTGGTGTGTACATTACTGTAATATCCTCTTTTATGTCCTTTTTCTACTCTAAGCTAACCTATGGATAAGTATGAGAATCGTCTTGTTCACAGATGAGGATACTAATTTTCACCACTTTTATTCAACGTAGTAGTGGAAGTCCCAGCCAGAACAATCAGGCAAAAGAAAGAAATAAAAGGAACCAAACTGGAAAAGAGGAAGTCAGATTCTCCCTCTTTGCAGACAACATGATCTTATATATACATAAACCAAAAAAGAATTCTTAGAACTGATAAGAGAATTCAGTAAAGTTTCAGGATACAAAATCAACATACAAAAATCAGTTGTATCTCTATATGCTAATAATAAACTAGCTGAAAAAGAAATAAAGCAACCCCATTTATGATAGCTACAAAAAATACCTAGGAATAAATTTACTGAAGGAGGTGAAAGATCTCTGCAATGAAAATTACAAAACACTGATGACAGAAATTGAAGAGAACACAAACAAAGGAAAGACATTCCATGCTCATGTATTGGAAGAATTAATATTGTTAAAATAATAATACTACCCAAAGCAATTTATAGATTCAATGTAATCCCTACCAAAATACCAATTTTTCTTCCAAGAAATAGAAAAAACAGTCCTAAAATTTGTATGTAACAACAAAAGAGCCAGAATAGCCAAAGCAAAAAGAACAAAGCTGGAGGCCTCACACTACCTGACTTTGAAATATACTACAAACCTATAGTAACCAAAACAGTATGGTATTGGTTTAAAAACAGACATATACACCAATGGAACAGAATAGAGAAATCAGAAATAAATCCTTGTCCCTACAGCCAACTGGCTTTTGACAAAAGCACAAAGAACATACAATGGGGAAAGGATACGCTCTTCAGTAATGTGCTGTGAAAACTGGATGTTCATATGCAGAAGAATGAAACCAGACCCCATCTCTCACCGTGTATAAAAATCAACTTCAAATGGATTAAAGACTTAAACATAATTCCTAAGACTATAAAACTACTAGAAATGCTTTAGGACATTAGTCTGGGCAAAGATTTTATGGCTAAGACTTCAAAAGCACAGGCAACAGAAACAAAAATAGATAAGTGGGACTATATTAAACTAAAAACCTCTGTACAGCAAAGAAAACAATCCACAGAGTGAAGAGACAACCTGTAGAATATGAGAAAGTATTTGCAAACTATTCAACTGACAAGGGACTAATATCCAGAATATATAAGGAACTCAAAGAACTCAACAGGAAAAAACAAAACAAAACAATCCCATTGAAAAGTGGGCAAAGGCTCTGAACAGACATTTCTCAAAAAAAGACATACAATTTGCCAACAGGTATATGAAAAAAAAATGCTCAACATCACTAATCATCAGGGAAAGACAAAAAAGAATGACTATTATCAAAAAGACAAAAAATAATAAATGCTGGTGAGGATGCAGAGGAAAAGAAACTCTAATACAGTGTAATGGAAGTGTAAATTAGGATAACCATTATGGAAAACAGCATGGAGTTTGTAAAAAAAACAACTAAAGAAAGAATTACCATGCGATCCAGCAATGTCACTACTGGGTATTTATCCAAAGGAAAGGAAATCAGTATATCAAAGGAAATTAGTATATCGAAGGGCTACCTGGACCTCCATGTATATTTCAGCACTATTCATAATAGCCACGATATAGAATCAACCTAAGTGTACATCAGTGGATGAATGGGTAAAGAAAATGTGGACACACACACACACACACACACACACACACACACACACGAATACTATTCAGCCATAAAAAAATGAAATTCTGTTATTTGCAGCAATGTGGATGGAACTAGAGGTCAGTATGTTAAGTGAAATGAGCCAGGCACAGAAAGACAAATATTGCATGTTCTCACTCATGTGGGAGCTAAAAAAAAGTTAATCTCATGGAAAAGAATAGAATGATGTTTACCAGAGAGGCTGGAAAAGGTGGAGAGGGGGATGAAGAAGAGGTTGCTTAATAGGTGCAAAGGTACAGTTGGAAGGATTAAGTTTTAGTGTTTGATAACACAGTAAGGTGACTATAGTTAACAGTAATTTATTATATATTTCAAAATAGCTAAAAGATTATTTGAAATGTTCCCAACACAAATAAATGTTAAATGTTTGAAATGATGGATATCCTAATTACCCTGATTTGCTCACTGCACATTGTATGCATTTATCAAACTATCACATGTACCTCACAAACATGTATCAATAAAAAAGTCCTCTTGTTCACACTGTTCATTTATCTTTTAAGAAAATTTTTTAAAAATCTGCCAACTGGCTACTTTATTCCCACCTCATTTACCTGAACTATATGGTCCACTTCTCCAAACAAATATCATCTCTTTCCATCTCCTTTCAACATGCCATTTGGAAGACTCCTCTTTCTTCCTCCCCAAACATATTTCTCTATTTCTTCAAAGGTGGTGGTTAACACAGCCTTAATAAAAGCTGAAATTACCTGGTCCTTTAAGAGCGAGTACCACCTGACTCATTTTCTCAGTGTCTCAGGGCTACATTGTTAGTCTGCCCTGCTCTCTTTATCTGTACTTGCTGATGTGTGGCTTTGTAACATCATGTAGTCATTTTCTTTATGCCTTTTCTCTGCTTTTAGAGTACAAGCAACTTTAAGGTAGAGACAATATCTAAGATTTATTTATATCATTCAACTATAATTACTAAGTACTTGCTGATTTTGTTTTTTTGAGACAGGGTCTTGCTGCATTGCCCAGGCTGGTGTTGAATTCCTGGGCTCAAGTGATCCTCCTGCCTCAGCCTCCCTAAGTGCTGGGATTACAGGCATGAGCCACCATGTCCAGCCACACTTACTGAGTTTATAGCATGGTATCTATCTATATCAAATTATTTATTGAGCATCTGCTATGTGCTAGGCACAGTGTGAGGTGCTAGAAATACAGTGATGAGAAAAAACTGACATTACCCATGCTTTGATAGAGTTAACAGTCTAATGGGAGAAACGGGAGAAACAGACATTTATCAAATAATCATACAATTAAGTGTAAAATTACAACTGTGATAGAGCTACAAAGAGAGGAATATGGTACTATGAGAGCACATAATAGGGGTATTTAACTGAGGTGGGAGAGGAGAACAGGGAAGGATGTCCCAAAGATGGAGAACCACATGAGCAAAGGCTGTGTGAAGGGAGGGAGCCAGATATGTTCAAGACATTGAAAGAAGACTGGGGTGGCTGGAGCCCAGAGAGCATAGGTAGATTAGAGGAAGGAAGCTGAAGAGGCAGGCAGGGGCTAACCTGGGCAAGGCCCTGTGGCATATGAAAAGGCTTTAGGCTTTTATACTGAGCAATGAGGAGCCACTGGAGGGATTTAAGAACAGGAAAGGATAGTATGGGGTTTTGAGAAGATCACTGTGGTCACTGTGTGGAGGATAAATTAAAGTGGGCAGGAAAATCAAGCTTGGTGTTTTTCTATGTTGTGTAGCGACTCAGTAAATGTTGCTCATTGACTGAACAGTTTGTGGGGCTTATAGTTCTTGCTGTAATCTCTATATTATGACGTTTGGCTTCAAGCTAAAAAATCTTGAGCTACTCAAAATACGGGTCTAATTTTTAACATAGTCTCCTAAGCATTTGCAATTCATTGACCTAACATGTAGTAGTAACAGATAATAACAATGATGATGATAGACAACATTATCTAGTATCTAGAGTTTAGTATCTAGTGTCTAGATAATAGAAAACATTATGTATGCTCCTGAGCACTGTGCTAAAGGCATGATGTCAATTATCTTAATTAATTCCTACTATAAGCCAATGAGGAAGGTGTTTGTATTCCTATTTTTTTTTTTTTTTTTTTGAGATGGAGTCTCGCTCTGCCACCAGGCTGGAGTGCAGTGGCGCGATCTCGGCTCACTGCAACCTCTGCCTCCTGGGTTCAAGCAATTCTCCTGCCCCAGCTTCCCGAGTAGCTGGGATACAGGCACATGCCACCACACCCAGCTAATTTTTGTATTTTTAGTAGAGACAGGTTTTCACCATGTTGGCCAGGATGGTCTGAATCTTTTGACCTTGTGATCCACCTGCCTCCGCCTCCCAAAGTGCTGGGATTACAGGCGTGAGCCTCTGTGCCCGGCCTGTATCCCTATTTTCTTAGAAATACGTTGTGCACGTGTACCCTAGAACTTAAAATATAATTAAAAAAAGAAGAAATAGGCTTAGAGGTGTTAAAGACCTTGCCTCAGAGAGAAGTGGTGGGACTAGGACTCAAATCTAGTTGTCTCTAACTGCAGAGCCTTCACTCTTAGCTACTTTGTTATAGAAGTTCTAGTTTATCTTGGTTTTCAGTACCATTTCAATACCACTATTATGAAAAAGGAGATTCCTTCAGTCCCACAAAGAGATATGATTTAGCTAATTGCCCAGTAACTCCTTCCTCAATTTTGGTCAAAGCCTCCATGGCATCAGCTCACCCAGCTCCCATTCTGCAGATGTTTTATTACATGTCACACAACCTGGCATTATTTCTGAGTTGATGGTTGTATGTTTTGATCTTTTCAAACATGTGGACAAATTTCTGGCTGGCTGTCCTTTTTTCTTTTACAGAAATATATAATTAGATGAGGTAATAATGCTCATTAGCCCAAGTTACAAATAGTATTTCAGTATCCAACTTCCTCCTTAGGAGAGCATCATCACTGATTAAGAATAATTGCCAACAATTGGCCGGGCACGGTGGCTCACACATGTAATCCTAGCACTTTGGGAGGCCAAGGTGGGTGGATCACTGGAGGTCAGGAGTTTGAGACCAGCCTGGCCAACATGGCGAAACCCCGTCTCTATAAAAAATACAAAATTAGCCGGGCGTGGTGGTGGGCACATGTGATCCCAGCTACTTGGGAAGCTGCGGCAGGAGAATCGCTTGAACCCAGGAGCCGGCAGTTGCAGTGAGCTGGGATGGCGCCACGGCACTCCAGCCTGGGTGAGAGAGCAAGACTCCATCTCAAAAAAAAATTATTGCCAACAATTGGTAAACTATTAGTTGAAAAATGTTTGCCATCATGGCCGGAGGAGCTCTCTGCCTTTGG
The DNA here is from genome assembly GCF_000001405.40 of Homo sapiens. Taxonomy (NCBI): domain Eukaryota; kingdom Metazoa; phylum Chordata; class Mammalia; order Primates; family Hominidae; genus Homo; species Homo sapiens. The sequence continues at coordinate 183,797,412 of NC_000001.11, forward strand.
CCTACCATCTGCTAAGTGCTATTTGCTTGTTTCTTCTGTCTTCATTTTCTATACCCTAGGGCAGCCTCTTCTTTAGTTGTAATACGTCTGCCTAAAGTGGGCTTGTAATTTGCTTGCCTAAATATAAAAACGTAATAACAGAGCATTGAGAATTTTTCACTCATACCTTATAGTATTTCTGTGATAACTAATAAAATCAGCTTGGTCCCTCAGAAAATGGAAGCAACGGCTTACTGGTTAAGGAGTTTTCAGAGGACTGGTCATCTTTAACCAAACATGACTGGCTCTTTACCCTTTGCAAAGGAAGGTTGAAAGTTCAAGCAAAAAGCAGGTGAAACCACAGTTATCATAGCTAGGAACAACCATAGCAGAATGCCCAACTGATAGTGGAAAGCTGAAGATGGAAAGTTGATTGGTAAGCAACACAGGCTGCAAACCTAAAGAATAGGGAGAAGCATTTCATAGGGATATTGGAAGAAATAAATAGCTTTCATATTGTTGGAGGAAGGAATCAAGAAATACCAGATTTATTTGCTTATGTCCTCCAAAAGGTTTTATGGATCTATAATCTTTATTATAGTTTATGAGTAAATTATTGCAAAAGGGCAATTATCAGTTTTGTTCAAAAGTCCACTACCAGTGAGTGGGAGAAGTTTCACATTAGTCTGCTTAGGTAGTGGTTATAGGTAAGTAGAGGCAATTTGTGCTCAGTAGTACTAAGGTGTGGAATGGAAATCCTGCCCTCTCACTTATTTATTTTTCTTCGCATGGTATTATTATTATTATTGCCCTCTCAGGACTGCTTTCTTCTAAACTTTTGACTGGGCATAGGACATTATAGTGCAGCATTCAGTTTGAGGATGACAAAGCCAAGGCCTTCTCATTTCTTACCATTTTATGTTGATATTGCCATCTTCAAGGCAAGTTTTTTTAAAAAACAACTTTATTGAGGTATGACTGAGATGCAGAATGCTGTACATATCTAATGTATACAACTTGATGAGTTTGGGGATAAGTATATTCCCATGAAACCATCACCACCATCAAAGCCACAGATATATCATCACCTCCCAAAGCTTCCTCCTTCCTCCTTTATTATTATTATTAGTATATTCTTATTATTTTGTGTGTGTATGTGAAGATCACTTAACATAAGATCTACCCTCTCAGAAAATTTTAAGTATATAATAGAGTATTGGTAGCTATTAGGCACTGTGTTATAGACCTGTAGTAGATCCCTAGAAGGTATTCATCTTGTATAATTGAAACTTGGCACCCTTTGACCATCACCACCACATTTCTCCCACCCCCTCACCCTGCCAATCACCATGCTACTCTGCTTCTATGAGTTCGACTATTTTAGATTCCACATGTGAGACCATACAGTATTTGTCTTTCTGTATTTGGTTTATTTCACTTAGTATGTATTTCAGGTCCATTTATGTAGCCACAGATGGCAGGATTTCCTTTTTTTTTTTTTTTTTTTTTTGACGGAGTCTTGCTCTGTCGCCCAGGCTGAGTCTTGCTCTGTCGCCCAGGCTGGAGTGCAGTGGCACCATCTCAGCTCACTGCAAGCTCCGCCTCCCGGGTTTGCCATTCTCCTGCCTCAGCCTCCCAAGTAGCTGGAATTACAGGCGCCCGCCACCATGCCTGGCTAATTTTTTGTATTTTTACTACAGGCAGGGTTTCACCGTGTTAGCCAGGATGGTCTCGATCTCCCAACCTCGTGATCTGCCTGCCTCGGCCTCCCAAAGTGCTGGGATTACAGGCATGAGCCACCATGCCTGGCCTCCTTTTTTAAGGTTGAATAATAATTGTATCTGCAATATTTTGACTATTGTGAATAATGCTGCAATTAATATGGGAGCGCAGGTATCTCTTTGAGATACTGATTTAAATTCTTTTGGATAAATACCCAGAACTAGGATTGCTGGATCATATGGTAGTTCTATTTTTAATTTTTTAGGAATCACCATACTGTTTTCCATAGTGGCTGTACCAATTTACTTTCCCAACAATAGCATATCAGGGTTCCTTTTTGTCTGCATCCTCACCAACACTTGTTTGTTTTTTGATAATGGCCATCCCCACAGGTATGTGTTGATATCTCATTCTGGTTTTGTTGCATTTTCCTGATGATTAGTGATATTAAGCATCTTTTCATACACCTGTTGGCCATTTGTCAGTCTTCTTTGGAAAATTGCCTGTTCAAGTCCCCTGTCTCATTTTTAAAATCAGGTTGGTTCGTTTGCTGTTGAGTTGTATGCGTTCCTTATATATTTTGGATATTAACCGCTTATCAGATATATGGTTTGTAAGACAAGTTTTTATTACATACTTATTTCGAAGTACAGTGTCCATTATACTTTCACTGTCCTTACTTTTCTGTTATGCAATATAATATCTTGCCCAGGTAAAAGTATAAAGAATACTCAGGTTACAAACCAAAAGCAGTAAACAAATACAAAATTACATTAAAGGGAAATGGTGTGAAAGTAGAGAGAGGAGATACATTTTTATTCAATGCCTCCTATGTTCCAAGTACTCTATCAGATACTTTACATAGTATATTTCGTGTAATCCTCATGATAAGCATGACAAGAGACAAATGAGAAAAATAAGGCTGTGAGAAGTGAGGGTCAGACTCTTGGTTGGCAAGTCATCCAGAGCTGGAATTTAAACTCATATGCCATATGTCCCATCATTTACCCAGACACATAAATATCACTCCATATCATCCTACATAAGTACATGCTGTCATAATTTTTATATTTTTTAATTCTTCTTGCAGCCAGAGAGGTAGAATAAAATGTAGAAAAATGTGGTGTCATAGAGACCAATGAATACATAAATAAATGAATGAATGGGGTATATATATTGTATACTTCCATTTCTAGACAGACTCTATTAAAGAATCAGCACACCAGCTGCTTGCATTTGCTCTTTATCTATTGGCTCTGGTAAAACTGTAAAGCAAGAAATTTTTTTTTTCTCCCGTTTGTTGCTCTTCCATACCTCTTTCCTCTTATATGCTAGAACTTTTCTGTTGTTACTGTCAGTGTACACCAAATATGGCAACACAAAACTATTCCTAGAACATACTAATGCTTAAATATAGATCTTCCCCTATTTAGCAGATTTTCGTGTGTACAGTACATTATTGTTAACTATAAGCACAAAGATCTCTAGAACTTATTCATCTTGCATAACTGAAACTCTGTACACACTGAACAGGAATTCCTCATCTGCCCCTCTCTCCAGCCCCAGGCAATCACCATTCTACTTCCTGCTTCTAAGAGTTTGGCTATTTTAGATACCTTATATAAGTGGGATCATGTAGTATTTGTCCTTCTGTAAGTGGCTTAGTTCACTTAGAGTAATGTCCTCAAGGTTCATCCATGTTGTTGCATATGACAGGATTTTCTTTCTTTTTAATACTTAATAATACCACATTTTCTTTATCCATTCATCTGTTGATGGACATTTAGGTCGCTTCCACCTCTTGGCTATTGTGAATAATGCTGCAATGAACATGGAAGTGCAAGTATCGCTTTCAGATCTTGATTTATTTTGGTTAAATACCCAGAATTGAGATTGCTAGACTATATGGTAGTTCTCTTTAATTTTTTGAGGAACCATACTGTTTTCCATAGTGGCTGCACCATTTTACATTCCTACTAACAGTGCACAAGGGTTCCAATTTCTCCCCATTCTCACCAACACTTGTTATTTTGTGTGTGTGTGTGTGTGTGTGTGTGTGTGTGTGTTTAATAATGGCCACCTTAACAGGTTTGAGGTTACATCTCATTATGGTTTTGGTGTGCATTTTCCTGATGATTAGTGATGTTGAGCACTTTCTCATATATGTGTTGGTCGTTTGTATGTCTTCTTAGGAAAAATATCTATTCGGGTGTTTTGCCCATTTTTAAATTGGGTTTTTTTTTCTATTCAGTTGTAGAAGCTCTTAAAATATTGTGGGTATTAACCCCTTATTAGATACATGATTTGCAAATATTTTCTCCCATTCCATAGGTCATTTATTCACTCTATTGATTGTTTCATTTGCTGCACAGAAGCTTTTTAGTTTGATGTACTTTCACTTCTCTAATTTTAATTTTCTTGCCTGTGCTTTTGGTGTGATATCCAAGAAATCATTGCCAAGGCCAATATAATAAAGCTTTCCCCCTATATTTTTATCTAAGTCCTTTGTGTTGCTATAAAGGAATACCTGAGAGCAGGTACTTTATAAAGAAAAGAAGTTTATTTGGCTCATGGTTCTGCAAGCTGTACACAAGAAGCATGACGCCAACATCTGCATCTGTTGAGGGCCTCAAGCCACTTTAGTTCATGGCAGAAGGGGAAGGTGAGGCAGCGCATGCAGAGATCACATGGTGAGAGAGGAGGCAAGAGAGAGATGGGGGTCATACTCCTTGTAACAATCAGCTCTCACTGGAACTAATAAAGTGAGAACTCACACAATACCTTGAGGATGGTACCAAGCTATTAATGGGGGATTTGCCTCCATGATCCAGACACCTCCCATTAGGCCCTACCTCCAACACTGGGGATTAAATTTCAACATAAGATTATGAGGGGTCAAACAAACCAAACTATAGCAATTTTCTTTAAGGAGTTTTATAGTTTCAGGTCTTATGTTTAAGTCTGCAATCCATTTTGAATTGATTTTTGTGTATGGTGTAAAATAAATGTCCAATTTCATTCTTTTACATGTGATCTAGTTTTTGTACAAATGTTTTCCCAGCACCATTTGTTGGAGAGATTATCTTTTCCTTGTTGTATATTCTTGGCATCCTTATTGAAGATCAGTTGACCACATATGCTTGGGTTTATTTCTGGGCTTTCTGTTCTGTTCCATTGATCTGTGTGTCTGTCTTTATGCCGGTACCATAAAGTTTTGATTACTGTGGCTTTGTAATATGTTTTCAAATCAAGAAGCATGAGATCTCCAGCTTTACTCTTCTTTTTCAAGATTGCTTTGATTATTCAGGATCCTTCGTAGTTCCATTTGAATTTTAAGGTTATTTTTGCTATTTCTGTCAAAAATACACTTGGGATTTCGGAAGGGATTGCATTGAATATGCAGAAAGTTTTGGATAATATGGACATTTTAACATATTAAGTCTTTCAACCCGTAAACACGGGATGTCTTTCTATTTAGGTGTATCAGCAAAAAAAAAAAAAAAAAAAAACCCTTATAAACTAATAAACAAATTCAGTCAATTGCAAAATAAAGAATTAATGTGTTTCTATATACTAACAACAAACAATCTAAAAGTGAAATTTACAAAGCAATCCCATTTACAATAGTATCAGAATAAAGTACCTTGGAATAAACTGAACCAAAGAGATGCAAGTCTTGCTCTCTAAAAACTACAAAACATTCCTGATCTTTTAACAAAACTTAACCTATCCTCTCAGGACTCTGTTAGGTCACGGGAAGGCTAATGTGGTAAATAAACACCAACTGAGTTATAAATGGCTTACTGGTTTGTCTTCCCACATATTGACCAGGAGTACTTTAACCCAAAGGTACAGGTAATAAGGTAATATGGACTGAACTGCCTACTGATGAAATATTTTTAAATGAATATTAAAAAATTTGTAAACTGCAACACACAATTGCTCTATCTAGCATAAAGTCTGCCTCTTTTTTTGCAGAACAGCATTTGTACAAAATTACATACATTGTGAGGTGTAAATACAAATAGTTATTCTTGGAAAACCTCTCTGAAATTTTAAAGTAATTCCATGAGAAGACATCATTTCAGATTTCCTAGTGTTGCATACATAACACGCTTTTCACTGAGTCTGGATAAATATGGTTTGGGAGGAAGTACAATAAGGAGGCAGTGGAATTTTTTTGGATCACTTACCATGTGCTTGATGATTTGCATGCATTATTTCATTTGATCTCTTTCAAACTCTTTCAGGTAGATGGTTGTCCCATTTTGCAGATGAGGAAATTAAGGCTCAGGGTAGTAGCATTCAGGTTCACTCACTGCAAGGCTGGATGTGAAGCTGTATCCACTTGGCTTGAAGCTAGTTCTTTTCCCTTTACACACTAGGTGGCCAGCCAGGGAATTGGAGTACAGAGAAAGGTGAGTAGCTCTGAAACCTGAGTGGGGCCTTGTGAATTTAAGCCGCCCTGTCCAGGAAGGTTTCCTGGGAGAGTGAGGTTGAAGAAACTGCTTAATATCCCTGAAATGGAAATATTTCAGTTACTGCCAAATGTGTAGCCAAAAATCAGGTTAAAGTAGTGGTGAAGTTAATCTTACAGGTTGTTTAACTGTCCTCAGTTGCATTTCGTGGTGTCCAAGATCACCTAATAGGTCCTCTAGAGGTGGGCCTGGGTTCCTGAGGATGGCTTAACAAGCAGGGAGGTAGGGCCTTCACATGATTTTCCTCTGGTTCCCAGCAACATTCTGCCCTGATCATCATAGAAGGATTTAGTCTATGTGTTTTTCGTTCGTTTGTTTTTTAAATTATAGAACAACCACTTCAGCTTGCTAAAAGGGCATCTCCTCTCTATACAGTGATGGTGCCCTTAGGTTCTGGTTGTATGGGGATAACCTGGCTGAATGACTTGTAGATGTTCTCAAGTGTCCACAGATCCTTTTGTTTTTGCTTAATGTGCCCTTGCTGTCATTTATTCTGCTCTCCTGGGAACATCAGTACACTTGATTTGCTAAATTGTCAGCTCATGATATATTTACCATTAACCAAAACCCAGGCTTATGTCATAGTATGGCAATTAGTGGGAGACCTATTTTTTTTTTTATTTGAAGGTGATTAAATTCATTTAGGGTGAATAGTATGAAAGACATGAGCCCTAAAGGTATTTGCAATTTGCATGGAATTCTGGCAGGTGTCAAGTTTGACTGCATTATCTGGTATCTCTTGCTGTTGACTTGTTAAAACTGGATCTAAAAAAATGTAATAATCTTTTATCCCTATAGCAGATCTTTCCATTATGATAAAACTCCTGCTGGTAGTCATCTGATGAAGAACTTTTCCCTGTGGCTATGATCCTACTGTGTCCCTACAGTACAGGCAACTCAACCCATGGTGGCTACTCACAAAGACTCACAGAACCTCCAGGACACTGTCAGTCCTAGCAAAACCTTACCCTGCTTTGTTCCCTTCCCACCCCCAATGGCCAGTTACTGGGTAATTGGGGTGGTGAAAAGCCCAGCGCGATTTCCTGTTGGCAGTGTGCTGATGCAGGAGAGGGTATAGCCCCTGGGCATGGTTTTGGAATACCCGGGTGTCCTCTGACCTTATCCTCTGTCCTAATGAAAAACTTCCTGGCGTCTAGTATTGCGGCTCTCACTGGGGTCATTCTGACTTAATTATTCTAAAATCAAAATAGATAATAGGCAGATAATGGAAGTTTTTTGGACTTTCTCCTTCCATTGTTTTAGCGAAGGAAGAAGACACACACAAATCCTCCATCCCACACTCAGTTCTATTTTGGCACCTGGTGACCGTCAGGAAAACCTGATAAACTTGAAAGTGTTGTTTCCCAATCACCTTCAGAACTGGAGAAACGCTTTCATGCTGACTTTATCCATGGGACTGAAGAAAGGGAGAGTGTGCTCACAAGCACAAACAGGAAAGCCTTACATCACGGAGTGGCGTGGGGAGGAGTCTGCTCCTCGCTTGCTCGCTCGCTCGCCGCGCTCCCTTTGTGGCCCGAGTCGCGCGCACCGGCGGCGGCGGGGGCAGCGCGGCGCGTGTCTGTGCGCTGCGGTCGCTCGGGACCGGGACCGGGGCGAGGCGCCGCGGGGCTGAGCCCAGCAGACATTGCGTTGGCCTCCGAGCAGGGCGCATCATGCAGCGTTCGCGCACCGGAGAGAAAACTGAGAATGAAATTGCTTTGGCAAGCTAAAATGGTAACGAGAGCTCTCTGCCTTCTCCCGAGGCTTCTCTGGTGGGGAATCTTCTCCCGCTTTCGCTGGGCGTGTTTTGGACTCCCTCGGAGTGAACGGAGCAATCCGATTCCATACTTGTGAGCTAAAGCTCTCTCACTCCGCTTTGTATTCCTCTCTCTCTGCGTGTCTTCTCCCTTTCAACCGTACCTACTTTCTCAGCAATTGCCTGTGGTGTGTCTGGGGCAGATGCATGTCAGGAGGGGAGAACTTTGAAGGAAAAAGAACTGTTAGTGTGGGTGAACCGCGGAGCGCTTCTGCGTCCCAGCGGCTCTTTAACACAAACCTCAGGTTTAGCTGGGGACATGGAAATCCAGGGGGTCGCTGCACAGATTTTAGTAGAAGCTGCCTGATGATGTGTTGCTTTTTCTGCACTTGCCAGATTATTTTACGGAAATAAAAACTTTCCACCCCCGCTAACTTTGTGGGCTCCAAAACAATGAGGAGAAAAGACAAGCAAACCACTTCACTTCCAAAGGAGTGAGGACTCTTGGCGTTTTAAACACTTGTTTGTGTCTGAGTTTAAAATCTGGTTTCTTCAATGACCGAGCCACTCTAAAAAGTACAGACTTATTCTTTTCTTTTTTTCTTTTTCTTTTTCTTTTCTTTTCTTTTTTTTTTTTTTTTTTTTTTTTTTTTTTTTTTTTTTTTACAAAGAATTATTTTTCCTTTCACTTAAGGGGGACAAGTTAATCAGGACTAATCTAGTTTCTTTGTAAAGAAAAAGAAAGACTTCAAAACAAAACTATTTAAGATATGTGAGCAAGTCTAGGAGAAATAACTAAATGGAAAAGTCAGGGGATCCTGATACCACAGGAAGGGACTGCAAGCCAAGAAAATCTCAGCATTCCCTCTATCAAAATGTGTCTTGTATTGCGGATTGTAATATTTATTTTGAACAGCCCATCTTGTGCCCTGAGTGCTGTTGTAAGCAGCAAGGCAGCTGGGATAGATTGTGGTTAGCAGAGAGGAAAAAAATACTCTTTTTCTTTCTCTTTATCCCGTCCCTGGCAGAGCTCGATTCAGGACTGGGGTGAAGAGGTAGAGGAAGGAGCTGTTTACCATGTCACCCTCAAAAGAGTCCAGATTCAACAGGCTGCCAATAAAGGAGCAAGATGGCTAGGGGTGAGTAAAGCTGGCGAGATGGTGAACTTTGGAATTTCAGTGTCTGTCGTTCTGTGAATATCATTATTATTTAACAGAGGCAGGCTTTTTTTTTTTTCCTCTTTTCGCTTTAAAAAGGAAAATGCTAATGACCAAGTGTTTGCACTAGCTGAACAGGTCTCTTTTTGTATTTAATGTTTTCAAAAGCATCTTCCCTAGGTTTGTCAATAATTCAGAACCTCTTAGAAACATCTTGAGGTCTTTGGCAAATAGATTGGGGGTGGAGTGGCAGAAAATGACACACAGAATACAGGCCCAGAGAGCAGCACTCTCTTAGACAAGAGCCATAAGCAGCTTTGCCCAGAAGCCACCCTTGTCTCTCTCTGCCCTCCCCCAATTGATGCTGTCAGCGTCTGCCTTGCTCCTATATCTCTAGGAGGTACCCAGATTGCTCAGGAGACAGAGCATTCCAAGTCTGCATCCTTTGAGGGGTGGTAGATTTCCTATTGTGATCTCTTTTCTATATCTTGGGAGGAGGCAAATGGATGCTTAGTACCCACTACTTTGTGTGTAGAGTGGTGGGCCTTTGGAAAAATGCTGCTTCTGTAAACAGGACTCTTTTCCACTGAGATTGTAAAATATTGGGTGAGGTCATGCAAGTTTGTAGGTATCACCTAGTAGATCCTTCAACACATCCCAAATAAAGCGAATATGAGAAATGGAAAGCTCAGCGACAGGATCACTACTTGGGCAAATGTCAAACATGTGGAAGAATGAAGGGATTCTTGATCTGGAAGGAGAAGTAGTTCTCAGACCAGGCGGTGAGAGGCGACCCAAAAAGCCTTGAGAAAGAAAATAATGGTTGGCTGAATAGAGGGGGTGGAGTGTGATTTCACCTGGCTGGCCTTATTTTAGCCGATGGGCTTCAGAGTGTTGAAGATTTATGCACTTGCATCCCATCTTTAGCGGCTTGGAGTCTCTGAAAATTCAGAATATTTTGAGCAGCATTCAAAGGTGGAGTGTGAAGGAGGATAGGACACAAAATTGCACAGGGCCTCCTGTTAAGAGTAGTGGTAACGTGTGACTTGTAACTCCAGGGAGTTTAAGGCAGGATGGTGGCCCATGGCCGGCAGCAATCACTTCCTCTGCCATGAGTCTGCTGACACAGGCATTCATTGCTTTGGGCTTCCCCAGCTGCTTCAGCTCAGGCCTTTCCTGCTACTGTACTTTGGGCCAAGGTATCACCCATGAGGGCCAGAAATTGTTAATGACATCTGCAGGTGTGGTCTGGAAAGATAGGAGCTTTCCAGTGAGAACTAGAGGTCTTCACTTACCAAGTACCTACCTTACTCAGAATATGATTTTAAAATTAATTATGTATATCACTAGCAGACCTGATAGGGAAAGCAGAACTAGAGTTCTGACAAGTCATCACTTTGTTTTTGGTGGTTGTGTGTATGTATTTTATTTAAATGTGGCGTCCATGTGGTTTGGCCTCTAGCTATTTCAGAATGATTCACAACTTCTGAACCAGTTGTCTTCAAAAGGGTCATTACATTTTTTTGGTATCAGGTTATTCCTCTCTTTCTAATGAGACTGACTTTGCTTGGGTGACTGTTTTAGTTTTCAGCCATATACAACATTAGTTATGAGTAAGTCATTGGAAATGGAGGGGTTCACTCTGTAGGCCCCACATCTACAAACTGTCATGTATTTAGATGCTCAGAGTTATTTAGTAATCCCCACTGACTGTTCTCTTCACTAGACTTCACTTCTTTTCTTCTCTCTCCCTTCTCTCAGTGTTCTCAAATTTATACAGAGTTCAGAGTTAATTCACCCTGGATTCAACAGTAGATATGAAATACTGAGAAGGAGGATAATGTGAAAAGATTGGCTCTAGTTGATGGAGGAATCTGTCCCCCTCGCCCCCATTTCAACAAAGTGTGATTTACTGCTACCAGCCTACTCCTTTATTGCAAGTTCCTAGGGGCTCTCCAGCTCTAATCTACGTGTTTTCTTGTCTTAGGTGTCCTGTTGGGAAGTTCTGTTTTTGTCCTTGAAAATTCCAGACTTAATTAAATGTGACTCAACCCATTGAGCCATAGCAATTACAAACCTTTCTCTTTAGAACTGAGTGGCTTCCCCATGTTTGTTTTCCTGTATTCCAGTACCCTTTCAAAATTCTTCAAAGTAACTAGTTTCAGAGTTACTAGAGAGTGGGGTCAGGTGAGGAAATTATTGCAATATGACAACAACCTTCTGAGGAAGGTGGTGTTGTGATGATCTCTCTCTCTCTCTTTTTTTTTTTTTTAACATGAGGAGACTAATGCCCAGAGAGGTTAAATTGTTTGCCAGGGTCACACAGCTATGAAGTGGTAAACACCAGATTCAAATCCAGATGGTTGGCTCTTTGTTGTGAAGAATTTCCTGGGACCTTAAGGCTGTTTCCATAGTAGTAGAAAAGAACATTGGCTCAAAAGACTGAGGATGCTTTGGGTGTGCTTTTCCCTAATGTTGCAAGACTGGAGAGATGTAACTTTCTTTTCTTCATGTCTAGAATGATAACTTGAGCTGCAAATTGAGATATTTGTTGCGAAGCTATGATCTCACTGATAAACTCCCCATTTTGGAGGTTTAAAGCAGGGTGCATTGAAGATATGAAGATACGTATGAGGTTATGTAGCATGTGAGGATAGGCATAGCTTTGTTACGTGTCTGTAATGCTTATTCCAGATGCCTAAAAGATGGAACATAATTTTTGTATTTTCTAGTATTCAGATCTCAAAACATAATTAAGATTCAATTTTGGGGAGGAGAGCAAAATAATTACATATCCTCAGATGTGAAGTATTATACAGTCCAAAACATTTAGGTCATTCTTTTTTATTTTGTCTGTTAAATTCTGTGTTCAGTTGATCTTTTAAAGTAAAACTCTGTGTTTGGAAAACTACAACCAAGTATGTCCCAGGCCCAGTTTACTTGTACGTGCAGCTGCATCCTTGCCCATTGACGGTGAGATTATATTGGCAACTTTGAAAAACCAAATATTATTGAAATACTGACCCATTTTCCCTTTACAATAACATCTTTGGCTGGGATAATTTTACCCACCTATAATTCTCG